>NC_000011.10:95311750-95938964 GCF_000001405.40 Homo sapiens | reverse complement strand
TTGTGCTGGCCGGGCACAGTGGCTCATGCCTGTAATCCCAGCACTTTGGGAGGACGATGCGGGTGGATCACGAGGTCAGGAGATCGAGACCGTCCTGGCTAACACGGTGAAACCCCATCTCCACTAAAAATACAAAAAATTAGCCTGGCATGGTGGCGGGCGCCTGTAGTCCCAGCTACTCAGGAGGCTGAGGCAGGAGAATGGCATGAACCCAGGAGGCGGAGCTTGCAGTGAGCCAAGATCGCAACACTGCACTCCAGCCTGGGCGACTGAGTGAGACTCCGTCTCAAAATAAATAAATAAATAAATAAAAAATAAGGCTTGTGCCAATAGTGTTGCAGGGTCCTTACTCATATTCCCCCTTTTTTGTTTTCTGAGCATATTTTTAAGGGTGGAATGGGTATGTTCAACTATGGCCTGTCCTTGGGGGTTATATGGGATGCCTGTGGAATGTTGGATGTTCCACATGTGACAAAATTGTTGAAATTGTGAGCTGGCATAAGCCAGACCATTACCAGTTTTAGTTTTTGTGGGCCGCCCCATAAATGCAAAAGTTAAGATGTTTAATGACATATCGGGTAGACTCTCCAGGAGAGCATGAGCACTAATTAAATGAAAATTGGTATCAATGGATACATGTACATATCTAAGTTTCCCAAATTCAGAGATGTGTGTAACATCTGTTTGCCATAACTGATTAGGTTCTGGTCCTCTATGGTTAACACCTGTAGAAGGAGGGATGTGCCCGTGAGCTGGCAATCTGGGCATTGTAGGATAATTTGTTTAGCTAGTCTCTGGGTAAGTTGAAATTGTTTAGATAAGTTTCTCCAATTTTGGTGGAAAAATTGATGCTATTGGGTGGCTTGGTCAAGCAGTGATGTCATAACCTGTAGGTCTGCTTGATCATTGCCATAAGCCAATGGGCCAGGAGTGAGCTGTGGGTGTGAATGTGTGTAATAAAAATAGAATGTGTACGTTGATCTAGCAATTGCTGAAGTCAGAGAAAAAGTGTACACAGGGTGGGCTCCAGAGTGGATTTAATGAGGGCTGTCTCAAGGTTCTGCAATAAATAAACAGTAAGCAGAGTCACTAATAATATTGATGGGGTGAGCGGAAAAAGTTTCCAAGGCCAATATTAAGGCTCCAACCTCAGCTCTTTGAGTGCTAGTAAATCCAGAATGAGTGAGGGAATTACGTGGTCTCCACCAGACAGCCACTTTTCCATGTTTACCAGAGCCATCAGTAAACAATGTTAAAGTGTTAGGTATGAAGGATTGAACTATTTTAGTAGGCAAAACCACAGAAGTATGAGATAAGAACTGAAGTAGTTTATCAGCAGGAAGGGTATGCTCTATATGGCCTGTATAATCAGAGAGTGTTATTTGCAGGTCCACAGATGAGGGCAATACTGCTTTGAATTGCTTTTTACTTAAAGGAATTCTGATGATACCAGTGTCATAACCTAGTAATAGATTGCATCATCTGCAGCCTGAATAGATGACTTTACTAACTAGCTGGATACAGGGAGAGAGTGTTTTAGTCCTGGTGTGTGAGCAAAAAACTAATTCTAGAAAGTGTAGCTCTGGGGCCATCTCTCCTATTAACCCTGTAGGGGAGTGTTTGGTAGGAAAAACAAACAATCGAACTGAATACTGTGAATCTATGCGATCTAGTTGCCTTTGAGAAGTAGCTTGCTTGATCTCTTCAATTTCCCTTTGTGCTGCAGGAGTTAAACACCTAGGAGAGTCTAGGGCAGCACTGCCTTTTAAGATAGAAAACAGGTTCTGTAACTTATCAGTAGTTATGCCTAAGGTGGGGCATAGCCAGTTAATATCGTCTAGTAATTCTAATAATCATTTAAGGTACGTAAGTTTCTAGTATTTAATTTAACCTTTTGAGTTCTTACTGACTAGGAAGTTAGTATGTACCCAAGATATTTCCAAGGAGAGGATATTTGTGCTTTTTCAGATGCTATGATTAAATCTCCTAACTGTGTATTCTTTACGAGCAAGCCATGTAACTTTAAAAGTACTGGCTCCATTGTGGTTGCTAGTGAAATATCATCCATAAAATGAATAATCTTGCAATTAGGAAATTATTTTCCACTGAGGAGCAAAGCCTGATTTATATGATACTGACACATGGTAGGACTGTTCAGCATTCTTTGAGGAAGCACGTTCCAATGAAATTGGCAAGCTGGCCTTTCATTATTGATAGCTGGTATTGTAAATGCAATTTTTTCTCTGTCCTGTTTTGCAAGGGGAATAGTATAAAAACAGTCTTTTCAGTCAATAACGATTATAGGCCAATCTTGAGGAATCGCTGTGGGGGAGGGGAGCCCCTGTTGAAGGGGCCCCATAGGTTGCAAATTAGCATTGATAGCACGTAAGTCATGCAAAAGTCTCCATATACCAGACTTTTTGGGAATGACGAAAATGGGTGAATTCCAAGGGCTGTTTGATGGTTCTATATGGCTGGCTTTTAATTGCTCCTCAACTAATTCATGGGGTCTTTGTAATCTCTCCCTTTAAGGGCCACTGTTCTACCCAAAGTGGATCTCGAGAGAGCCACGCCGGGGTAGGGGAAGGATAATAACAGTGGCCATTATTAGAAAGGGGTCTGCAGAGTGACCCCCCACATTGGGCTAATAGGTCCTGTCCCCAAAGATTAACAGGGATAGGCATGATTAGAGGTTGTATAACTGCCTTTCTTCCCTCTGAATCCAACAGGTTGGGGGGCGTGTGCTCTGCTTGGCTGTGCGCACTTCCCCGATGTTGACAATTTTTTGTTTCTGAGTGACCCAAGGCCAAGTTTCTGGCCAGTTTTGATCACTAATGATTGGAATATCTGCTCCCGTGTCCAATAAGTCAGTGACATTCTTATTTCCAATTTTTAAGGTGATCATGGGTCTCTGATCAGTGATTAATTGATTCCAATATACTCCTGTGGCTCCTATGCTTCCAAAACTTCCCTTTCCCCTTTCCTTTCCGTGAGCACTGGGGACCCAATATGGTAAAAGCAGTAACTGAGCGATCTTTGATCCAGGAGGAAGAATATACAGACCTTTACATTCCATCATAACTAATATCTCACCTTGATAATCACTATCAATTACCCTGGTGAGCACATTAATTCCTTTACTGGATAGGCTTGATCGCCCTGGGACTAATCACACTGTTCCCAGAGGCAGTGGGCCCCAGATCCCAGCTGCAACCTTTTTAGGGTCTTCTCCTTTTAGCACTAATCTGTTGGGGCAGAGTAAGTCCAGTCCTGTGCTCCCAGTGGTGGCTGCTCTGAAAGAGAGGACTGTGGGCCTTCCATCTGACCGAGGAAAGCCGCTAGCATTGCCCCAGTTTGAAGTGGGGCCTGGGGCCGGCCCCTCATGAAGTTTCCCACCTGGTTACTTGTGGGGTTGCTGTTTTTATCAAATTTGGACCTGAATTAATTTGCCCAGTGTTTTCCCTTTTTACATCGGGGCATGTAGAAGTGAGTTATTTTCCTGAGTTACCTTGGTCTCTATTATTGGGGCATTCCTTCTTCATATGACCTGGCTCTCTGCATAGAAAACAATTTGGGTCTCTCTCCCTTTTCACTTTAGGAGGCCTTAATGCTACAGCTAATATTTTGGCTTTCTGTGTTTCAGTCCCCACCAATTGACATGCTCGTATAAGTTCCCTGACTGTGGCTGCCTTTCCTCTGATTGCCTGAAATGCTTGTTGGCAATCCACATTAGCGTTTTCATAAAACAATTGCAACAATAATATATCAGCGGCCTGGGCCTGACTAATTTGTCTCTTAATTGCCTGGGTTAACTGACTGATAGACTCAACAAATGGCTCCTGTGGCCCTCATTGAACATTTATAAAAGATCCCTGTTGAACTCTGCTTCCAGGAATTCAGTCCTATGCCCTGAGAGTGTGCAAAGACACCTGTGGATAGACCTGGGGATCAAAATTAGTTGTTGTTGTACATCGGCATGGGGGCCCTCCCCTGGAGCATAGCAGCTGTTATGTCTTGCCTGGCCACCTTATTCT
Organism: Homo sapiens; assembly: GCF_000001405.40. Classification (NCBI taxonomy): domain Eukaryota; kingdom Metazoa; phylum Chordata; class Mammalia; order Primates; family Hominidae; genus Homo; species Homo sapiens. The sequence continues at coordinate 95,934,930 of NC_000011.10, read as the reverse complement.
GGTTGGCTTGTTGTTCGCACAACTCATCATATTCTGCCCTCCAGAGGAGGTAATGGCTGGGCTCCAAACTTGTTTTAGCTAGCACTGACCAGTCACATGGGGTCATACGGAAGTTGTCTGCCATGGCTTCAATCATTCCATTCATAAATGGGCTAGCGGCTCCATTTTCTTTAGTGCTTTTTCTTAGCTCTTTATAAGCATTAAAAGAAATGGGTTCATGCACTTCATTGTCCTGTCAATCTTGCACTACCGGGCAGGCTAAGAGCTCCTCTTCTAATGCTGCTTGCCTAAGACAGGGTCCCATAGCTGTAGCATATCCCTTGTATTTTTTCCAATTTATTGGAGGAGGGGGCTCAGGCGAAACATCTGTTTCCTCTTTGTTGTTTTGGCCCGGTGATAGCAGGGCCGAGGGATAAGGAGTAGGTAAGGTAGGTGATGTTTCCTCTTCCCTTCCCTTCTGAGGCTCTTCTGTGTAAAACAGGGCCAGAGCTGCCCTATCTAAGGCCCATAATGTTAGAGATGTTACTGGGACCCATTGCCCTTGCACATGATGTTATTTAAGATATCTTCCCACTTGTTCCCAGAGCTCTACGTCTAGCATATCTTCTTCTGGGAACCATGGGTTATGGAAAACAGCTATTTGCATTAGGTCCCTTAATTGAGCCTGCAAAACCGAGTCTCTGCTAGCTTTAAGCAGCTGTTTCAATACTTTTATATACTGCTTCTGTTGTGCTGATAACTGTTGTCCCATGATGAAACCCTAGCCTGAATAATTCCCTCGAACTTGGAAATCCTGAGCGGGCACCAATGACTTCTGACTTACTGACTGTGCAGTCTTTTCACCTTCATTTTCGAGGATTCTGTTGCGATCTGTTGCACGTTCCTCATGCGGGGCACCACCTGCCGGGTCTGACCCACAGACCCTGGCTGAACGACGGATGAACAAATGCACTCAGACACAGGTATCCAGTGAAAAAGTGGGCTGGGGGCCAGGCTGCCCACAGACACCAAGGAGGGTGCTGTAAAGAGTCAGCAGCCATGGCCCTGACAAGGTGGCTCTATTCAGTATAGATTTAATGACAAAGGCCTTGGGGCAACACACTTGTGGGCAATTCACAAGGTCGCCCTCTGCCCCCTGCCCAACAGTAGTCCTGTGTGCGGATGATTAAAGGCCAGATTCCGAGGCCTAAGTAAACTAACCTATCTAGATCAGTTTCTTTATATCCCCTTGTTATCTAACCTAAGCTTTCAGGCACTGGATAAGAGAATCTGGCTGCCTTCAGCCAAATCCTTTTCCGAAGCTTTTGTAAAACCTTCCGGCTTTCCAAGAAGGTTTGCATCTTTCTACAATTTTTCCCAATACCCTGACTGATCTCCTACAGGTAGGTTGGGTTTCTAGGAATTTATTAATTTCTTCTAGGTTTTCCAATTTGTTGGCTTACAGTTGTTCATAGTATTCTCTTATTATCCTTTTTATTTCTTTGGTATCACTTGTAATGTCTCTTCTTTCATCTCTGATTTTAGTCTTTGAGTCTTCTATTTTCTTAGTTAATCCCTGTGCTATTGGTTTCTGGTTTTATTTTATTATTATTGGAAAAGATACTATGTATGATTTCTACATTCTTTAATTTTTTAAGACTTGTACTGTGATCTAACATATGGTCTATCCCAGAGAACATTCCATGTGTACTTGAGAAGAACACATTCTGCTGTTATTTAGTGGAGGGTTCTATGTCTGTCAGGTCCAGTTGGTCTATACTGTTGTTCAAGTCCTCTATTTCCTTATTGACATTCTCTCTTGTTGTTCTATCCATTATTGAAAGTGAATTATTAAAGTATCCTACTATTATTGTGTTTCTCTCTATTTCTCCCTTCAATTCTGTCCAAGTCTGCTTCAAATATTTAGGATCTCTGAGGTTTAGTACACAAATATTTATAATTGTTATATTTTCTTGCGGAATCAACCCTCTTATTATTATGCAACATGCTTCTTCATCTCTTGTAACAGTGTTTGATATAAAGTCTATTTCACCTGGTACTAGTATAGGCAACCCTATTCTCTTTTGGTTACCATTTGCATGAAATATCTTTTTTGCATCCTTTCACTTTCAGACTATGAATGTAGACTTAAAGTGAGTCTCTTCTAGACAATATATACTTGTATCTTGTTCTTTTAATCCATTCACCCAATCTGTGTCTTTGATTGGCAAGTTTAATTCATGTACATTTAAAATAATTACTGATAGGGAAAGACTTACCATTGCACCATTGCTATTTTGTTGTTTTCTGTGTTTTGTAGCCTTTTTTTTCCTCCTTTCCTTTTTTATTGCCTACCTTTATGTTTCATTGATTTTTTTGTAGTTATATGCTTGGATGTCTTCATTTCCTTTTGTGTATGTTTTATAGATATTTTCTTTGTGAATACCATTGCAATTATGTACAACATATTTAAATGATAGCATTCTATTTTAAATGATAATAACCTCAATCATATATAAAAATGCTACTTCTTTATAGCTCCACTCCACCCCCACTTTATGTTACTGATATCATGTTACATCTTTATATATTGTAAACCCATTAACATAGATTTATAGTTCTTAAAATATCTTTGTTATTTAAATTCTATGCATCAAAAGTACAATAGGACAGGTTACTATATTTGTCCATATATGTACGTTTATGGAGAATCTTATGTTTTCATATAGCTTTGTGCTGCTGTCTACAATCTTTTCATTTCAACTTGAAGGACTCTTGTTAGCATTTCTTGTAGAGAAGGTCTAGAGGTAATGAACTCTCTCAGTGTTTGTTTATCTGAGAAAGTCTAAATTTCTCTTTAATCTTTGAAGAACAGTGTGGCCAAATACAGTATTCTTGTTTGACATTATTTTTCCTCAACACTTTGAACATATCATCTTATACTCTTATGGCTTGTAAAGTTTCTGCTGGAAAATCTGATAATCTTATAGAAGCTCCTTTATGTGATAAATTGCTTTTCTTGACTGTTTTCAAGATTCTTTCTTTGTCTTTGATTTTAGAAAGTTTGAGTATACCGTGTCTTGGGGTGATTCTCACTGAATTTATCCTAGTTGAAGTTCTTTGAGTTAATTGAATCTTAATGTTCATTGTTTCTTTTGATTTGGGAAGTTTTCAGCCAATATTTCTTCAAATAATCTCCCTGCCTCTTTCTCTCTCTCTTCTTCTGTAATTTCTATAATGCTTATATTGGTCCACTTGATAGTGTCCCATAATTCCCTTAGGCTCTTGGTGTTGTTTGGATATGTCTCCCCTCTAAATCTAATGGTGAAATTTAATTCACAATGTCAGAGGTGGGCCTGGTGGGAGGTGTTTGGGTCATGGGGGTAGATCCCTCATGGGTTGGTGCTGTCCTTGTGACAGTGAATAAGTTCTCATGAAATCTGATTGTTTGAAAGTGTAGGCACCTCCCCACTACTCTCCCTGTTGCTCCCATTTTTGTCATATGAGACACCTGCTCCCCCTTCACTTCCTGCCACAAGTAAAAACTCCCTGAGGTCTCCCCAGAAGTGAAGCAGATACAGACAACATGATTCCTATACAGCCTGCAGAACTGTGAGTCAATTAAACCTTTTTTCTTTATAAATTATCCAGTCTCAGATATTTCTTTATAGCAATGCAATAACAGCCTAATACAGCTTTCTTTACTTTTCTTCCTTTTTTTCTTTTAGTTTTTCTGACTCAGTGGTTTCAAATGACCTGTCTTTGAGTTCACTGATTATTTCTTCTGCCTGATCAAGCTTGCTGTTGAATTCCTTTAATGAATTTTTCAGTTCATTTGTGTTTTCCAGTTCCAGAAATTTCGTCCTTTTTAAAATAGCTTCTATCACTTTGTTGATATTCACATTTTGTTAATGTGTTGTTTTGTGATTCATCTATTGGTATTCTCTTTAAGCTCATTGAACATCTTTATTTTTTAACATGTTATTTATTTTTTTGAGATGGAGTTTCATTCTTGTTGCCCAGGCTGAAGTGCAATGGTGCAATCTTGGCTCACTGCAACCTCTGCCTCCCAGGTTCAAGCCGTTCTCCTGCCTCAGCCTCCCAAGTAGCTGGGATTACAGGCATGTGCCACTACACCTGGCTAATTTGTTGTATTTAGTAGAGACAGAGTTTTACCATGTTGGTCAGGCTGGTCTTGAACTCCTGACCTCAGGTGATCTGCCCATCTCGGCCTCCCAGAGTGCTTAGATTACTGGCATGAGCCAATGTGCCTGGCCTCATTGAGCATCTTTATAACAGTTATTTTAAATTCTTTTTCGGGCAGTTCATAAATCTGAATTTCTTTAGGGCTTGTTTCTGGAATTGTATTTATTTCTTTGGTTGGGCCATGTTTTACCCTTTCTTTGTATGACATGTAACTTTTTTGACAGGATTTGAAAAAAAAAAAAAAAAAAACACCTCTCCCAGTCTTTGTGTACTAGTTTTGTGCAAGAGAGGACTTTTACTAATCACCTGGGCTGGAAGTTCTATGACCTCCAAGATATTTTCTGATCTCCTGCTTCTTTTGGTGTCTGCCTGTAGAAATGGGGCTATAATAAGCTGCTCTCCTTTATTATAGGCTCCAAGCTCTGGTATCAATACCATCAGTGCTCAGAGTCTGGCAAGACCAAAACCAGTCCCTTGGGCAGCCCCAGAAAAGCCAAAACATTTTATTTAAAGTCCCCTTTTCTGCTTTCATCCACAGGAAAAAGCCCTGATAAGAAGTGTGGAGTGTTCCCCCCACCCATTCCTTCATGATATGCCATCTAGGGAAAGGACGATAAACAGGTATGCCAAATGCCATAAGTTTTTCTACCTCTTTCTCTAGAATACTTTCTTGGTTTAACATGCTTTAACTTCTCACACAGATTGTCCTGTACTTTTTTTTTTTCTTTCTTTCTTAGACAGGGTCTCATTCTGTCACCCAGGATGGAGTGCAGTGGCTTAATCACGGCTCATTGCAGCATTGACCTCCTGGGCTCAAGGGATCCTGCCATCACAGCCTCCCAAGTAGCTGGGACTACAGGCACATGCCACCACACCCACCTAGCTTTTGTATATTTTGAAGAGATGGGGTTTCACCATGTTGCCCAGGCTGGACTCAAACTCTTGGGCTTAAGCGATCCGCCCATTTTAGGCCCCCAAATTCTGGGGTTACAGGGGTGAGTCATTGTGCCCAGCTTGTACATTGTTTTAAAGTCATCATCTGTGTGGCCAGAAGAGCCTGCATCTTCCTAGTCTGGCGTCTTGTTGACATCACCCTATTTTAAGTAATATTTCATTTAGGATTTCACTTGTGTTTATAAATGTTCACAAAGGAAAGGCCTATGGGAAACAGACCTCATAAAATTGATTCAGCAGCTTTATTTTTCTGTTCCTTAATTTCTTCAAAATCTGTTAGACTTTATCCATAAAAATATTTGAGGGAGAGGTTTTTGATTTTTTTTAACTTCTATTTTTTTCTGTTTCTTATTTAGCAAATTTTGGCATGTCTCTGTTTCAAAATATTTATTTATTTAAGATTATAAGCGTTTGGTGTAAAGATGTCCATAAAATTATTCTATGATGTTCAATCTATTTTAATTATATCTTCTTGGTCATTCAATGTTTATTATTTTCATTTTCTCTCTTCTTTTCATTTTGATATATAATATTTGTACATATCTATGGGGCACATGTGATATTTTGTTGCATGCACAGAATATGTAATGACCAAGTCAGAGTATTTAGGGAATCCATCACCTTGAGTATTTATTATTTCTATGTGTTGAGAACATTTCAAGTCCTCTGCTTTAGCTATTTTGAAATATACTGTACATTCTTGTTAACTATAGACATCATATTCTGTTATTGAATGTTAGAACTTTTTTTTTTTTTGAGATGAAGTCTCATTCTATCATCCAGGCTGGAGTGCAGTGGTGCAATCTTGGCTTACGCAACTGCCTCCCGGGTTCAAGCAATTCTCCTGCCTCTGCCTCCTGAGTAGCTGGGATTACAGGTGCCTGCCACCACATCTGACTAATCTTCGTATTTTTAGTGGAGATGGGATTTCACCATTTTCGCCAGGCTGGTCTTGAACTCCTGACCTCAAGTGATCCACCCGCCTTGTCCTCCCAAAGCGATAAAATTACATGACCCACTGCGCCCAGTCTATAACTTATTTCTTCTATCTAACTGTATCTTTGTACTCAATAACCAACCTCTCCTCATCCTTCCTCTACACACCCTTCCTAGCCTCTGGTGTCCTTCATTCTACTCTCTACTTCCATGAGATTGACTTTTTGAGCTCCCATGTATGAGAGATAACACATGACTTTTGTCTTTCTGTGCCTAGCTTATTTCACTTTACATAATGACCTGTAATTCTATTTATGTTGCTGCTAATGACATGATTTCATTCTTTTTTTATATTTCATTGCGTATATATATTTTCTTTATTCATTCGACCATTGATGGGCATGTAGGTTGGTTCCATATCTTCGTTACTGTGAATAGTGCTGCAAAATAAACATGGGGTGCAGGTATCTTTTTGATAACTAATTTCTTTTCCTTTGAATAAATACCCAGTAATGGGTATGCTGGATCATACGGTAGTTCTATTTTTAGTTTTTTTCAGAAATCTCCAGACTATTTTCCATACTGGCCGTACTAATTTACATTCCCACCAACAGAGTATAATAGTTCCCTTTTCTCCACATCCTCACCAGCATCTGTTATTTTTTGTCTCTTTGATAACAGTCATTCTGACTGGGATAAGGTGATATCTCACTGTGGTTTTGACTTACATTGTCCTGATAATTAGTGATGTTGAGCATTTTTTCATATACCTTTTGGCTATTCTTGTGTCTTCCTTTGAGAAACATCTGTTTATGTCCTTTGCCCTTTGTTTCTTTGAGACGAAGTCTCACTCTGTCTCCCAGGCTGAAGTGCAGTGGCGTGATCTAGGCTCACTGCAACCTTGGCCTCCTGGGTTCAAGCGATTCTCCTGCCTCAGTCTCCAGAAGCTGGGATTACAGGCACCCATAACCACACCCAGCTATTTTATTTTTATTTTTATTTTTGGTAGAGATGGGTTTTTGCCATGTTGGCCAGTCTGGTCTCGAACCCCTGACCTTAGGCGATCCACCCACCACAGCCTCCCAAAGTGCTGGGATTACAGGTGTGAGCCACCTCACCTGGCCCTTTGCCTTTTTATTTGAGATGGAGTCTCACTCTGTCATCCAGGCTGGAGTGCAGTGGTATGATCTTGGCTCACTGCAACCTCTGCCTCCTGGGTGCAAGCAATTCTCCTGCCTCAGCCTCCTGAGTAGCTGGGATTACAGGCACATGCCACCATGCCCACCTAATTTTTATATTTTTTAGTAGAGATGGGGTTTCATCATTTTGGCCAGGCTGGTCTCGAACTCCTGACCTCAAGTGATCTGCCCACCTCAGCCTCCCAAAGTGCTGGGATTACAGGCATGAGCCACACGCTTAGCCTGCCTATTTTTTAATGGGATTTTTTTCTTTTTTTTTTTTTTTACTGTTCAGATATTTTAGTTCATTATATATTCTAAATATTACTCCCTTGTCAGATAAATAGTTTGCAAATATTCTCTGCCATTCAACAAGTTGTCTCTTCACCTTGTAGATTGTTTCCTTTACTGTGCAGAAGCTTTTTACTTTAATATAGTCCCATTTGTCTATTTGTGTTTTTGTTACTTGTGCTTTTGAGGTTTTAGCTGTAAAATCATTGCCTAAAGTCCTGAAGTAGTTCCCTTGTATTTTATTGTAGTTATTTTACAGCTTTGGGTGTTACATTTTAGTCTTTAATCCATCTTAAGTTGATTTGTGTATGTGGTAAGATACAGGGGTCCAGTTTTATTCTTCTGAATATGGATATCCAATATTTCTAGCACCATTTATTGAAGAGATTGTCCTTTCCCCAGTGTGTTTTCTTGATGTCTGTCCAAAATCAGTTGGCTGTAAATGCATGTGTTTATTTCTGGATTCTCTCTTATGTTCCTTTGGTATGTGTGTTTGTTTTTATACCATACGCTGCTGTTGGTATAGCCTTATGTTTATTTATATTTTGAAGTCAGATAGTCTGATGCCTCCAGCTTTGTTCTTTTTGCTCAGGATTGCTTTGGCTATTCAGGCTCTTTTTTAGTTTCATGTGAATTTTAGAATTTTTCTTCTTTTTTTGTGAAAAATGACACTGATATTTTGATAGACATTGAATTTGTAGATTGCTTTGGGTAGTATGGTTATTTTAACAATGTTAATTGTTCTGTTCCATGAGCATGAAATGTCTTTCCATTTATTTGCATCTTCTTCAATTTCCTTTATCAGAGTTTTATAGTTTTTCTTGTAGAGGTCTTTCATTTCCTTGGTTAAACTTATTCCTGGTTTTTGTTTGTTTGTTTTTGTTTTGCAGTTTTTGTAAATGGGATTGCCTTCTTGATTTCTTTTTTGGCCATTATAGATGCATAGAAATGCAAACTAATTTTGGATGTGGATTTTGTATTCTGCAACTTTATTAATTTATGAGATCTCAATGGTTTTTTGGTGTAGTACCCATACATGAACTGTTGTCAGTCTATGATGAGATCAACGCAATATTGAGAATAAGTGTTTAGGAACTTTCACGAAACTTTCAAGGAGTAATATCTGTTAAATCTAATAAACAATTTGGCCTTGTATTTTGCAAACCTTTTTCTTTAATTTTCCTAGTGCAGTTATCCCTTAGTATCTGCAGGTTATTGGTTTCAGGACCCCCAAGGATAGTAAAAGCTAAAGATGCTCAAGTCTCTTAAATAAAATGGCATTAGTGTCTACATATAACCTATGCATACCCTCCTGTATACTTTAAATCAACTCTAGATTACTTATAATATCTAATACAATGTAAATGTTATGTAAATAGTTGTTATACTGTATTGTCTTCTATTTGTATTATTTTGTTTTTTACAATTTTTACAAATTTTTCAATCTGTGGTTGGTTGAATCTGAGGATATGGAACCAACTGTGATTAATTTTTCTTATATTTTAAAAAAGTTTTGGTTGGTGATGGTTTGAAAATTAAAAACAAAACACTGTTCCTTCTTGCAGATAGTTTGAGAAAAAACAGCCCAGATTATAAATTGAAAAATTAATAACTTTTGGTGAGGTCCCAAGTTAACCATGTTTTTTCATTTTCTTAGAGTTCATTAATTAATTAGAGTTCACTAATTAATTTCCAGCTGATATTCTTTGCTTGTGTTTTCACTCTGAGAAGTTACCATTTTACCAGTCAGGTTAGAAGTCAAGCAGTAAGTTCAGTGGAAAAACAAGTAATAATAAATCTACTTAGTGAGACCGTACTGTGCAACCGACTCTGCACAGAGAAAAACAACCTATTACGTAGATATTTTTATTCCCATTTTATTCCCATTTTAGAGATGTGAAACAACTTAACCACAGCACAGAGCAAGTGTAGAGACAGAACCGGGATTCCGATGAAGATCTGTCTGGTTCCAAAGTCTCTACACTTTTACTACACTGTTCTTTATTAATCACTAGATAGAACCATACACATATTGTTACATCAGGCAGAAGGTTTCGAGGGTTCTATTAACAAAGTGCTACGAATGAACTGGGTGGAAGAAAGTACATAGGTCTCCCATTCAAGGGTTCATCAGCCTTCACTAAGGAAATTTAAGTCAAAGTAGCTGACAGTGAGTCAGCATTTTGGAAGGCAGGTAGAGATGGTGAAGAAATAAGGAAATTCTTCTATGAGTCATGATAGATATTTAAGCTTGTTAAAAAATGTTTTTGACTACCTACTCCCTTTGCCTACAGAGTCCAGTTAAGGTATCTTAAAAATTATGGAAATAAAAACAATCGGTCGCTGTCTGTCCTCGCCAAACTCAAAAAAGGCTAAGCCTTTTGTGCTTAAACACATACTCATCAGTAACTATTCTACCTTACACTGAACATAACTAAGCTAGGTTGTTCTTCTTGGGAATGTACTTGCAAGTTAATACTGCACTGCAACTATAAGGTTTTTTAAAAGACATCAGTTGTACATTATAAATTAAATCTAGTTTAAATCAATATAATTCAATTTATCCTAGCAAGGAAGTTTTTTAAGGATGGTCTGATTTTTTTTTTACAGGAATAATCTTTGCATAATTTTACACCCCATACATGAGATGATTAGGATTCAATCTCAATCAGAAAAATCCCTTTATGGTGTCCTTATGGCTTTCCTGTATCCTAACAGAAAAATCCTAGCAGAAGCATTTCCCCTTTACCCAGTTCCTGTTCTCTTATCACAGTTCTATTCCTCCACACTCCCTTCCTGCTAGGCACGGGAATTTGAAAGGGCAGGGAAAAATCGGTGAAAGTTTGTCTTCTACTTGGGTAATCCAACACCACCGCATCCAGTAGTATATAATTCTTTTTGCATGTATATCAGATCCTCCCCAATCCCTCTCCCATACCTCTTTCTCACTTTTCTCTCATTATCCGGTCCTCTTGTTTTCCTTGACCCCCACATTCCTGTCTAAATCATCCTCCTGGCCTCAGGTCCTTATCGCCTTCCTGAGACCCTCATGTTTAGTGTTCCCTCATTCCTCTTACACCTAGGATTTCTCCTCCTTCCATAAGGGTCTGGTCCTTCATCCCTCCCGCTTCACCAGACCCCCTCACCCTGGGAGCCGCCACCTCCCTTTCCCCAAGACCAGATGTCGCGCGGCCGGACACAGCCAGCACGGAGAGTCGATGCCGGCGTCTGAGCTGCGCAGTGGGGTCTTCCCGCTGCCCAGCAGCCTACAGGCGCGGTGCACTCTGGGGGAACATGGCCGCTTCCGGTCTCCCTCCCGGGCCGGCGCTGGCCTGACTGCGGCCCCGGTCCGTAGCACTCCGCCCTCCGCTTCTCCCGCCCTGTAGCCGCGAAGACTGCTTCAGCCTTTCCCTGTGCTGCCCCTGCCGCGCGATGGAGAAGAGCTCGAGCTGCGAGAGTCTTGGCTCCCAGCCGGCGGCGGCTCGGCCGCCCAGCGTGGACTCCTTGTCCAGGTAACCAGGACGCCCAGGGCCCCGCCCAGCGTCCGAAGGGGATGGAGAGGGGCCGGGGACCTGCTGGATTGTTGCCCCAATTCGCGGATTCTGGTTTCTGAAGGCTACGCCGGAATTCCTTCCCCGGGACTTGGGAACCACTTCTGCCTCCCTCCCTGGGGCGTGGAGGCTGAGGAAAAGGAGGTTAAAACTCGCTGCTTCTTTATCGATTCCTCTACCTTTCATATTCCGATCTCGTTTTCTCCCCGATGGAGGTGGTCCCAGTTAATTACTTTCTCCTGTCTTTCATTCCCTCTCAAACCTTTTTTAAGACAGTTCCCCCCGCCCCCATTCTTTTCCCCACATTTCCTGTCTTTCTCTGTCACTTTTTCCAAAACCATCCTAAAGTCAGTCTTTCCTCCTCCACCCCTTCTTATGTCTTTGGTTTTTGGGTTCTTGCCCAGCCCTTTTCTCTCTTTTCATGGCTTCACCTTCTTAATTTCTTTCATGCTTTTCTCTACACTCTGATTTTCTTCTCGCCTCCCTTTTTGCTTAAATATGTAAATAAAAATGTCTCCTGTGCTTCTCTTTTCTAAATCTTCCAGCTGAAAGTCAGTATCAAGGAATCTGAGTGGTTTTTATCCCCAGTGATAGGTTTAAGAAAACAAAATGAGTGGTAGTTTTCTTCCTTCTTGGGCTACTGGTTCTCCACGTTGTCATTTCTCTTGTAACAGATGGGAATTTTATCCTGGAATTTTGAGGAGGACTTTATGCAGCTTTGCAGAGAGCTTTTATGAATATTAACTAGACGCGTTTTGGATGCAGTCTTTTTCTTTGATTTTAAAATAATGATTTAAAAATTTTTTAAAAAATAATATAAGACCTGTATTTGCTTTTTATGCAGCCACGATGAAATCTGGTTCTTTTCCACTGAATAATAGTCTAATTGTTATTAGAGAGTGATTCGATAACTGCTGTGTGAAAACACACAATTTTCATTTTCTCCTTCAATCAGTTGAAGTGGCTCTATTATAATTCATTTTGGATTCTGCTAAATATGGGTAGTTATTGCCTTTTTTCCTGTTGATGTTCAGCACCTCACTGGGGAACCACTGTCTGATCCCGTCATTCTACATTGCCATATGCACTCATAGCTCCCTGCACAGTCGTTTTTCAGAGTCTTTAATAAGCACACTATAATTGTTGGCTTAAAGTGCCTTTTCTACCAGGTTATAAGCTATTATACTTGAGGGCAATCTTAATCATCTTCATATCTCCAGCACTTAACATAGTCTCAGCATGTGATAGGTGCTCACTAAATGGTTTTTTTTTTTTCGAATTTGTAGCCTGAATTATCCAGGAAAGGAGGATTTTTCTTTGCAGTTTGATTATATATATTGCACGTTTGAATCAAGTATTTTTTGAATTCTGTATTTATTGCTTTGAAATTTGGAAAGCTGAGGATTAACATGTTCAGTTGTGTAATTCATTCAGAAAACAGGTTGGAAAATTCGAATTTTATGGGAAAGTTACAAATGACAACTATGCCTCAGAATAGCATAAGAGGCAACCAGTACTCTCATCCAAGGCAGAGAAGTTAGAACCACATGAAGCAGCACAGTATGTTAGAAAGAAGGAAGTACTGGAAGTTAGGAAGCTCCCATGCTGAAGTCTCTGGCTGAGCTAGCTCTTTGGTCTTTTCATTTAGACTTTCTAGTCTACAGTTTTCTCATCTTTTAAAATAAGAAGCTTGATCTAGAAAATCTGTAAGGTCCCTTGGAACTCTAACATTGTCATTTTTAAAATTTTAATGACAATACTAAGATGAATGCATTGATATTAATTTTAAAGATAATTCCTTTGCAAATAACCTTTGTTTTGGATTTTTGCAATTACACGAAATAAGTGTCCTTTATTATTACAAACTAATATACCTAACGGTGCCACTTGAACATATTTATTTCCTAAAACAGAAAGCCCAGCAAGTATAAAGATTATATATGTATATGAACTTCTCTATAAAAAATTATGTTACTGACAAATTTGAGAAAATTAAGTACTCCTCGAGAGAATTGTGATATAGTAGATTAGCCTAATCCTCTCTGGACAAAAATATAAGTATGATTCCTATTTTCCATAAGAGAATGCCAGCTTTCATTACTCTCCTCTGGAAGGTAGAAAAGTAACATTTACTTAATGTCTACTGTATGGAAGTTTCCCTGCTAAATTCTATGTATCTTTTATTTCATTAATCATCATACCTGTTTGTGGCACTCTCCTTAATCAACAGTATGTAATAGATACATTATAGACACTAGTTAGAAAGCTTAATTTTAAACAATCTAGGCTAACACTTCATCGCAGGTGACTCTAATACATTGCCAGTGTGGCCTGCTTTGGTCTCATAGCTATGTTAAGTGTCTATCTAGATTGTTTAAGTTATTTCTTTTGTTTCATTAGCCTTTGACAAAGCAAAATTATTGCTGTTTGGCCTATATTATCTCAGTTTTTGCAGAAATGATTCCCTTAAATTGTAGTTTATTTTTATGCTTTCTGTTTTTATACAGAGGCCTAATTGGGAAACTGCCTTTGGAATTTGTTTTGATATCTCTGGCAGAATAATAGTTAATATTGTTAAATGTGTCACAGAATGTTTTTCACACATGCATTAACATAAATTTCTGCTGAGTTTAGCTACAAAGAAAATTATTTATAGAAAAAATTATGTATGCTCCTTGTTTGTTAGTAAGTGGTAACTATATAACTGCGTCTTTCTCTTTAGCTTAGTAAAACTTTAGTCAAATTTATATCTGAAGGTGGTAATATACTCATCTCTAATTTCTTTAAGTACTTTTATTATTACATGAACTCAAGTTAAATATTATGTGTTATGTTTAAATGTATTGATTAGATGTCTGAAGCCCTTTTGGGAAGTAGGAAGGATGATACACTAATCCATGTGGTTGCCCATTGTTTTTTGAAAATGACATACTTGGCCGAGTGCCATGGCTCATGCCTGTAATCTCAGCACTTGGGAGGCCAAGGTGGGAGGATCACTTGAGCCTAGGGGTTTGAGACCAGCCTGGGCAACATAGTGAGGCCCCATCTCTAAAAAAGAAAGACTTTTTAAAATAAGTAAAAATATTTTAAAAAATGAAAATGACATACTCCATTGAAGTTGGATTACAGGCTGTTGTGCAATCTGTAGTTCACAATAAACATGTGATGAGTCTTACTAAGTATCTGTAGTCATTTCAGAGTTCTCTTGTCTCCAGTTATGCCTTCTAGGTCATCATAGATCTGATGCTTTTGCCCACAAAAGGGCAATTTCATTCTTCATATGATATCCAGGTAGTAGTTTCCTAACCAGCTATAGTTATGTCATCCTGCATCTTTAAAAAAAAAAAAAAAAAAGTAATCGTCAGCTGGGCGTGGTGGCACGCACCTGTAACCCTAACTACTTGGGAGGCTGAGGTACCAGAATTACTTGAACCTGGGAGGCCAAGGTTGCAGTGAGCCAAGAACGCACCACTGCACTCCAGAGTGGGCAATAGAGTGAGACTCCATCTCAAACAAAAACAAAAAAAACAATAGTTGTCTTTGGTGAGTCCTGCTTAATATTGCCATACTTCAGTAAACTGTTCAGCAACTCTTGTATATCTTGCTGTTGGCCATTCTTCATGTATATCTATCCCCACAGAAAGAGAGAGGGAGTTGTGGAAAACTTCACTTTAGCATCCTAATAATCTAGTTATATTCTGTAATTTTACTTTTGTTGGGTGTGCTCTGATTCTTGATATAAGTATGACTTTATAAGATATAGGTAAAATAATACTGTAGGTCAGATGTGATAATAAGAGTAGGCTTGAGTCTCAGAACTGTAATGAGTTACACAGCAGAATTTGACATTATATTGGTAATAATCTGCCATCTTAGTCTGGTTTTCCATTTTTCAGTTTATACACTATTATAAAATGCACTGCTTTAGTGGGTTTCTTTGATTAGTTTGTATTGTGCATAATCAAATGGTAAGATATCTAGTGCCGAATAGGTGCTGAGTGAACATCTAAATAAAAGAATGTTGACGGAATGTTCACCACTGGTCTTGTTTGTTGTTCCCATTCAAAGGATTAAAAAGGATTCCTTCTGTTGAATTTGGCCTGAACACTTGCAATTTCAGGTCTAAGCTGAAGTTATTTTTATGGGAGACTGGACATCTTGAGCTGATTTTACTGTTCTGTGCCCAGTCCTACACACAATGAGGTTATTATGTCCTCTTCAACTACCTATTTATCCATCTGCTACTCTTGATTACTTTTGCCCCTTTTGCTCTAACTTGTGTTGTTAGTCGTTTTAATTAATGTGTGTTCTTGTCATCCTTCATATAACCTCAGGCTTTAGTTATTCTGGGTACCATACTTGTTTATCCCAGATTATTTGGTTTTATCAATTTGTAGTATATAATTTCATTAGCATTGATGAGCATCTTATATTTACATTTAACTTCCATTAAAAAAATCAAAGGGGGGGTACACATACTCAAAGTAGTTCTCAACTAATTGCATTTATAAATTGCATGCCTGCCTTAAAATTATCATCATTTGAAAACAGGAATTCCTAGATTTCTGTTTCCATGGATTTTGATTATACTTATAGCCTGAAGAAGTAGAGGAGTTTCCTAGATTTCTAAAACACATTTTGTTGCAAGGTCTCATCTTTAGTTTTAGCCTCAAGGTCACTTAAGAGTGACGTGTTGGAGGCCAGGTGCAGTAGCTAACGCCTGTAATCCTAGCAGTTTAGGAGGCTGAACAGTTTGGGATTGCTTGAGTCCAGAAATTCCAGACCAGCCAGGGTCACATGGCAGAACACTGTCTCTGCAAAAAATAAAAAGTTAGCTGGGCATGGTAGTGCATGCCTGTAGTCCCAGATACTTGGGAGGCTGGTGTGAGAGGATCACCTGAGCCTGGGAACGTTGAGGCTGCAGTGGGTTGTGATAGTGCCACTGTATTCTGGCCTGGGCAAGACAGTGAGACCCCGTCTCAAGAAAAAAAAGTGATATGTTGGTAGGAAATATGCTTTTATGTTGTTTTTCTAGTAGTGGTGATGGATTTGTGTACAATCACACATTTTTACCCATTCCCTTTGTCACTCTTGGCATGTCTGCTGAGACAGCTGGCAAGATTAGAGGTAGAAATTATAGCTGTAAAACAGAGTAAAGCTACCAGATTGAACCTACAACCTTGGCATTATTAGTAGTACCTTGTATCAAACATTGAACATATTAGACTAAAAATTACTTATTTGGATTTCATTACTTAAAAACCCTCAAAGATCTAAGTTCTCTTAGATAAGAAACAATATTGGTCTGACATAGTAATTATGTAGCTTTTCAGAAAGCACATATTTGAAGAATGCAAGTTGATAGTGAACCTGAGACTGGGTCCCGTATATATCTGTATTTTTCCTTTTTATGCTATTATCAATAATTTCCTATTAGTGTAGACCAGTAGTTCTCAAAGTTTGGTCTCCAGGCCAGTAGCATCAGTATCTCTTTGGGATTTGTTAAAAATGCAAATTCTTGGGCCCTACCTTGGACCTAACTGAATTAACATTTTAGGGGTGGAGCCCAGCTGTTGGTGTTTTAGCAAGCTTTCCAGGTGATCCCGATGGATGCTGAAGTTTGAGAACCACTGCCTTGGATCTTTTGCTAATTGGTGCCTTTTGTAATGCAATCAACATTAGTTAAAACTAAGTTAAGGTCTATGTTAGAAGTACTGTAAAACTATTACTTGAGAGCATTTTTGTAAAAATGTTGACTAAAGTAGTAAAAGGTAAAAGTCATCTCTTGTCGATTTATTAGATTTGATTTCTAGGAAATTTCCTAAGGCATTTTTCTTTGAGTAACATAAAACAAGAATATGCGTTTTAGGCTTTTTCTTAAAAATAGATTCTTAGTGAGAAAGATTAGTGGAAACAAGCATTTTTAAAAAAAGTACAGTTGACCCTCGAACCACATGGGTGTGAACTGTTCAGATCCACTTTTATGTGGATTTTCTTCTGCTTCTGCCACCCCTGACACAGCAAGACCAACCCCTCCTTTTCCTCCTCAGCATGTGCAACATGATGAGGGTAACAAACTTTATGATGACCCACTTCCACTTAATGGGTAGTAAATGTATTTTCTTTTCTTTGTGATTGTCTTAATAACATTTTTTTTCATTGTTAGAGTTCAGTATATTGGCGTGCAGCCTGAAATATGTTTTGATGGGCTGTTTATGTTATCCGTAAAGCTTCCAGTCAACAGTAGTCTATTAATAGTTAAGTCTGGGGAGTAGTTTGGGGAGTCAAAATTATATGCGGATTTTCAGCTGCGTTGAAGGTCAGCACCCCAACTCCTGTGTTGTTCAAGGGTCAACTGTATTATGAACAAGTAATTCCAGGAGGCCATCACCTGAACCTGTAAAGTTTGGATTATGCCCAGGGGAAGGAGATAACCTGGATACAGATGACCAGAAAGCAGTAAGTTTATTTTGGAAAGCTGCCAAGTTAATGCTATTGTATTCAAAATCATCAGAGCCAAAGATTGCGTGCGATTCAGGATTTGAGTAATGGAAATTCTCCAGATTTTAGTGTGGAATATTTTTCCTTTGTAAGGAAGATGGTTTTGAATATGTAAAGTACTTGCTATCTTTGTGTCTACTGTTTGATTTAGTTAAATCGGTAGATAATAATTAAACACTATTAGAGGTGATAGTCAAGGATAGGGAGTGATTTTAAAAACCTGCTTTCCACAGGAAGTCAAATTAAAAATGGAACTGTATAAAAAGATAAAGTTGGTACTAGATTATTAAAATAAAAAGGACTAGGGAAGATGCCTTCTTGAAAATAATAACTTCAGTTCCCTTTCCTGTAGCTTTATTATGCAAAGCTAATTGTGCCTGTCCCTCCTAATATGTTTCTATATAGGTACCAATGTTGTCATTAATACAAACTGTTAATAAGCAAGCTTCATAATTCTTCCCTTCCCCAAGTACATAGGACCTATGGCCATAATCACTGGTGAATATTTATTCTTTCAAAGACTCTTACTTTGTGTGAATAACTCTTGGGCTCTTTAAATATTTTTAGTCTAGAGTAAATAAGAGCAAATGCTGTGTATTAAATATATTAAAAATTACCTGTAAAATATATTTTAATTAAAAATTTAAACACTGTTATTTGGAAAATTCTTTTTTTTTTTTAAGTTCTACTTTAGGTTTAGCAGCACATAACAAAATACAAACTGACAGTGGCTTAATATAGGAGATGCTAAATTTTTTTCCACATGAAAGCCTGGAGATAGTCAATACAGATCTAATATGGTGGATCTGAAGTATCAAGGACCCAGATTGTCTTACATTCCAGGGTTACCTCATGAACCAAAATTATTGTTGGAACTCCAGCTATTATATCTTCAGGAGGAAGGGAAGAAGAGGAGCATACTCTCTCTCTTTGAAGGATACTTTTTTGGCAGTCACATGTCATTTTTTTTAACTTACATCCAGTTGGCTAAAACATGGATGGTCCCATGGCCATACGTAGGTAAACAAGAGGCTGGGATAGGCAGTCTCATCTGTGAGGCCTTTGTGCTGAGCTAAATTTGGAGGTTCTGTCACTGAGGAATAGGAGAGAATGGGTATTGGAGTCATAGCAGCTTTTCCCCTTGGGTACAGATGAATCATTTAAAAGAAAGACATTTTCCACCTAAAGTCTGCAATATTTCACTTATGCCAGAGACACCCTTAGAGCTGCAAATGCGATGACCAAAATAGAAAACACACTGAAAGAGAGGAGGTAATACATTGCTGCAGACCAAAAAAGAGAATTGTATCTTGGAGCACTCTGAACTCTTGAGTTTAGCTTTCTATTTTTTTGTGTCTTGTCTTGGGTCAGATTTTTATAATCCTAATCTGGAACCATAAAATGAAAGTGGTACATTTAATATTGACAAGATCATTAAGTGATGGGGAAACAGAAATCAAAGGAAGAATGGATTGCCGTGCTATATTGTATTTCACTTGAAGAGCTCAAGGAATTGCACGGTAAAGTAGTAGTGGTAATGAAGTTGATGGCCTACTCTGCTTACTTCCAATTTGACATCCATTTCCAAGCCATGTATCCATGTATTTTATCCTCTTCTAGAATGTTGCATCGGGTTCTACTTAGGTATTTTCTCTCATTTCAGTTGTAAGGATGTGGTTTCCATAAGGGAAATAAATAAAGCTGACCATTTTAATTTATGAATGCTTTTGCCAATATTCAGTTTGTTTTTATATCTTTGACCTAAACATTTTATTAAAAATGCGGAGACATCTGTGTCTTATATATTCTTTTGTCACCTAACTTAAATATTAATATTTTAAGCATATAATTTCAAACATAAGGAGTTTATAATTTGGATGTGAATAGAAGAGCATATGTATATAAGTCTCCTTTGGATTGATAAAACATTTATTCATCAGGCTCTGAGGATTTAATAGACATTAAGTCAGAAACATATCCATTTCTCTTCTCGGCAGAATTGCTTTTACTGATAGCAGCAAATGAGCAGTTGCTGAGGTAGGGAGGAGGCCTTGTCTGGAGGTTATGCATTAGCAAAAGGGAAAATAACTGGCTGATGATGGGCTGGTGATTACAAGCCTTAATATTCTTGAGCGAGCCAAGAAGCCCAGCAAAGTTCAAAAATAAAATTTTGTTCTCTGTTCTCTGTTACCAATATTAGATAACAACATTCTTTTATCATAACCAAAGGCATTGCCTCAAAATAGCAACACTGAAAACAAGCCTTGCTTTCCTAGTGGTAGACAGTTATAGTAATAATAATGTTAATATTAAACACAACAATAATATAAATAGCACAACATTTATTGCATGCTTACTATGCTGGGCATGGTGCTACATTTCTTCTATGCATTTTCTCATATAATCCTCATAACTGTATAAAGTAGAGAGTGTTAATGTTTCCATTTTACAGAGAAGAAAACGGAAGATTAGAGAGGGTACCTTGACATGTGAATTCAAGTCCATTTGACTTCAGGGTCTGTGTGCTCTAAAGAACACACATGCCTGAAGATCTAGTGCCCCAGGTGCAGACCAAAGCTTTGTAGTTAGAGGGCAGTCCCAGGGCAGGTTGATTGGGTGGTAGTGATAAGGACATGAGTTTCCTTGACCTGCTATTTTGCTGGAGAAGGATAAAGATACAGTATACATTCACCAAGTGAGAGTTTGTATTTGGAGAGAATTTTACCTTTGAATTTTGTTTGCCTTCTGACAGAAAATAGGATGTTTTTTTTTCTTTGCCTGAGATTAAGAGGATAGTATCATTTCATTCATTACCTGATGATTAAGAGGGTAGTATCGGTAGTATCATTTCATTCAAAAGAACAGTTTTACATTTTGAAGATCATGTAAAGTATGAAGCAAGTAATTGCCAAAGCCTCCTCCCCACCACTCCCTGCCCTGCAGGCTTTGCACAATGATTTAGAATATTTTAGGGTTCCTTAAATTTCTGAATTCCCCTAAGTTCCTTTGTGTTTATTTACAGTTAATGTGTTAAGAGCCATTGACATTTGAAGATCATCAGAAGTGAAGATAAAACATCTCAAAAATTATAATGTAAGTGAATGGGAAAATGCAGATATAAAAATGGACAAAAGTTAATATTGCCAACAGTATTTCTGGATTATATATTATCCCAAATGAAATTTGCACTTATGAGTAACAAGTAGTTTCAAACTTCAGTTCCATTTCCAAGTCCCTGTCCTTAAAATTCTGTGTTCTCTTCTACTTGGGGAAAGCAGTCACTAAGTTTTAGTCATCCAGTTATTTTCCATTAGAATTCTTTTGGCATCCATGTTCTGTTTTCTTCCTTTTCCTCCTTAGCAATTTGCAGTTTGACTTGAGAAGAGGATGACAAGAATTCATGTTATATGCAAAATGTTATAGATACTAAGGTCTTTGCTTTCCAGCTATTGATGTGTGTTGTGTATGTTATTCAAGTGTAATTTTACTACTGTTTTGTATGTTTCTTAGCCAAAAATATGACCAGTTAGTTAGCCGCCTTCCTTCCCCCTCTTTCTCTATTCTTTCTTTTTTTCCCCTCCTCTTTCCCTTCCTTTCTTTCTGCAAATAATTGTTTAACATCTACTGTGCCTTACACACTGTGCTAGATTCTGAATTCCTAAAAGCTTGGTGCTGAAATGAATTATATCATCTTTTCACACTCTTAGAGGGATTAGAGATCAACCAATTAGTGTTTTTCAACTGTGGCTGAGGACCACCTATGTATTTCAGTCAACTGTGAACTTGGTGAACATTTAACTTCCTAGGTTTCAGCGTGGACATTCTGAATCATTGAGGTGACGTTAGGAATCGGCATTTAACAGTTGAAGAACCACCCATCCAAATGCTGTTGGATGCTAGTCTAGTTCCAAAAGTTTTCAGATGTGGAAATAGATCTAGAGAACTCTAATAATTTACCCCAAAGCACAATAAATGTTAGAGGGCCAGGAAAGGTTGTGGTTTTCCTCTGAGGTCATAGAGCTATTTAGTGTCAGAGATGATCTCCTAATTCCCAGTTCTAGACTTTACCATGTAGCATCATGATTTTTTTGCAGGGCCATATAACTTCACTGTATTTCCTGTCTATAGAACCCTCTGCTTATAGGATGTATAAGATTATAACCAATCCATCACTGTTCCTGAAAAAAATAAGAGGACATATGGGTTATGTAAATGAAAAACATACTGTTTCTTCATTTTTAGTCAGATATGTGACTCATTCTGGTTTTGAAATCATTGGATAGACTTGGTGAAGGAAAGAAAAAACTTTTTTTTGTATCCATGATATTATTTCTACCTGGATTTAAGTTTCATGCTTACGAAAATGAGGATCTGATTTCATTTTTTGAGTGAAATAGTAGGTACAAATTTTATAGTGTTTTGCAAATAGTAGGTGCTTGATAAGCTATACTATGAACAGTTTACTGTTAAAACTTTTCTTCATTTGTATTCTGTGAAGTACGCTAGTTAGGAGTGATTTTATTTGCTTCATACAGAATCTGATGCTTTATATACCAAGCCAGAAACTTTAAATAATTGAAATAATTTTATTGTATTTATAATACTATATTTTATAGTTGATATTCACAAGATCTCTGAGGGACTGAAATTTATAAAGTATTTTTGAACTATAAGAGTTTGAATTCGTTTTAGTATTGTGTATATTTTATATTGTATTATGTATGGTATATTGATAGTTACTGATTTGTAACTTTATATGAGTAAATCTCGTTATCTTAATTTTGGAAATACTCTGTAATTCTCAAATTACTAGAGAGTTTAATGATGCAATGCCTTTTTTTAATATTTCAAGACATTTTTATTCTATGATTTTTAAAAAACGTCATTTTAAAATAGCCTATTGATTTCTAAAAAATTATTATATTTTTCAATTATAAATTTTCTTTTCATTAAAAACTTTTTTGTTCTTTTCATAACCATGGAAACAAGATTGTACTTATAAGAGCTCTAGAAAGGAACCTTATCTATTATGTGGTTTTCTAGTTTATGATTTCTAACAACTAATCTGGTAAATAGGGAAGAGTATTCAAAATTAGGGAGAGATATCCTTGGCAGGCATGGATCACTGAGTACTGTCAGTATTTTGATTTTTAGCTTAACCTTTCTGGACTACAAAGAGAAAGATGTTGAATGCTCTACCTTTCCTACTGAGAGTTTTAACTTAGTAACTGAAAAAAAAAAAAAAAACCCACCTGTGTTAACTTCATTTATATGACTTTGAAGTTTGTGCAGAAAAGTTGTATCTCATTACATTGAAAGGGTAGTGAAAGATTAATTGTATAATAAACAGTTTTGCTTGTCTTGGAAAAACAAAATATATCTATCTGGATAGCAAAAATAATGGATATATGACTTTCTAATTTGAATAATGAATTCAGGTTTGCAAGGTGGAGTGAGAAAATTACATGACAGATCATTTTTCAAGACATAAATTTCCCTGTTTTCTATACTTGTCCAAGTAAGTGTTTGTTGAGCAAGTGTTTAGGGAATAGATCACCTTCTCTCTTTTAGTGTTTTTGCCTGTATACTTTAGTTTGGGATGGAAGGGTTAATTTCAGAGCTCTAATAATCTGACCAGTTTTCAGTTTAGTTTGATTCTTCTCTCAGTTAAGTGATATTTAAATAACTTTTTCCCTCTTGGCTACTTATGAATCTGTGTGTTTTCATTTGAGCTGTCATCTGAATTTGAATCGGAGGTTTTTGAAGAGATTCTGAGAAGCTCCTTAAACGGGGTGCTGAGGCTGTGAGATTGGTGCTGGAACTCAAGGTCCTTCCTGCCCTCCAGTCCTCACCCCTGTCTCCCAGGGACACATTCATTTTCCGCAGAATACTTTGGCTTTCACCTCTTTATTTATTTAAATTTCCCAATAAGTTCTTTGAAGAAACAATACTCTGGAGAAAAAACAGACATATGTAAATTATTTTCTATACAAACTGGTTGTTCAGACTCTGCTGCATTATGAAATCATATGCCTGTGTTATATTTTGGGAAATGTAATTAATAGACCTGGAAATAAATTGATAACTGTGTCCAGGGTCACATGTACCTTAGAACCTTGGGATTTTCCAAACTAAGTGCCAACATGCACCAGTTGGAAGGCTGTCCCAGAGCTCAAATCTCCTTTGTTTCTCGGAAGAATACAACATGTTGTCTCTTATTTCTGTCAATCAGATGCCATGATGATCATTTATATAATCGTTTTTATCTTATGAATTGGCTAAGTTTAATGCAGGGTTCTGGCACAGCATTTTTAAACATAATTAAAAATTATAAATTAATTTGTTTTGGGGGGGTTGTTTTTCTGTTTTGAGGATCCTGCAAATATTCTGACAATAAGTCTTTTGTGTCTCAAATGTTTTATACACACTGCAGGCCTTTTATTATTTTTTTTAAATAAAATCTTCAACAGAATGACTAATAGAGCATGAACAGTGCTTATGATACTATAGTGCATTGTGTTAAGTATTGAGAGCAAAATTTGCGTTCCTAGAAAAGCTTGTTCACAATCAGAATATAGAAGGCATGCTTTAATGTTCTTGGGCAAACATGCTGTGTATGTGCTCAGGACATTACTTACAAGAAAATCACTTTTTAAAAAGAACCTTTTCTTTTTACGGAATATTGAAGAAAAATTGAATTGGCAGCAAGAGTGAAACAGTTAAAGGCAAGTGGTTTAGATCTTATTGTAATGACTATGGTCAGTAGAAATGCAGCCTCTCCTAAATCTTCTAGAGGCATTTGTTTACTAGGATATATGAAAAGATAGATGACTTGAAGTTTCCAGGTTGTTTTCACTTTAGAGTATATACTCTAAAGTGTATATACTCTTTATATGTTTGTTCATCTGCATCTTTAATTTTCAGAAATACTTTTTCAATTTTATAAAAAATATTTTTGTTAAATTATAAATATTAGATTCTGTTCATTGCTGTGAAGTACCTTCAGGTGTTGCTGTGATTGACAATAAAGTAATGATAATTCCATTAACACTCGGCCAAACCAGTGGAGCCAGAAAGGGTCAATACTTTTCTAACGGTTACATTGAAAAATACTGGTGGTGAAATTGGTTTTGTGATTGAAGTTTTGGGTCTGTCTTCTGATTGACTATATAAAAAATCATGTAGGGTGTGTGTGTGTGTGTGTGTGCGTGCATGCGTGCGTGTGTGTGTGTGTGTTTATATTTAAAAAAATTTCTCCCCAATATTTGTGCTTTGTATTATGTGATTCATCAGTTAACTAAAACTTGTAAGTTTAAAAGTATGTATATTCAATTTTCCTAGTGCACATGAAGACATTTTACATTATAGAGCTGAATGAAAAGTACTTTTAGGGCCTAGTGCTTTGCTTAATTTTAATTTAATTAGTGGATGCCTTCTTAAAAGTAGACTTCCTATTCTCTTCTTGTATTTCCACAATGCTATTTGTTGAACACTTTCTACCAGTTCAGTACTTAACACTAAGTACTTTCTATAGATCTTGCTTTTTGATCCTTATTAAAATATTTTGATCCTTATTGCAAGATTTTATAATGCATCATTATCATTTTATAAATAGAGAACTCTATCCCCAGTATTTAGTACATTGATGATATCAGTAAATGTTTGTGGAATGGAGGGGAGGTTAAAAAAAAACAAAATAAAGGAGATTTAGGAAGTTCCTGCTCTAGAGAGGACAGGAGGGAAGATGGCTGAGGCCTTTAGTTAGAGGTGGAAGACCTCAGTCTCCATCCTTCCGAGGAAGCTAAGTTGGTGTTTTGAGGTGTGGAATATTTGGATGTGATCAGTGAACCCCTGCTATCTGGAGACAGATTTTTCTGCCTTTGCAGCATTAAAAGGGATTCTTATAAGTCCAGAGTTTGAGTCAGAATATGCTTCTGTAGTAGGTACCAAACTTCATTTGTTTAGACATAATCTTAATTTGAAAGTTTCTTAGGAATATTTGTAACTAAAAACAAAATCTACATGAAACAACAGCAAAAAAATAAGTGAAGAGTGCTTTGTCTTATTTATTGATTCTATTTTGAAAAGCATATAGAGAGTAATTTTCCCCCCCCACCAATAATGTTTGTATAACTTTGTTCACCTAAATGCTACACTTTGAAATAGTAGAACTTTTGAGACCAAAAGAGTGGATCATTGCTTTTAAGAATAGTGTAACAAAGGAAAAAAACCCTTTGTTATAATAACAGCAGAGAAAAAAATGTGTGGGAATGACTAAGAATCAGATGATGGGATTACTGTTTTGATCTTATGGTGGAAAGAAAACTCTCTGGCTGAGATGGTGGCAGGACTATTAGAAAACCAAGGCAGACTAGTGCTGTACTATATTATTCTGTTGCTATAAACCTAAGTCTTATTATTTCATAGGCATGTGTATATGTATATATTCCAGAGTGCTGGCTATACTCTGATAAGTTTTGTTGTTTTTGAGAAAATATTTTCTTTATCACCACTTCATTCATTTCTAAGGGTTCCAGTTTCAATCTACGTATAGATAACCCCCTCACAGCACCATTAATTGAATAGAGTCCTTTCCCCAATGCTTGCATTTGTCAGCTTTGTCAGATCAGATGATTGTAGGAAGGCAGCATTATTTCTGGGCTCTCTATTCTGTTCCATTGGTCTGTGTGTCTGTTGTTTTTGTACCAGTATCATGCTGTTTTCGTTATTGTAGCCTTGTAGTATAGTTTGAAGTTGGGCAATGTGATGCCTCCAGATTTGTTCTTTTTGTTTAGAATTGCTGTGGCTATTCGGGCTTCTTTTTGGTTCCAGATGAATTTTAGAATAGTTTTTTTCTAATTTTGTGAAGAATATCATTGGTAATTTGGTAGGAATCACACTGAATCTGTAAATTGCTTAGGGTAGTATAATCATTTTAACAATATTGATTCTTCCTATCCATGAGCATGGAATGTGTTTCAATTTGCTTGCATCGTCTTTGATTTCTTTCAGTAGTGTTTTGTAATTCTTATTGTAGAGATCTTTCACTTTCCTGGTTACCTGTATTCCTAGGTATTTTTTTTATAGGTATTGTGAATGGGATCGCATTCTTGATTTGGCACTCAGCTTGAATTTTGTTCGTGTATAGAAATACTACTGACTTTCATACATTGATTTTGTATCCTGAAACTTTGCTGAAGTTGTTTATCAGATCTAGTAGCTTTTGGGCAGAGACTGTTGGGTTTACTAGGTATGAAATATATCATCTGTAAACAGATAGTTTGACTTCCTGTTTTTTATTTGGATGCTTTTATTTCTTTCTCTTGCCTGATTGCTCTTGCTAGGACTTACAGTGTTATGTTGAATATGAGTGATGACAGTGGGCATTCTTGTCTTTTTCTGTTTCTTAAGGGGAATACTTCCAGCTTTTACCCATTCAGTGTGATGTTGGCTGTAGCTCTCACTATTTTGAGGTATGTTCCTTCAATGCCTAGTTTGTGGAAGGTTTTTAACATGAAGCGTTATTGAATTTTATCAAAAGCCTTTTCTGCATCTGTCGAGATGATCATATGGTTTATATTTTCAGTCTGTTTATGTAATGAATCACAATTAAGTGATTTGTGCACATTGAACCAGCCTTGCATCCCGGGGAGAAAGCCTCCTTGATCATTGTGGATTAGCTTTTTGATGCACTGCTTGATTCGATTTGCTACTATTTTGTTAAGGATTTTTGCAGCTATGTTCATCAGGAATATTTGTCTGAAGTTTTCTTTTTTCGTTGTCTGTCTGCCAGGCTTTTGTATCAGAGTGATGCTGGCCTCAGAATGAGTTAGGGAGTCCTTCCTCCTCATTTTTTTGGGGGGAATAGTTTCCATAGGAATGGCACCAGATCTTCTTTATGCATCTAGTAGAATTTGTCTGTGAATCCATCTGGTCCTGGGCTTTTTCTAGTTGTTAGGCTTTTTATTATTGATTCAATTTTGGAACTTGGAATTAGTCTCTTCAGGTTTTCACTTTCTTCCTGGTTCAGTCTTGGAAGGTTGTATGTTTCCAGGAATTTTCTATTTCTTGTAGGTTTTCTAGTTTGTGTCTATAGAGGTATTCATAGTAGTCACTGAGGATTTTTTTGTATTTCTTTGGGGTTGGTGGTAATGCCCCCTTTGTCATTTCTGATTGTGTTTATTTGAAGCTCCTCTGTTTTTCTTTATTAGTCTAGCTAGTGGTCTATCTACCTTAATTATTCTTTCAAAGAACCAACTTCCACTTTCCTTGATCTTTTGTATGTTTTTTGTGTGTCTCAATTTCATTCAGTTCAGCTCTGATTTTGGTTATTTCTTCTGCTAGCTTTGGGGTTGGTTTGCTCTTGGTTCCCTAGTTCCCCTGGGTGTGATGTTGGGTTGTCAATTTGAGTTCCTTCTCATTTTTCGATATGGGGATTTAAACTTAACTCTTAACACTGCTTTAGCGATGTCTCATAGATTCTAGTATGTTGTATCTTTGTTCTCATTAGTTTTAAATAATTTCTTGATTTCTGTCTTAATTTCATTGTTTATTCAGGAGCAAGTTGTTAAATTACCATGTAATTGTATGGTTTTGAGTGATCTTCTTAGTATTGATTTCTATTTTTATTGCACTGTGATCCAAGAGTATGGTTGATATGAATTTGGTTTCTTTAAATTTGTTGAGCATTGTTTTATGGCTGATTGTGTTGTCGATTTTAGAGTATGTGCCATGTGCATATGAGAAGAATGTTGTTTTTGGGTGGAGAGTTCTGTAGATGAATGTAAAGTCTGTTTGATCAAGTGTTGAGTTTAGCTCTTGAATATCTTCGTTAGTTTCTTGCCTCAATGATCTAATATTGTCAGTGGGGTGTTGAAGTCTCTCACTATTATTGTGTGGTTATCTAAGTCTCTTTGTAGGTCTCTAAGAACTTGTTTTATGAACCTAGGTGAGCTCCTGTGTTGGATGCATATATATTTAGGATAGTTGAGTCTTCTTGTTGAATTGAATCCTTTACCCATTTTATAATGGGTATAATAATATAATGCCCTTCTTTGTCTCATTTGATCATTGTTGGTTTAAAGTCTGTTTTGTTTGTTTGTTTGTTTTTGAGACAGAGTCTCGCTGTATTGCCTAGGCTGGAGTGTAATGGCACTATCTCGGCTCACTGCAACCTCTGCCTCCTGGGTTCAAGGGATTCTCGTGCCTCAGCCTCCTGAATAACTAAGATTACAGGCGTGTGCCACCACACCTGGCTAACTTTTGTATTTTTAGTGGAGACAAGGTTTTGCCATGTTGGCCTGGCTGGTCTCAAACTCCTGGCTTCAAGTGATCCACCTGCCTCAGCCTCCGGAAGTGCTGGTATTACAGGCGGAACCACGATGCCTGGCCAAGTCTGTTTCATCTGAAATTAGGATAGCAAACCATAGTTTTTTTTTTTGTTTTCCATTTGCTTGGTAGGTTTTTCTCTATCCCTTTACTTTGAGCCTATATATTATCTCCTTATTTTAGTGTGAATATATCTGGCCTACTATTTTTATTGCTGTTGTTTTTAATATAGTGGATATGTTGTAAATGCTGATCTCTAAAAGAGTTCTGATTTTAGTTTAGAAAGATTTCTTGGTAAACAAATATTTATTGAGTCTGTGTATTTCACCAAACTAGAAAACATAAATTTGCTTGAAAACATTAGCAAAGAACCAGTTTTTAATAGGTATGAATTAAAGATGAATGTGCTGAGGGAGGCGTATAT
This sequence comes from Homo sapiens, assembly GCF_000001405.40. Classification (NCBI taxonomy): domain Eukaryota; kingdom Metazoa; phylum Chordata; class Mammalia; order Primates; family Hominidae; genus Homo; species Homo sapiens. The sequence continues at coordinate 95,905,582 of NC_000011.10, read as the reverse complement.
CCAGGAAGAGTGGGAATAATCTAGAAAGTCTTCCTGAGAAAATTACTTTTGTTTCTTAGCCCCGTACATATTTGTTTTTTGCTCTAAATTTATGTCTTATGCATTTTAACAGTAACTTCATTTTCTGCATTTTAGCACTGTTGTCAATTACAGGATGCCGGTCCCCTTTCCCCAGCCTGCATTTTTGTTTTTAAGCAGTGGTATGTGTTGTGTTGTGTGTGTGTGTGTGTGTGTGTGTGTGTGTGTGTGTGCGCAGGTGCGTGCGTGTGTGTGTAAGAATATCACACTTTAGACGGTATTTTCACATCAGAGAACTGTGAGGCTGGATGAGATCATTAAGGAGAGGAGGAGTACGTAGAGAAGATAAGTTCAAGGGCAGAGTGAGTTTAGGGGCACTCCAGTGTTATGAGGTTAAGGAGGTGAGATGGAACCATTACAGGAGACCTGAGAGGATTGGCTAGGGAATAGGAGAAAAACCGTAAGAGTATAGAGTTCTGGAAGTCAAGTGTGGAAAGTGTTTCAAGGAGGAAGGTGTGATCAACTATGTTAAATGCTGCTGATAGATGAGGAGGAAGTATTAACAGGTTTAGCAAAGTGGAGATTATTGATGACCTTGACAAAAGCATTTTTGTTGGTGTGGTGGAGGCAAAGGCCTGACTGAAGTGGATTTAGGAAAGAATGAGAAGTGAGGAATTGGAAGCACTGCATATATATTACCGGAAAGGGGTCCTGATCCAGACCCCAAGAGAGGGTTCTTAGATCTTGCTCAAGAAAGAATTCGGGGTGAGTCCATAGAGTAAAGTGAAAGCAAGTTTATTAAGTAAAGGAATAAAGAATAGCTACCTACTCCATAGGCAGAGCAGCCCCAAGGGCTGTGGCTTGCCCATTTTTATGGTTATTTCTTGATTATATACTAAACAAGGGGTGGATTATTCATGATTGCCATGGTACTTGAGGGAGTGTAGCAGTAAGGACAACCAAAGGTCACCTCCGTCACTATCTTGGTTTTGGTGGGATTTGGCTGGCTTCTTTACCGCATGCTGTTTTATCAGCAAGGTCTTTAAGACCCCTGTCTTGTGCCGACCTCTTATCTCATCCTGTGATTTAGAATGCCTTAATCTCCTGGGAATGCAGCCCAGCAGGTTTCAGCCTTATTTTACCCAGCCCCTATTCAAGATGGAGTTGCTCTGGTTCAAACACCTCTGACATATAGACATCTCTTTCAGTGAATTTTGCTATAAAGAAGCTCAGAGAAATGAAGCACTATTTGGAGGGATTAAGATGAGAGAAATAATACTTTGTTTCTATGCTGATTAGCGAGATTGAGTAGAGAGGGAAAATTTTATGATGCAGTAACTGGAGGAGAGAATTGCTGGAGAGATTTTCTTGTGTAAACAAGAGGAGATAGAGTTTAATGAGGGATTTTGTTTGTTTGTTTTTTGTTTTTTTAAGATGGACTCTTGCTCTGTCACCCAGGCTGGAGTACAGTGGTCTTGGCAAGATCAAGTGCAGTGATCTTGGCCCACTGCAACCTCCACCTCCCGGGTTCAAGTGATTCTCCTGCCTCAGCCTCCTGAGTAGCTGGGACTACAGTCGTGTGCCACCACGCCTGGCTAATTTTTTTGTATTTTTAGTAGAGACGAGGTTTCACCATCTTAGCCAGGGTAGTGTCAATCTCCTGACCTCGTGATCCGCCTGCCTCAGCCTTTTAATGTGCTAGGATTACAGGCATGAGCCACCATGCCTGGCCTAATGAGGGGTATTTAATGGCAATATGGATGATTTCTCCATAGTAAGAGAAAGCAAGGCAGAATATATGTGCACAGTGCACACAGGTTATAGTTGGAGAGCTTGTGGAAAATCTGTGTTTGGTTCTGTATTTTTGAGTGAAACAGGAAGTTAGAGCATCTAGGAAATTCAGGGTGGAGAGGATGATACAGGGTGAAGAAAGCAAAGAAAATATGAAATAGTAATCTAGCAGAATGAGAGAGTGTATGAACTAGAGAAATGTTGTGTAATATCTAGGCAGTATTAAGGGTCTAGTTGAGGTAAGCGGCCATGAATTCAAAATGAGTCCACGCTCTGTGGTGGTGTTTTTTTTCTGTCAACTCGTTCAACTGTGTGGGTATGGTCTGGAATAGTCAGAAAGTTGGCTTTAAGCAGCTTTCCGTGTTGACAAGTAAGTACTATGAAGTAAGCAAGGGCAAGGGAACGACTGTAATAACAGGCATGGAGTTTTAAAAGCTGGGAAAAGCGAGAAGTGAGAACATGAAATAGGTACTCTGGAGTGTAGTAGGAACAGTGGAGGTTTTGGTGAAATTGAACAATTCGAAGTGTTGGTTGGGGGTACTAGAGAAAAAGAGCTGATGGTCAGACAGTAGAGTGTTTGAAATTTAAATTAGGGAGTGATTGCAGTTAATTGGTAATGCCAGTCCGGAGGATATGATCATTGAGGTGAATGGCTGAGGTAGAATGGAAGACAAGATCATTGCGGAAGAGGAATTCGATTAACTGAATGGCCAAGGTGTTTAAATGCTCATTTATGTAAATTGGAATCAGTAAGAATTACAGCAGTTGGCAGCACTGGAAAGAATTATGGTAAGCCTGAAGCTAAAGTCTTAAGGAGTGAGAGAGAGTGACTTAGAGACAGGCAAATGATGTCAACAAAGAGGGTGGTACATGCTGTAGTCTGATGGCATGAGGTTGAATACTTGGGGTTTTTAGAGACAGAGAGGTAGAAGAATCTGAAAGTGGCAGTGAGGGACAAGGCCCAGTTTTCAGGCCTAGTGGTGGGAGAGGAATATTGGAGAGAAAATAAAAGGGCTTATTTTTCTGTCTGAGAAGGCTGTTGGGGAACAGTGTCCTCAGGTAAAAACTAGGCTTTAGTAAGCATAAAAGGTAAAAAGACCCTTTAAGAAGAGCTAGAGATAAAGGTCATTTTGGTGATGGCTAACCTTAAAATTCAGAAACAGAGGAATAGGGAGTGAATGGGAGGTAGAATGAGAAGGGGGATTAGAATCTGGTAGTTCTGACTACTTGTGAGAACTGTTGAAAATAGAGGTAAAAGTATAATGATGTTAGCCCTTACAGTTTTTAATGTGGATAGTTGTAAGACTGTCCATGTTAAAATGCAAATGATGTTGAAGGGAGGAAAGGGTAAGGTTGTGCAAGGGACACTCACAATCTGGGGCTTCCACTTCACTTTTGCTAATGGTATTGGAGAGGCTGACAGAGAGATGGAAGGACAGACAGTCTTACTTCCTCAGAGCACATGGATTTCCAATGCCCTTTTTAAACTCTTGCTGATGGAGGCTGGGGGATAAGGAAATGGGTTGGCCTGTCTGGAGCACAAGGAGCTGAATAAATAACCAATTATATGATATACCATCGCCATTTTACATAGAAAGAAACTGAGATTCAGAGAGGTAGAACACCCTGCCCATGGTCACATGGCTACTAAGTAGTAGGGTAAAAGAAAACGAAGCAGTCTTTGTGGATGAGGAGTCAAGGAACAGTAAGATTCTATGAGATAATATCATATTGCCATGAACTCTTATCTTCATTTACTATCAGATCTTATAATATCACATGGATTCATACTGAATTCTAAGTGGGGGATTAGATTACCAATCCATCTTTCTCATGTGGAATGCATTCCTTGTTTTTTGTTGTCCAAAAACTTTAAAAATATTTATGGGAAATAGGCTTAAAGATACTTACTGTCTCTGTAGTTCATTCTTAACCTGTTTCCAAATCCAGTTAAGCTTTATCTGCTCCAAGGAGCATTCCCTTATTGGTCTCAACTGAACTTCATCCTCATGCATTGAGTTTATATAATAAAAATAAATATTGGGGTATACGTTTGTGTTATAGCTCCCCAGTTAGATAATAAGCACTTTGAGGGCATTTCTCCTTTTAGTTCTGTACTCCTTATCAGAAGCAATATGAGTTAGTCAAAAGGAGATCCAATTCTGTATCTGCTTCTCTCTCTCTCTCTGGCTGTGCCACTAATTTGATACTATATTCCAAACCATTTACTTCACTTCTCTGGGCGATACTTTATCTATAAATAAGGGGAGGGATGGGGTTTCACTAGAATGATCTCAGAAATCCCTTACATTTTTAATATTCTATAACTTTCTGATTGGCTGTGAGAATAGTTGGCTACTAATGCAGTACTTGCATGTGAAAGGGACAGTTTTAAAAAATATTTGGTATAATTCTAGGTACTGTATAGCTTAGTGTCCTTGAAAGGTGTTGGCAGTAGCCAAGCAGGATCAGAGTGAGAAATAAGGCTGGAGAGAGAGTGTGGGGCCAGATAGTCAAATGCTTTGACTAGTAGTGGGTATTTGTGAATGTGGGACTGAGAAGATTAAAGATAGAAGGTTGAAAATCATTTGCACAGAGATGGTAACTGAAGATGTGGGAATTCATGATATTTCAGAGAGAAATTAAGAAGAGAGAACAGAGGCAAGGTGAGAGCTTTCAAGAGAATCTATATTTAGGGGACAACTAGAAGAAATAACTTAGAAAAGGAGAGAGTCAAAGCAAAGCTAGTAAATTTTAATGACAAGGGAAGCTTAGAGAGCAAAGAATTCCAGGAGGGAGGTAGTGATGATAGCATCAAATAATGCACAGAGGTTAAGGAAGGTGAGAACTCAGAGAAACAAGGCCCCTGGTTTTGTTCCTGAGGTCATTAATGACATCTAGAAAACAGCATCAGTAGAGTAGTTGAAGGTAGAGTTCAATTTGAGTGTTATTAATGATTCTCATGTAGATTCAGGTAATCAATATTGAGTTCCTACTAAATGTCTGGTATTGTGTAAGTTTATGCATGTGAGTGTGTGTGCGTGCACACGCACATGCACACACACACACCTCTCCCAAAGTAGACTGGATGGGGCAGAATGATGTGCATGAGAGGAAGGATTGGCTTTGAACCTAAAAAAAAAAAATGTTATCTACAAAAGGAAGGAAGGGTGCGTTTGGATATAGGTAAGTTTATTGAAGGAAGGGCAAGAAGTTGAGGCAGTCCGTGCCTCCATACCTTAACTTTTTCATTCATGTCAAATAAGTATTTCTAAAACATTATAGAGACTGTGTTGACATTGTAATTAATTTATCATTTTATTAATCAGTCCAATGGACTTTTCTCTCATTTCCCTTGACTGCTCTGTAGTATTAGGTAGTGTTAACTACTTATTTTGAATAGTTGCATTTGCTAAGTATTAAATCTTGTTTTATATCTTGTCCCTGGGCTACATAATTCCATTTTATGGATTTGATTTAGCTGTCACCTAGCTGTAACCTCTCCATAGAATGTTAAAGCTGTATTTCTGCTTGCTTAATGAATATATCCACTTTGATGTTTTGCAAGAACCTCAAGTTCAATGTTCAATGATATCAAAATCTATTGAATTATTTCCACATACCACATCCTAGCCAAACCTGCTCGCTCTTCTATATTTTCTATCTTTGTCATTATGTGGCCTCGTTCCGTTGTCTATTCAGTGATCTTACTGCTCTAATACAATAACTTATTAACTGACCTAAGTTCCTCTAGAATTTTTTTCCCAGTGGATGCTCCATAACCTGAGCAGAATGTCTCTGCACATAGAACTATTTGACACTTCTACTCAGAAATGTTTGATGGCTTCCCATTGTCCTCAGAACATAATCTGGATTTTTAGCATGGTATCGAGGTTTATTCACGGAACATAGCTTGAACCTTTCTTGCCTCCACAAAGCCCAGTTACATAGGTTTCCCCAAATGATCTATTTATTTAAGCTGTTCTCTGTCTGGAATGTTTTTACTCTTTTGCTTTACCATCAAATCCTACTAACAAGTCACTGGCCAGCAAATATGACATCTTTCAAGCTTGCCTCAGCTTTTCCCAGTCATATTTAGTCCTTTCCTCCTCTGCGCTCCTGTAGTTTTTTTTTTTTAACCATTCTTATAGCATTCATCACAATCAGATTCATAGACAGTTAAAAAGGAGTCTATCTCTCCCATGAGGCTATAATTGGGGAGCATATATAACATTGTTGTATCACACTTATATCTTCATAGAACACTCATATCACACTGATAAGCAGTAAATCAACATTGCCTGAATGAATGAATGAATGAACAAATATATGATCAAGTAAAATCTAAAATCCTTTGGCCTTGCTACCACCTCAGTCTTAAAAAATTTCAAGACAGAAAGCAGCAGCTTCTCAAACGACCTGTTTTCTTCTTTACTGTCTAATTTGGCACACTGATTTTTCAGTCAGCAAGACTGGGGATCATATTTTGAGTCTTCCTTCTCCCTTGTTTTCAGGTCAAGTCAGCTGCTAAATTCTATTCTGTTTCCAAAGTGTCCCATATGTCCACTCCTATTTTATTTTTATTGCTAGTTTAGGCTCTCAGTACCACTGACTGGAAAAGATCTCCTAATAGTCTTGTAACAGATTTTCCTTCTCTTGTAATCTATTCTTCGACTTATTGTTAAAAGTCTTCCTAAAGTACAGAAACTTTCAGAGGTCTCTCATTGCTTACAGAAATATCAACTTATTATTCAGCACTTTCTACTCTGTAATCCAAACCTGCCTTTTCAGGCTTATCTCTAACTGCATTATAAGTACGCTGTATGCCAATAAAAGTGATCTGCCTTCTCCAGTTGCTTTAACATGTCTTGAATTTCCTACTTTGTCCTTTTTCATGCTGTTCCTTTGCTTAGTGAAATTGTTGAGAGTATTGAACCTCTTTAGAATCTTCTGGCCAACTTCAAATGCCACCTCTTTCATAAAAGCCTTTCTCGAGCCTCTAAATTAAAACTTTATATGAACTTTTCATATACAGCATTGTTAGGTGGTCTCTCTCCCCAATATTATTGTGGATATATTTGGAAATGTTAGACATTTGAAATAGAATCACTACTTAGCTACATAGGTATAGTTTCTGGTAAAATCACATAATATAAACAACACCCAAGGGCTCTGTTTCTCCAAACCCCAGGGATTTGTTTCTCTTTCTCACACCCATTTATCATGTTCTGTTTGTGTGTTTTTTTGTGTGTGTGTGTTTGTAGAGACAGCGTCTCACTGTTGCTGTGCTTGTGTTAAAGTATACTAGTGAAAGTTCACCAACAACAGCAAGGGTCATATTTATCTCTGTATTTCTAGGGGTTCCTAGATGAGTAGTATCTTACATATTGTAGGCACTAAAAAAGGCATTGGTTAAACTGAGAAATGGGATAACCAAAATAATATGCTGCTGAAGGGAGATGATCATGTATAGAATCAGAACTAAGAAAAAAACTTTTTTTTTTTTTTTTTAAAAACCAACCAGGCCATTAGTAATTATAGAAAGAACAATTTCAGGGCATCACTTGATAGTGGCAGAAGCTAGATTCCAAGAGATTAAGCAGTAAGTGGGCATTGAGAAATGGAGGCAATGATGATAGACACATAAGAATGGAATACGGTCTGCAGATTTGGGAAGAGACTTGTGAACAAAAACCATATGTAGTATTTGAAAGAAAAAGGAGTTTGCTGTCAGAAATGCAAGTACCAAGATTACTCCAAAGTGTTTCCATTTTTTCAAGTTGGCAGAAAAGTACTCCAAGTGAGTCAGGCAGGCCACTGAAGCGAATAACCAGCTCTAGTGTGCCGAGGTCACAAAGTTAGAGTAAGTTTGTGAATCACAGACTAAGAAGACTTGTAAACGTAACCTTGTTGAACGCTGGCAAAGGTGATGTCCTGGAGTCAATAGAGTTTACGTTAGTCTGGTCCAGTTTAGTCTGATTAAATCATTTAGAGAGAAGAGTTACTGAACCAACCGTGTATGTATTGTTAGGAGGTCTCTCTCTCTTAAATTATTGTGGATATATTTTGAAATGTAGGACATTTGAAATAGAATCACTACTTAGCTAAATAGGTGTAGTTTCTGATAAAATCACATGATATAAATGAAAATATTTAAAGGAATTGTGGCTAATATTTGTTGATAGATGTCATTTCTATTTGTAAGTAAGGGTGTTGAATTTGCACAGTGATAGTCCAGAGCTCCTGAAATATATGTAGTTGTTGGATTTAATTTCCCTTTGACTCCATTGTACATAAATATTCTCTTAAAGACTTTATTGTAAGAAACACAATATCGGATTAATTCTATTTAGTCTTTGTGTCTTTATATTTAAGACTGTGATTACATAATTAAAATACTAAAAAATTTCAAATATGAAGCTATTTTAGCACACATGCATGTGTGCATCGTGTGTGTATAAAAAATTTATTTTAATTTTTTAGTATTTATCTGTATATTGTGTGGATGTTACAAAAGGCAGAATACTCATTTCAGAAGCCCTGGACCACTTTAGAACTAAAAGAGATCATCGGGGCCAAGATTCTTAACCTTTAAGTCCCTAACATTGTAAGCACTTCAGGAAATAGCTCTCATGGGATTTTCAAAGAGGTCTATGACCACCAAAAAAGTTAATCACCAACAGTCTAATTGGTACTTTTCACAGAGTGACAGTGTAATGGGGAGTGGGAATTAAGTGACTTGGCCAAGGATACTGCTGTTAGCTAGATAGGACTAATCCTGGTTTCTCAATTCCCAACTACTTCTTTAACCATCCCAGTGAAAATAACATAGTCAAAAACCAGTTCCCACTAGTTTTTTTTTTTTTTTTTTAAAGATTGTCATTCTTTTAAGACAACCTCTTAAAAGAAATGTTTGTCTCAGTATTCCAGGAAGTCTTTTGATGGGAATGGGACATGATATATGGTATACAGAATAATATGCACACAATAACAACTCCAGAAGGAAAACTAGACTTCCACCTTCCCTACCCATGTTTTATCCCTCTCCCTCCTTTCACAGATTTCTTTTTTGTTTTATCTTGCATGTTCTAGTGATGGCCTCTGATGCATTTAATTAGAATAATTCAATCTTCTGATCATTCTCATTCAGTCTTTCACTCCTTAACAAATATTTCCTGAGTGTCTACTTTATACCAAGTGCTATGCTAGGTCCTAGGAGTAGAATGTTGAGCAAAACCAACAGGATCCCTTCTCCTTGAAGTTTGATGTCTTAGGAAGCGTAGTCATTAATCAAGACAGGCATGGTGTCTTGCATCTGTAATTCTAGCTTCTTGGGAGCCTGAGCGGGGAGGATCACTTGAGTCCAAGAATTTGAGGCTGCACAGAGCTATGATTGCACTGTTGCACTCCAGCCTGGGTGACAGAGGAAGACCCTGCCTCAAAAAAAAAAACCAAAAAAACAAAAAAAAATCATTAATCAAACATTTGCAAAGATACGTAAGAAGAGACTGGTTGTAAGTGAAAAGAATGAAAAGCACAAAGTGCTATGAGAGTGGCTATGGGAGCACTGGTTTTGTCTGGGGCATCTGATTGGATTTTCCCAAGGAGGTGATATTTCAGTTGAGAGGAGTTTGGCAGAACCATGCTCCCTGCAGAGGGGCTAGCTAATTTCAGAATCTCAAAGAAGGCTAGTGTGGTTGAACTGGGGAGAGCAAGGGGAGAGGGAGATACAAAGAGGAACTGGAGAAGGAGGCAAGGATTAGATTATGTAGCAACTTGAGGCTGTGGTAAGGTATTGATCTTTATCTTGAGAGCAGTAGGGAGCCACTGAAGGATTTTAAGAAGGGGAATGACATGGGTTGTTTCCACTTTTTGGCTATTGTGAATAATGCTGCTATGAACATTCATGTACATATTCATGTACATTCATGTGTTTTTAATATATATTTTGTTTTTCTCTGGTAAATAATCGTGGGTTTTTTTGTGTGTGGAAAAATATTTTCATTTCTCTTGGGTTTATTTTTAGGAGTAGAATTGCTGGGTCATAGGGTAATTGTGTGTTTCACCTTTTAAGGAACTACCAGACTGTCTTCCAAAGTGGCTATACCATTTTACATTCCCACAAGCAGTGCCTGAGTGTTCTGATTATTCCACATCTTTGCCAACACCTGCTATTGTCTGTTTTTAAAAAAATTTTATTATAGACAGTATAGTGTGAGTGAAGTGATATCTCATTGTATGCCCCTTGCCTTTTATTAGCCAGGCTTTTAAGCCTGGCATTTAGATTTCAGCAAATTACAGCCTTTTATCTGTTTAGTTTGAATAAACTACTTATTTACAAAATATGCCTTGTAGTTTCTCAAGCCCTTTATTTTTACTTTTTTTCCCTTTGTGTGTGTGTGATTTCCAAAGCCTTGATCTGATTCATTCACTCATTAAAGGCCCAACCTCAGTGTCTTCTGTTTCCTTCATTAGCACATGGAGCCATCTGAAATAGTTGATATTTGGCCATCTGACCTATAAAAACAGCAATTTCAAATGGTTCAACTTAATACATTTCTTGGCTTCCTCTAGTCATAACTATTACCATTTCCTTCGGGTTTTTTTTTTTTTCTCCTGGCCCTTGTTTGTACCTCTCATGGTATTATTGATATGCTTGTGTGGTATAATGTCTCTTATTGGTCAGAAATCTGAAGTGCAGAGGCTGTTTCATAACCCAATGTTTTGTATATAGAAAGGGCGTGGTAATAAAATTTTTTTGCAGGAAGAAAAGAACATGAAAATTGTTTCTTCATGAAATTATCTTGTATAATTGGAGTGTCTGTCAGTGGGAGTAAACAGTTTTGGGAAATGTAATGTAGAAAACAGTAACAGGCAAAAGGAGCATTCGATTTTTACTCATATTTTCTCAGAGAAAAGTTATTATTGGTGATGTAATCATGTACCCTCTTCCCTTGGTACTGTCTTCTTCTTTTTAGTCCTTTTTAGGACTTAAGAGTTTTCTTTATGTAGAAGAAAAGTAATTTTAAGCAGTCAATTTCAAATTGGAGTTCTTTTTCTTCAAAATTTCAAGAAACTCTTTTGAAAACTTTAATCTTCTATGATAGTTTCACTTTTAAACTGCATTTGCAATGCCAAGACACATGCTTCCATAGTGGGAATAATATTTATTTTTCTAATACTTCAAACATAATGCCATCCACGAGACGTAAGTTCTTATTTTGTAAACATTAGGCCACTAATTATAGTTCTTGCCTTCGAACTTTTGCCGTTATAATTTTATTTATGTAACTAACCTGACTTGAGGGATAATATGTGTACAGTAACACTCAGTTGTCATAAATAATAATAGCTACATATGCCACGTATTCTTCTTTCAGTGTTTTACGTGTTTTATTTTGAGAAGGTTGTTTGCTCACAGAAGATTGTAGTAAAGAAAGAATCTTGAAATAGTAAATAATAACTATGTGGGGAGAGGAGCTTTTAGGTGAGTAAATGCAATATAATGTTACAGGTATTATGATAGAAATATGTACAGTGTACAGTAAAAGAAGCAGTAGGTATGTCTACAAGATAGATGGGACAAAGAGGGCATGGAAGATTATAAAGGACATTAGAGGCAGATACAATAGGGTTATCAAAGGCACAGAGGCATGAAATGGCTACAGAACTTAAGAAATCTGCAAGCCATTCCCAGTGGTTCCAGATGAGTAAAAACTACAGCTGGATATGTAGAACAAGGGCCAGATCGTGGAAAACTGAGTGTTATGCTGAGGGGTTTTGGCTTGATTCTGTAGGCAGTGAGGAATCAATGAAGATTTAAGCAAGGGATTGATATGATCAGATTTAGGTTTTGGAAAGATCACTTTGGTTTTGGTTTGGGATGATATATTGGATGAGTAGGAGAAAAGAGACAAGTTATTTGCACTAGTCCAGAGAAGTGGTGTTAGGATGGTAAAAAGTAGGATAGAGAGAAGATATACCCAAGGGATGGTAGGGAAGTAGACTGTACAGGACTTTGGATAGATTGGATGTGATAGCTGTGTGGGAGAAGAGGATGGTTATGGTTTAAAAAAGTCACTTGGGGAATGGGAGAATCATTGAGCACTGTGTTGGGCCTAGCTGATGTTTCTAATCGTAAGTCCTAAGTGGCCCCAGTTTGAAGATTTCCTTCACTAGTAGCCAAGAAAGATGGTTATGTTGGTCCACATTTAGGGATTAGCAGGACAGTCGTGGCTAATGGATACGGATATAAGGACACTGATGGTTAGGAAGGGAAGCGAAGTGGGCAAAGGAGAGCAATGAATCATGAAGGATAATAAAAAATGGAGGGGTTGAGGGTCTGGGTGTCTCTACTAGGTTGAAGATGAGATGAAGGGAAAGTTAAGAAAGTTAAATATTTAGAAAGGGTTGGCATCTAGTCAAAGATTAATTTCCTCAAGTTTAAGATTATAGTGGCAGGGTAATTCCCAGAAGTGATAAAGTCCAAGGTGTAATGACAAGATGCACATTGCTGAAGTGGGAATGTGTATGAGGTTATGTAGGAATTGAGGAATTTTGAGCTAGGTTGTTGACAGTTTATCTTTATGGATAATAAAATTCCCATAATGATGGCAGCTTTGGAGTAGAAAGAAATGCTAGAGAGGAAAGTGAGCCAGATGAGAAAACCCTTAGTGAGTGAGGAGGATGGGTGGGTGGATGATAGTAACAAGGAGGTTGTATACTGAAAAGCCATAAACCTTAGAGGAAGAAGGTTTTTATATGTGAAGATGCAAAACTAATAGTAATGTAGAAGCCTGAGAGTTCAGCTGGGAAAATGCTTGTTTCATCTTTGGGCGTTGTTACATGTGGGAAAAGAAAAGAGTCTCTTATTAAAGTCTGCAGGGAAGTGGATTCCTGTGAGGAGAGGTTAGTTGAGGCAGAGGTGAAGGGGAGAATCCTGTTGAAGATGTAGGGGAGTTTATTCACTGTGGACTAAAACATTCAGATAAAGATTAGGAAGAGAATTAGTAGTTGAAGAAAGGCTTGGACAGAGAAAAGTGGGTGTAGGAAACACAAAGTAATATGGTAATGAACATATGCGACAGAGTGTTGACTAGAAGTTTTAGCATTTGGAACAAAGGCCCAGGTTGACAAGGAAAACAGGAATGTTTGGATGGACTGAGATGAAGTATATAGGCCTAGGAAATCTGGGGACCAAAATGGTATCGGTTACTTAATGAGGTTAGAGACTGCAGTTTCTACTTCAAGTTCAAATGCCTTGCTAATTACAAGATTCTTATTATTTGGAGTTTGTAATTTTAAAAAGAGGTGGCCATGTAACTGAAGTTCTCTAGTCTAATGTGGGAAGTGTTAAGTGCAGTTATAGACAAAGTCTATGAAAGTGTAGAAGACTGAGAGTTTAGTTCCAACTGGAAGACCTTCTTGGAACACTCCAAGACTTCTTGGAGAAGTTAGTTTTTTAAACCAGGTCTTAAAGGGTAGGTAGGATGTTATTAAATAGATTAGGGTAAAGGAACATTCTATTTTGGAAAGGCCTGAAGCAGAGGCATGAATTTTGGGAAATACAGAGCTTGTTTGTGGAACAGTTCATAAAAAATAAACATAGAGAGCTTGACTTCAAGATGAGCAAGGGAGAAATGGAAAAAAAGCAGTGGAAATTAGCGTGTGTTATACCAGTAGCCATGGTGACTACAAGCATGCACAGAGCCAGTATGACAGAAGAACACAAACAACTACAGAAAAGAGAACTATGCATCCTACTGTGCCCACGGCCACCTTCAGTCTGAGTAGCTGCTAAAGGCAGCACTTTACGTTTATACCAGAAGTTTTAACAGTTCTGCTGCACCTGCATGCTTACTTGCTCTCTCATGCTCTCTCTGTCTCCCTCTCTCCCTCTATCCTGTGCACTCTCTCTCCCTCCCTCTCTCCCCCTTTCTCTCTCTCTGTGTGTGTGTGTGTTTCTGCCGTAATCACAAGAACAGTACTATGATGTATTCCCACACTGTACCCCTCCAGTTCAATATTTGCCTGGAGAGTAAAACCCTTTGTAGACTGGTTATACAGAAATATACATTAGTGCTTATTAAACTATAACACTGTGGATCATAATATCTACCTATGTTTATGTGTGTCTGAAGAGAAGTTAATAATTAAAGGCTGTTTACCACACTTTTGCTAGAAAGACTGATTCTTTGAATCTGAGACTGCAAAGTATAAGTTGCAGTACCTGGATTTGTTATTTTCTCTCTCTTAGATTTATTTACTTTATACTTGGGCTCTAAAGAGCCATTTGGTTTCTTTCTTTCTTTCTTTTTTTTTTTTGGTGAGAGTCTTGCTCTGTTGCCCAGGCTGGAGTGCAGTGGTATGATCTCAGCTCACTGCAACCTCTACCTGCCAGGTTCAAATGATTCTCATGCTTCAGCCTCCCGAGTAGCTGGGACTACAGGCATGTGCCACCACTCCTGGCTAATTTTTGTATTTTTAGTAGAGAGGGAGTTTCACCATGTTGCCCAGGCTGGTTTTGAACTCCTGGGCTGAAGTGATCCACCCTCCTTGGCCTTCCAAAGTGCTGGGATTACAGGCGTGAGCCACTACACCCAACCAGAGAGCTGTTTGGTTTCTTGGTGCTACATGCTACAATAGTCTGTCAATATTATTTTTCTAGATAATACACTCTCCATAATTTCAAGTTATATTCAATTGCCTTTAAGAGTTTTTCTCCCAGAAGGGCATAGGCGTATAAAATAGCATTATACATTTGAACTTGCCCCAGATAGACTTTATGAGATGTTGATTGCTATATTGTGTTTGACTGTCTAGAACAGACTCTATTACAGTGATTTAAAAAATTTAAGTTCATTTATTTTATTTAAAAAATTTTAATTTTATTTAATTTTTCGAGATGAGTTCTTGGCATGTTGCCCAGGCTGGTCTCAAACTCCTGGGCTCAAGTGATCCTTCTGCTTCAGCCTCTTGAGCATCTTGGACTACAGGCACACACAGCTGTGCTCACCCATTTATGTTACATAACAAGAATTCCAGAGGTAGAGAGTTGTTGGCTCAGTGATGCTACAAGAACCTATGCTCATCCTATTCTTTGGCTCCTTGTCCTCAGCAGGCCAGCACATTGCTAATGTTTATAAGATGGCTCTTGTATTTTCAAACTTTATATTCTTATTTTAGGCAAGAGAAATGGGAAAGGACAAAGACTACCCTGCTGTTTCTGCTCCCCTTTATTGAGAAAATAAAAGGTTTCTATAGCCATTAGCAGATTTCCCACTAAATCCCACTGACTGGAATTGACTCACGTGGCTCTCCTAGCCACAAGGAAGAGAATAGCAAGCCTCTTGTCTTCGGCAGGGCACAAACTACCCTGATCAAAGTTAGGGAGAAAGGGGAATCTATTTGAAGGAGGGAGCTAACAATGTCTGTCAAAGTACTGTGCTTAAAATTTGGTTATTTTGCCTGTTATTTTAAGGCAAATGACATTTAATCAGAATTTAGATACAAAAAAAAGGAAAACATCACAGCCTATCACTTTTTCTTTCCTTACATTATAAAACTATGTAATATAATTTCTTATGACTGCTTTTTTGTATAATAGTATAGGTTGTTGGAAATACTATGTTGTGTTTGCACTGGAATGCCACTTTTCATTCATTTAAATGAAGTGACAATTTCTTTTTTGGGGAGGTGATTTTCACATTGTATAAGTAATTTAGTTATTCTTGTTATAGGCAGGTTTGTAATGAATAAATGGGATTCATTTTAAAGCTAAATGGTTCTTAATATTATCACAACTCAAAGGTGAAGTATTTCATCAAAACCTAGTGAAAAAAATTTTGCATTCTGGTATAAGGAAGACTTTTAATATGTTTTAGAAAAATACATTTTTGAAAATCTGAACTTTAACACCCAATTCAAAGTATTTGAGGTTTTTCTACCATTGATCTTACCTTAAATAATTTTAACTTTGTTTTACTGATAAGAGGAAATGATATCAGTTATTCAATTTGTGGCATATTGTCACAGATTTTTAAATTTAACAAACATAATACATGTTAACAGTGTACACAGGTCCTGAAGTAGATTTTGTGGAAAATAAAAAAGAAGTGGGCTTGAGCACGGTAGCCCATGCATGAAATCCCGACACTTTGGGAGGCTGAGTGAGAGGATCGTTTGAGGCCAGGAGTTTGAGGAGAACAGCCTGGATAACATAGTGAGACCTCATTTCTCCCCCGCCCCCCTCCCCCCCCAAAAAAGACATAATTTTTGTTCTTGGGGCACTAGTTGGTGAGACAAAATAAACAATAAAAGCGTGATCAGGTATCGAAAGTTTGGCCAGGCGCAGTGGCTCACACCTGTAATCCCAGCACTTTGGGAGGCCGAAGCGGGCACATCAGTTGAGGTCAGGAGTTCAAGACCAGCCTGGCCAACATGGTGAAACCTCGTCTCTACAAAAATACAAAAATTAGCCAGGTATGGGGGCAGGTGCCTGTAATCCCAGCTACTCAGGCGTCTGAGACAGGAGAATCGCTTGAACCTGGGAGGCGGAGGTTGCAGTGACCGGAGATCGCACCATTGCACTCCAGCCTGGGTGACAAGAGTGAAACTCTGTCTCAGAAAAAAAAAAAAAAAGTTCTATAGGAATTTAAGAAAGTAAAAGTAACTGTAGAGTGATTACTTATAATGGAAGAAGTAGATACTTCAGGCAGGGTTGTTTGATGTGGTGGGAGGGTACAAGGTACAAAGAACTTCTCTTTCCATCCTCATCTGCTCTTTTATCCATTCACCCTTATTCAACTATTTGTAGTATCTGAGATGTTCTGTAGACTTTGATACTTCTATACCTTTGCATTGCCTTTTGTTTGTTCTTGAAATTTCCTTGTTTGTTGGTCTGATAATCTCCTATCTTTTGAGACTCAGTTTGAATATCATCTCCTCTGAGAAGTCTTCCCTGAACTTTCTGGCCAGAATTGGCTGCTTCCTTTTCTTTTCTCCCATAGATATTTGTATGTATGTGGGGTGTTTGTGTGTGTGTGTGTGTGTGTATGTGTGTGTGTATGTGTTTCTATTTAGAGTCATAACACTGCACCACTTTATTTACTTGTCTGTGTCACAGGCTTGTGAGCTTCATGAACATGGGGATGATGTCATATTTATTTTCAAATCACAGTGCCTGGTGTAGTGGTTTTGTACATTGGACCACTCAGTGAATGTTCTTTGGATGAATGAATGGATGGGTGAATGGATAAAAAGAAGGAATTAGCCTGGAGTGTCTTCATGAGTATTGGGAGTCTATCCAGAGGGAACTTGGATCATAAGAATACTTGACCCAGCAGGAATAGTTTGTAATTTGTTAAGACTTAGAGATAAGATTGAATAGGCAAAGCAGAACTTAGTTGGCTGTGGAAATTTTAATAAATATTGGAGTTATATTAAATACAATGTCTGAAATTGGTCTTTGAAGCCCCCATTTTTCCAACATACTGTACTTTTGTATTTTGTAGTGCCTCCACTTCTCATTCAGAGAATTCAGTGCATACAAAATCAGCTTCTGTTGTATCATCAGATTCCATTTCAACTTCTGCCGACAACTTTTCTCCTGATTTGAGGGTATGTATACTATTTTAAAGTTCTGATGAAGTACTTTCTGTTAAATATTTGTGGCCAACACTATCAATATAACTAATTTAGCAGGAGATACTGATGGAGTATTCTCATAGATCCCGGTCTACAAAATATCCCAGAATAGGCCAGCAAATTTGGAATGCTTACTTATTTGTAAAAGAAAAATGTGTAATTCATCTCTGAGGTTGATCACCTCTAAGTTCTTTGCCAAAAGATGATTAATGAATTTTTTGTGGTATAAAAGATTTTTATGATTATTCTCATAATAACCAGTAATAGCTAACATTTATTGAATATGTACTGTGTGCCAAGCGTTGTTCTAAGTGCTATACATGAATTATCTCTTGTAAAACTCTGACCAATTCTGTCACCATTCTACAGATGATAATAACTTGTAGAGATTAAGTAATATGTCCAAGATCTCATAGCTAATAAATTCTATTGCCGGTGTTCCAGCCCATGCAGTCCAGTTCGGGAGCTAAGTCACTTAAACACTGTGTGATAGTTCCTACACATCTCATTATAGTTTGTAAGTATTCCTCTATTTATTAAAGGTCTCATTTCTATGAAATTAACCACATTAGTGATATCCTGTAGCACTCTGTACATTTCTGGATTTATCTACTTTTCTATAACTGCTTGTCTATGAATGATTGAGAAAATGAATTATATGTGTAGTGCTAACCCTTTAACTTTACTTCATAATCGTTTTTTTTTTCTCCAAAAAACACGAAACAATAAACATTTATTTCTCATGGTTCTGGAAGCTGGGAAGTCCAAGATCAAGGTGCTGGCAAATCCATTATCTGATGAGGGTATGTCTTCTTGTATCCTCACCTGATGGACAGTATGTCAGAATCTTTTTATTCCAAACATGTGGCTGCTTTCTCACTGGTTACACTTACACAATTTTAGCTAAAACATTGTTTTCCTTAAGGAAGTCATTTGCTGTTGAGCATAAGTTGAGGATACTTATATCTTTTTCATCCATTTCATTGTCAAAACAGAATTCAACAAGAAGACAACATCTGTAAAATCTTCTGCATATTTGTCATTACCTTTTGTGAAATTTCATAAAATATTAGATTGGGAGTAGCATGATTTTAAACATCACTAAAAATTAGAAAGGCTTATCTTCGTAATCTGCATATATCTTATGCTAATTATGAAAACTTCATGCTATCATTAGCCATTATCTTGAAGCATACAAAGGGCAGGGTTCATTGTTAACAAGAATGGTTATAAATCCATTGTTGCTTCTCAAGTTGTTACTATTTTAAAATATATGTATGTATCTAATGTTTGCTTATTCATTACATTAATAAAAATCCACTAAGGGCTCATAGGCTTCTTAATAATTTTGAAATGTCTTGGCATACTTCTGGTCAGATTTATTTAGTTAAAAGTATCATTAAATAACAACTAACCTCATATTGTGACTGATAACTCAGGAATGAAGGGATGTCACTTATGCTACTTGCTTATGCCTATATCCTACCTGCTGTTTCCTGTCTGAGACATTTTAAATCATTTGTGTATACTTGTGAGTATTAGTTTAAACTACTTAACTCGACATACATGTGAAGTGCAGTACACTGCAGGATGCTGAAAATGGATAGATGAAGGAGGATTCTCCACTGTCAACTTCTCTCTGCATGCAGACCTCCATCATTTCCTCAGGACACCATGAATATCATAAATAGTGAATGACTGGCTTACATTTGGACAAAATGAGGGCCATAGTGCATAATGTTAATCTGTATATAAAATATTTTAAGGTTTGCTACTTTTTCTTAAACTTTTAATTTTAGAACAGTTTTAGATTCTTAGAAAAATTGCAAAGATAATAGAGTTCCCATCTACTTTACATCCAGTTCCACCCATTATAACATCTTACATTAGTAAGCTACATTTGTTCCACATAATGAACCAATACTGATACGTTATTATTAAAGTCCACACTTTATTGAGATATCCTTAGTTTTTACCTAATGTTCTTTTTGTTCCAGGATCCTACCCATGCAGGATGCCACATTACATTTAGTAGTTATGTCTCCTTAGGTTTCTCTTGGCTGGGACAGTTTCTCAGACTTTTTTGTTTTTGATGACTGTGTCAGACTGTATCTTGTTTTTGATGACTTGATGGTATTTTATAGACCATGTGACATTTTACTCATTCAACTGGGGTTATGTGTTTTGGGGAGGAAGGTCACAGAGGTAAAGTGAGTGCCATTTCATCACATTTTATTAAGAGTACTTACTATCAACATGACTTATCACTGCTGATGATAACCTTGATCACTTGGTTGAGGCGGTGTTAGGTTTTTTCACTGTAATTATTCCCTGAGCCCCTCCCCCACCCACATACTGTACTTTTTGGAAAGAAGTTGCTATGCACAGCCCACACTTAAGGAGTAGGGGGTTATACTCTACCTCCTTGAGGGTGGAACATCTAACAAGATGTTTTGAATTCTGCATGGGAGATTTGTTTCTCCCATTTATTGATTTGTTTAATCTTTTATTTATCTTATTATGGACTCATGGATATTTATTTTATACTTTTTGTTACAATCCAGAACGACTTTATTGATTCCAGCTTCAAATTGAGAGTTCTTTCAGTCAGATCTTTTGTTCCTTTGCTATGCTCTCGTCATTGTGTTTTTTGAGCACTTGCTTACTTTCTGGCACGACAAGATGCTCCAGACTCATAATATATATTTCCTCCCTCAGTTCTAGAATCATCATCCAGTTTTCATAGGAGCCCTGGTTCCTTTTTTTGGAAAACAATAGCTAGCCACTAGGTGTGTTTAGTTGTTATTTTTTTTACAAAAGAAAAAGTAACAAAGCCTTTTCCTTCTGAAGCAAAAGATCATTTTGCAAATGTACAATCTGGAGATAATACGATGGGTAGGGTGATTATAAATGCAAATTTGTCTAGAATAGTTGTCCCTTCAGGTTTAACGTTAGACGTAAGTGTCCTGAATTACATGACTACCTTAGCACTAGGTTACAAAGGGAGTCTGTCAAATTTATACATCAGCTCTGTTTGCAGGAATTGTTTCAATGTATCCCCATTAGTGCCTTACTAATTTAGGATCTTTAACAACTTAGGAAGACCCTCACAGAATTTTTATTTGCTGAATAAGCAGATAGCTGTTAGATCAAGGAGAAGATGGTTTTAGGCAACAAAGGTTAACTGTTCTTTCCCTAGGAGAGTGCCTAAAAGGGCAGAGAAAAAAAAGAAAAGTAGTATGTTGTTAAGCTACATGTTACCCAGTTTTCTCATTTTTAAAGGTATCTTTAGTTGTTAGATATATCTTTACTTGAATTACAGTCTTCAGTTGCTGGAGGGAGATGAGTGAGTAACACTAAATTAAGTGTTAGTATCATTTAAAAAATCTGGCCTGATTTCAAAGGTATATGTGGATTTCTTTTGTGGGGAAGGTTGTGGTGGGAGAAGGGATGTGCTTCTAACAATTAAAAAAAGTCTAGCCTGCTATTATGATAGATATTCGTACATGACTCATCTCTTTTAGCTTTCTCAACAATCCTGTGATCCAGTTGTTATTATTCCCATTTGACAAATGAGAAACCTGACAGTCAGAAAGGGTGAATGAAATCATGTGCTTAGTGGCACAGTTGGCTGTTACCCTTATTTTGTCTCAGGTCATTCATACTCTTGTAGGATACATTACTAGGAGAGACTCCTCCCACAGTTTTGCTGCTAAACTTTTTTAAATGCTAAGTGAGATTTTCTTAGTTAATAAGGAATATATTTTATACATTTTGGGGGATGAAAATAGTGGGTTTCAATATTTCTTAATAAATCTTTGAGAAATGCTTTGCTAAGTAACCAGAAAAGGAGAGTTTTATAATAAAATTTGATTTCCTCTCTCAATTTTTTAAATTGATGATGATTGCTTTTCATGTGTATACCTTTAGCAGCCATAAAATGGTAGTGTTTTAATTACAGGCAAAACTAACTGCAGACAGCGACGTGTTGCATTTTGACTGACTGTGGTTTGGCTCTTATGTGTGTGATGAAGGGTTTGGTGTAGTGTTTTTGAAAATTATCATTCACAGATGATTTGAAGCTGGTTAACCTCTAGGCTTCCAGTTCTTCACATAGCCTCATTGCTTATTTGTGTCCTGAGCCTTCACATTTTATAAGCTCCTTTAGTAATAGCTTTTAAATAGAAAGTGTAGAGAACATAATACATTGAAAAGCTAATCCAGTTTCATTAAAAAGGTTAAATTGTGTAGGTTTTTTGCTATAGGTACTGTAAAATGGCACTTTCCTGAAAGGATAGTGCCTTAGTAGATTAACAGCTAACTATGAAAGCTTTTTCTGTTAAGAATTTTGTATTCAAACAAGATTTGTTGCCTCTGCATCAGTAAAGCAGAATGGAAAATGGGCTGGGGATGGAACTAGTCTAGATATATCTTGAACTTTGATTTTTCAAGTGGAATTATATTTGTATTACTTTTTTGCCTTGTTATCCTTGTTTGTTATGGAAAAAGTCTTATACAGATGTAATCTGGTAGATGTGTTTTGGAAAAATTGGGCACGAATCCAGGCTTTGTAAATGGAATTGTGCTTTTCTGGTGACATAATTGTAGAGTGTTTTCTCCTTGCTTCATTTGTTCTCCCTCTGGAAGTAAAACTTATTTAATCTCAGTTTTAAAACTTAAAAATGTAGTATTCTTTTACATAGAATTTCAAGTAATGCAATTTAAAGAAATAACTCATTTGCAATTTTTAAAATTAGGCTTGTTTTTACTAAAACATATTTCTGAAGTTGGCAACTTAGTAGAATTAAGAACCCAGGGAACTTATGTCTGATTATTTATTTGCTCACTGGAGAATAAATCCCACAAAATATAGGATTTTAAAATTCAAATGCACAGCTCTACTTATTTATAAGTTATAATTTGTATAGCACTGGGTTTTAATTAAAGTATGTGCCTCAAATGATGGTTATTGAAAGATAAAAGTCAAGCTATGTAGTAGTTCCTTTCCTTTGTGAAGCCTGTTGTTTTATACCAATGTTTGTCAACAATTCAGAATTAAATATTAAATAGACTTATGTCTTTTGGCCGGGCGCGGTGGATCACGCCTGTAATCCCAGCACTTTGGGAGGCCGAGATGGGCGGATCACGAGGTCAGGAGATCGAGACCATCCTGGCTAACACGGTGAAACCCCGTCTCTCTAAAAATACAAAAAAAAAAAAAAAAAAAAAAAAAAAAAAATTAGCTGGATGTGGTGGCGGGCGCCTGTAGTCCCAGCTACTCGGGAGGCTGAGGCAGGAAAATGGCGTGAACCCGGGAGGCGGAGCTGGCAGTGAGCCAAGATCGTGCCACTGCACTCCAGCCTGGGCGACAGAGTGAGACTCTGTCTCAAAAAAAAAAAAAAACAACACAAAATAATTATGTCTTTTATGTCTTTGTTTTAGATATCTTATGTACATGTATATGATAAAGGATATGTTTTGTTCTTAACCATCTGTCTTGTCTTGAAGTATGTAATAGGCTTAAATCAGGCAAACGTGTCTGTCTTCAAAATCTGTGTTATGCATATTTCCTTTGCAAACTAAAGGCCAGAAATTATTTTATTTTATTTTATTTTATTTTATTTTATTTTAGAGGGAGTCTCGCTCTATCCCCTAGGCTGGAGTGCATTGGCGCCATCTCGGCTCATTTGCAACCTCTGTCTCCCGGGTTCAAGCGATTCTCCTGCCTCAGCTTCCCGAGGAGCTGGGATTACAGGTGCGTGCCACCACGCCTGGCTAATTTTTTGTATTTTTAGTAGAGACGGGGTTTCACCGTGTTAGCCAGGATGACCTTGATCTTCTGATCTCATGATCCGCCCACCTCGGCCCCCCCGAGAGTGTTGGGATTACAGGCGTGAGCCACCGCGCCTGGCCAATTGGATTATTAGACTATGTCCATGAATGTGATATTGACATGTACTGAAAATATGCAGATCTATTTAGAATGAGTTAAGGAGTCTCATAGAGCTTATGTTAGATAGTAAACAGTGTCTATCACATAATGATTATTTTAATAGAGAAGAAATGATTATTAGCATTTATTTATGATTAGCACCACGACCTCCCTTACCAACAATATCAACTCTTAAGAACCTAGGAATTGAAAAAAATCAACCTTAGCCCGATAAAGGGTATCCATCAGAACTCTACAATAAGCCTCATACTTAATGATGAAATACTAGAAATACGTTCATTAAGCTTAGAAACATGATGATTACTATCGCTACTTTTATTCAGCATTATGCTGGAAACCCTAGCCAGTAAAATAAGAAAAATAATAAATGATACAAGAAATGAAAGGAATAAACAAAACTTTCATTATTTATAGAGGATTGTCTGTATGGGAAATCTGAGAAAATCTATATACAAACTACCAGAACTAATTGTATAGCTTACCACTGTTGCCGGATACAAGATAACATAAAAAGATCATGCTTTTGTACCTTAGCAAAAATGTTTAGAAAATGTGATTTAAAGAAGATCCCAGTTACAACAGCAACAAAAGTACCTTACTTAGGAATAAGTTAAAACGAGATATAGAAGAACTTTATGAAGAAAGTTATAAAACTTTATTAAAGAAGCTAAAAGGATATCTAAATAAATGGATGGGTAAATCAATAGTCTGGAGGTGTAAAATATTTTCAAATATATCTGTTAATTGAATATAATTCCAAAAAAATTCAAAAGTTTGTTTTGCAGAACTTGGCAAAATTTTAGCTGACTCTAAAATTTATATGCAAGGGTAAAAGGTCAAGATTAACCCAGAGGAAAAATAAAGTGGGGAGATTCACCCAATCAGGCATAAGCTAAAGTAAATCAGAATAGGAATAAATCAGTCAAGTTTAGAAACAGACTGATGTTTGTAGGAACTCTGTATATGACAGATGTATAACAAATCAGTGGGAGAAAGAATGAACTATTTGGTAATCAATGCTAGGTTGGCCATGTTTAAAAAAAAAAAGGTTGAATTTCTAACTCACACACACCAACTGGATTCATTAGATTGAAAACCTAAAACTGAAAATAAGAACTTTAAAATTTTAGAAGAAAATATATGACAATATCATTATGACTTACGATATCAGGAAGAATATTTAAAATAAGACTCTAAGGTATTAACTTTTAAAGAAAAGATTATTATTTTGATTGTGCTAAAATTTACCAACTTTATGTGACAAATTCCGTATGTGAAGACTGTGAAAAGACAGGTCACATTTTGGGATAGTAGACTTGCAAAGAATATGTGTAACTGATAAAAGATTAGTACCCAAATATGCAAAGAACATCTACAAATTAATAAGAGAAAATGCAACCCAACAGAAAGTTGAGAAAGTCTATGAACAAGAAATTCAAGGAAAAATATATACATAATGTTTAACCAATATATTTTAAAATGTTAAACCTCACTATAATCAGGGAATCAGGGATATGTCATTTTTAAAGCAACTGAGAAAACTTATTTCACATTCATCAGATCAAAACAATTAACAAGTCTGATAATACCAAGGATTGTTTGAAAAGTGGGGCAGTGGGAATTCTCATACAGTGCTGAAACAGCCACAGTAGAGAGAAATATAGCAATATCTACAAATGCTCATTCTTCTTAGCAGTTCCAGTTTTACTAATGTAGAAAGTCCCACATTTATTCCAGGAGACTGGAATAAAGATCTTAATTGTACATTATTTGTGTACGTGATAAATGTACATCATTTGATCATTAATAAATTGTGGTATATTCTATGACAGAATGGTATCTATCTAGCTAAGTAAATTTCAATAAACAAAACATACTATATATTGATTATAGACATATATGCAGTTGAGAAAATACAAGCTCCTCCTAAAACACACGAGTAATGTATTGAGTATCTTACAGTTTCTCTCTTGCTTCACCACATCACCAAAGGCCTGTTTACCTCAGTTCTTTTTACCTAGTACCTTTTACATGTCTGACTTCCAAGAAAAAATTACAAGGCACACTAAAAGGCAAAATTTATATATAAGAATTATAGCTTTCTATTATAAAAATACTTATAAAATATAAGAGAAAAATTCTATAATAACTAAAAATGTAAAATATCTAGGAATAAACTTAAATATGCAGAAAATATGTGAAGAAACTTTAAAACTCTGCTGAGTGGTAAAGATGAATACTTAAACAGAAAAACATACCTTGATTTGAACAGAAAAGCTCAGTATTTTTAAGATTTTAATTTTTGCTTATTCTATAAATAATATGGTTAAAATTTGACAAGATAATCCTGAAGTTTGTAATGACAAGTCTGGAGACAATATAAATGCCTTTCAGTGGGGAGGATGATTTTAAGTTTATTTATATGTTTACTATTGAATATGTGCAGTCTGAAATGAATGGTGCATCTCCATTTGTTTTTCAAGATAGATTAAAAATCCAAGGACAGAAGAACATTGTGAATAATAAGCTCCCATTTGTTGGCGATAGTAGGTGGAGTGATAGAAGAGGCTGTGGGTACATAAACAGGTGATACTAGTCAAGAGCAGGTCAAATGGAAAGAATGAAGACATGTTTGGAGGCTACTGGAATAATTCCAAGTAAAAGTTGCTAAAGGACATGTACTAGGATAATGACATAATGCTTTGTAAAAAACAAATCTGAAAAAATTATAGGTGAATGTAATGTACACAAAGCTATCTGAACATTGCAGATTATGGGAAGAGAGGAGTCAAAGATGATGATTCCAGGTTTCAAATCTGGTGACAATATGTGGTTCATTTCTCATCTGCCCTCCCCTCCTATGTGTACTTTGCTGTTCCTTCTCTTATAAGTGGGGTAATGCTAAAGTTTTCTTCATCCCTTGCTTTCCCCACTCTCTTTCTTCCACATTCTCTTTCTTCTTCGTGGTTTCAGCTGTCATCTCTTTTTGGATGACTCCCACATTTTTACCTCTGGTTCTGATCTCTTTCTCAGCCTCTGGTCCTTCATATCCCTTGCTTGCTTGGGATGTTATCATGTTATGATCATGGTCTTAGTGTAATCAGACATCTGTTCAATTCCAGCCACTGTTGGGAGATATATGTCACCTTGGAAAAGTTCCTTAACTTCTATAAGGGTCAATGACCCCATTTATAAATGGGCATATGAATACTACTTATCTTTCAAGGGTGTTAAGAGCACTGAATGAATAATGATCTTCTAAAAACAGTACATAAACTGGGCTCATTCTCCTTGGTATGAGGTGAAATGAAAGAAATTTAGATAATATTATATCTATTCACCTATCTTCTGTCTTTCTTGTTTTTGGCATATAATCTATTATGAACCATCATTTATTGGAAAGGACTGTCTGAAGTATAGCTCAGAAGGACACATCAGAAGGTGTGGGGCTCGTCCTTATGGATGGAGAAGTGGGGCTATATTGGTGTGGGGAATGAAAGGATGAGACAGGACAAAATGTAGAAATAGATTAAATATGAGAGTCAAGGAAGCATTAAATTATGACTTAGCTGATATATAGAATAATATGTTACCCTTTAGAGATACAGGATTTTTTGTAGAAGTTTTTGCAGAAAAGTGAAGGAATTGATATTTATTACGTTGACTGTACCTTGTGTGGTGCATTTGTTGCAACTGATGAAACGATACTGATACATTTTTATATTAATACTAAAATACATAGTTTGCATTAGGGTTCATACTTTGTGGTGTACATTCTGCGGGTTTTGACGAAGGTATGGTGGCATATATTCATTGTTACTGTATCATGTAGAATAGTTTTAGTGCCCTAAAAATCCCCTTTGCGTCACCTCTTTCATTTTCCCCTCTCCCTGAACACCAGGCAATCACTAATCTTTTTCTGTGTCCACATTTTTGCCTTTTCCAGAATGTCATGTAGTTAGAATCATCTAGTGTGCGGTCTTTTCAGAGTGGCTTCTTTCACTTAGTAATATCCTTTTAAGATTCCTCAAGTCTTTCCATGGCTTGATAGCTAATTTCTTTTTATTACTGAATGATATTCCTTTGTATGACGTACCACAATTCATTTATCCATTCTCCTGCTGAAGGTCAGATTGCTTCTAAGTTTTCATAGTTATGAAAACTTGTATTTTAAGATTAAAATCTGGAAGTTTTTATTGATATTAGGCATTCGTTTCTTAGGGCTGCTATAATAACAGAGTACCACAAACTGGGTAGCTTAAAACAACAGAAATTTATTCTTTCATAGTTCTGGAGCCTAGACATCAGAAATCAAGGTGTTAGCAGGGTTGGCACCTGCCAACCAAGAGAGCTTTGAGGGAGAATCTATTCCATACCTTTCTCCTAGCTGCTCATGAGGGTTAGCCATCTTTGATGTTCCTTGGATTGTAAATGCATCAGTCCAATCTCTGCTTCCCTCTTCATGGGGCATTCTCCCTGTTTCTTCACATTGCTGTCTTCTTGTGAGGATACCAGTCATATTGAATTAGGGGCCCACCCTACACCAGTATGACCTCATCTTAACTAATTATATCTGCAACAACCCTATTTCCAAATTAGGTCACATTCTAAGGCACTGGTGGTTAGACTTCAACAACGTTATTAGAGGGCACAGTTCAACCCATAGCATGAAGTGATGCTTTCTAGACCATTCTTCTTTAGATAGTCATCCTTTTTGTTATTGTTGAATCATGGATGGTGATGTAACGTTTTCCAGCTTTGGCTAGTTGTGGTTTCAGCTGAAAAACCAAAATGTCCCTGACTGTGTTATATAAAAAAAAAAAAAAAAAAAAAAAAAAAAAAAGGGCTTCCCTGTGCTTGATCTTGAATGTACTTTGAAATGTGTAACCACTAAGATCTATCCCAGATGCCAGTCTGTGGCTCTACCTTGTTAGAATTTTTGTTTGCATGGTTCATTTGGCCACTTCGTGGCTTGTCAGTCAAGTTGTAGAGAAAATAGAATAAAGTATAATTGATATAAACAGTTTTCTTTAGAAGGATTATCCAACAAAAAATAAGTTACTAAGAAAATCCTTTTTTTCTCTTCTGGGTTTTAGTACAGTATGTAAAAAGACTGTGGAGGATAGTTTATAACTGTATAGACTCATTTTTCCCTTTCAGGTGATTATTATTTAGTGTTTTGCAGATTTCAGACAAATTCTTTCCTATTTTTCTACCATCTAACCATTCCATGTGAAAACTGACTTAAACTTGCCAACTTCTAGATCGAGTTTATAGTAATTTCCTAATTGTGTGTGTGTGAGAGAGTGCATTTTTGTGTTTGTGTGCCTGTGTGTGTGAGAAAGAGAGAGGGAGAGAAGAGAAAGGGAGGGAGTGAAAAAAGAAGTTAAAGTCACATGGAAAATTACTGGGCAGTTTGAAAATAATTTGATGAAGTGGGCATGGAAGAAAATCAGGGCTGGGAAGGGAGGAATACTAAACTGATTATGTAGTAGGAATAAAAAAAATTATAAATTTGAATCTTGTGTGTTTTGAAGTAAGAGTTTTAATAAGATTATCAGACTTTTCTTGATAATAAAAGGATTAAATATTGTATTAAATGCTATCAAATAGCACATTTTATGGAATCTTACCTATTGATGTGGCCAGAGCTCCAGAGTCAGGCAGGGTTCTGATGCATCTCATAGAAAACAGGTTGGCTAGCCAGTTAGTAACATTATTTTGACCCAATAAGAGAAAGTGCTTGATGTATTCTAGAGGATTTCTCCAGGAGTGAATTTTCTTCCCTCATATCTGAGGGTTATGTAACTTATTCTCCACTAAAGATATTTACATGTGAAGGCAGAAAAACCTAATGGACCAGAGTGGCTTTGGTCTCTTGGTTCCCAACCACCATTTTAAGAAGATAGGTTCGGAAGCTCAAACTGGGTGGAGCCCACCGCAGCTCAAGGAGGCCTGCCTGCCTCTGAAGACTCCACCTCTGGGGGCAGGGCATAGCCAAACAAAAGGCAGCAGAAACCTCTGCAGACTTAAATGTCCCTGTCTGACAGCTTTGAAGAGAGTAGTGGTTCTCCCAGCACGCAGCTGGAGATCTGAGAATGGACAAACTGCCTCCTCAAGTGGGTCTCTGACCCCAGAGTAGCCTAACTGGGAGGCATCCCCCAGTAGGGGCAGACTGACACCTCACATGGCCGGGTACTTCTCTGAGACAAAACTTCCAGAGGAACGATCAGGCAGCAACATTTGCTGTTCACCAATATCTACTGTTCTGCAGACTCCGCTGCTGATACCCAGGCAAAGAGGGTCTAGAGTGGACCTCCAGCAAACTCCAACAGACCTGCAGCTGAGGGTCCTGACTGTTAGAAGGAAAACTAACAAACAGAAAGGACATCCACACCAAAACCCCATCTGTATGTCACCATCATCAAAGACCAAAGGTAGATAAAACCACAAAGATGGGGAAAAAACAGAGCAGAAAAACTGGAAACTCTAAAAGTCAGAAGAGCACCTCTCCTCCTCCAGAGGAACGCAGCTCCTCACCAACAACGGAACGAAGCTGGACAGAGAATGACTTTGACGAGTTGAGAGAAGAAGGCTTCAGACGATCAAACTACTCTGAGCTAAAGGAGGAACTTCAAACCCATGGCAAAGAAGTTAAAAACCTTGAAAAAAAAATTAGACGAATGGCTAACTAGAATAACCAATGCAGTGAAGTCCTGAAAGGACCTGATGGAGCTGAAAACCGTGGCATGAGAACTACGTGACGAATGCACAAGCCTCAGTAGCTGATTCGATCAACTGGAATAAAGGGTATCAGTGATGGAAGATCAAATGAATGAAATGAAGCGAGAAGAGAAGTTTAGAGAAAAAAGAATGAAAAGAAATGAACAAAGCCTCCAAGAAATATGGGACTATGTGAAAAGACCAAATCTATGTCTGATTGGTGTACCTGAAAGTGACGGGGAGAATGGAACCAAGTTGGAAAACATTCTGCAGGATATTATCCAGGAGAACTTCCCCAATCTAGCAAGGCAGGCCAACATTCAAATTCAGGAAATACAGAGAATGCCACAAAGATACTCCTCGAGAAGAGCAACTCCAAGACACGTAATTGTCAGATTCACCAAAGTTGAAATGAAGGAAAAAATGTTAAGGGCAGCCAGAGAGAAAGGTCAGGTTATCCACAAAGGGAAGCCCATCAGACTAACAGCTGATCTCTCGGCAGAAACTCTACAAGCCAGAAGAGAGTGGGGGCCAATATTCAACATTCTTAAAGAAAAGAATTTTCAACCCAGAATTTCATATCCAGCCAAACTAAGCTCCATAAGTGAAGGAGAAATAAAATCCTTTACAGACAAGCAAATGCTGAGAGATTTTTGTCACCGCCAGGCCTGCCCTACAAGCGCTCCTGAAGGAAACACTAAACAGGGAAAGGAACAACTGGTACCAGCCACTGCAAAAACATGCCAAATTGTAAAGACCATTGAGGCTAGGAAGAAAAAGCATCAACTAACGAGCAAAATAACCAGCTAACATCATAATGACAGGATCAAATTCACACATAACAATATTAAGCTTAAATGTAAACAGGCTAAATGCTCCAATTAAAAGACACAGACTGGCAAATTGGATAAAGAGTCAAGACCCATCAGTGTGCTGTATTCAGGAAACCCATCTCACGTGCAGAGACACACATAGGCTCAAAATAAAGGGATGGAGGAAGATCTACCAAGCAAATGGAAAACAAAAAAAGGCAGGGGTTGCAATCCTAGTCTCTGATAAAACAGACTTTAAACCAACAAAGATCAAAAGACACAAAGAGGCCATTACATAATGGTAAAGGGATCAATTCAACAAGAAGAGCTAACTATCCTAAATATATATGCACCTAATACAGGAGCACCCAGATTCATAAAGCAAGTCCTTAGAGACCTACAAAGAGACTCAGACTCCCACACAATAATAATGGGAGACTTTAACACCCCACTGTCAATATTAGACAGATCAGTGAGACAGAAAGTTAACAAGGATATCCAGGAATTGAACTCAGCTCTGCACCAAGCAGACCTAATAGACATCTACAGAACTCTCCACCCCAAATCAACAGAATATACATTCTTTTCAGCACCACACCACACTTGTTCCAAAACTGACCACATAGTTGGAAGTAAAGCACTCCTCAGCAAATGTAAAACAAGAGAAATTATAACAAACTGTCTCTCAGACCACAGTGCAATCAAACTAGAACTCAGGATTAAGAAACTCACTCAAAACCACTCAACTACATGGAAACTGAACAACCTGCTCCTGAATGACTATTGGGTACATAACAAAATGAAGGCAGAAATAAAGATGTTCTTTGAAACCAATGAGAACAAAGACACAACATACCAGAATCTCTGGGACACATTCAAAGCAGTGTGTAGAGGGAAATTTATAGCACTAAATGCCCACAAGAGAAAGTGGAAAGATCTAAAATTGACACCCTAACATCACAATTAAAAGAACTAGAGAAGCAAGAGCAAACATTCAAAAGCTAGCAGAAGGCAAGAAGTAACTAAGATCAGAGCAGAACTGAAGGAGATAGAGACACAAAAAACCCTTCAAAAAATCAGTGAATCCAGGAGCTGGTTTTTTGAAAAGATCAAAATTGGTAGACCGCTAGAACAAAGAAGAAAAGAGAGAAGAATCAAATAGATGCAATAAAAAATGATAAAGGGAAGATCACCACCGATCCCACAGAAATACAAACTACCATCAGAGAATACTATAAACACCTCTATGCAAATAAACTAGAAAATCTAGAAGAAATGGATAAATTCCTCGACACATACACTCTCCCAAGGCTAAACCAGGAAGAAGTTGAATCCCTGAATAGACCAATAACAGGCTCTGAAATTGAGGCAATAATTAATAGCTTACCAACCAAAAAAAGTCCAGGACCAGATGGATTCACAGCCCAGAAGTACAAGGAGGAACTGGTACCATTCCTTCTGAAACTATTCCAATCAATAGAAAAAGAGGGACTCCTCCCTAACTCATTTGATGAGGCCAGCATCATCCTGATACCAAAACCTGGCAGAGACACAACAAAAAAAGAGAATTTTAGACCAGTATTCCTGATGAACATTGATGCAAAAATCCTCAATAAAATACTGGCAAACCGAATCCAGCAGCACATCAAAAAGCTTATCCACCATGATCAAGTGGGATGTACATCCCTGGGATGTAAGGCTGGTTCAACATACACAAATCAATAAACGTAATCCAGCATATAAACAGAATCAATGACAAAAACCACATGATTATCTCAATGGATGCAGAAAAGGCCTTTGACAAAATTCAACAACGCTTCATGCTAAAAACTCTCAATACATTAGGTATTGATGGGACGTATCTCAAAATAATAAGAGCTATCTATGACAAACCCACAGCCAGTATCATACTGAATGGGCAAAAACTGGAAGCATTCCCTTTGAAAACTGGCACAAGACAGGGATGCCCTCTCTCACCACTCCTATTCAACATAGTGTTGGAAGTTCTGGCCAGGGCAATCAGGCAGGAGAAGGAAATAAAGTGTATTCAATTAGGAAAAGAGGAAGTCAAATTGTCCCTGTTTGCAGATGACATGATTGTATATCTAGAAAACCCCATCGTCTCAGCCCAAAATCTCCTTAAGCTGATAAGCAACTTCAGCAAAGTCTCAGGATACAAAATCAATATGCAAAAATCACAAGCATTCTTATACACCAATAACAGACAAACAGCCAAATCATGAACTCCCATTCACAGTTGCTTCAAAGAGAATAAAATATCTAGGAATCCAACTTACAAGGGACGTGAAGGACCTCTTCAAGGAGAACTACAAACCACTGCTCAATGAAATAAAAGAGGATACAAACAAATGGATGAACATTCCATGCTCATGGGTAGGAAGAATCAATATCGTGAAAATGGCCATACTACCCAAGGTAATTTATAGATTCAATGCCATCCCCATCAAGCTGCCAATGACTTTCTTCACAGAATTGGAAAAAACTACTTTAAAGTTCATATGGAACCAAAAAAGAGCCCGCCTTGCCAAGTCAATCCTAAGCCAAAAGAACAAAGCTGGAGGCATCACACATATCTACAACTATCTGATCTTTGACAAACCTGACAAAAACAAGAAATGGGGAAAGGATTCCCTATTTAATAAACAGTGCTGGGAAAACTGGCTAGCCATATGTAGAAAGCTGAAACTGGATCCCTTCCTTACACCTTATACAAAAATTAATTCAAGATGGATTAAAGACTTAAATGTTAGGCCTAAAACCATAAAAACCCTAGAAGAAAACCTAGGCAATACCATTCAGGACATAGGCATGGTCAAGGACTTCATGTCTAAAACAGCAAAAGCAATGGCAACAAAAGCCAAAATTGACAAATTGCATCTAATTAAACTAAAGAGCTTCTGCACAGCAAAAGAAACTACCATCAGAGTGAACAGGCAACCTGCAGAATGGGAGAAAATTTTTGCAATCTACTCATCTGACAAAGGCCTAATATCCAGAATCTACAATGAACTCAAACAAATTTACAAGAAAAAACAACCCCATCAAAAAGTGGGTGAAAGATATAAACAGATACTTCTCAAAAGGAGACATTTATGCAGCCAAAAGACACATGAAAAAATGCTCATCATCACTGGCCATCAGAGAAATGCAAATGAAAACCACAATGAGATACCATCTCACACCAGTTAGAATGGCGATCATTAAAAAGTCAGGAAACAACAGGTGCTGGAGAGGATGTGGAGAAATAGGAACACTTTTACACTGTTGGTGGGGACTGTAAACTAGTTCAACCATTGTGGAAGTCAGTGTGGCGATTCCTCAGGGATCTAGAACTAGAAATACCATTTGACCCAGCCATCCCATTACTGGGTATATACCCAAGGGATTATAAATCACGCTGCTATAAACACACATGCACACGTTATGTTTATTGTGGCACTATTCACAATAGCAAAGACTTGGAACCAACCCAAATGTCCAACAATGATAGATTGGATTCAGAAAATGTGGCACATATACACCATGGAATACTATGCAGCCATAAAAAATGATGAGTTTGTGTCCTTTGTAGGGGCATGGATGAAGCTGGAAACCATCATTCTCAGGAAACTATCACAAGGACAAAACACCAAACACCGCATGTTCTCACTCATAGGTGGGAATTGGACAATGAGAACACATGGACACAGGAAGGGGAGCATCACACACCAGGGCCTGTTGTGGGGTGGGGGAAGGGGGGAGGGATAGCATTAGGAGATATACCTAATGTTAAATGACGAGTTAATGGGTGCAACACACTAACATGGCACATGTATACATATGTAACAAACCTGCACATTGTGCACATGTACCCTGAAACTTAAAGTATAATAAAAAAAAAAAGAAAAAGAAAAAAAGAACCTTAAAAAAAAAAAAGAAGATAGGTTCCTGGTGTTTTTGAGTTGCCTCTCTTGTTTTGACCTCACTTCATTTATTCATTGAATCTGCTTTCTCTCTTCTCCCATTGCTGACATATCTGAGATGCAATTCCTCTCAAGTAAAAATCATCAAGTATTATTCATATAATTGCTTCTATTTGTTTTATAAGCCTAGGGTCAGATTTGATCACTTTTCCAATGTATCATATTCCTCTTTATTTCTATTACCATAGACTAATCCAGGATTCTATTTCTTTCGTAGATTATCATCATTTCATCTTCTTCCTTTTCATTTCTTTGCCCTCCTTGACCATGCCATCTGCCCCTATCAAAGGCCTGCAGTGTTTTGTTTTTTTTTACATGACTGGTCAAGTTTAAAGTCCTTAACTTCTCCCCAGTATTTTATTATAAAAATTTCTGAACACAAAATAAAGTTTACAAAGGACCCTGCTGTATCCACCATCAGAATTTTTCCATTAACGTTTTACCCTACTTCCTTGTTTTTATCTGACATCCATCATCTGTGTGTCCCTCTATCCATCTATTTATCTGGCTTACTTTTTGATGCATTTCAAAGTAAATTGCAGACATTAGTAGTTTTCCAACTAAATATGTCAGCATGCAAATAAATATATGTAATTTTTCTTTTGATATAAAATTTATATCTATTGAAATACAGAAATCTTAAGTGTACATTCTATGAGTTTAGAAAAATGCATACACCTGTACAACCCAAATCCCTGTCAAGATATAGAACTTGTCACCCCAGATACTTTCATCATGCCCCTTTTCAGTCCACACTCTCATTCTCATCCCCATAGCAACAACTGTTTTGAAGTTTTTGTACTATAGTTTAGTCTGTTGCAGAATTTCATATAAATGGACCCATACGATATGGACTGTCTTGCTGAAGGCATCTTGAAACCCTTCACTAGGATACCCTAAACTTTTACTCCATTTTTATTTCTCAAGCCATCTCCTTTATTCTCTCAGGTAGACATTATTCCATTAATTTTCCTAAGTTGTGTCAGACTCTTTGGAATATTGCAGCTGTCTTCAGTCCTCATAAGAAATGAAAGAAAGGGAAAAGATTTGCTGCTTTCCTTACAACAGTGAGATGCTTACTATTCTGTAGCTAAATCTAGAATATAGTAGTTAGGAGTCAGGGAGAGATTGATTTATGGTTCCCTATATGACATGCTTTCTCAAATATTAATCCCTTTGATGAGTATTAGAGAAAGTGTGTCATATAGGGAATCTCTAGAGCAGAGAAAAAAGCACCATGTCAATAGGCCATTTTGGTAAAAGGCGGTGAAAACTTCTGTTGATGCTTCTATTACGTGAATAATAAGTACAGATGCTCCTCGACCTATGATGGGGTTACATCCAGATAAACCCATTGTAAGTTGAAAATACCATAAGTTGAACCACTGTAAGTCAGGGACTGTCTGTATTTTTTT
The DNA here is from genome assembly GCF_000001405.40 of Homo sapiens. Classification (NCBI taxonomy): domain Eukaryota; kingdom Metazoa; phylum Chordata; class Mammalia; order Primates; family Hominidae; genus Homo; species Homo sapiens. Next base: position 95,869,242 of record NC_000011.10, on the reverse strand, counting down.
TTTTTTTCATTTTCATGGTGTTTTGCAAATCTCTTTATGGTGCAGTTATCTTGATTTCATAGTTGCTAACTTTTAAGGTGGGTATTAATATCATGTTAATAACATGAATGGTGAAACTAAGACTCAGAGCGTAGTATGGTGGTAGTGAATGTGGAGTTTTTTTAGGGGTTCTTAGGATATGAAACATAAGGTTTTGCAGTACACCACAAATCCCTTGTATATTTTAATTTTGATTTTCCCTTTTTAGCTGAATCACAGTTTAAGATATTTTTTTCTTTTTCTTTTTTTTTTTCTAAAAAGTATTTCTGGGTTGTATTTTCTGAGACCTGGCTATCTGAGAATGACTTCCTGCTGCCATTAAATACTTTTTGGGAGCATTTTCCTTCACAGCTTTGATCACATTTTGTTATTGTCTTGTAGAATATGGTATTATAGATAACCTTGAAGCTAACTTGATTTTGCTTTCTTCAAAGGTAATTTTTTTTCCACCTATATTCTTACAGTTTATATTTTAATTCTTTTAGTTCAAAAAAATTTGCCAAGATGCAACTAGGTATGTCTCTGTTCATTGATTTTGGGTGGAACATGGTAAACTCTTCTGATCAACATCAATTATATATTGGACTTTTTGCTCCTCTTGATTATTTTTTTTTTCCTTTAGAAAATACAATTCTTTTCTTGATTATTTTCCATGATGATTTTATCTTTGTTCTTTTCCTTCAAATTCTTACAGCACTTTTCAAGTTTGTCCTCAACATTAAATCTGTTTTCTGAATAACCAATGCAATTTGTTGCTAATTGCATACAGATTTTATTTCTGCTATTACATTTTTAAATGTCCTTGCAGTCATTCTCATTCATTTCTCTTGTTTCATTGTGTCTCTCTCCTTATGACTTTCTGTTTCTACTCTATTTCTTTTTTTTCTTTTTCTTTTTCTTTCTTTTTTTTTTTTTTTTTTTTTTTTTTTTAGCACAGGGTCTCACTCCCATTGCCTAGGCTGGAGTGCAGTGGAGTGCATCACAGCTCACTGAAGCCTTGACTTCTGGGGCTCAAGGTAGTCCTCTCATCACAGCCTCCCAAGTAGCTGAGACTGTAGACCCGTGATGCCATGCCTGCCCAGCTGATTTTTTGCATTTATAGTAGACACAGGGTTTTGCCGTGTTGTCCAGGCTGGTCTTGAATTCCTGGTTTCAAGCAGTCCACTCGCCTCGGCCTCCTAGGATGCTGAGAGCATAGGCTGAGCCACTGCGCCTGGCCTTCTCTTTGTGTTTATTAGAAAATATGGCTTATTTCCTTTTGAGTGTGCCAAGTACCTTATACATGCTTTTACAAATGCCTATAGAGAATTATTTTCAGAAGACTGCTTTCTTTTTTAAAGTTTCGGGTTGATATTCTCTTTTCTTTGTAAGTCTTTTTTTTTTTTTTCTAGGCCTTTTTTTTCCTAGTCTCTTTTCTCCTGTTTGATTAAGGATAGATTTGTCTAGAATCAGTGTTTGTCAACAAACACAGGGTCTAGATTGCCCCATCCCTGTTCTGTTCACTTGAGTGCTAGTTGGAGTTCCTTTTCCTATCTCCAGTGTAGAATTAGTTGTTTATATACAACCTTTAGCATAAGCCTATTGTTAAAAGTCTGTCATCTAGAGCAGCTCTGCTGGACAAAGATAGGATCTTGTATTGCTTCTTTTCATTGCCTCGCTCTTTGACATTCTGGTCAGAGAGAATATAAGAAAGCCTATGTGTGGTTCTCAAAGTGTGCTGCTTGCATGAGTTTTCCTGTCTCTTTTCTCACTTTATGAAGCTTTAGGAGGATTGTGTCTCCCATGTTTCTGTGTGCCTTTGCCAGAACTACCCTCTTCTCTTCTGTACATAACATAAATATTTTCCGGGGGTTGCTGGTCCTTTCTGAATGTAGAAATGTAGAGAAAAAGGAAGTCATGTGGAGCAGTGCTGTAGCAGCCACAAGAAGGTATACATATGCAATATGGGAACTACTGCCCAGCGTTATAAGTGACATAAACGTTGTATTTCTGAGTGAGGTGGTAGACCGGGGAAAGAATAAAGCATCTTCCTTTCTATAATCTTTCACGTGGTTGATTTTTTTCGGTATACTCTGATATTTGTTTTGTTATCTTTGGGTCTAATTTTGTTGCTTTCATAATTAGTAGAATTATTAGCAGATTCTGGCAATTAGTTGTTAGTTTGAACTTTTATTAACAGTAGACAACACTTATTACATACATCTTATGTGTTAACACTGATATAAGTACTTTAAATGTATTAACCCATTTAATTTTCATAACAACCTATGTGTGGTACTATAATAGTTACCATTTTATAGATGCGGAAAATGAGGCATAGAGAAGTTGAAAACCTTGCCTAAGAGTACCAAGTTAGTATGTGGTGCAGTCAGGATGTGAACCCAAGTCTATATTTTTGTATATGGCAAGTTTTTGCCTTTTTAACCCCATCTTCATAGGCTGGTCCTCCTTTCCTCTCTTCTTTCCTTCTTCTCTTCTTTTATGACTACATAAGACTATTTAGGGACTGGCAACTAGATAGCGTGTTTAAAAGATGACCTTTAAAGACGACTTTTCTGAAGTTTAGATGTGGCACATAAAAATATGTATGTGTGTATATACTATTTCTTTAGGTATTGCATTAAAGTTACTTTATGAAACAAATTGTTAAACTTTCAAAAGAATGAATTTGTTTAGATTGCAAATTTATTGAAAATAAGTTAATTTGTTCTTTGTAGTTCTTAGTTATTGGCCGCAGGTGAGCCAGATTGCGGAAGATGGAGGAATTAATGGGATTGGAGACAGAAATTTACTGTTTGATGGTGAGAGAGGTGGGAGGAGGTGAGGAAGGCTTTTGGTAGTTAATGGGGGATATATTTAGCATATGACAATTTGGGTGTGTCTGTGTGTTCTCTGGGTTGTAACTCCTTTAGAGAACTGTTTCTGTATCCACATTCTTGGAATATAGTGTAGCATCCTTCAAAAGGTAACTACCTGGTCATATTTGTTGATCATGAATTTATTTAAACTCTTTTTCAACAAGATGATTTATCAACATCATTTCTAAATTCTCTAAACATTAAATCTACACAAGAACTTAATTTTGTCTGAGTTTAAATGTACTATGGCCCTTCAGCATGGCTTTGGAATCCATTCAACTGTAGTTCAGATCTACACACTGGCACTTTAACTATGTGATCTTGAACTAATTACCACTTTCGGCTGCTTTTTCCTCATCTGAGAAATGAGGATATAATACCTCTTTTATTGTTAGGCTGTCTTAGGATGCAGTGCAAAAACATGTACAATTTTTTGTGTAACAAATGTAGAGTGCTTTGATATGATTTAAGCACTCAGTAAATGCTTTCTAGAAAAACATTAACTTCATATATTATACATGCCAACACTACAGTTTAACAAATTTGATTTAAAATAGTGTATGTGATATGATGTTATAACTTCAAGAGCAAGTATACTCAGTTGAAATATGAGTGAAAAAGTAGCCTTTGAATAAAAAAATGTTTCTTTTTTTGTCTTTCCCACCCCAGGTCCTGAGGGAGTCTAACAAGTTAGCAGAAATGGAAGAACCACCCTTGCTTCCAGGAGAAAATATTAAAGACATGGGTCCGTAATGGTATTTTTTGCTTAATGTCCTTCTCCGTTCTACTGTGCAGAATGTTCAGTACTCTCAGCATACAGAGAATAAACTGGCTGTCAGAGACACCTCCTGTCTGGCAGAACTCTTTACCTGCAGTCTTCTCAGCATCTTAGTGTGTTCTACAAACGTAAGCCTAGACCCGCTGCTAGTGTTTGTGTTTGAACTCCTGGGAAACATGCAAATTGAATTATACTTTGCCTCTTCTCTGGTTTGTTTTACTTTCTTTAAAAGTAGGTGGATTTTTGCTAAAACTGTTGCTGAAGCCTGTGAAGGAAAATTTTATTATTTTGAATTACTATATTCAGATATTGAGTTGCCTAGATAAAAACATTGAATTGTCACCTTATACAAGTAATTTTTCTTAAAATATCTTCTCTTCTGTTTGCTTCCTTCATGTCTTTCTTCTCTGAATAAAGTCAGGTTAATTTTTGGATGAAATACATCATCTCCATTGCATCTGTTTGTATGTAGATGCCCTTCTCTGCCCAGCCTAATACTTATAATATGGACTGGAAACTGAAAATGAGCTTACAAGCTGTGTTTTTTTTCCTCATGCTTTTGTTTTGTTTCATCTGTGTGATAATCTACAGATATCTACTCATAAACTCTGAGAAATAAAGTAATATGTTAGAAGAATGAAGTAAATGATTTCTTAGTTAATATAACTACCATGTTTCATTTTGTTACCAATCATAATTTTTAAAAAGGATTTTAAAAATGCTGAATTTTACTTGGCTAGGTGTCATTTCTATGTGTAAAAACAAGCCAAAGGCAGGACCTGTATTCTAAATGGATTATTATTTACTAAATTTAGCTTCCTAGTCCTTAGCATGCTATTTGTCTTTTCTTGCTCTTGGCTCTTGATTGAATAACCTCTCAGTCTTTTTCTTTTCCCCAGTTAGCCTTATATATACACCAAGCTCTTGATCTGAACTACCTACTTACATTTTTTCAGAATTGGCTATTATATAATGATAGTAGTTATTATTATTGAGTGCTTACTATCTCAGTCATTCTCAGAGAGTATATTCTTGAGAATAACATCAACCCCATTTTATAGGTGAGGAAGGAAACTAAGGCATAGGAAGATAACCTAGCTAATAAGGTTATATCTAGCATTGTGACAATTTCTTTTTCTTATTCTGAACTTAATGCCGTAATTGCAGCTCCCATTATGAAATATGGCTTTATTAAAGAACTTCAAGTTACCACTCAGTCTCATTTGTTGGCTCTTCTTCCTTTAATAGCAACACGCCCTAGGACTTCATCCTTGACCCATTTCCCTTTTCCCTCCTGTATACTCTTTTCGGTTGACCATATCTAAATTTGTAACATCACTTGCCATATATTGGCTGATGACTCCAAAATTTGTTATCTCCAGTGTGAACCCCTGTCCTAATGTAAGTAAACAAATGCCTCTATCTTAAACACACATCCTTGAATATCCCATAGGAACCTTATACCCAACATCTCCAAAATGGAAATCATCACGTTTAACTCCAAACTTACTCTTTTTCTTGCATTCTCTCTCTCAGTTGACATCAATACCAGCTGTCCATTTACTCAAGTCAGAAATCTGGTTGTCGTACTAGACTGCTCTTTTTTTCTTTTCTGGACTCTTAACATCCAGTCAGTGTCTAAGAATTTCTTGTATTTATCTTCTTTTCTCCATTGTCATGATCTCTTGAGGAATGATAGAGGGTACAGAACAAAGCAAAGACTAATGATGATAATAGTAACATAGGTATAAACCCTTGAATTTTTGTATTGTACTTAGAACTTTAGAAGCATCTTTATATGTATATTATCTCATGATTTTAGAATAAAGGGGAAGATGTAACAGAAAAGCACTGGCCTGAGAATGACATTCCTGTGGTGGGATATAGGATAATAAGGCTGAGTTTTCTTACATGAGTAAGAAAATTGACTGTGGAAGGAATCCAGAAATGTTTTAGTAACCTTGAATAAAGCTTTTCTAGTTGAGGTAAAAATTCATAAGGGAAAAATATTATTTGTGCAAAGCAAGTTTGTGTATTTTTGTATAATGATGGGTTCATTTAATTTTAAAAGCTTCCCTCTAAATGAAATATGCATTCGAAACGATTTAAAAAAGTAGTTTATACTTAAAATGTTCCTAAGGGAACTATTTTGAAGGTTAGAAATGATTGTGAAAAGATCAGTCTCATTTCAAATTCCATACAAAGCAGCCAGTCCTTCGAAGTGTTGAATGAGAAGCAAAGTCAGGAGGTTGTAATACCTTATTAAATATATTTCATGGCCCCAAGTTTTCCCAGAAGCCCGTTGAAAGGGTCTTAGAAAGTTGTTGCTCCACAGAATTGTCCCTTACTTCCTTGGAATGATGAAGATACTCCTTTATCTGCTGATTTGGTGTAATAATGACATACTAGGAATTTATGAATATTTTAAGATATAAAAACCATGTATTGGAAATTATGAACTGTGGCATTTTAAATAATATTTTGAGATACTGATTCCTAAGTTATCCTGCATAATCAGTTAATGCATATTTTACAAAACATAATGCCATGTAGATCCATTGTTTATTTGATAAAACATTACTTGTGATTATTTCTTTACAAAGTCTGGCATTGGTTGGTCAGCAGTACAATATCCTCTTCTTATACTGTTATTTTTCTAAGAAATTATATTTTAAATGTGTGTCATTTCACCTGTAAAATTTTCCCCATAAGTATTAATCAGATCAGGAGTTTGTGGAATAACATATGTTTTGGACATTGCATTTTTAGAAGAATGTTGACAAACTGGACAGGAAATTGGTGAGGTTACATAGAAACTGCAATGAGATGATGGCGACTGTGCCTTGACATGCTTATTGTTGATACCACCATTACCAGTATTCTTTCACCCGTCTCTGCTGCAGCTACCCACACCTGTTTTATCTAGCCAGGATAGTAGCCCCTTTGTTTACTTCCATTCTGTCTCATGGGATGAGAAGTCCCTCCACCTTTTCAGCCTATCCCATTTAATTCTGTGTTTCTTCCCCAGATTAGTGCAAGGATGGAAGCTTGGGTTGTAGGATTCTGAGGTCTCTGGAAATTACTGGTTCTGTTATTTTTCAGCATAAATTAGTCTAGGAATCATAACAATTTTATAAGATGAGATAGCAGGTTTTAATAGCACATAATGTATAGTAAACTGTGGACTTCTTGCTTTTTCAGCCAAAGATGTAACTTATATATGTCCATTCACTGGCGCTGTACGAGGAACTCTGACTGTCACGAATTATAGGTTATATTTCAAAAGCATGGAACGGGTAAGAGTCAGATTAGATTTTTGTATGTACATGAGTGTGTTGTTTGTAGCTAGTTTTGTTCATTTCTGATCATTTCTAATTAAAGCATTTCTGATTAAGATTTTGATCAGCTCTATAATTGGACAGTATTAATTGCTCAGTTTTAATTATTTTTTCTTTCCTTCTTTAGGATCCCCCATTTGTTTTAGATGCTTCCCTTGGTGTGATAAATAGAGTAGAAAAAATTGGTGGTGCTTCTAGTCGAGGTGAAAATTCTTATGGACTAGAAACTGTGTGTAAGGTAAATGTTATAATATGTATGTGATTTTCTTTGGTTTGAAAAGCTTTGTATTAAATAGAACCTCTGTTTTGAAATTGGTTTCTAAAATATAAAATGGATTTCCAATTAGAAATGTTATTTTAGTATGACATTGATAGAAGAAAACAAAATTTAGCAGTAATAGAAAAGGTGATTCATGAATTAGACTTAATTCTTTTGGGCCCAGTTCAGTCTACATATTTTGATATATTCACAAATTCATAACTTATTTTTTAATAATGATCATCTTGGCCGGACATGGTGGCTCACGCCTATAATCCCAACACTTTCAGAGACTGAGGCAGGTGGATCACATCAGGTCAAGAGTTCGAGATCAGTCTGGCCAACATGATGAAAACGCATCTCTACTAAAAATACAAAAATTAACCAGGCGTGGTGGCGGGCACCTGTAATCTCAGCTATTGGGGAGGCTGAGGCAGGAGAATTGCTTGAACCTGGGAGGCGGATGTTGCAGTGAGCCAAGATAGTGCCACTGCACTCCAGCTTGGGCAACAGAGTAAGACTCTGTCTGAAATAATAATAATAATAATAATAATAATAATAATAATAACCATCTTTAATGCACATAGTACTGATAGGATACCACATAGTTCCACATTGATGATTTCACTTTGAGCCTTATAAAAATCCTGTGAGGTAGGCACAATAGACATTACTACCTTTAATTTACAAATTAGCAACATAAGGCTCTGAGCAGTTCCACTACTTCGTAGTGGAAGAACTAAATAACTAAATATGTTATATTCATCATCACCTATCTTTTCTGTTTCTAGTTCTCATAATTTTTCTTTTTTTTTTTTTTTGAGACGGAGTCTCGCTCTGTTGCCCAGGCTGGCACAATCTCAGCTCACTGCAAGCTCCGTCTCCTGGGTTCACGGGATTCTCCTGCCTCAGCCTCTCGAGTAGCTGGGACTACAGGCGCCCACCACCACGCCCAGCTAATTTTTTTTTGTATTTTTAGTAGAGATGGGGTTTCACCATGTTAGCCAGGATGGTCCCAATCTCCTGACCTCGTGATCTGCCCATCTCGGCCTCTCAAAGTGCTGGGATTACAGGCGTGAGCCACCGTGCCCGGCCAGTTTTTCTACTTCTAAAACAATAGTGTGGAAAAGTTGATATTGTAGACTTTTCTTATGTTCTTATTTACTGGCATTCTTTAAATGCGTTGATACTTGAATGAAACATAGATTGTTACATTTTTACCATTAAGTCATAGGTATTTAATTCTACGTACCACTTCTCCAGGTCACTGTTATTAAGGCCTAATTAACTAACACCCATGCACATTGAGATTCTACATCACATTGTTCCTTTCTTTTTATTCTGCCAGTGCCAAAAGAAACAGCATGTGTATAATTCAAGATACTTTGTTATGCTAATCTTAGAAGTTTTGTGACTCTGGTATTAAAGCTAATGACTTAGTAATTATTTTTGTAGTTTTCTTTTTTTTTGAGACAAGAGTCTGGCTCTGTTGCTTAGGCTGGAGTGCAGTGGCGTGATCTTGGCTTACTGCAGCCTCTGCCTCCCGGGTTCAAGTGATTCTCCTACCTCAGCCTCCTCAGTAGCTGGGATTACAGGCATATGCCACCATGCCTGGCTAATTTTTGTATTTTTGGTAGAGATGGGTTTCACCACATTGGCCAGGTTGGTGTTGAACTCCTGGCCTCAAGTGATCTGCCCGCCTTGGCCTCCCAAAGTGTTGAGATTACAGGTGTGAGCCACTGTGCCTGGCCTGTGGTTTTCCATTATAGTCAGAAGGGCTCTGTGAGTGTAATCGCTGGCAACCATGTGTCAAGCACACTGTTTCCTGATCACTTTTCTGTAGTTTAAGAGTAAGTAGTGCATAGAATATAAGACGATGTGAAAGAAGATAATTTTGAATCTTAATCATTTTAAATATAATTTCTTTCCATGGAACAGGATCGTTATCAATAAACAAAAATATTTGTAGGGCCCCTGACATGGTACTTTCAGAGAACTCTGTGGTTAACAGAATGATTCTGAGTATCTCACCTAGTTATAAAGATATTTACTGAGGGAAAACAAGATATCAGCTTAGGTTCCCGCACATGTTTATTTTAAAAGATAGTAAAGCCAGCATTCTAGTTTTGGATCATATACTGTCTTACTTATGTATTGTGGGTACACTGTAGTGGAGAGGCTTTGTGTGTGGTTCTACAAAATGAGGCATAATAAAGCTATTTTGAATTCTGCCTAGGTAAAAACATTTAAATAAAATGATCAGTCTTAAAATTATTCTTTTCTTATAAATTTTTTTTAAAAAATTTTTTGTAGAGACAAGGTCTCACTATGTTGCCCAGGCTGGCCTTGAACTTGTAACAATTCATGTTTCATTCAAGTATCAATCAATGCATTTAAAGAATGTCGGTAGATAAGAACATAGGAAAAGTCTACAATACCAATTTTTCCCCACCACTGTTTTAGAAGTAGAACACCTCAAGTGTCCCTCTTGCTTTGTCCACCCAAAGTGTTGGAATAACAGGCATGAGCCACTGTGCCTGGCCCTTGAAATTATCTTAATCCCCAGTTTTTTTCTAAGTGCTGTTAAGATACCAGTAAACCGGAACATGAATAACTGCATTCAGTCTGAGCATAGAAAACTGCTTAGGGACAAATGGAAGGGAAACTTGGTCTTTAGACCTTACTGTAGAGCCTGGATAATATAAACTAAACTATTCAGAGTTATGTGTCAGTAGATGGTGGAAGAATGTGGTTATGGAGTGAAGGAAGGAACACTTTCAGGCAGGGTTTAGTTCTATCAAGTCTACTAGTAGCAGGGGACTTAGGAAGAGAAGGTCCAATGCAAATGAACCCTGGGAAGGGATAGTTAGTAGGAAAATAATCACCAGATATAATGAACTGAAGACACGTATGAAATGTAACAACTACTAATCAGGTTTTATAAATAAAGAAATTTATGACAGAAAATGGGCTTTCACAGGGAAAGCACATATGCTGATAGTTTGTATCAGTCATGATATTAATCTTCAGATGTAATATCGTTAATCTCCAGTGGTTACATCAAATACTACCTCTTTCACTGGCCTATTTTGAGTCCATAAGCATAGGTAAATTTCCTGCCCTCTGAATTCTGCTTCATAGTAGAGTACCTTGTGTTTCTTTCAGTTTTTCCCAATAAACCATTATAATTTCCCTGTCTCCAGGAGCTGATGTCTGATTTATTTTTGTATCCCACATTCACAGATCTTAACATTTTACAAGATAGTTCCAAGTAACCTTATTTATTCATTTAAGTAAGTAGTGAACAATTATTAACTTGGTTCCTAAATCTTTTCTAGGATATTAGGAATTTACGATTTGCTCATAAACCTGAGGGGCGGACAAGAAGATCCATATTTGAGAATCTAATGAAATATGCATTTCCTGTCTCTAATAACCTGGTAAAATGTTTCCTGTCTTTGGAAAATTTGTGCTATAATTATTGATGTCGTATAAAGAAACTTGTCTAGGCTGTCTAGAATCTCTACATTTACATCCCTGCTTTGACATTTAACCAGATGTATAGTGTAAGTGTAACTTAGTCTCTTAGATCAATTTCTTTAGGTATGAAATAAAGGAAGCTGGACTAGCTGATTTCTGAGGTCCATTCCAGCACTAACATTTTATGATTATATGATCTTGCTATTCAGGGTGTTTCCATGATGAAAAGTTACCTGTTGTCTTCATTAGGATTTGTAATCTCCTTTTTAATTGGGAGCCAGTTAACACTAGCAATTTGGGAGGGAGGTAAGGGTAGGCAAACCCTGAGTTCCCACTATGTGCTTTAGACAGTGTTAGACTCCCACGTTTATATCATTTCACTTCTATGTAGCCTATGGTGGTAGATATTATTTATCCCTGTTTAGCGATGAAAGCAACATCAGGTAAGCAGTTAACTCAAGGGCACAGTTAGTAGGAGTACCATTTGGAATCAACGTTGGTCTTATGACTCCAGTTCAAATTTTTTTCACATCATAGTTGTGTTTAAATGTAATGTCTTTATTTGAAAGTAAACCTACAAAGGCTACCAAGGATAATCTGAAAGAAATACAATGATATGTTGGTATTTGATAAGTTTTGTTGGCAAGTGTCTTTGCTTTTTTGTATGCTTAAAAATATGTAAAAAAATAGATTTTCAAAATGATAAAACAAAAACTATAATACAAAAAAGGATGCTAATACATAAAATGTTCTTGCAGATAAATAAATGAAAACTTTGGATATATGGATACATTTCTGATTCATTACCTTTGTGAATATCTTTTTTAGCTCTTACCATTGTTTACTTTTTTGTAGCCTCTTTTTGCTTTTGAATACAAAGAAGTATTCCCTGAAAATGGGTGGAAGCTATATGACCCTCTTTTAGAGTATAGAAGGCAGGTATGTACTTTCTTCTCTTTCAATTTTAGTATTTTGTATTCTTTTCATTCCAAAGAAAACTGGGTGGAACCATGTACGAAAACCAGCATATCTCATACCACAGTAATTCACCACATTAAGAGATTAAAGCAGAATTCAATCTTGAAATCTGTTTTAGTATATCATTCTTCCTATTCTTCCTTCAGTATACCACTTCCCAAAGAGTCCCTATACTGCATTACTTAAGCCCCACCTAAAATAGTCTTTTCTTTATTTTTAACTTTCCTCCTGTCCACTATGCTTTCTTGAGAATTTAAGACATATTGATTATTTCTTGGTAATCATTAGATTTGTTATCTAGAGTATTCTAGAATTCAAATATGAAAATTCTTGAGCTTTTACTTTTGTATTTAAATTTCAAACGTAGCATTTTAATTATAACATTTCTAATTTATTGTGGTTTTGTTTCACAAAGCCAGGTAGAGGTAAAGAACCACCACCAGAGAGCTAAAGATATCTAAATGACTTGAAGTGGGGTTTGTTACCACACTTACATGTGGAAAGTGAAGTTGAAATTTCCTCATTCAGTTATAAAGTTATTTGGCAAAATATGAAATAGAATACAAAATAAGTGGGAATCAACTAAAAGCCAAGAGTATACAAGAAACAGGAGATTCATGCTAACTCAAAAATCCAGTGTCAGAAGAAGATGACTAAGCAACCAAAAAGTCTAGCAGGTGTCTTTAGAAATTATAAAAATGAGGACTACTCTTTGAGAATCTGGGAAGAAATTGCTGTCCCAGGAGCATTCAGTGTAGAACTTTGGAAAGCAGGTGTCTAAAGAAAAGAGGTAAATTATTACTGAAAAAAAATAAGTTGAAGTGTAAATGAACAACTATACCCATACAGAAAGAGAATTAAGAGATTAGGAATTGTGGCAGTAAGAATAGAGCATTAGCTTCTACATAAAATGGTATGGATGCTTTATGGTCTTTGACTTACTAGATGAATTTGTTGGCTTTTTTTTTTTTGGCAGCATGAGAAACTGTCTCTGAGTCAACTAAAAGGTCTAATGGAGAGGACACTGTATTTGTAGTTAGAAGCTGTAGTTTTAAGATTTTTTTCTTGGATATATTTTAAGTTTATTACAGAAGAAAATGAAGATGATCTCTTAAAATTAAGGACTAATGATAAAGCATCAGATTATTCACTTCCCCCCCTTTAAATAAAAAAAAAAAAGGAAGTGGTAATACTTGCATTCTGTACAAAATTCAAAAGGTCCAGCAGGGTATACTGAAAGGTAGGTTTTCCTTGCAGGACAACCTGTGTCCCCCTAGCCATTCCAGTTCCCCTCCCTTTAGGAAATGATATTATTGGTTTCCTGAGTATTTTTTTCAAAGGTTTCATGCCTACAAAGCTTGTGTATATATGTGTGGGTATTGTTTTTTTAAGCATATGGTAGCATGCCATGCACACTCTTCTGTGCTTTTCTTTCTTCATTAATATATTTTGGAGATGGTACCATCTTCAAACATATAGACCTTTCTTTTTTTTAAATTGAGATGTAACTCACATACCATAAAATTTACTGTTTTAAAGTATACAGTCCACTGCTTTTTAACATATTCACGAAATTGTGCAATTACCACCACACTCTAATTCTAGCACATTTAGAAAACTTAGTTTTGAATTTTAGCTCTAGTTCTTACTCTCACACTCAGATGTAGGCTCTTGAATGAATCATTTATGGCACAGTGCCTTCATTTTTTACTTGGTGATAGATACCACGTTATGGGATGTTTGAAGGATTAGTGACATATAGAAAGGCACTTTGTAAACTGTAAAAATCTATCCAAATGATGATTATTATATTTATTACATTGTGAGGCTCTGAAAAACAGATATCATGACTGGCTTTATCATGTGCTGCCACTAAAAAAATGAAAGCTACATTCATTCAACAGATCTACACTTAATAGTCTTAAAAGAAATTAGACTATATCTCTTCAAAAATGGGCAAAGGCTGGGCGCAGTGGCTCACACCTGTAATCCCAGCACTTTGGGAGGCCGAGGCAGGCAGGTCGCTTGAGCCCAGGAGTTTGAGACCAGCGTGGGCAACATAGTGAAACACCATCTATACAAAAAAATAAAAATTAGCCAGGTGTGGCATGCACCTGTAGTCCCAGCTACTTGGGAGGCTGAGGTGGGAAGACCACCTGAGCCTGGGAGATCAAGGCTGTGGTGAGCTGTGAATGTGCCACTGCACTCAAGCTTGGGCAATAGTGAGATGCCATGTCTCAAAAAATAAGTAAATAAATAAAAATGGACAAAGTTATTAATAACCATTTAGGTTTGTCATATAGGAGAATGTTTCTTTAATTTACTCTTGAAGGACATATACAGTATGTAGTGATTATAGACAGGACTATGGAGTTTGTGGATAAGGCCAAGAAAAATCAAGTCATCTGGGCACAGTGGCTCACACCTGTAATCCCAGCACTTTGGGAGGCCAAGGTGGGAGGATTGCTCGAGCCCAGGAGTTCAAGACAAGCCTGGGCAACATGGTGAAACCCTGTCTCTACCAAAAATACAAAAATTAGCCAGGTGTGGTGACACATGCTTGTAGTCACAGCTATCCAGGGGGGTTGAGGCAGGAGGATTGATGGAGCCCTGGAGCTCGAGGCTGCAGTGAGCCCTGAGCATGCCACTGCACTCCAGCCTGGATGACAGAGTGAGACCCTGTCTCAAAAAAAACAAAAAGGAAAAATATCAAGTCATGGGTAAAAATCTGTATAAAGATAATGAGCAGTCCAGTACAGTGGTTCACACCTGTGACCCCAGCACTTTGAGAAGCCAAGGTGGGAGGATTGCTTGAGCTCAGGAGTTCGACACCAGCCTGGGCAACATAGTGAAACCCTATCTCTACAAAAAATACAAAAATTAGCCAGGCATGGTGGTGCATGCCTGAAGTCCTAGCTACTCTGGAGGCGGATGTGGGAGGATTGCTTGAGCCCTGGAGGTTGAGGCTGCAGTGAGCTGTGATTGTACCACTGCAGTCCAGCCTGGTGAAGAGTGCAGAGACCTTATCTCATGAAACGAACAAAAAAGATAACGAGCACGGTCTTCTGCAGAAATACCCAACATAAGTTACATGCATTACTTAACAAACTTGGAAAACAGTTACTTCAGTCAAGGGAAAGAGAACTTATCCTTAGAACTGGAATGTAAGTAACTAAGAAAGCCATGGTCCTTTCAGTTTGTTTGTATAATAAACTTGACCCTGACAAGTGGATACTGAAGGGCAGTGATTTTGCTTGGAGAGTAGATATATACCAAAGATCAATAATTGTCAGTATATTTTTAGTAGTCTACAAAGAGAGTGTCTGAGGGCTAGCCAATTCCAGTTTTCTGCTTGAAAGGCAGTTTTTAGTGAAGATAGGTGTGTCGGCTTATCTAAGAATGAGGAGGACAATAGCCATGAAGGTAATCTAAGTCATTGGTTCTCATTCCTACCCCACCCTGCTACTTACGTGAATAATGTGACATTCCCCATGAGAACAGTGGTTCTCCTGGTAGTGTTTTTACAAGGATATGGGAAGTGGGGTGGGAGAGAGACAGGAGTACCTTTCTGGGTTGGGGGATGGTACATTAGGCCCTCTGATGTATACTTCTCAAGTGATCTGACCTTTAGCTCTGACTCCATGTTTTCTAAGAAAACTTCAGAAACTAATTTTGCTTCATATGGAAACTTCCTGTGGTTCACTGATTTATTCATTCATGCATTTATCAAATTCATATAATACCTTCTAAATACTAGTGGCTAAAATATGAAACAAAATGATAAAGTCCAGGTTCCCAAAGAGTTTGTGTTCAGTGGAGCATTCAAACAAATAGATTAACAATTACAATATAATGTAATGAATAGTCTGATAGAGCAAGTACTGTAGGGAGAGAACATGAGGCCATCTGGGAGCTGAAAGACGTTTGATATAGACTAGACCAGAGCATACAGTGGCAAGGGAGAGATCTGGAGAAAGCAGGATTGTAGAGGGCTTTGCTAAGTCTGGTAAAGGACTTCATATTTTATATGAAAAGCAATAGGTAGCCATTGATTTTAAGCAGAGGAATGACATAATCCCTTTTGCATCTTAAAAGATTACTGTGGAGGCAGTGTAGAGAATGGATTATAGAGGGACAGGAGAGAAGTGATAATGGCCTGAATTAGGGAAGTGGTGGTAAGAATTGAAAAAAGTGAGCAAACTTCTGGTATTTCTGGAGGAAAAATCATAGAAATTGGTCACTGACTGGATGTAAGGGATAAGGGAGGGGGAGGAGTTAAAGATGATAACCAGGTTTCTTGGTTGAATACCATCTCTTTAAACTTGCCAATTCACTGTACTTTTTAGTACAGCATGTGAAAAAAATATATAAGTATATATATGATATATACATATATAAAAAATATGAAATATATATTTTTCACGTGCTATAATAAAAAGTACAGTGAACTGTGTATATATATATATATTATATATAAATTTTTAGAATCTCGCCGTGTCACCCAGGCTGGAGTGCAGTGGCGTGATCTTAGCTCGCTGCAACCTTCACCTCCTGGGTTCAAGCAGTTCTCCTGCCTCAGCTTCCCAAGTAGCTGGGCTTACAGGCATGAGTCACCATTTCTGGCTAAGTTTTGTATAATAGAAACGGGGTTTCATCCATGTTGGCCAGGCTGGTCTTGAACTCCTGACTTCTAGTGATCTGCCCACCTCTGCCTCCCAAAGTGCTGGGATTACAGGCGTGAGCCACCGTGCCCGGCCAGCACGTGAATATTTTGTTAAAAACCTCTAATTAAGACTGTAGTTCTGGAAATAAGTCATGGGTAAAAATCTGTATAAAGTTAATGAGCAGCCTGGTGCAGGGTTTAACTTTCATCTTGAAGTTGTCCAGAATATCTGAAGTCAACGAAATCAGGAGGGAGGGAAATATGTAGACCACAGGGAGCAAGATGGGACCAGGCTAATTATATGGAGTAAACAGGATGTAAGGTAGTAATGAAAGAACAGTTAGGGATAAATAGAAGCGCTATTGAGAGTGTTTGCTGGAAGGGAATTTTCTTTCTTAACATCCTTCTGGGTGTTTGGAAACAGCTTGAGAAATACTTCTTTAAAGGAGAGTACATTCTGCTCTTTGAGATTTTTACAACAATTTAGTGAATACGATAGTAAATTTTTCTTGAGGAATAATGTACTTTTATATAAAAAGGATAGATTTGGAATGCTCATGGAATTCTCTACTACTTCCTAATGTATAGCTTTGGCCAAATTACAAACTGTGCCATAGTTTCTTTATCTATGAAATGAAGTTAATGAAACCTGAGTACAGTAAAATATATCTGTGTGTTTGGGTGTAAAGAGGCTGGCAAAGTGCCTACACATAGTAGATGCTCAGTAAATGTATTTTTCACTTTCAATTCTGTCTTTTTCTGTTTGATAAGAATTTTCAGAGATCATAAAATTTAAGATAGATTTTCTTAAGTCCAACCATTTAATATAATAGCTTAATTTTGTATACAGTGAAGGATGGAAAATTTCAGTTGTTTTATTAATCCTATATGTGAAGTAGTACACTATTTATAAAATAGCAGATATTGAAGGAGCACGAGAGCTCAATAGTTGATATGTTTTTTAAAAATTGTTTCAAGCATTTTTCTTGCCTGTTGCCTGTTGTCATTTTGCCTTGCATTCCTCCCTTACTTTTCTAATATATTTTAGATTAGCAACATCCATTAGTATTATAATACCTCAGTGAAAAATGTACTTTACGTATGTAAGCGATAGCTGTGCATGTAGCACTCTGGTGGACACTTGGTGCCTGACTTCTGATATTTATTTGTATAGATGAATGGCAACAAAGTCAATCATCCAGTCAAACTGAATGAGACCCTGCACTTTGGGAGGCTGAGGCAGGCGGATCACCTGAGGTCAGGAGTTCGCAACCAGCCTGACCAACATGGTGAAACCTTGTCTCTACTAAAAATACAAAATTAGCCGGGCATGGTGGCGCATGCCTGTAATCCCAGCTACTTGGGAGGCTGAGGCAGGAGAATTGCTTGAACCCGGGAGGCAGAGGTTGCAGTAGCCAAGATCGCGCCATTGCACTCCAGCCTGGGCAACAAGAGCGAAACTCTGTCTCCAAAAAAATAAATAAATAAATAAAGAATAGGAACATTTGGCCA
Organism: Homo sapiens; assembly: GCF_000001405.40. NCBI lineage: Eukaryota > Metazoa > Chordata > Mammalia > Primates > Hominidae > Homo > Homo sapiens. Next base: position 95,851,337 of record NC_000011.10, on the reverse strand, counting down.
GGTGTGGTGGCTCATGCCTATAATCACAGCACTTTGGGAGGCCAAGGTAGGTGGTCAGGAGATTGAAACCATCCTGGCCAACCCCGTCTCTACTAAAAAATACAAAAATTAGCCCAGCATGGTGGCGTACGGCTGTAGTCCCAGCTACTCAGGAGGTTGAGGCAGGAGATTCACTTGAACCCAGGAGGCGGAGGTTGCAGTGCGCTGAGATCGCACCATTGCACTCCAGCCTGGGCGACAGAGTGAGACTCTGTCTCAAAAAAAAAAAAAAAAAAAAAAAAAGGAATATTTGAAGTCTTACTGTTTCCTTCCACCTCCTGAATATGCTTAGCACAGGTCCACACTGAATATTTAGTGAATTAATGTCTGTTATATTAACATCAAATTGGGTTCCACAAATGAATACGTATCCCTACATTAGAATATCTAATCCTGAAAGCCTGATACCACAGGCTGACAACAACTATCCCAACACTTTAGGAGATGGATAGTAGAGGTCAGAGAGATTGAACAGGATGGCTTCTGTCCTGGTGTCGTTTAATATTTTAGTTATATAGTAATTTGTCTTATGTTTCATTTCACATGTAGGGAATTCCAAATGAAAGCTGGAGAATAACAAAGATAAATGAACGATATGAACTTTGTGATACATACCCTGCCCTCCTGGTTGTGCCAGCAAATATTCCTGATGAAGAATTAAAGAGAGTGGCATCCTTCAGATCAAGAGGCCGTATCCCAGTAAGTAGGAAGTTTGGATGAGCCTTTGCAAGTGCTTTTTTACTCAACATAATGCTGAGATTAATGAGTAGGAGAATGGATTCAGGATATAAATAGCTACAGCAGCAGGTCTTTCATGGGGATATTGGAGATTGATTTATTTAGTAAAGTTAAAACTGGAAGAAAGACTTAAAGAGGCTTCCAGAGAGTGTGATATGGGTATTAGATAACTGCACAGAATTGCATGATTCTTCACTGAAAAAGTTTGCTGTGTGTATTAGTCACTATTTATTTATCTTATTGTATATTCTTTAGTCATGATGATAAATGTTCTTTTTTTTTTTTAAGTCCTAGAAAGAACACCTTACAGATTTATAACTGGATCTTAGAAAGATGAGCTTAAATAATTTTAGGTACAAAATTCATAGATTCTAAAGGCTTTTAGAACTGAGCAGTTTTACTAATATATTAAGTGGGGTTTACTTAGCCCTGTTTCACAGTATTTTTTTCAGGAGATAACATTTCCCAATAATCAAATACTTTCCTAAATCAGTATCTGACTAAAGAATTAGACCAAGTTTTCCACATCCCAGAATTGGCTTGAAGGAAAGGTGATGATTTTTCTTAGCAGCCTCAGATGTCCTTTCATGGCCAGGCTTTGGATCCAATTAGAAAGCAGAGCTTTACTGAGTACTGTTTTTGAGAATTATAAACAGAGAAGTATGTAAAAGGTGTGTTACCATTTTTTCCTCATTAAGGTTTTATCATGGATTCATCCTGAAAGTCAAGCCACAATCACTCGGTGTAGCCAGCCCATGGTTGGAGTGAGTGGAAAGCGAAGCAAAGAAGATGAAAAATACCTTCAAGCTATCATGGATTCCAATGCCCAGTCTCACAAAATCTTTATATTTGATGCCCGGCCAAGTGTTAATGCTGTTGCCAACAAGGTCAGATGGTCTCTTAGTAATTATAATTATGGTTTCATGAATCAGCTGAGTTTGGCAGGGCCACAGTGTAGTAAAAAGAGCTCAGGCTCTACAGTGGTAAACATATAGGTTCTTGTCTTGGCTCTTCAACTTGATGGTGTGATTTTGAGTTAGTTATTTAACCTCTTTAGACCTCAATTTGTTTATTGGTAAAAATGAGAATAATAATAGTTAACAGTGTTGTTTTGGGAGCAAAAATCATTTAATAAAAAATAATGCATAAACTTTTGCTTACTTACATAATAACTAGGTGTTCAGTTATTCTTAGCTTCCCACTTCTCCAAAGTTGACAACTAACTGAGCTTATGACTCACTGAAGTCCCTGTATAGTACTGCTCTAGGAATAGCGAACTAGTGTTCTCGGTGACTAGTGGTGCCCTCTTCTGACCGTCCTCCACCTGAACAAGTTATTCAGACTGAAGAATTGGCAGTTAGCTGTAGCTGATTGTTCCAGCAGAATAAATATTAGCATTGTGGAAATTGAAATTTTGGTTCAGTTGACCAAATCTATAGGAGGAGGGAAGGAGAGAGAAGACATAACTACAGCAGCAGGTACCATTACTGAAAAGCGCTCATCTTTTCAAGTGTACATTTCAGTGCTTTTAGTATATTCACAAAGTTGTACAACCATGCCACTACCTGAATCCAGGGCATTTTTATTCTATGTGTTTCGGTGACAGGTTCTGTATAGTTGTTACCACTGCTGTCTTTCTAGAATGTTGCAACAAATTTGAATTGAAAGTTCCTGTCTTATTCCCACTCTTCAGAAGTAATCTTTAACAGGTATCCCTTGAAATACTGTAAATTCTATAATTGTGCCAAACGATTTCCCAGACTCTCAGTGTCAGAAAGGAAGCTGAACTTCTGTTCTTTCAGTAGTTTGTTGCTGGTTATGAGTTGGTGGTTTTGTTGTTTCAAAGGTGTGGGTCATATAATCACTTAATTTTGTATAATTTACTGCTCCAGTATTTTCCTAATTTGTTTCTATTAGGGCTCTAAGAAGTATAATTTTACACGAGTTAGGTAGGAGATAGAATATTTTATTCATGAAATATAAAAAGATTAAGTCCAGAAAAATAAGGTTCTTCTTTCTAGCCATAGCTTATTTTGAACACCAAATATTTTCTCATTCTATTTTGTAGATGTAGATTTAAGTCTTTGAGAACATTGATGATGATAGCATTCTGTGCTTTTATCCTTGTTCTGTCTTTTTATTTAAAGAGAATTATGTGGTTAAAAAAGAAGCAGGTCATTTTGATTGCAAAGAGTTTATTTCTCAGATATGAAGATTAAAATGAGGTGAAGAGGCAGGGAGGTGAAGAAGCATAGGTGAACCAGACATGTGGTCTCAGCACATGAAACTTACAGTCTGGTAATTTCAGTATATATGAAAGGAAGTCATCTGTAAGAACTTATGTTTGGGTAGGACTTGGCGTATGGGCTGGGAAAATTTAGTGCTTTACAGTGTTTAAATACCTTCCTATGTGTTTCATATTTAATTTTAATAATGGCCATATGGGCAAGTCAGACTACGTATATATTCATTTTGTAAAGAAGAACACAAGAAAGCGAGTGGTTGTGCTAAATAAGTTGTCCTGAGCCATCCACATTTTCCTGTGGAGTTTTCCTTGTCTCCAGTAATATGTATCATCTTTTATGCTATTGGATATTTTATGTCACTTGTTTACAGATGTGCATTCATTTATGATTTTCCATGATGTGTGCTTTTTTCCAGGCAAAGGGTGGAGGTTATGAAAGTGAAGATGCCTATCAAAATGCTGAACTAGTTTTCCTGGATATCCACAATATTCATGTTATGAGAGAATCATTACGAAAACTTAAGGAGATTGTGTACCCCAACATTGAGGAAACCCACTGGTTGTCTAACTTGGAATCTACTCATTGGCTAGAACATATTAAGGTGGGTGTGTGTTACTATATCCCAAACAAAGACTCTCTCTACCCCTTTGTTTATATTAGCTTTTTACTTATAATTGCAATCAACATGAAGGTACCTTTCTAAACAATGAAAAATGGGTAAATGCTTTGATACTTGGAACTACTAGTGAATTTTAATGTTTGAATGAATTGGTTTTTTATATTGTGCATTTGGTTATGTTGTATTTCTTTTGTTCCCCCTCCCATCCTATCTGAATTCGAACCATCCTTCAGATTCCAGTTCATATTTCATTTCTTCCATAAGGTCTTCCCAGATTGCATCCTTTTCCATTTTCTCTGAACTCTTTACCCTGTCTTTCCATCTAATCAGGAACTAGCGTGTACTTTGTTTGCTTTTGTGTGTCAACCAACGTATATTGCTAATTTATGGAGACCAAGACTGGATAAATCCTACATATATTTTTTTGTCCTCTCAGGAGCTAGGGCAGCACTATCCGTGTGAATAGGTACCCAATAAATATTAGTTGATTTGTGAAGTTAAAACCATTCTGATCAGGGAAATGAGGTGGAGTGGTTGCATGAGCCACACTGAGTGCTAAGTCATTCGCAGAGCACATGTCAGTGCTAATTTACCTAACATGCTAATTTAATCTAGTTATATTTTCAGATATGGTCTGTCAGTAACATAACTCACCAAAATGTAGACTTATGTAACCACATATATAAATATTAAGAGGTAATGGGAAATGCAGTCTTTCACGTTAAGAAGGAGGATACTTCTGCTCACATTAAAATCTCTGAAGTTCAGACAGAATTGAAGAGAAAACCAAACTGAATAAGAATTTTAAATAGACCATTTTTACTATTGTTTCCCTTTGAGAAGCTTAGAAGCTTGAAAATCACAAAGTATAAACACTACTCAGAGAGCATGTTCATGTGGCCCATTCATTAAATTATGTGATGTGTAAATATACAGCCTTAGGCTTGATTTGGAACTAACATAAATCGCTGTGTTTGATTCTGAAAACTCCAGATATTTAATTTGCAGTTTCAACATGGTCTCTAAAAGGCTGGCTATAACAGAATCAAATTTCCCTAGAGTTATAAGACATATAGTTGGGCTAAACTACTTTATTCTCCCCCAATCCTTATCACACAAAGAAAGTTTATTTACTCAATCACTCTCTTCTGGTCTCTGCTCAAATATCACCTTTCTGAGAGAGACCTTTCCCAGCCTCTTTACAAAATAAGAGTTCTACCAGCATTCCCTATAACTTCTATGGAGCGTTTTCACTTATTGCCATCTGGTATACTGTATATTTCCTTGTTTATTTGTGACTGGTGGGCCTCACCCAAATAGAATGTAAACTTCAGTAAGCAGGAACTTTGTTCCCTGCTGTATGGCCCGTGCCTAGAGCAGTATCTACCTTCTAGTAAGGGACTCCATAAATGTTTATTTAATGAATGAATGAACAATTACTACTTTGGATAACTCTTCCTGATCAATCTTAACTAAGCCTTTGGGTTAGTGATTCTTAACTTCGTATATGCACTAGAATTATAGGTGGAATTTATTTAAGATACTGAATTAGGATCATTGGACAATGAGGTCTAGGCACTTCAGGCTTACAAATGACTCTTGATATATAGTCAAGATCGTCATAGTACCCCATTTCCAGAATATGCTTATAGCTGTGATCAAGGGGAGGTTATCATACTTCCAAGCTTAATAATCTGTTTTCTTTCATTCTCATCTGCGTATGTAGAACTATACTGTTTTTCAAGTATAATACAATATGGCCATTGCAGAGAAGAATAGGGCTGTATTGTCCTTTTTTTTTTTTTTTTTTTTTAAGATACCATACTTTTGTGTTTCTTTTTTGGTTATATCTAATTATGTTTAGTTTTAACTCAAGATTGACTTCAGAAAAGGTAAGTTATTTTGCAAAGGATTTCTGCATATTTAAAAAAATAAGAGCTGAAGTTATTTTAAGTAACAGATTGACATATTCTGTGAATTTTCATGCAGTGTTACAGAAAAGTAGCTCACTCTAAAGTTTATACTGTGCTTGCTGTATGCTCTGTGACATAAAAATCTTTAGTCAAAACAATACAATAACTGCTATAGAGTATTTTAAAGAGATCCAGTATTATTGCTTTCAGGTGCTTATCCCAATTTGGTTTAAGCATTGTTTTAAATCATAACAAGGCTTCAATTGCTATATCAATTATTTTTATTTAAATAGATGATGGAATATTTGATTCTTAGAAACAGATCTCTTTAGAACTTTTCTAAGAAGAATCTTACACCATGATTTATGTAGCACCCAAAGGTACTTTTGATTTGGCTATTTCGTTGGGCAAATTAATAGGAGTCAGCAATTATGAGGTTTTTCTAGTTTTAAAAGCAAAATTTATATATCTTCTACCATTTAAAAAAATTCTTCTTAGGAAGGGACAAATGTTTTTCCTCATGTTATTGAAATAATGATCCCTGATAAGCTGTATTAGTAAATTTTGAAGAAGGAAGTATTTACCTTGTTTAAAAACAATGTATTAAAAAATCTGTTTTCCAGCTTATTCTTGCAGGGGCTCTTAGGATTGCTGACAAGGTAGAGTCAGGGAAGACGTCTGTGGTAGTGCATTGCAGTGATGGTTGGGATCGCACAGCTCAGCTCACTTCCCTTGCCATGCTCATGTTGGATGGATACTATCGAACCATCCGAGGATTTGAAGTCCTTGTGGAGAAAGAATGGCTAAGTTTTGGACATCGATTTCAACTAGTAAGTAAGGAACCTTGACTTTGGATATATCACATGCATTCATGCCAAGGCATGTGAAAAAAATGTGTTTTTTAAAATAAGATATTCATCTGAAATTGATCATTTATCTAGTGGGGTAAACGTTTTTGCTTGTTTTGGAAAGCATTAAGATATCCCTAACATGACTAGTCTGGAGTCAGAGCTAGCTATTTGTCAAGTGTCTGACCCAGTCTTTTCTGTGATCTCCACTGGGAAACATCGGATATCATTCAGTGATGTCCACGGGTGTTTCTGGGCAGGCGTTTTCCTAAATAATTGAAAAACTTTTAGAAGGGTCTTTACCCAGATGCTGTCTGTAATGTTTACCTTTAGTATCCAGTAGTTACCAGAGTATACTAGCAGTGTTTATACAGTTGTCCCTTGGTATATGTGGGGGCTTGGTTCCCAGATCCCATGAACAGGCCAAAATCCACACATATTCAAGTTCTGAAGCTGGCCCTGCTGGGACCATGTAAAGTTGGCCCTCTGTGTATGTGGGTTCCGCATCCTGCATTTGGCTGAAACAAATCTGCATATAAGTGGACCTGTGCAGTTCTAACCGTGTTGTTCAAGGGTTAACTGTAACATGAAAGGAACAGACATTTAAAGTTAGTCTGCTCTTTTGAACTTGAACTGTTAAATAAAATTGGGTACCTGGAGTGTTTATTCAGATGGCTCACATTTTGCCGTTCTCTACACAATGTACTTATCATGAAACGGCCATTTAAAACAAACTCGTACTTCAAAGAATCAAGTTTTAGTCAGCCAAAGCTGCACATGTTTATATAAATGTGTTCAAAATCAAACATTTTGGGGTGTTCGAAGTTGCTATGGATTCCTAAATTGCTAACTCTGGTTACCTACTCCCCCCGTTCTTTTTACCTAGTTATATTCTGAAAATAGAATCTTGACAATTAAAGGGCACCCAGTCAAGAGGATTTGCTCACAAGGTTAATGTAGAGTAATGATTCTCAAACTTTTTGGTTTCAGGACCCCCTTTACATTGTTAACAATTATGGATAGAACTTTTTTTTCCTAACTCCCCAAACTTGTTACCCAGAGAACTTTATGTGAGTTATATCAATATTTGCCATATTGAAAATTAAATTTGAAAAAATTTAAAAATATTTCTTAATTTAGGAAATAAGCTTATTATATATTAACAGAAATATTTAAACTAAAAAAAATATTTTCCAAAACAAAAAGTTTAATGAAAAGACTGGCATTGTTTTACTTTTGCAAATTTAATGAGTTTGGCTTAATAGAAGATAGCTGAATTTTATATCTATTTTTACCTTCAATCTGTTATGTTTTGTTGGTTTTAGTATATGAAGAATATCTAACCATATACAGATATGTAAGTGGAAAAGCAGAAAGTATTTTAATAGCTTTTTCAGGGAATTGTAGATATTCTTCTTTGATACTACGCCAGAACTTGATAAATGGTAGTTTCTTAGAGGTTAGTTGTTATATGGAATCCAAAATCAAGTTAATGAATTTTTTTTATCATTAAATTCCATTGGTCTCACTTCCATTTTGAATAGATCTTTTACCCATGTGTGGTTTTGTAACATCACATATTGGTTATTTGGAAAATACTGGCTTATTGAGTTACACAGATCTTCCAAATGTAAATGCATTTCATCATATAATACCATAAAATCACACTTGTTAATCATCACCATTGGTTTTGTCAGAAAAGCCTTCAAGTATTTTTAAGCTCATTATGGTGGGCAAAAGTTCACCAAAAATTGAGTTTTCACTCAAAAGCTTGAATTTTTTCATTGACAACAAATATTGTCAGCTGTTTTCCTTTCAGTGATAATTCACATTGTACCTTTTCAAAAAAAAAAAGTCTTTAAGTCTTTCTAACCACAATGCATACATTAATTTTTCTTTCAAGTAAAAATGATGAGAAAGTGCTATCTCCTACCATACTACATGCAGTAGCAAAGAGTTAACACATATTTCCCGTTTTGTCACACAGGCCATTAAAAAAAAAGTGTACTTAAGGGATGAGATTTAATAAAATCAGTAATTTTTACTGCGTTGTTAAGTACACTGGCATAAGAGAAATGGACTTTTTTTCTTTAATTTAACTGTGAGTGTCTGGTAGGGTAGAATACAGTGGGTACGAATGCAGTTTTAATTATAAGCATTGCCCTGCTTGATGCCTGCAAAGGCACCAGAATTTTTATCCTTCATAACTTCTGCATCATTAGTGCAAATGCCAACACACTGAAAAAGGTAAATAATGTCTTAATATTATGGAAATAGTTTTGACCTCACAGCCCTTGGATGTTTGTGGACCACACTTTTAGAATTCCTGCTTTGGGGTAAGGAGCAGGATTCTGTTTTCAGTTATCTGAGTCAAAGGTCCTCAGAGGAAATAACTGAGAAACTAGGTAGATGACTGCATGCTTGGAGGGTGGATGTCAAGCATTTTTGACAGGTTTTCTAAGATGTGTGCTAATATGGTTCCTCCTGATGAAGACACATTAGTGCTAAGATAGGAGGGGGTACCCTTCACTCAGTGGTCAAGATATGAACAGAGAATGGTGCTTTCTGAGGCCAGTGTCCATGTAACTTATTTCTCAGAGAGAAATTAAAATCTCCAGGACAAAAATCTGGCCTCTGAGGTTCTGACTGCTTCCATCTTTTATTAGCAACCTTTTAGGATCTGAGTTTATTAAACAGAGTAGTAATTCATATTATAAGCACTTGTGTCAGAAAATATCTGAGCAGTTTGCACATCAAAATGTTTCTGCTTGGCAGGATAATGGGTGATTTTTTACTTACTTTGCAATGCTCTTTAAAAGACTTTCTGAAAATTTTTATGTATTTGAGACAGGGCCTTGCTGTCATGCAGGCTGGAGTGCAGTGATGCGACCGTAGTTCACTGTAGTCCTGTACTTTTGGGCGCAAGCCAGCCTCCCACCTTAGCCTCCTGAAAGCTAGGACTACAGGTGCACGCCACCATGCCTGGCTTTTAAAAATGTTTTGTAGAGATGGGGTCTTGCTATGTTGCCCAGACCCATCTCGAATTCCTGGCTCCAAGTGATCCTTCCACCACAGCCTCCCAAAGTGTTGGGATTACAGGTGTAAACCACAGCACCCGACTTTGAAAATTTTTAGACTATTGACCAATTATTTTTTTAAAAAATTATTTCCATCAAAACATGAAAAATCCCCCTAAGTTCATATATTTCACTCTTTTTGCTTCAGAGAGTTGGCCATGGAGATAAGAACCATGCAGATGCAGACAGATCGCCTGTTTTTCTTCAATTTATTGACTGTGTCTGGCAGATGACAAGACAGGTAATTTATCTGGCCTATGTATTCTTACACATCTCCTTTCAGTTTTCCTGTCAGAGTGGGGAGATTTGGTCACTGATTAGCCTATAGATCATTAAATGGAAATTCTTGTAACATCTCCATGTCCATGTGAGAGCTATTTATTGTCACATTATGAATCAGGTTAAAGATTAACACTTGAAAATTTGATTCTATTAGTATTTCAGTGAGTAGCATTGATAATAACTCCTGAGAGGTTTTATCATTTGTTTTGAACAAATAGTGTTAAATAGGCTCACCTAAAAACACATTTATATATTGCTAAGAGTGGAGAAAAAATAAGCTAGGTACCGCAAGCAAAATAAAATATTTTAAGTAACTTTAACTGTTAATTTTTTTTTTGAATTTCAATCTGCTTCTTCTGAAAATTTTTATTTTAAGGGAAAAATGTTTATATAGAAAGCATAACAAGGGAGGCACATACTACATCCAGTTCTTTTTATTTTTTGGCATAGAGAGAGCTATTATGGCTTTTAGAACTTCTAACAAATTTATTTGAAATATTAATATAAATGAATTTAATCTTTTGGAAAGAGTAGAGGGGACTGAGAAAACACCTGGTTTATTGTGAGATCACTTTATTAATGAGGCAACGGGTCATTGTCTTAAAAATATGATTTAATTCTGACTCAAACCATCTCGAAACCCTGTTGAATGCAGCTCATTGGGAGATAATTATTTACCCAAGGGTTTATTAGACCCCAAAACAACTGGAAGTCTGAATTGTTTTTATTTAGATTGCCATATGAATTTAAAGTAGGGCAAGTGCTGGCTCTGCCTGGCTTTGGATCATATTTATTTAGGAGCATATTTTTAGCTTCAATAAAATACTGTTTATTTCAATACAAGAAAATTAATGGTAATGGGGTGAAATAATCATCAATTATATATTTAACAGTCCCTTGCCTCCATAAGCATTTCTACTTGGGTGAATTATTTAGAAACTGTTGGGTTAAATGAAGCATTTTTGTAGCTATGACTATGATATGATGAGACTAGTATTTTAGCATATATACTGAAAAGGTGTATACAATTCAGTTTTGGTTTATAAATCAGACCTTTGGTGTGTTGGGAGGTAAGAGGAAGGAGAGGTGCAGTGTTTAATACTTTCTTGGATTAGGTTTGACTTTTTCCTTTGGAATTGGCTTTGAGGCAGTATATCAACTACCTAAGTCCCTACAATCCTTTTTTGGATGTTTGACCCAAAACATTAGGACCCCACTTTTGACTGTTACCATATTCAGTTTTAAATAGCCTTTGACTCTTGGTAGAAATAAAATTCGCCATCAAAGGAGTAGGAAAGCTCTTTGAAACTGTGGTATTGTTGATGGTTGTGTGTACTGCTTTCCAAGGTGAATACCTTGAAGGAAACGATGTGTTTGAATGTATCAGTTCTGATATGTTTGCTAGAAAAAAAGCACATTTACCAATTTCTTGCAAAGAAGAGTACACGATAATCTATAGCCAACCACCCTGAATGCACCCATCTCATCTGATTTTGGAAGCTAAGCAGGGTCGGGCCTTGTTAGCACTTGGATGGGAGAAGAATACATCATAATACATTTCTTCCTTAGTAATTTTAATTTTGTTAACTTTATATATGCTGTCTATCTAAAAGTAGTTTAATCCTAATTTTGAGCCTGGCACTAAATAAAAGAAAATCAGTTTAAATCTGTATTTTTGATAGAACCTAAAATACTTTGTAGCCATCTTTATTTTATACACCTAGTGTTTTTCTGTATATTTTCTTCCTGAATATAAAGCATATTAACTAGTCATAATGTTTGTTAGCAATTATCAGTTTTATAAATACTTGAATACTAGTACAGAGACTTGAATAGCACATTTGTCAAAACAGAACCAACTATGTTATGACAGCCAGATTCTATACCTCTCCTCCTATTTCCATCCTCATCTCTGTCACCTCAGCCCTGAGATCAGGAAGCAATTGTTGAAGGGCCTTTTAGATTTTAAACATGTAAAGAAAACAAAATAGTTCTCTTCTGCTGAGGGTTTTAAAAGCAATAGCTGCAGTTAATGCCCTGCTATTTTACTTTCTTTGTGAGGAAATGCCTACTGATTACACTGTCTTCTCATAACTGAGCTAACAGTTTTGCCAAGAAGATGAAAAACTAATCGCAGGCTTAGATCCTTGGGATTGCTATTTAGTGATTCAGGATGCATTCATATTTCGCTAATAATAGGGCTGTTAAGAGTGTGAAAAATAGGTGGGATTTATTTTTTAAAGGAATAAATGGGACTTGACAAAGTTTTTTACAATTGGTTTTGTTGTGGAAATGCTTGGTCATCTTCTGCTTGATCATCTGCTTCATTCAGCTTCACAGCCACAAAAATCAAGGCCTAGTAAGTGCCCTTTCTTGTTTAGGAAATCTGTCATGTTACCCTGTCTATACTTGCTAAAATGTAGGAAACTTTAAGGCAAAGTTGTTTTCATCCATGTTCCATTTACATGATGTTTATACTATTTTCCTCCACTATAAAGGAAGGGATCTAAGATGTAAAAGCTTGGAAGCAATGTGTATTTTCACAGTCTGCAATCTAAATATTTATATAATTTCTTATCACGTACAGCCCTATAATTGGTAGAATCTTACATAGAAGCTTCCAAATAATTCTGAAATATTAGATAGGATGGATTAAACGAAACCTTCTAACTTTCAGGGGTTCGTAATTTTTCATTTGATTAGTCCCCTAAAATTGTGTTGTGTAAAACTAAGACATCCAGTCAAGCCCCTGGCTTGGGTTAGAGAGTGAATTTTCTTTTTGTTAGATGCTGCCAAAATAGTGGCTTACAAGGGACTCTGGTTTGATGGGATGGATGTTCCCTGAAAAGTTTACGTCGGTGCAAAAGTAATTGCCATTTCAATGGCAAAAGCCGCAATTATTTTTGCACCATCTAAATATTTAATAGGTTGGTTGACTTGTAAATTATCTGCCTTAGATGTTTACTTTTGTGTATTGCTGACATTTTCTGGAGACATTATTGGCATTTTGTGTGTAATCCTTAAAAAAGAAAAACAACTATGTTCTTGAAAATTTAAAGAATCTTAATGTTGTTTGTGGTCATTTTGGGCAGAGAATGCCTAGAGTTGCCAGAATTGCCTAAGTCAAAATTCAGCCTGCAAATTTAGGGTTAGCAGATATAGCAGATACAGAAACATCATGATCAGAAAAGTGATAACATGATTTTTGAAAAGAAAACCATACGAATAATGCCATAATGGCTTGGAATAATGTAGATTTGAATGTTTAACTTCATTTTAAATACTACCTCAAAAGGATCTACCCATGACAGGGATGAATATGCTTGAAGAATGTCTTAATTTATGTGTTTGTGATGTTTGATTTGCAGTTTCCTACCGCATTTGAATTCAATGAGTATTTTCTCATTACCATTTTGGACCACCTATACAGCTGCTTATTCGGAACATTCCTCTGTAATAGTGAACAACAGAGAGGAAAAGAGGTAAAATATGAAACATGACCTTCCCCATACTATCTCTACTGTATACTTTTCCCTAAAAGAATGTACTCTGTGACAGATTTCAACTGAAGTCATTCTTTTGGGTCATACTTTATCTTACATGCTATAATATTGAGGGCTTCCTTCCATATATCTGGACCTGATATATTCTGAAGTATCTTTGTCACAAGGCTGAAGGTGCTAGCTAGCTGTCTGCTGAGTTCATGAGTGGGAAGTGGTTTCTGCTAAAGAGAACTGAAGTACGTGAAATCTAAGGAGCACCAGTGTACCAATTTTTCCATGTAGAATGGAAATCCTTTACAGCAGGTGCAGAAAAATTTAATTAGCAGAAAATGTATATTCGAGTGAATAGGCAGCTCAAATTCCCAAGTATATCCTACTTATTGAGACATTTTAGGTTAAGTTTTTGAGTTTTTTAAGTTGTAAAGTAATACCATAAAAAAATTCAAATACGGAAAAGATAGTATGTAGAAAGTTAAAGTTTTTCGTTATCCCTTTTCCCCAAAGGTATCACTGTTAAGTGGGGTTGGTATTAAGAAGAAATGGTGTAAGGATTACATTTCAAGTTTTACTTCTTTATCAAAACTTGTCTATCCTATGTATCAACATCTTAATCATCTTGATTGGTATCTCCCTCTGCATCAACTTTTATTCTAAAAAATGTGGTTACAAAGTATTTATGTTTTATTTTATAAAGCACAGTAGGAATAAGTACTTGCACTGAAGCCCAGTTGCTGGGTTCAAATCCTGGATCTATCACTTACTGTAACAGTTCGCTTGGGGAAGTTAATGTCTGCTTTTGTAAAATTATGAAGATTATTAAATAAGCAATACAAAATACCACAAGAACTGCTATGTAGTATTTCCTAGACTTCCTTAAAGGCAGGTATTAAATTTTTAAATTCACCTTATGTCTTCAGTGTCTAGCATGCAGTAAGTATTTCTATGCATAGCAGGCACTCAACAACTTAAGGAATGTTCATTAGAAATAGCATAGCTAAGTTTCGAAGAGTTTTATTTTTTGAGAGCCTTGGGGTAGGAATCATTGATTATTTTTAAAAAAACTTTTTAAATTGATAATAATATGCATACCATGAAATTCACTTTGATAGTGTATAGTTGACTGGTTTTTAGTATATCTGAGTTGTACAGCCATCACATTTTCATTTCAGAACATTTCATCACCTCAGAAAACCTGTTAATAGTCACTCCCCATTCACCCCTGCCAAACACTAATGTTTTTGTCTCTAGATTTGCCTCTTCTGGACATTTCATATAAATGGAATCATTTAATATGTAAACCTTGTGTCTAGCTCCTTTCCTTTAATATGCTTTCAAGGTTCATACATTTTATATCATTTCTTTTTATGGCTGAATAATATTCCATTGTGTGGATATATTTTACTTATCCATTCGTCAGTTGATGGACTTTTAGGTTGTTCCCACTTCTTGGCTGTTAATGAATAATGCTGCTTTGAACATCTATAAAAAAGTTTTTGTACAGACATGTCTTCTGTTTGCTGGATATGTACAAGAGTGGAATTGTTGGGTCATATGGTATCTCTTTGAGGAACTGCATACTGTTTTCCAGTACCCTCTGATCTTAATATAAGTTGGTTTATCACTGAAGTCTCCAAGTCCACTTCCTCTAAAGAGATTTTAATGACAACAAAGTACTTCTTCACAAATTTCATCTAAAGTGTAAATGGCTTATGTGGTGGAGAATCTTTACCTATTTTTCCTGCCTACAGAATCTTCCTAAAAGGACTGTGTCACTGTGGTCTTACATAAACAGCCAGCTGGAAGACTTCACTAATCCTCTCTATGGGAGCTATTCCAATCATGTCCTTTATCCAGTAGCCAGCATGCGCCACCTAGAGCTCTGGGTGGGATATTACATAAGGTGGAATCCACGGATGAAACCACAGGTATGTGCCTTACAATATACAATGGGAGTTTTCATTCATGCAGTGCAACTTTGTCTCCTTAAAAGCAGCTGGAAAGATTATCTGTGCATATTTAAAACTTTACTCCTTACCCATTGATAGTTAACAATCGTATAGTAGAAAAATACTACACTGGGGCAGGGTAATCAGTATACCTGGTTCTTAGGACTGCTTGTATGACATTGGACAAATCACTGCTCTCTTTTCTTGCATCTTCCCTCCTCTGTCTGGATAACCTCTAGGGGGTCTTGTTTTAATAAGCTGAAGAAAGTAGCTTTAGGAAAGTTAAAAGCTGAACAAAATTCTGGTCTACTGTGAATATGTTTATGGAATATTAACTACTTAGAACTGTTTAAGACTAAAAACCTATAAATAACAGGGAATCTTCTGACTACTGTCTTTTAATTGTCTTGTTAATTATTTGTTGTATTTGGAAAAGTACCAGTTTCAGGAGCACCTACACAGCAGGTTATTCTTTGGAAATACTCAGGGGCACTGGGAAAGCCAGTGAAAAGATTAGTGGTGTCCACAGTCCCGGTATTTAATTTCACTGATGGGTTGGAAAGGTGCCATTGGTTCCAACAGCTGAAAAAACATACACTGCAACATTTAGGGAATGATTTGACCTGGCTTTGGTCAGGATTGCCTAGTTGAATATTTTATGTTTTGCTCTTGCAGGAACCTATTCACAACAGATACAAAGAACTTCTTGCTAAACGAGCAGAGCTTCAGAAAAAAGTAGAGGAACTACAGAGAGAGATTTCTAACCGATCAACCTCATCCTCAGAGAGAGCCAGCTCTCCTGCACAGTGTGTCACTCCTGTCCAAACTGTTGTATAAAGGACTGTAAGATCAGGGGCATCATTGCTATACACTCTTGATTACACTGGCAGCTCTATGAGTAGAAAGTCTTCGGAATTTAGAACCCATCTATGAGAGAAAGTTCAGTCACTTTATTTATTTTAAATCTCTCTAGGATGAGTTTAGAACTGTAGCAGTGCAGGTGGCTTAAGTGAAGTAACTCCATATGTAATTACATGATTATGATACTAATCTTTTAAGTATCCAAAGAATATTAAAATACTTCAATCCTGGATTCACAGTGGGAACAAGTTTCTATTAAAAGGCAAATGCTGTTACAAATTTTTGGCATCTGGTAATATTAAAACCATTTTAGAAATACACTCTGTGCTCACTGTGCAGAGGAACATCAGTTTTCAAACCAACACTGAAATTCTGTGGCATCACATATATTGGGCCTTGATGTCATGACAGATCAAAATCATTTGATATCCCTTTCTCCATTCTAGGTTTTTCTTTTTTTCAGTAACTGATTTACCTTGATCACTTTTCAACTTCCATATTCTTCATATAGTAAAAGGCAAAGTGTTGAAGATACTACGGTGTGGTAGTAGTTGAAAATTATTGCCGTCATTATTTACATACTTAAGACATATTAGCAAGTTGATCCAAAATGGGAGGCCTTATAGATGTGCTTGGGGGAAAATGAAGGGGAGAAAGTAGCCATACAGGAGTTCAAAGAATTCCATGCCCTTCAGATTAGCCCAATTACCAGAAACATCATGAAAGATATTTTAAAAACTAATTATTTACTACAGTGTATTTCACTTGTCTTGTGTGTCTGAACACACAGAAGCTAATTAGCAAGTTTTTAAGAAGTATTTAAAAATCTTACTAGGATTGACATTTTTTCTGAATTCTGTATAAATAGCTTATAGTGAGAAGTACTGTGCTCAAATTTTACATTTTTTTCCTTTGCAAATTCTGTAATTTCACTCAACGATTAAGTCTACCAAAGAACACACTGCATGTAAAAGATGTATTACAATCTCAAAGCCAGTAAAAGAAATCTTGCTTCACTGTTCACCTGCTACAAGTAAGAGTTTGGTGCTGGTAGAAACATTTGACTCTGATGTCTATTTTATTCTACATAAGAGCCATATGTAATGTACTGTAACAAAGGAGCTTCTTGTCCCCTTGGTCTTTTAATTAAAAGAAATTCCAACTGACTTTTAAACTTTGTTCTTGTCCAAAGTTGCCATTTCTTTTTTTTCCCCAGAAATATTTGGAAATTATTGGAGGAATATGCACCCCAGATGAAAATGTTCAGTTTGTACCCATTTTTCCTTAACCAACACCCAAATCAAACAATTAAAATATACAGTGTTTTTCCACTCACTAATTCACTATACAGAGAGTCTGAACCTTAGCCTCCCTCTTGGTCTTGCAGTGAGGAAGTTTCTATTAGTATATCCAATTTAGCAAAATTGGTACCAAAATGATTTCTTTGGTAATTGTGTGAAATATAAGCTTTTTAACAGGGCATTTAAGTGGCTAGCAAATCAGTAATTAAAAATTAAGCTTTCTACTCCAAGTATTTCACAAACGCATCTGCCATTTTCCTCATTTAAACCTTGGTTATCTTGGCCTGATACCACATAAAAGAATGTAGAATGGCTGAAGAGATCAAGAATTTAAAGCTTCTAGTCTTAACATACTTGCATCCACTTCAAATTCAAATCAAAAGCCAGGGAAATCTAAGTGCAACCCTACCACTTCTCTGCTGAGAACCTTCCAGTGGTTCCCCTCACCTTCTGCAGAAGTCTCCAATATGGAGTACATGCACTTGGGCATTTAATATATACCACTGGTGTGTGTGGGAGGGAGGGAGGAGGAATACTAGCCCTTTTTATATATTTACACAAGCAAAACTTTTAAATATTTGAATTGACAGTTACATGTTTCATAACTTTGTATGTCTATTGGTTGTGCAGGTGTAATTTTTTCCCTTTTTGATTAGGGTTACAAAATTTAGAGACCAGTATGATTAAGTTGAAGCTCCTTAGCCTCCTTCGACCTAGTCTCTGCATACCTCAACTTTTACGTACCAATGCTACTCTGCTGTTCACAATTGCCTCATGTAATCTGCAGATTCCTGCCTCCCCACTTTGGTTCAGTCTGTCTTGTGCACCTGGAACAACTGTTCTCCCTTGTGACTAATTCCTATTTTCTAGAGTTTAGGCATCATCTCTTCCTTTGGGAAGTTATCTGATTCACGACTGCCTTCTCTGACATCCCCACCTTCCTCTGTGCCCCCATAGCACTGTGTATACCGCTACTACCACTGCAATTCACATTATATTGGAATGAACAATTCACATGTCTACCACAAGTCTGTAAACATAACCTTATTTGAAATGAATTGCAATAAAGCTCTGTTACAACGTAAGTGGATGGATGACACATTCCTCTACTGTAAACTTGCAGATAAGAAAATGGAAGCAGTATTTTTTCACTTCTCACCTGACAGTACAAAAAGCTGGAGTAGTTCAGTTTGAATCCTAGCTGAGAAAAGGGGTGGGATTTAGCATCATTCAATCACCATTCTCCTAATTAGGACTCAGAGCCACTACAATTCAAATGATGGTTATACAATTTAATGACCTGAAATTCAAACAAGGAGATAACAGGAGTTTTTAATAGCTGAAATGGTGGTTGACACATATATTTATCATGTCACCAGAGCACTGTTTCTCACTTCCCTTGTGTCTATGGGCTCACAATTATTAATTCAATCAAGCTACGAACCTACTCATTAGAAAACTGGACACAGAAGCACAAGTTTACAATTTCAGGAGAGTCACAAATAATACCCCAAAATCTTAAGGATCCTAAATTAAAGCCTGTTACTGTAGTATCTTGTATCATGAGGAAATCTAATATTCTTGGGCTCTCTTTCTATGTAAGCATGAGTGTGGCAACTAAGTACTAGTTTTTTCTCTTCATCAATACATTGATGTCCTCCTATTTAGAAATGCATTTTTTGAGAGCTTGTCACAAAGCCTTTATTAACAGGCTGTTAAGGAAAGTTGCAGTGTTTCCTTTAAAAAGGTGCTTTATTGACTTTAAATTTATAAAAGGTTAACATGTCTTGATCTAGTTGAAATTATGATTTATATCAACATGATAATTATGTGTACAGTTTATATTCCACTCATACTGTACACCAGTAAAAGCAAATATTCAAAGGGTTCTCTAAGTTTCAAGATTAAAAACCATAATGCCTTGACTGAATATCATGATTACAAAACAGGTATTAAGAACTGTGAAGGTATATGCTCACAACATATCCCTTCTCCCATTCTCACTTTATTCCAAAATCTCATTTATTTCACTGACAATTTGTTTATACTTTCAAAAATCCTTTTATAATTTTTATAGATATAACTCAAAATGACTGCTTGGGTCTTTAAAAAATTAACAGATTAAAAAGCAATACAAGTGCACTTAACACTGATCAAAGTCTGAAATGCCAAAAAGCAAAATAAAAATCCTCTGAAATATATATGTATTTTTAAATATAGAAAAACTCCACCAATAGTAGAAACAAAGTATGTTTAATGGTTGCTTTGGAAAGGGGAAGTGGGCACCTCATGCCAGGGAGATTTAAAAATGAGACTTTTCAAGCAAGCACTGCCTATAGCATAGTCTCATATTTTGAAAATTTAAACCTAATTTTAATTATATATAAAGAACTATTTTAAAAAATCACACCCACAAGTAAAAAACTGGTAATCTGTTTACAAAGTGCAGCGTCAGTACAGCAAACTCATCTCAACAAAAGATTATGTGTGGTTTCTCGGGCTTTAAAACTCCCCTGGTTTCCATTTAAATGCTTTAACATTGAGTCATCCTGCATACATGAAAAGCCTGTGTAATGAAGCCTGGGTCCTTTAACACCTGCTATTAATTAATTCCAACATAAGTGAGTATGAGACCTGGGAAGTAAATTGTCATCATCTGATTGATGAGGTACAGATTATCTGAATAAAATTTCTGACCTGGTTATGAGTCAGTAATCCCAACACAAACTACTGCTTTGTAATGAATTCTGTATGCTTTGCATGTCCTTCAATAACTGAAGATTTTTTCTCCTTTTTTCTCCAGGTCTCAGTTTCATAAAATCTTTCTTATTTGTGGTCCCTGTGATTCCAGAACGGCTGCTGCTGTTTCTTTCTTCATCAAGAGTCTTTTTGGTAGCTTTTAATTCCTTCTTCTGCTTCTCTAACTTCTGTTTCTCCAGCTATACCAAATAACCAAGGCAGGAAGGAAAAGGAGAATTTAATGAAAATATTTTTTTTCTGACAACAAAAAGTACAAGAGTACCTTTTTTTGGTTAACTCTCATGCTAACTGAAAAATAATACATTCTAGGCTTTCTTTTAAAGACTTCAAAATCTACTGCACTAGTCATTTAACACTTAAATATTAATATAAATAAATATATGCTTATATATATATAAAACAATACACAAACAAGTAGACATGAGTAAACAAATTCTGGTTGTCCTAAATTAAGGCAATATTGCCAAAGTACAGAACAGGGCGAGTGAGAAACAAGGGGAGTTGAAGGAAAGACTCATGAAGGAGGCAAAAAATCAGACACAGAGAAAAGAAGAATGGGAAGGATTTTCACAAATGGGAGAAGAGGAGAAAGATATTCTAGAAACTAGTCTGAGGAGGCAAAGAAGCAATTTCCAGATGGATGAACAGATGTAATTGGTAATGTATTAATACTATGAAAAGAATTTTATTTTTGTTCCATTATTTTTAGAATAATTTTAAATACGGGAGCTTTATTTTTACTTTAGCCAAACTGATGCTGGCATGTTGGTGTTCCAATAGAATAAGTCTAATTAGTATAAGCAACAAATTAGACCATTACTCCTTACTCCTACAGGAATAATTTGCTTGTATTTCTTTTTCATACATGAACTTTGAAAAAACAGCCAAAGTTTTAGAGTTGAAAAGGCTAGTTTCATCCCAGCTCTGCCATTTCCCAGTAAGCTGGTACTTGGGCAAGTTATTTAATTTCACTGAGGATATATGCATACTTCCCAGAAAATGTGGCTTAGCATCTACCTCATCTATAATATGAGAATATACCCACCTCAGAAGCCTTTTGTGAAAATTAAATGAGAAGATATACTCAGAGCACTTGGCACTGTGTGTCTATCATATGGCTACCAATCAACAGTCAACAAAACTGTTCTGCTCTCTGAACTTCTCAGCTTTCTCCATTTTAGTCAGTGGAATCACCATCCTAACTCCCTCTCCTTCTACATGATACCCAGCAGCAAGTAACCCCAATATTTTTTTTACTTCCAAAACATACCTCAAATCTGTTTACCTCTGCCCAAACCCAACTACTGTCTTGCTGACCACCTCTGATACATCTATAGCTGATCTCTCAGCCTCTCTGCCTTGATCCCATTACCCTACCCCTAGTCACTACAGTAATCTCTTAAATATATGAATCATGTTTCTCTCTGGTTGAAAACCCTTGAGTGTGATGTCACCACTGCATCTGGTAGTACTACATTGTTGGCTGATATAAAATGATTAGCAACATAAATATATTTCACATATTTAATGTATGACTTATTCCTTTGGAAACAGAATTTCGCAGGTGCTTTTAAAAAAACTTACTTGGATAAACTCCAATTTAAATTCATCAAAGAAGTTAAAGCTTATTCATAAAGAATATTAAATATATTCAGTATTTGAAAGATGTTTCTTAGATGAATATGCTAAGTGACTAAAAGTGTCTTCTTTCTTAATCCACTTACCAATTCTCAATGAACAAATGTCTTCAGTAAAGAAGTATCTCCTGTAGATATTTATCTATGATACACTTAGTGTCATCATTTAATATTTGAATTAAAGTGTTTTTTTTTTCTTAATCATTAGAAACTTGAGTGAAGGAAAACTGAGTTACCTGGGCTTGGTATTTTCGAACTTTAGTTATTTGGTTGGCTTTTGCTTCCATCCTTCCCACTAATGCCTCCAATTCACACTCCAACTTGTCTTTCAGTTCAACGGTTGGCGACTCCTGGATAAGTTTTGCAAGCTGCTGGTGATCACTATATACAAAGCAGAAGTAGAACATGGTTAAGTTTTCTGTGTTTCATGGTTAGGTCTATTATACCTCATTATGGGTTACTGCTCCATGTGTTTAAAAAATGACTCCATTTTTTGAACAGAGCAATAAATTTTTTTTTTTTTTTTGAGACGGAGTCTTGCTCTGTCGCCCAGGCTGGAGTGCAGTGACATGATCTCGGCTCACAGCAAGCTCTGCCTCCCGGGTTCACGCCATTCTCCTGCCTCAGCCTCCCGAGTAGCTGGGACTACAGGCGCCTGCCACCATGCCTGGCCAATTTTTTGTATTTTTAGTACAGACAGGTTTTCACCCTGTTAGCCAGGATGTGATATGCCCACTTCAGCCTCCCAAAGTGCTGGGATTACAGGTGTGAGCCACCATGCCTAGCCTAGATCAAGAAATTTTTAATTAAAAATATGAATTTAAAAGTTCAAGAAAGGCACTAGAGGGAAATGCAAGAGTTCTTAATTTCAAGGTTAATTCTTTATATTCTTATTTTCCCCAAAAGAGTATTGTATATGTAAAGTCTACAGATGAATCTTGCTCTTCAAACACTCATGTCTTATCAGTTAAGTTTAGCTAAAATGAATGTGATGTCAGGTGCCAGATGATGATGTAGTAAACAACAGACCACATATACAACAGTGGTCCCGTAAGACTTTAGTATCATATTTTTACTCTACCTAGATGTTTATATACACAAATACTTACCATTGTGTTACAACTGCATATAGTATTTAGTAGTAGAGTAACATGCTGTATAGGTTTGTAGCCTAGGAGCAATAAGCTATAAGCTTAGCACACTCTTATGTTAGCACAAGGAAAAGAAAATCGCCTAATGATGTATTTCTCAGAGCACATCTTTGTCATTCAGTGATGCATGACTGTATATCATAAGTTCTCAAAGAAATAAAACTTAAATATAAACCTTGGTCTTCAAAACATTTAACAGTATTTAAAAAGAGAGAGATTTTACCCTTATTAGTTGTATTTGTTAAAGTCCCAGTAACTTGGTTGGTATAAGGATTGTGCTCAACCATACTTGCTCAACAAAGGAAAGTAAGATTTAATAAAGTCAACAAGTTTTTAAAAAATGAGGTTTTAGAGCTAAACTGAATTTAAAAAAAAAAACAAAAACTCACAAGCTCATTTGCCCAAATTCATCCTGTAAAGTCTGTAAGACTTCTGACAACTCCTCATTAATACCGTTGGAGGAGGGAGGTGTTACTGACAACTTCTTACTTTTACCACCTCGTGAAGATACTTGCTTTGCCAAAGGAATACTGTTGATGACTCGATCATTGCACAAAGCTTTACTGTGTTGCTTCATTAGATGCAAGACAAGCTGAACATTGGCTACCACGGCATGGCTAGGGCTTGTGGACTAAAGGAAGAAAAATGATGAAAGAAGTAATTGAAGTTATATTCTCTACACCACTTTCTATTCCCTAAGCCTAGGTAAAAAGAACTCTCCACCCCCTAAAGTAGAGTATATAAATCCTAAAATTATTCTCATCATGATGTTCTTCTATTTGAAATCCTTTGATATAAATCCACTAACTATGTTTCAGAATGGAAAATAAGGCCCTACATACACATCATTGAGCTGCAACCTACATTTCCTAGCCTCATGTCCTATCATCCTCCCCTTCTCTCCATTTTGTGAACAAACCATATTTGCAGATGACATTTTTTTGGTGTATTAGCAACATTTATATCATTCTTTAAAACCCAGTTCAAATATATTATTTTTAAAGGCTTCCTTAAAACTGCCAGGTAATCAATCAGTCCATTATCAGATCACCTATAACACTTTTTACATCTCTCTCATAGCATTTATCATATTTTAATTGCTTTTACATATCTATTTCACCTATTAAACAGTGTACATCCAGGTGGTAGACACTATTGTTCATTTCTGTATCCTGGAATAATAGGAAGCACTAAATTACATGTCTATCACGTGTGTAAGAAAAACCTGATAGACTTCTCAAAGATATTTTGCTTTTGTTTTAAACACTAAACCAACAATCTCAATGTACTATTCCACTTTATAAATAGATGGCTGGGCTTACTTGGCTCCATAAATATTATTAGAAAGCATATTTAAAATGCAGGTTCCTAGGCAGCACACCAAACTCACTGCAGAGTTAGGGTTTGGAAATTTGTGTTTTCAAGTCCTCCAGTTGATTTTGATTAGCCAGATTTGGAACCACCATGCTAAGCTAAACATATGCTTTCCTTCTAATCTTAGTTTCTATTGTTAGCTAGCAAAGTGAATGCAGCAGTATTATATATCACATCCAAGTGGGAGTTTATTACATCAATGCAAGGCTGGTCCACTATTCAAAAATCAATCGATGTAACCACTATTTTGCTCGTAACTTGTAATATATATTTAGCATACTAATTGCCTATGAGTACACTTTCAATATGCAATAATTTAAAAAATTCTCGTTCTGTTATTTTTCTGATTATATTAATATGCACTTGACCCTTGAACAATGGAGGGGTTAGGGGCACCGACCACCCATGTAGTCAAAACTCTGCCATAATGAAATTTTTTTTTCCTTCAACTTTTAAGTTCTGGCGTACATGCGCAGGTTTGTTATATAGGTAAATGTGTGTCATGGTGGTTTGCTGCACAGATCAACCCATCACCTAGGTATTAACCCCAGCATCCATTAGGTACTCTTCCTGATGCTCTCCCTCCCCGTTGACCAACTCCCCCACCAAACAGGCTCCAGTGTATGTTGTTCCCCACTATGTGTCCATGGGTTCTGATCATTCAGCTCCCACTTATGTAACTGAGAACTATAATAAATTTTGCCCTAAAATGTAATAGCCTGCTGTTGACTGGAAGCATTTTTGTTTTATGTATTGTAAGCAATATTCTAAAAGTAAAGTTAGAAAAAAATATTAAGAAAATCCTAAGGAAGAGAAAGTATATTTACTATTCATTAACTGGATCACCATACAGGCCTTCATCCCCATTATCTTCACTGTTGAGTAGGCAGAAGGGTAGGGTTGGTCTTGCTGTCTCAGGAGTGGCAGAGGCAGAAGAAGTGGAGGGGGAGGCAGGAGAGGCTAGCACATTCTGTGTAACTTTACAGAAATACACTATAATTTGTCTTGACTTTTCTGCTTTTTCATTTCTCTAAAAATGTTTCTATGAGATACCAATTCTTCCACCATTTGTTTTAGTTTCAGTGATGTATCATAGAAGGGTCGATGTCGTAAAAGTCAAAAGCAGGCTGGGCGCAGTGGCTCAGCCACTGGGATTACAGTGGGATTACAGAATCCCAGCACTTTGGGAGGCTGAGGCAGGTGGATCACCTAAGGTCAGGATTTCGAGACCAGCCTGGCCAACATGGAGAAACCCTGTCTTTACTAAAAAAATACAAAAATTAGCCAGGCATGGTGGCGCGTGCCTGTTGTCCAGGTACTTGGGAGGCTGAGGTGGGAGAATTGCTTGAACCCAGGAGGCAGAGGTTGCAGTGAGCTGAGATCGTGCCACTGCACTCCAGCCTGAGTGACAGAGCGAGACTCCGTCTCAAAAAAAAAAAAAAAAAAAAAGTCAAAAGCAGTCTTGAATAATTAGAACCCTTCTGTCAGATTATCTAATGTCAACTTGTTTTCTGACATTACTTCTGTGTTGTCTTCTTCATCTTGTGGCACTGGTTTGAAAGCACTCTTATCCATCCCAGTCATCTTCTGTTAATTCCTCTATCATGGTGTCTACTGACTCTTTAATTTCTCCAAAATTCGTATCTTGAAATCCTTCACCTCCAACCTTTTTTGCCATATCTACCATCTTTTTCATGATTGGCTTTGTCATAAATCCTGTGAAATCATGCATATCACCTGGAGAGTTTTCTCCAACAGGAATTTATTATTTCAGACTTGATGGCTTTCATGACTTTTTCTATAAAAATGATGGCATCATCTTCAACTGTAATCCTTCCAGACCCTCATAATGTTCTCTCTGAAGTTCTCTTCCACAGCATTAAGAACCCTTTTTATAGTGTATGTAATGTGCCTTAGAAGTCCTTATGCTCCCTGATCCAGAGGGTGAATTAGACACACTGTGTTTAGGGACAAGTAGACTACTTCCATGCCTTTGGTGTTGAACTTCCATGCTCCTGGGTAGCTAGGGGCAATGCCTAGTATTAAAAAGACTTTAAAAGGCAGTCTCTTACTGGCAAATTACTTCCTGACTTCAGGGACAAAGGATTGATGGATCAATGTTTTTTCTAAATCCAGTTTAGAAAAAGGGTTCTCAAAGGGTCATTCTTGTTGTAAACCCAAAGACTGGCAGTTGGGTATATTTCCCCTTGAAGGCTCAGGGATTAGCAGCTTTAT
Source organism: Homo sapiens (assembly GCF_000001405.40). Taxonomy (NCBI): domain Eukaryota; kingdom Metazoa; phylum Chordata; class Mammalia; order Primates; family Hominidae; genus Homo; species Homo sapiens. The sequence continues at coordinate 95,824,807 of NC_000011.10, read as the reverse complement.
AGATAAGGGCAGTCCTGATTGTAAATCGGATTGTGTTTTCACAAAATAGTAGATTTAGCCCGTCTCCTCTTTCCTTAAATCCTGGTGCTGACTTGTCCTCCTTACTTATAAATATCCTTCGTGGCATCATGTTTTTCCAGAATAGGGTACTTCTGTCTGCATTAAAAGCCTGTTCAGGAAGATACCCTTTCTCCTCAATGATTTTCTTAATGGTATCTTGGGATTCATCTGCTGCCTCTTGGTCAGCAGAAGCTGCTTCTCCTATCTTGACATTTTTAAAGCCAAACCTCTAAAATTATCAAGCCATCCTTTGCTGGAATTAAATTCTCCAGCTTTAGATACCTCACCTTCCTTTTAAGTTGTCATATAATGACTTTCCTTTTTCTCAAATCATATTAGAGTCTACAAGTATGCCTTTCTTATAGCAATCCTGCATCCACATAAAAGCTGCATTTTCAATGAGATAAAAAGCTATTTTGCAAAAAGCACAAGGTTTTGGCACCTGCTAGAGTAGCTGCAGTGACAGATTCACAATTTCCTTTTTTTTTTAAAAAAAATTTTTTAAAGAGGATCTTACTCTGTTGCCTATGCTGGAGTACAGTGGTGCCATCATCGCTTACTACAGTCTCGAACTCCTGGGCTACAGTGATCCTCTTCTGTCAGCCTCCTGAGTAGCTGGGACCACAGGTGCACGCCAACATGCCGGGATCATTTTTTTTTTTTTTTTTTTTTTTACAATAGGCCTTCAGCTGGATTCATTTATTTTGAAATGGTGGACAACCGCAGCTGCAGACCTCAATCTATGGTACATATCAAGCAATGCAACTTTTTCTTGTCATGTCATGACTTTTGTCTGCTTCTTGGGAGCACTTCCACCATCATTAGTAGCACTTGATATGGGTCCCATGATATTATTCAAATTATTTACTGTATTGTGCTAAACATGATGGAAAATATGGAACTGCTAGAGAACACTTTTTACTGTGATACACAATTGACTGGAGAGATGAACTGCTCATTTGAAGATGATTAGCGTCACGTGGCATTTTAAGTGAATACTCCCAACCCTTGAGCTCATCACAATGGCAACAGAAGGTGGCTACAAAATTATCAGTCGTACAGTATGTACTACAGTTAATTTTATACAGTTATGATTTCATACTGCATCTTTATCTCTGTTTACATTTCTCTGGACTGTGAATGGCGTCACGTAGTCTGTGTGCAAATTGTTTTGATAAATTATAATTAAAAAAAACTTGTGTATATTTTATGGTAGTAAATGATAAAATGCACTAGTATTGACATAGTCAATTTTATGCATCTATGACATACCAACTTTTTCTTAACTTCTGATATTTCTAAGCTATAGTTTGCAAGTTTTTTCAAATTGCCAAAAATCTCCAAAAAATTTTCCAAGATACTTATTGAAAAAAAAAATCTGCCTGTAAGTAGACCCACACAGAGTTCGGACTCATGTTGTTCAAGGGTCAACTGTACCTTTTTCAAATGCTTGTCACCACTAATTTATTATATTCCCCATGATTTCACTGCGAATTTACTAGGGGTTTAAAATAAATAAATATAAACAAATACAAAATTCAGAAGAACATTTACTTCCCAAGATGCCAGAATAACAATCTAGTTGGAATCTAAATATAAAACCACCAGCAACACAAACAGCTTATAAAGTAGTGTCAACTAGCACAGTTTTAGGCACTTCACTCAGTACTTGATATATGACAATACAGCTTTACATTCAAGTGCTGAAGAAACTGAAGATTCAAGTGTACGTATGACTGCTTCTTGGAGAATTAGTCCTAGAAATGATCTGGATGTGAGGACAAGCAGAATGTGCTACGTGCTTATTCGAATATCTACCTATATCTAAATGTAACTCAACAGGATTGATACTAAAAATCCAATGCTACAAACATACTATTTCTTATTTCCTTGACCCCTATCTGAAACAACACCTTCTTCAACTTAGGGTCTCTGTTTTATCACTTCCTTTCCACATATACTTTATCTACTTTAAGGTATCCTCCCCATCTCTTCCTTGCTTCCCTAATCCCCAAAAACCTCCCTACATCTCATTTTCACATCACTGTGATCCACACACTGGTAAAGGCACAGAAAAATGTTCCTTCCATTTGTAGACATACTTGCAGATGCAGGGACTTAATTCAGGGATCAATGTTGTATAAAAAGAATCCGGAGTTTGACCAACTCACCTTCCCAGCTACAAATGGCATATCACCCAAGCATAATCTATAATGTGGTTGTGCACCAAAATAGTTCCTAGAACTTTTCTGAATGAAAAGAAAAGGAAAACAATTTTATTTTATTCACATGATAATAAAAACTGACTATACATGACTAACTTGAAACTTCAGTTAACTACTAGGCTACTACTTGCCTTATCTATAGTTGGCATTATGATCACAAGCCAGCTCCTAATAGTACTTGTTAGCATATATCCTAGCCTAGGAAAGGCTGGGGGGAAAAAAGCACTTGACAAAACAACAGTTACATTCTAAGTAGAAAATCAGTATACATATACACAAAACATTGTAAGAGCACAAGATAATGCAGTACTAATAATGCTAATTTTGTATGGTGTTCTGTAGTTCCAAAATGCTTATATATTTTCTCACTATCAGGATAAAAATTTAGGAGTAGGTATTACTTATCTCCACCTTCTGAATGAAGAAATTGAGAATGAAAGATTTACTCTCTCAAGGTTGTAGTACACCACACAGTTTATGGGTGTTTTGACATAAACTATACCAAGTAATCAGCATTTTGCCTGATTTGGTTCTGTCTTCACACCTTTTCTGGTGGTTTTGACTTCTTTTTTTTAATTCTTCTTGCATTGGGAACACACGGAGTTGCCTTATCTTCAAAGATAAGTCTATTTGTTTCTAGACCAGTCTGCAACTAGGAAAAATGAGAGCCTCAAGTTAATGCTGTAGAAATAAAAGCTATGACTCAGATTTCAGATGTGTCATGTAAAAAGCCTGTAAAAACCAATGGTAGTATCTAACTGAAAAACATATTACAGCTGTATAACTATGTCTTGAACCAATCTATCAACGTTTGTCAAATATTTTAAATAAATACCAGTCTCTCATTTTATCTTGACCTTCTGTTATAATTTGTCCCTTCTTCAGCGTGGAACACATTATCTCCAGTATTTGTAGTTACTCCATAAATTCTATCTAACGAGTTAAATGCAATGTATCTAACCCCAAACCATTGCTTAAATATATTCTTTTCAAAAATGGCATCTACTACATTACCAGACACAAAACAGCCGAAGAGCAGAATACATTTCTTCCCTTTCTAAAAAGCCATGCACTTACTATATAAGAAAAAGGAATTGAAAACTTATATCCAAAAAAATAACAAAAAACAAAAAACACTGGAAGCTATCAGGCAAATGTTACCAAGCCCTTTTCTCTAGAAGCTGAGTAACTATACTAATTTAAAAATAACCTATCTTCATGGTAGAAATTCCACAAGCACTAAGAATTTCAAAAAAGGACTGCTCTTTTCACTAAGCCAACTTTCAACTTTCCTTTTTAAAAAAACAAAACAAAACAAAACAAAAAACCTGTCTGGAATAGTGTTTGTTTCAAATCTGCCTATATGTACCAAAACTGTCTGCAGTTTATGAGGACAATTTGGACTGCCAGGTGCCTGTCCAGATCTCATGATTTTGGCCTTTCCAGATTGGGGAAATTCATATTTTAAAGTATTTTAAGAGTTCCCCAGGAAATTATAATGGAGCTAGAACAAATATTCAGAACCACTGGATTCCATAAAAACAGATACTAAGATTATTACTAATACTTCCCACATGAGTGCAGCTTTGGGGTAAAAAATCTATTCCATGACAAAGGAATACAGGAATCTCTACCCTCAGGAAGCATCTATACACTCCAAACACACCTAACATTGCTTTATATATAGTAAATTGACTAGACACAATTCAATGAACAGGAAATTACTACTCTAGAAGACTTATGATGCCAATGAGTGTAAACAGTATACAAGAACTTTTTTTTGAGTATTTTAACTTCCAGTTTATTTATTCTTCCCAGCAGCTGTATATTTCTGTGCTACAGTTTTAAAACATTTTAAAGCACTTTCATTATTTTTTATTCTCATTTGATCACACCAACACCAAGATGCAAAATGCAGAACACTGTTTTTTTTTTTTTTTTTTGCTCTTGTTGCCCAGGATGGAATGCAGGTGGTGTGATCTCAACTCAGTGCAACTTCCACCTCCCAGGTTCAAGCGATTCTCCTGCCTCACCCTCCCAAGTAGCTAGGATTACAGGCATGCACCACCATACCCGGCCAATTTTGTATTTTTAGTAGACAGCGTTTCACCATGTTGGTCAGGCTCAAACTCCTGACCTCAAACTCCTGACCTCAGCAGACCACTCTTTAACAATGATAAAAATCCAGACTCTGAATAGTTATATAACTTGCCCAACACTAGACTTGGAACCACACATCTATCCCTCATTGTTCTTTCAGTACAATAATATTCACCATCAACTCAAAATATTTACTGGTAACATATTACCAGCAACATCTAATTTGGTCCCTATGTGTTGCCTGCTAAATGAAGGAGAAAATAGAAGTACCATAAATAATTTTAAAAATTCATTAAATAAGGAACTTACTAAATTTTGTATTTCATATATAATGTACTCAACACCACAATGCATATAATAAAGCACAACCCACAAGTTTGTTTGTTACAAGTATGGAAATGGAAACACAGTGAAGTGGCCAACCCTAAAGAGAAAATGGGCAAAGAAATTTTGTTGGTCAAAAATTAAGCCATGTGGCTATATAACTCAGAAAGCACACTGAGGGAAAACAACAACAAATCTACAAATTGATCAGAAGGTAAATATTTGAGAAGGAACTGTATCAGATTTAATACAAAATAAGTCAATAAATTTAGAGATGCACTAGAAGAAATAGACAACATAACAAAGATAACTTTTATATTCCTGTAATCACATATATGAAGTGAGCCCAAGACATTGTAGGCCTTTGGTCACAGATTGAACTGCAGAGGCTCTACTCCTTGGAATCGAGACCTGATTCTTGTGTTCTTACGAAAAAAGATACATGCAAATATCATAAAAATAAAAGACCCTGGAAGGGGCAGGGGAGTATCTGGGAGGAATTTGAGCAAATACGCTCATAACGAGAGTGTCTTCAGTTAAAAACATGAAAATTTTATTTTACTGAGTCTGTAAGTCAGACTTACTTCAGTAGTCTTGCTATATATCTCCTAGAAATGCAGTTCTGGTTGGTACATATAAACTCAATGCTTTTGTGAATCCACACTGCCTCACCTATTCTATCTGGTGGCCACTGCATGGGATAAAATCCAAAAGTAGGAGAGAGTAGAGCTCATTTTCCTCATGTGGTGGCTTCTGTTAACTGGTCTGGGTCAATAGCTATTGGGGCATCCCACTACCTCAACTTCTATCCTGGCATCTTGAGGCCACCAAAGAGAAGTACCTATAAGTACAATACTGAAAGATAGCTTTTAAATATTACTGATAATGGCCGTAAGAAGTTTTACATGATTACATACCTTCTTATGTGTGTAGTCTCTGATGTTTTTTAGTCTGTTATTTTTTAAAATGCTGATTGAAACTCTACAATTACAAACATGCTAAAAAACTGTTCAAATTTTACTCTGTCTATAAAAATACTTGTTCATAATTTTCTACATTAACCTATATCTGAAAATTTGTATGTTGGACTATTCTAAAATACAAATAATGTAAGATACCTAAATGTAATTGTTTACTTGTACACAAAAAGCGGTAAGAAATATGAAGAGCCCACTTTCTCACATTTTAACTTACCTCAGCTGCCTTAGCTTGCATGCGTTTCCTTTCCTGTTCTTCTTCATGGAGTTTTGCTTCCAACTCTTGCATTTTTTTCTAGTGATAAAAATGTCAAAAGGGATAAAGGTGAAAAATCTTAAGTGTCTGTAAAATTTTAATATAGCAGCACTGGAACATGTAAATTTTATCCTACTCAATATAAGGTGGTTAGATCACTGTAGTAATGGAGGCTGTGAGCTGGATGGCATCCATGATGCTCTCCTTTTGTGTTCAATTATTTATCATCTGTGAGGTAGCTGGACAAAATTATGGGTAAAATCTATGGCCAAAGAACACAGCACTGCATGAATGTAAAGAGGGATAGGGAGGCTAAATCTGGAACTTTATTATCAGTGGTATTAAATATCTCCCAAATGAAATAATTAAAACTAAAATTAGCTCAGAGAGCAACTTAAACCAAGTGATGCAAGCCTTAAGGATACTCAAAAACATTTAATTTTTTTTTTTTTTTGAGATGGAGTTTCGCTCTTGTTGCCCTGACTGGAGTGAAATGGCGTGATCTCGGCTCACAACAACCTCCGCCTCCTGGTTTCAAGCGATTCTCCTGTCTCAGCCTCCAAGCAGCTGCGATTACAGGCATGCGCCACGATGCCCGGCTAATTTTTGTATTTTTAGTAGATACGGGGTTTCACCATGTTGGTCAGGCTGGTCTTGAACTCCTGACCTCAGGTGATCCACCCGCCTTGGCCTCCCAAAGTGCTGGGATTACAGGCGTGAGCCACCACGCCCGGCCAAAAACATTTAATTTTTTAACAAACATTTTCATAAAAAAAAATGCCCACCAAGATTGTAAAATGTGAACATTCTCTCCAAATTTATATTTTCTTTTTAAAACTCCAATATATTTCTTCATTATAAGATCACTTTTAATGCTATAAATATCCAGTGATGTAAAATAATTAACATTAAAAAAAAACCACCCTGATATATGTTAACAATAAAAAGACACATGCACTGACTTCTGCAAGGGCCTGCATTGTGGTAAGTTTGTTATACTCCTGTTCAAGAAGATCCAATTTTTCAAGTTGGCTCTGAACATGTGTTTGATCATGTTGTCGTTCTCTTTCTAGGGAAACCTGAAAAACAATATTCAATACGGCTTGATAATTTGACAATCAAAAAAGAGAAAAACACTGAGCAGTGTTTTTCTATGCTGTTATTTGGCCCTTCACATAACTACTTCTAGGAAAATAACATTAAGATGAAACCATAGGGGGCATCAATAAATGACTGATATAAGTGGATACTGTTCTTAGCTCAGTTGCCTTGGCTTATAGCTATTTACCTAATATGTAGTTTTATATAGTGACATTATCTTTATGCTCTGGGATAGCAGGGATTTATTGGACATATAGGCTTCACACACAAATACTTTTAGTTTGGTCCTGTCAAGTAGTTAATCTCTTAATTAGGGTAAAAATTATGGTTTTGGTATCTATCTTTTCATATTTCCCTTGAATTCTATGTATAATATCCTTTTATACTTTTTTTATTTTTGAGATAGAGTCTCGCTCTGTCGCCCAGGCCAGAGTGCAGTGGCTGATCTCGGCTCACCGCAAGCTCCGCCTCCCAGGTTCATGCCATTCTCCTGCCTCAGCCTCCCCAGTAGCTGGGACTATAGGCGCCCGCCACCACGCCCGGCTAATTTTTTGTATTTTTAGTAGTGACGTGGTTTCATCGTGTTAGCCAGGATGGTCTCGCTCTCCTGACCCCGTAAGCCACCCGCCTCAGCCTCCCAAAGTGCTGAGATTACAGGCGTGAGCCACCGTACCTGGCCCTAAACTTTTTTTTTTGAAGTTTAGAGTCAAAGATTTATAAAGATTGCCTCCTATATAGACTTTGTTTTTTTTTTGAGATGGGGTCTTGCTCTGTCACCCAGGCTGGAGTGCGGTGGCATCATCTCAGCTCACTGCAACCTCTGCCTCCTGGGTTCAAGTAATTCTCCTGCCTGAGCCTCCTGAGTAGCTGGGATTATAGGCGCCTGCCACCACGCCCAGCTAATTTTTGTATTTTTAGTAGAGATGGGGTTTCACCATGTTGGCCAGGCTGCTCTCAAACCCGACCTCAAGTAATCCACCCGTAAACCATTATACTAGGATAATTTCAAATATACTAACTCAAGGACTATTATTGGTAAAAAGTGCCTGAACTTGTAAACTGTGTCTTCAAAATAAGGCTACAGCAATAGGTACCATATTAATAGAAATTTGAATATGACAAATTAATATAAAGCAATAATTTAGGAATTTGTGTGAACTAATTCCCTTCTAGCCACATCCTAGTGGATATTAACAGCTCTTGACATCTATTACATATGCCTAATAGTTGTCTCCAAGACATATATTAGTCAAAACATCTTAAAGTTGTCTTATTAAACTGACCCCTTTCTCCAGCCCAAAAATCACAGAAATGTTAGATAAACACAGCAGACATAATAATAATATATGATTATTGATGTGGTCTACCTCTGTGTCTCCAACCAAATCTCATCTTGAATTGTAATCCAAATTGTAATCCCCACATTTTGGGGGAGGGATCTCATGGAAGGTGATTAGATCATCGTGGTGGTTCCCCATGCTGTTCTCATCATAGTGAATTCTCATGAGATCTGATGGTTTTAATAGGGGCTTTTCCCCACCTTGCTCTGCACTTCCCTCTCTTGCCACCATGTGAAGAAGAATATGTATGCTTCCCCTTCCACCATAAGTGTTAAGTTTCCAGAAGTCCCCCCAACAGACATACAGAACTGTGAGTCAATTAAACCTCTTTCTTTCATAAATTACCTAGTCTTGGGTGCTCTTTATAGCAGCGTGAGAATGGACTAATACAATTACACAGCAATTTTGAAAGCAAGAAAGGAAAATCTTCAGATACAAAAAAAAGAGAAAGGAACTCAAAAGCAAATGAAAGGATACTGAAGTCAAATATCACACAAGGCAATATTGGAGCCAGGGTACATAAAATGTGCAGGAATATAAAACTTTAGGCAATGTATAATCCACAATGATCAACAATATCAAGCCAATATAGTAACATAAATCTGGAACAGAACCAGTGATTTTATTTATTTATTGTTTGTAGAAACTGGGTCTCGCTCTATTGCCCCGGCTGGTCTCGAACTCCTGCACTCAAGTGATCTGTCTGGCTTGGCCTCCTAAGTGCTGGCATTACAGGTGTAAGCCACCCTGCCCAGCCAGAACCAGTGAAAACCATCAAGCCTAACCAAAGGCAAATTCACAACTGGCTCACAAGGCTGCCCACACAACTGAGGAATTTATTGTGGAATTAACACAATAAATGAAAAAATGAGACCACCATATAACTTTTCTTTATTAAGTTCCCATAAAAAAAAAGATACCATAAGGGAGAATCAATAAATAAAGCCAAACAAACGAGGATTAACACTTTGAAAACATCAAATAATTAAAAAAAATTGAGAATTGTTTATAGCGTTCAAAGAGATAGAAGGAAGGTATAAAAACCACAGAGTAACAGTACATTCAAAGAACAAAACTAAGTGGATGGAAAAAGACCCAAATGAAAATGAAAAATTATAACCACTGAAATAAGAGACCTATCACACACAAGAATTAATTACTGAGACATCTTCTCAAATACTGTTGTATGATTGCTCAAATATTTAAGTCTAATTCTCTCCAATGAGAACTGAAAGCTGACTGAGGGTAGAAAGCATACACGGTAAGCCCTCTGTATCTGTGTGTTTTGCATCCATGGATTTGATCAACTGTGGATTGAAAATATACGAGAAAAAACAAAAAAGGATGGTTGAATCTGTACTAAACATACACAGATTCTTACTCTTGACATTATTCTCCAAACAATATAGTACAGCAACTATTTACATAACATTTACATTGCATTAGGTGTTATAAGTAATCTAGAGATAATTTATAGTATATGAGATTGGGTGTAGGTTATACGCAAATACCACACCATTTTATAGGAGACTTGAGCATCCATGGATTTTACTATCCACAGGGGTCTGAGAACCAATTCACTCATGGATACTGAAGGACAACTGCCTAGTATTTTTTTTTTCCATTGCAGGGCATCTAGCATAATGTTAAGCATATAAACAATCCGATTTTATAATAGAGTTAAGATGTCTACAAAACTAATGAATGCAAACTCTAGATTCATAACAGAAAAAGGAGTAAGTTTTAAAAAAATATACACAAGGCTGGCCGGGCGTGGTGGCTCATGCCTGTAATTCCAGCACTCTGGGAGGCCAAGGCAGGCGGATCACATGAGGTTGGCAGTTCAAGACCAGCCTGACCAACATGGTGAAACCCTGTCTCTACTAAAAATACAAAATTAGCCGGGTGTGGTGGCACATGCCTGTAATCCCAGCTACTTGGGAGGCTGAGGCAGGAGAATCACTTGAACCCGGGAGGTGGAGGTTGCGGTGAGCTGAGATCACGCCGTTGCTCTCCAGCCTGGGCAATAAAAGGGAAACTCCGTCTCAAAAAAAAAAAAAAAAAAAATACACACAAGGCCAGGGACAGTGGCTCATGCCCGTAATCCCAGAACTTTGGGAGGCCGAGGCGGCCTGATCACTTGAGGCCAGGAGTTTGAGACCAGCCTGGCCACATCTATACTAAAAATACACACACACACAAAAGTTAGCTGGGCATCGTGGCATGCGCCTGTAATCCCAGCTACTCGGGAGGATGAGGCATGAGAATCACCTGAGCCTAGGAGGTAGAGGTTGCAGTGAACCGAGATCATGCCACTACACTCCAGCCTGGGTGACAGAGTGAGACAGAGTGAGATCCAATCAATTGATCAATCAATATATTTGAGACTGATGTTGAGATATCTTCTCACAAATGTACAGGTCACCTAAATACGAAGATCTCTGGTGTAAGAAAGCACAAAAATGCTATGCTAAGTAACAATTCTGAAGAGTTTTACAAAGTCATCTACTATCTCACTGGAGTCATTAAACAAATTTCAGAGATACAGAGGTATATGGTTATTTACACTTTTTATAATGTAGACTCAAAGAAGCTAACATAACTTTCAAACATCTCACAACTGTATTTTTACCATTTAAGTAAAACTCTACGAAACACAACAATAACAACAAGAAAAAGCCAATCACATATTTAGATTTCATAACTGATGCCAAGAAATTTCAGTCCTGGGCTGTAACAGCACCATTAATCCTCACCGAAAGAAAAAAAGTCTTTATTCAATTAGTTTTCCCCATAACTGTTCTTGAGTATCAATCTGTGAGGTGCTTTACTTACTTGTTTCTCTAAGACAGATGTCCTCTCCATTTCGGCATGCTTTATCATATTTCGCATGTATTCCAATTGTTTTTCTAATAGATTGCATTTATTTTCTGCAGCTAACAACTGAGATGTCAGTTCTAAAAAGAATACATAAGAAAAGCAGAAATCAACTCACCCATAAAATAGTTTTAACAAGCTGTTAACAGGAATTGGATCTATTGTGTATACAATAAAAACACCTTCCACAGACCTGGACGCCTTTTCAGATTACCTAAATCATTCTTTCTACGTGCTAGTCAAACTGGCCTTGCATTCAGTAAATAAATGCCATGTATGACAACAGCATTTGCTCCTCAAAATGCACCAGAATACAATGCAGTTTTGTAGTACTTGAAGATACCGCTACAAAACACTAATGTACTATTTCTTTTAGAATACTTAATACTGCACAACACTTATTTTGATAGAATTTTAATTTTCTTCATCAACAAACCTTGATTGTGCTTTGATTCCTCATTCTTTGAATTCTCCCTTTCTTGTATCTGTTCATCCAGTACTTTCTTATATTCAATTGTTTCTCTAGACAAGGTTTTCACACTTTCTTCTGCCTGAATCCTCTCAAGTTCCAAGCGTCGAATCTTATCTTGAAGATTCTTAAGAGCAGAAAATATGGCTGCCAAATACAAACACAAACGTGGATGCTGTAACAGCATATGCGGAGAAAGTATATTAAGAAAGAATAAACTCATCTAAATAAAAAATAAAATTGATGGATGAGTCCAGTGGAGGATCACTCTTTGGGAACAATAAAATGTTAATTATCTCATATTTGTTTTTTAAAAAATCAATTTAAAGACATTGAGTGGGCCGGGTGCGGTGGCTCACACCTGTAATCCCAGCACTTTGGGAGGCTGAGGTGGGTGGATCACCTGAGGTTAGGAGTTCGAGACCAGCCTAACACAGTGAAACCCTGTCACTACTAAAAATAAAAAAAATTAGGCAGGCATAGTGGCGGGCGCCTGTAATCCCAGCTACTCGGGAGGCTGAGGCAGGAGAATCGCTTGAACCCGGGTGGGGTGGGGAGTGTGGAGGGGTGGAGGTTGCAGTGAGCTGAGATCGCACCATTGCACTCCAGCCTGGGCGACAGTGAGATTCTGTCTCACAAAAAATAATAATAAATTAAAAAAAAGACATTGAGTGTTTGAAATGTGCTCAAGTAAAAACCCCATTACTATGGTAAAAAAATTTCAAAGACTTTTATAAAGTGGTAAAAAATTTAGCCAATCATACAAAGTTCACATAACAGTCCTAAAGTACATTACTGTCTTATTAATATATTACTTATTAATTAAAATTAGTAAATGTATTAGTAACTATTACTTATTAATACATTTTATTAATAGGAGCACATGTAGAAACCAACTATAGAGTTACAGTCAAGCACACAAAAATAATACTTTTAAAATCCGCATTTTAAGTACTTTCTAAAGTCCGCTTCAAGTTTGATTATAAAATTATGTTGACTGCAGTAAATGTAGAAGACTGAGAAAAAACACACTGAAAAATAACCAATAATCCTATTACCCAAAGATAATGACTGTCATTTGGTTATTTAAATTTTTTCCTATATGTGTAAAATAAATTGAGACAAAACAAATATGTAGGTTTTTTCACTTTAGCATTATTAAATAGTGAGAATTCCCTCAGGCAATCAGTCTTAAAAGATTTTCTAATGATCAATAATTAAAAACTAAAAAGTTACTGGGTCAAAGAAGAATCATAGCCATTCTAATGAGAAAAATATGCTACTCCTAGTTATTTTCCATTTCCATCAAAGTATAAATCTTTTCATATATGTTATTGGCTAATTTTCTCCCTTTCATGAATTTCCTTTGCCCATTTTTCTATGGGAAAAAGTTTTCTTCATTTTATTATCTGCCTTTAATTCTAGTTTTGATGTACAGATGTTTTGATTTTTCACAGAGGTATACCTAATTCTTTCCCATCACGTTTTTTTTTTTTTTAATTATACTTTAAGCTCTAGGGTACATGTGCTCAACGTGCAGGTTTGTTACATATGTATACATGTGCCATGTTGCTGTGCTGCACCCATTAACTCATCATTTACATTAGGTATATCTTCTAATGCTATCCCTCCCCCCTCCCCCCAACCCACGACAGGCCCCGGTGTGTGATGTTCCCCACCCTGTGTCCAAGTGTTCTCATTGTTCAATTCCCACCTATGAGTGAGAACATGTGGTGTCTGGTTTTCTGTCCTTGCAATAGTTTGTTCAGAATGATGGTTTCCAGCTTCATCCATGTCCCTACAAAGGACATGAACTCAATCTTTTTTACAGCTGCATAGTATTCCATGGTGTATATGTGCCACATTTTCTTAATCCAGTCTTGATGGACATTTAGGCTGGTTCCAAGTCTTTGCTATTGTGAACCGTGCCGCAATAAACATACATGTGTATGTGTCTTTATAGCAGCATGATTTATAATCCTTTGGGTATATGCCCAGTAATGGGATGGCTGGGTCAAATGGTATTTCTAGTTCTAGATACTTGAGGAATCGCCACAGTCTTCCACAATGGTTGAACTAGTTTACGATCCCACCAACAGTGTAAAAGTATTCCTATTTCTCCACATCCTCTCAAGCATCTGTTGTTTCCTGACTTTTTAATGATCACTTTAATGGCTCAGGATTGTCTTGGTAATGTGGGCTGTTTTTTTTGGTGCTGTATGAACTTTAAAGTAGTTTTTTCCAATTCTGTGACGAAAGTCAGTGGTAGCTTGATGGGGATGGCATTGAATCTATAAATTACCTTGGGCAGTATGGCTATTTCCACGATATTGATTCTTCCTATCCATGAGTATGGAATGTTCTTCCATTTGTTTGTATCCTCTTTTATTTCATTGAGCAGTGGTTTGTAGTTCTCCTTGAAGGGGTCCTTCACATCCCTTGTAAGTTGGATTCCTAGGGATTTTATTGTCTTTGAAGCAATTGTGAATGAGAGTTCACTCATGATTTGGCTGTGTGTCTGTTATTGGTGTATAAGAATGCTTGTGATTTTTGCACATTGATTTTGTATCCTGAGACTTTGCTGAAGTTGCTTATCAACTTGAGGAGATTTTGGGCTGAGACGATAGGGTTTTCTAAATATACAACCATGTAATCTGCAAACAGGGACAATTTGACTTCCTCTTTTCCTAACTGAATACCCTTTATTTCTTTCTCCTGCCTGATTGCCCTGGCCAGAAGTTCCAACACTATGTTCAATAGGAATGGTGAGAGACGGCATCCCTGTCTTGTGCCAGTTTTCAAAGGGAATGCTTCCAGTTCTTGCTCATTCAGTATGATATTGGCTGTGGGTTTGTCACAAATCACTCATATTGTTTTGAGATACGTCCCATCAATACCTAGTTTATTGAGAGTTTTTAGCATGAAGGGCTGCTGAATTTTGTTGAAGGCCTTTTCTGCATCTACTGAGATAATCATGTGGTTTCTGTCTTTGGTTCTGTTTATATGATGAATTACGTTTACTGATTTGTGTACGTTGAACCAGCCTTGCATCCCAGAGATGAAGCCAACTTGATCTTGGTGGATAAGCTTTTTGATGTGCTGCTGGATTCGGTTTGCCAGTATTTTATTGAGGATTTTTGCATCAATGATCATCAGGGATATCGGTGTAAAATTCTCTTTTTCTGTTGTGTCTCTGCCAGGCTTTGGTATCAGGATGATGCTGGCTTCATAAAATGAGTTTGGGAGGATTACCTCTTTTTCCATTGATTGGAATTGTTTCAGAAGGAATGGTACCAGCTCCTCTTTGTGCCTCTGGTAGAATTTGGCTGTGAATCCGTCTGGTCCTGGACTTTTTTTGGTTGGCAGGCTATTAATTATTGCCTCAATTTCAGAGCCTGCTATTGGTCTATTCAGGGATTCAACTTCTTCCTGGTTTTGTCTTGGGAGGGTGTATGTGTCCAGTAATTTACCCATTTCTTCTAGATTTTCTAGTTTATTTGCGTAGAGATGTTTATAGTATTCGCTGATGGTAGTCTGTATTTCTGTGGGATTGGTAGTGATATCTCCTTTATCATTTTTTATTGCATCTATTTGATTCTTCTCGCTTTACTTCTTTATTAGTCTTGCTAGTGGTCTATCAATTTTGATCTTTTCAAAAAACCAGCTCCTGGATTCACTGATTTTTTGAAGGGTTTTTTGTGTCTCTATCTCCTTCAGTTCTGCTCTGATCTTAGTTATTTCTTGCCTTCTGCTAGCTTTTGAATGTGTTTGCTCTTGCTTTTCTAGTTCTTTTAATTGTGATGTTAGGGTGTCAATTTTAGATCTTTCCTGCTTTCTCTTGTGGGCATTTAGTGCTATAAATTTCCCTCTACACACTGCTTTGAATGTGTCCCAAAGAATCTGGTATGTTGTGTCTTTGTTCTCGTTGGTTTCAAAGAACATCTTTATTTCTGCCTTCATTTCATTATTCACCCAGTAGTCATTCAGGAGCAGGTTGTTCACTTTCCATGTAGTTGAGTGGTTTTGAGTGAGTTTCTTAATCCTGAGTTCTAGTTTGATTGCACTGTGGTCTGAGAGACAGTCTGTTATAATTTGTTCTTTTACATTTGCTGAGGAGTGCTTTACTTCCAACTATGTGGTCAGTTTTGGAATAAGTGTGATGTGGTGCTGAGAAGAATGTATATTCTATTGATTTGGGGTGGAGAGTTCTGTAGATGTCTATTAGGTTCGCTCGGTGCAGAACCAAGTTCAATTCCTGGATATCCTTGTTAACTTTCTGTCTCGCTGATCTGTCTAATGTTGACAGTGGGGTGTTAAAGTCTCCCATTATTATTGTGTGGGAGTCTGAGTCTCTTTGCAGGTCTCTATGGACTTGCTTTATGAATCTGGGTGCTCCTGTATTGGGCGCATATATATTTAGGTTAGCTCTTCTTGTTGAATTGATCCCTTTACCATTATGTAATGGCCTTCTTTGTCTCTTTTGATCTAGTCCGTTTTATCAGAGACTAGGATTGCAACCCCTGCCTTTTTTTGTTTTCCATTTGCTTGGTAGATCTTCCTCCATCCTTTTATTTTGAGCCTATGTGTGCCCCAGCATGTGAGGTGGGTCTACTGAATACAGCACACTGATGGGTCTTGACTCTTGGTATCCAATTTGCCAGTCTGTGTCTTTTAATTGGAGCATTTAGCCTGTTTACATTTAAGGTTAATATTGTTATGTGTGAATTTGATCCTATCATTATGATGTTAGCTGGTTATTTTGCTCGTTAGTTGATGCAGTTTCTTCCTAGTCTCGATGGTCTTTACAATTTGGCATGTTTTTGCAGTGGCTGGTACCGGTTGTTCCTTTCCATGTTTAGTTGTTCCTTCAGGAGATCTTGTAAGGCAGGCCTGGTGGTAACAAAATCTCTCAGCATTTGCTTGTCTGTAAAGGATTTTATTTCTCCTTCACTTACAAAGCTTAGTTTGGCTGGATATGAAATTCTGGGTTGAAAATTCTTTTCTTTAAGAATGTTGAATATTGGCCCCCACTCTCTTCTGGCTTGTAGTTTCTGCCGAGAGATCTGCTGTTAGTCTGATGGGCTTCCCTTTGCAGGTAACCTGACCTTTCTCTCTGGCTGCCCTTAATATTTTTTCCTTCATTTTAACTTTGGTGAATCTGACAATTATGTGTCTTGGAGTTGCTCTCCTTGAGGAGTATCTTTGTGGCATTATCTGTATTTCCTGAATTTGAATGTTGGCCTGCCTTCCTAGATTGGGGAAGTTGTCCTGGATAATATCCTGAAGAGTGTTTTCCAACTTGGTTCCATTCTCCCCGTCACTTTCAGGTACACCAATCAGAGGCAGACTTGGTCTTTTCTCATAGTCCCATATTTCTTGGAGGCTTTGTTCATTTCTTTTTACTCTTTTTTCTCTAAACTTCTCTTCTCGCTTCATTTCATTCATTTGATCTTCAATCACAGATACCCTTTCTTCCACTTGATTGAATCGGCTACTGAGTCTTGTGCATGCGTCATGTAGTTCTCATGGCATGGTTTTCAGCTCCATCAGGTCATTTAAGGTCTTCTCTACGCTGTTTATTCTAGTTAGCCATTCGTCTAATCTTTTTTCAAGGTTTTTAGCTTCTTTGCAATGGGTTCAAATATCTTCCTTTAGCTCAGAGAAGTTTGTTATCACCGATCGTTTGAAGCCTTCTTCTCTCAACTCGTCAAAGTCATTCTCCATCAAGCTTTGTTCTGTTGCTGGCAAGGAGCTGTGTTCCTTTGGAGGAGAAGAGGTGCTCTGATTTTTGGAATTTTCAGCTTTTCTGCTTTGGTTTCTCCACATCTTTGTCGTTTTATCTACCTTTGGTCTGATGATGGTGACATGCAGATGGGGTTTTGGTGTGGATGTCCTTTTTGTTAGTTTTCCTTCTAACAGTCAGGACCCTCAGCTGCAGGTCTGTTGGAGATTGCTGGAGGTCCATTCCAGACCGTTTGCCTGGGTATCACCAACGGAAGCTGCAGAAAAGCAAATATTGCAGAATGGCAAACGTTGCTGCCTGGTCCTTCCTCTGGAGCCTTAGTCTCAGAAGGGGACCCGGCTGTATGAGGTGTCAGTCGGCCCCTACTGGGAGGTATCTCCCAGTTAGGCTACTTGGGGGTCAGGGATCCACTTGAAGAGGCAGTCTGTCCGTTCTCAGATCTCAAACTCCGTGCTGGGAAAACCACTGCTCTCTTCAAAGCTGTCAGACAGGAATGTTTAAGTCTGCAGAAGTTTCTGCTGCCTTTTGTTCAGCTATGGCCTACCCGGAGAGGTTAGTCTACAGAGGCAGGCAGGCCTCTTTGAGCTGCGGTGGGCTCCACCCAGTTTGAGCTTCCAGACCGCTGTTTACCTACTCAAGCTTCAGCAATTGCGGATGCCCCTCCCCCAGCCTCGCTGCAGCCTTGCAGTTGGATCTCAGACTGCTGTGCTAGCAGTGAGTGAGGCTCCATGGGCATGGGACCCTCAGAGCCAGGAACAGGATATAATCTCCTGGTGTGCCGTTTGCTAAGACCATTGGAAAAGCACAGTATTAGGGTGGGAGTGTCCTGATTTTCCAGGTACTGTGTGTCAAGGCTTCCCTTGGCTAGGAAAGGGAATGGCCCAACCCCTTGCGCTTCCCGGGTGAGACAACACCCTGCCCTGCTTCGGCTCATACTCCATGGACTGCACTCACTGTCTGACAAGCCCCAGTGAGATGAACCCGGTATCTCAGTTGGAAATGCAGAAATCACCCGTCTTCTGTGTCACTCACACTGGGAGCTGTAGACTGGAGCTGTTCCTATTTGGCCATCTTGGAACCGGACCAAGTTGTTCTTTATTTCCTTATTAATTATACCCAGCTTACTTCCAAAAAGCACTTAAAGAAAATGAACATTAAGACTAGGATTTTTTCTCAAATATCTTACAGATTACAGGATGGTTCTTTTGAACTCTGAAAAGCAAGCTGGCTTTGTGGTCACTTTTATAATTGGGTCAGAAGTCATCAGTGCTTTAACAACACAGTCTTGGGTGTGGTGTTTCCTCCCATCATGTTTTCTTTCTTTATATACTTGGACAGTTCTTCCCAACCTCGAGATCAGATAAACTTTGTATTTTTAAAATTATATTTACAGTTTCATATGTTTACATTTGTTAAGTCATAGAAAAAGTGTTTTTGTATTGAAAGAAAAACTTTAAATGTCAAATTGATCATACACTAAATTCACACACACATATATATATATATTAGATACTGTAACTCTTTGTTACATACACACCCTAAGACAGTTTCAGATCTTTCTTCTATTCTGGATTCCTTAATGTTAGGGAATTAGTGCCAGTATTTCAATTACTAAAATTTCATAAACATTGATTCTAACAGTCACCTATATTATATAAATCTTAAAACATTTCCAAGTAATTATTTAGAATCATTTTGTCTAAACACTAATTTAAACTATACACTAGGTAGGGAGAGCTGCCGTCTTTTACGAATTGAGTCCTCTTACTCAACCCAAAGTATTCTTGTCCATTTATTAACATAATTTATTCCTTCACCAAATTTTTCAGTGCCTAGGATATTACAGGTCTCAAATAGGAGACTAATACATTTTATCGAAGTCAGCTTATTCTTGCTGGTATGCAATGAGACTACAATATAACTAGAAAAAATGCAGACATGAAACAGACACACACACAGGAAGAAACCTGAAAAATCAACTGAAAAGACACTCAGAACTAAACAGAAGCCTAAATATAAGATTAATAATAAAGGGAACAATTCTTTTATATACCTGCAATAATCAGATAAGTACAATAGAAAAATAAAATTTTAAACGTCCTTTAATATCCATTGAGTTTTCTTAACCTCTTCTGAATCAGAGGCAAATTCACTAAAGACTTTGTAATATCAAACATTTTTTGCACTCCTTCATTAAATTATACCCAACAGTACACAATGTTGCTGATACTTTATTTCTGCACTTATATTTATTATTGAAACTGGCTGAACATTTCATTTTTGTTCTTTATGTCAGCAACTGTAGTATCACAAGGATATGCTGGGGTGTGCACTTTTGTTTTATGTATTCTTGAATGGCTTACATATCCCTGTTTAAATGCGTAACGTTTTATTGTTTTCTTTTTCAAAAAATTACTGAATAAATGCAGAGGATAATTTAGAAAACACATGATTGAAAAGGAAAAAAATCACACCCATAATCTTACCATCTAGATGTAGTAATTATAAACATTTTATTGAAATTCTATAGATTTTAAAAATGCTTTTATATGTGAGATTGACCTTTACTATGTCATATTTATTTATATATGAGCACACTTTAAATGCAATTTATAATATTAAGCATTTTCATTAACAATGTATAGCTCTCATTATGTATTCAAGTCTTCACGTATGCACCTCAGTAAGCACATAAAATTGGCTTGAGTTGACTTATCAGAGGTGACTTTTTTTATCCAGTCTCTTCCTGAGACCACGGGCCGCAGTGTTCCAGTTCTGCTTTGACAACTCTCATCACGCCCACCTTTTCAAAGTATTCCAGAAGTTGCCTCAGGGGCGCCTAGAGCTTTGTTCTCCAGTCGCTACCCACATTTAAAATTCCATCATCTCTGCTACTGTACCCCAACATTTAAGGCTTATACCTAATGCCAAGACTCCTAATACTGTCCCTAAGGTTTTAGGCTTTAGTTCCATCCTTACTGTCCTGGCTTGAAACTCATTTTATTTCTGTACTTGGGTATTTCTCCTTCTCACTTTTAAACTAGGTATTATTTGTTTTTATTTAGTATTACATGAAGCTGCTATTTGCCTATACTAACTGTTTGACAGTAGTACTGCCATCCATCGTTTTTATTTGTATGGCAGTAAACACCTTTGTCAGCTATTTATTTTTTGTTTCATTTTATTTCAGGTTTTACTTAAAAAGCATATATTGGCTTTTGAGTTGACGTAATCACATTTGTCATACCTGATAAATTTCATATTTTTCATTATATTTTGTATTTCCTAATTTTGTTTCCTGAAATTTTTCTTTTATTTTGCTATATGAAGTATAGCACACATCTTTGGAACTGTTTCCCTGACTTATATACCTCTTTTTCTGGGAGTTTCCCCTTACCTCAACATGGCTATACCTACAACTTTACTATCCTTTGACAAATCTGGCTAACTGATCCACAAGGGACACACGCTGAAACCCAGATAATGCTTGCTTGTCTTCTTGGGACTTTTGTCCGAAACATCAAAGCCAGAACTGGTTCAACTTAAAACTCAGTAATTTTTAGTAATGTTTCCTGCTAGGCAAAAAAAAAGCTCTTTTGTAGCTAGAAAAAATGAAGCTAGTTACAAGCCGAAAAAAAAAAAAGATGGAAAGTGCTAGCCATGTTTGAGTCCCTAATGTTCTTCAAGTCCACCTGGGTCTATTTATTGCTTGGGACATTTCTGTCATTAACATAAACACAGGTTTATGTTGTTGTAGATTAAGGGGCGGGGGGGCAGGGGCCAAACCTGTAATATGCATCTTTGATTTCTCTAATATTGCTGTCTTGGTAGTTCTCCACCTTTCTGACTTTTCCTACTTTTTAGTTTACTGTTTTAATGGTGGTATTTTCCAAAGCCCTTTTCTCCCTCTACTTTCTTTTTCTGGAGAAACCCCTCTATACTCATAGGCTTCATCCACTACTGTATCCTTGATGATGTCTGAGTTCATTAGTAGTGTTCTCTATTATACTTGACTTTTTAATTTTCATTTGCTTAGTATTCATCTCCATCTAATTCACAGGCATCTCAAATTTGATACAGCCAAAATTATATCAATTCCTCTAAGTATGCTTTTTTTGTGTCATCTGTCCTAATCATACCCCTAATCATCTTCACTAGAAATCTTAGACTCAAAGATTTCTCCATCTTCCTCATTCCCCACAACAAAATATGCATAAATCTTTCCTTAATCAGTCTCCTGTTCTGTCTTGTTGCTTCAGTTTAGACTTACTTCTGATGTAAACCTCAGTCCCTCAAACATATAGACCACATACAATGTGTGAAGCACTCTGCAAGGCGTGAAGACTGTCTTTGGCCTCAAGGAGCTATCATCTAGATTCTGGAACAAATGCTACTATCTACATTCTTCTCACACCTGGTAAAAAAGTATTTACATGAACAAAATACTACTCTGGACATACTCATATCCTTGATTACAGTGGTTCTCAAAATATGGGGCATAGGCACATTGAGGGCAGAGCTCATGAGGCCTTTCCCAGGGCCTGTGAGGTCAACACTATTTTCATAATACTATTAATAGTAAGACTTCACTTTTTTCACTGTGTTGAAGTTTGCCAATGATCATGCAAAAGCAATGTTGGGTAAAATTCCTAATTTTAGCTCAAATCAAGGTAGTAACACTAAACTACTATTTTAGGCATTGTATTCTTCACTGTCATAAATTCCCAGTAAGAAAAACTAAGCCACAATGTCCTTGATGAAGCAATAAAAATCATGTCAGGTTTGCCAGGCACGGTGGCTCACACCTGTAATCCCAGCACTTTGGGAGGCTGAGGTGGGCGGATCACGAGGTCAAGAGATCGAGACCATCCTGGCCAACATGGTTAAACCCTGTCTCTACTAAAAATACAAAAATTAGCCAGGTGTGGTGGCATGTGTCTGTAATCCCAGCTACTCAGGAGGCTGAGGCAGGAGAATTGCTTGAACCTGGGAGGCAGAGGTTGTAGTGAGCCAAGATCATGCCACCGCACTCCAGCCTGGGTGACAGAGTGAGACTGTCTCAAAAAAAAAAAAAAAAAAATCATGTCACGTTTATAAACCTTTCACATGCTGTACTCTTGTTGAACTTTTCTTCTTATAGAACTGTGCTCATTCTTTAAAACTCAGATTATCTATTATTTCGTTTTTCCTCTGAGAGGTTTTCCTCTCCTTTAACCTCCCCAACACACTTATCCCTATCCCCAACAAATGTCTTTTCTGAACTCTCTTGGTCTTTGTTCATATCTCACAGCCTTTATTTTTTTTCTGGGTGAGAAGGGGATAGTGATTTCTGTGTCTTTCCTTCCCATTTGGAAAGTAAGTATCGTTGGATTAAAACACTATAAAAGGATAATGGATTATAATAATTATCCTGGGACATTGCTTAAATAGTTCACCGCATCATGCTCTAAAGGCATAAAAGCTTAAAGGTTACTTTTTATCTTGTTTATTTCTCCTCTCCGTCTCCTCCCTGCTTGTCTCACTTCTCTTTTATTCCTTAAAACCACTGATGTTGCACTCAAGCAGAATTTAGCTCTATTAGTAACATGCTGTGCTAAAATTTTTCTGATTCTCGGTGAATAAATCTGCCTTCTTAATATTTCTTATTCTTTGCTAGTAATTTGTCATTTTTTTGAACTTTTTAAAAGTTTCCTTTCATGGGTGTAAAGATCAGAACTAGATACAATATTATAGTTGAAGGATTAATATCTAATTCTTAGATTTTGTGTTCCTGTTAGAACTTTGTAAATGGATATTTTGTTTTGTGCTTATTTTTGAATAAGAAACTTACTGCAACTGATTTTTGCTCTACTGTGGGCTTCAGTCATTTTTTTTTTTTTTTTTTTGCTTTTTAAAATCTATGTTGTTTGAATGTCATGCAACTTAATTTTCTTAAATTGCCAACCTGCTATACTCTGATGTGTAGAACCTTATCAGTTGCTTTAACCATTAATTAAAAATTTTCGTTATCATCGAGACACAGTATCTTATAATAAAGAGGCTTCTAGGTTAGTGATTACAGAGTACTAAAATTCTTAAAAGACATCACACTATTTAGTTACTTTTATTTCAGTAAACACTTTTCAGCACCCATTATAGGTTAGGATTTAAGCTGGTATTTGGATATCATTACCTACTTGGTATTTTACTGTACAATCAGTCCAGTTTACAAAACAGGTTCATTCTGAGATTTTTAGGATACTTACAATATATATCCCAACTGAAACAAAAAATGTTCCTCAACTAATTTACAAATGCCTGTTTAGCCTACGATGTCAAAAATATTTCTTTTACCTAGAGAATCATTAACACATAGAATTGTTGCAATATTAGTGATTAAACACAACTTTCAAAAAAAGGAAATGCCACAGCATCCCAAATAAAGCAAAGATATTTCATTTAAACTTCACACAAAGTATGAGGTAGGTGTATTTTAAAAGATACAGATGAAGAAACATCTAAAAGACGATTAACAAATTCAATATCAAAACCATCTTTTCATTATCTGAGTGGGCCCAATCTGATAACATAACCAGAAAATTTTCTCCCGCTGTGGTTAGAGAAATGTAACAACAGAACTCAGAGAGATTTGAAACATAAGAGACTTGGCCAGGCGCGGTAGCTCATGCCTGTAATCCCAGCACTTTGGGAGGCCAAGGCGGGTGGATCACGAGGTCCAGAGATTGAGACCATCTGGGCCAACATGGTGAAACCTCGTCCCTACTAAAAATACAAAAACTAGCTGGGCGCGTCTGTAGTCCCAGCTACTCAGGAGGCTGAGGCAAGAGAATAGCAATAGCTTGAATCCAGGAGGCGGAGGTTGCAGTGAGCCGGGATCCCGCCACTGCACTCCAGCCTGGTGACAGAGTGAGACTCTGTCTCCAAAAAAACAATAAAAAATAAAAAAAAAAAAGAAACATGAGAGACTACCTACTGTTACCGTAGGAGACAATAAGGGAAACATGAAGGAAGGAGGACAGTTTCTAGGAGCAAAGACTGTCCTCAAGTAAAAGTCTGCAAAGCAACAGAATCTCAGTACTGCAATGACAAGGAACTGAATTTGGCTAAGAATCTTAATGAGCTTGGAAGCAGATCTTCCCCAGAGCCTCTAGTAAAGAACAGAGCCCCAAGCAAAGCCTTGATTTCAGCCTTGTAAGGCTCTAAACAGAGGACCCAGATAAGCCTACACAGATTTCCGACCTACAGAAAACTGAGATAACAAATATTTAAAGCTAAGTTCATGGCAATTTGTTAAGGCGACAAGAAAACTAATACAGATGGCAGGTTCCAGGAATAAATGTATTTCAAAGTAGCCAGAGCAAAGGATGGGAAAGGAAAAAACAGAAGACAAGTTAGGGATGAAGCTGGTGAGGCATATAGGGTCTAGGTTATGAAAAATTAAGAATTTATTATGTAAGCTATGAAGAGATGCTAAAGCTTTAATTTTGTGGGAGAGATGATGGATAATGACAAATGACAGAAATGTTGTTAACTGGGGATGAGGAGGAGAAAACAGGCAGGGAGATTAATGAGGAATGTACTATGAACATCTGGGCTACAGATGATGAAAGCCTGAACCAAAGCAATGAGAACACAAAAAGGCAGAAAAAACAGTATGCTTTTGGTATATTTCAGAAGCAAAAAAAGGTCTTCATTCCGGACTAATAGTGGGGATTACAGAGCAGTCACTGATGACTCAAAGTGTTTTAGCATCAGTAATTTGGTGGATGATGATGTTCAACAATCAATATAAGGAATACAAGAAAAGCATAATATTTTCTGGGGGCTGAAACT
Source organism: Homo sapiens (assembly GCF_000001405.40). NCBI lineage: Eukaryota > Metazoa > Chordata > Mammalia > Primates > Hominidae > Homo > Homo sapiens. The sequence continues at coordinate 95,799,502 of NC_000011.10, read as the reverse complement.
GGAAGCAAAGGGGAAATATATTTTCCTCTAATGGCAAAATAATGGAGGACAAAGTTAAGAATTTTAAAGCAGCAAGAAAACACAAATAACATTTATTTCGTTAGGCTCGATTACCTCTGCTGTTGCTTTCTGGATAGGCAAGTGTAGGCTTACTTGGGGAGCGTCGTAGATCACTATTAAGGAAAGGCTTATCCGAAGGATATACTACATATGGAGATGAAGAATGCCGAACCATGCTTCCATTAGACCTTGATGGCTCAGCAAAGCTGTTCTAAAAAATAAAGACACAAATTACCTTTCAAAAGTGTGAACCACAAATAGCAGATTTAAATCACAAATATTTATGACTGAGATTGACTGTCCATACAGACAACAGAAAAAATCCACTGACTAGAAACAATACAATTCAATCATTAAAGAAATACAACTTTTAAAGTGTTTCATATTAGTCTGAATATAGCCATATGCCAGACACAAGAAGAAAATAATGTTCATACAACTTGAATACAAATGCTGTGCAGAAATACTTAAATGATACAATGAATGTAAATACCGCAGTTAAAAATATATACTGTGAAATATACGTTCAGAAAAATAAAAACATTATTTTTACAGGACCAGAAACTGCTACAAATGACTGAATTACTCTATTCCCCATCCACAAACTACTACTTGAATATTTATAGTATTCAAAACTCCAGAAAGAAAATAAGGCACTGTCCTTGCCTCAAATACTTTACATTTAATTAACAAAAAAGAAAATAATTAGAAAACATTAAGGCCCATCAAACACTCAAACATAAAACTTTATTTCCACAGTACACCATTCTGTCATGAATGAGATTCTGTTAAATTTAGGATTCCACATAATAATTTCAACCCAGGAGATGCTAACTGTGGAGTTTTATTTGTTGTAGGCGACTTCCTACTGACAGATGGTCCTAGACTGGGGGAAGTAACTAAGAAGCTGAGGGCTAAGGTGGAAGATATGACTACCAGCTATTCAAAATGTTCATCCACTTTCCTTCCTCAAACGGCCACAGCAAACTATGTTTTTCAATTCTTACCTTTGAAGATTTACATTTACCAGAATAATCCGTGTTCATAAAAGTACAAGAGCACAATGAATATTTAAAACAGTAAACAATCTCCTGAAACAAAGGCTATCGAAATACCTGCACTGTATTTAAATCTTATTTAAAATTAAAGATTTTACTTCCATGTTAAAAATCATGCAAATTTCCAGGTGATTTAAGAAAGCAAATATAAAACATTTTCTATTTATATAAATATAAAACACACTATGGCTATGACAATCAAAAGTGGGGACAAAGAGCTTAGGAGGGTAGGGCCAAGTCTTAAAAGTGGTACTCAAATAAATAAGTGCTAAGTCTACTATAGTATGTTCATATATAACAAAGACTAGTATTTGTCATTTTCCAAACTTAATGGCAAATTGGCATCTGGTTTTACAGGTAACTGGAAAATAGGATGAGTTTTCAATTCTTTATAATATTGTCAAAGGTCTTGCAAAGCATCCTCAATTACTGCATAGCTTAATTTTAAATGTCACAGAGAACCTCAAGTTTTCATTGGTTATTTACAACCCACCAGAATCCTATCATTTAATATTCAAAAATATTAAGTGACTTGCCGACCACCCTCTGCCCAGTCAGGGGAATCCCATTAACTATGTGATTAACTAACAAACTAGTTCCCCAAATGGAACTACCTCTGTTCTACATTTTGTATGTTAGTGGGCTTGCCCTTTACTATTTTATATCACTCCTCATGACATATACATTTTTATTATCTGTATGCCCTGTGGTATAATAAAAAATATATTTAGTCTTTTGTCCTTGGTTTCAGATACAGATTCAAAAACTCCTAGAATTTCTTAAGTGATAGGGTATCCTTGTTAGGCTGATGAAGGGACTCAAGGTAGGGCACCTAGGTAGCTTCAGGTTTGAAGGCATCTTCTGGAAGCTGGTTGCCAGAAAAACCAACCACTAGATTATAAAGAGCTACAGATTTCAGCCAGGCATGGTGGCTCATGCCTGTAATCCCAGCACTTTGGGAGGCCGAGCTGGGCGGATCACTTGAGGTCAGGAGTTCGAGACCAGCCTGGCCAACATGGTGAAACTCTGTCTCTAACTAAAATACAAAGAAATTAGTCAAGTGTGGGGGTGTGCCCTGTAATCCCAACTACTCAGGAAGCCAAGGCAGGAGAATCACTTGAACCCAGGAGGTGGAGGTTGTGGTGAGCCAAGATTGGGCCACTGCACTACAGCCTAGGCAAGAGAGTGAGACTCCGTCTGTGTGTGTGTGTGTTGGGAGGGGGGTGGGGTGGGGGGGAAGAGTCACAAATTTCAGCCCTAGGCCCTGACCTTAGGGGAGGTAAGGGACAGATTGAGCCCAGTGACCAGCGGACAATAATTTACTCAATTATGTATTTATGTAATGAAAGCTCAATGAAAACTCTTGAATAATGAGGTTTGGGGAGCTTCTAGATTGTTGAACATACTGATATGCTGGGAAGGTGCTGCACCAGAGGATACAGAAGCCCTTTCACACCTTGCCCTATGTCTCCTCCATTTGGCTGTTTCTGAGTTGTGTCCTTTATAAAACTGAAATTGCTTAAGAACAGTCTTTCCTGAGTACTGTGAGCCGTTCTTGGAAAGCTGCAGGAATCCCATAATTTGTAGTCAGCTGAGCAGAAATGCAGATGCTCTGCGAACTCTGACTGACTTGGGGGCAGGCAGTCTTGTGAAACGGAGCCCCTTAATGTATGGGGGTCTGAGCAACATCTGGGCAGTGTCAGAATTAAAATAATTGTAGTACACCCAGTTGGTGTAGAATTTTTGCTGGAGAAATTAAGTTCTAATAAAGGAGTTTTATTATGTTCAATAAATCTGTTGAATATTAACTATACATTTCCTCCGCAAAACAGGAAACTGCACATTACTTATAAAAGATTATCCTTTTCAACAAAATCACTACAACCCTTTAAGAGATCACCAAAAGCTTTTGGGCTTCTTTATATTTAACAAATAGCACAAATATCATAGGAAGGCTGCGTAGAAAGGAGCCCAATTCTAACTCCCAATCCACTAATCTCTCCATGACCCTAAGCATTCAGTAAAAATTATTCCAACCAAAATATGATTGTAGGAGAAACTTTCAGGATTAAAGGCAAAATGTTTAACCTGATCACTAGCTTTTCCTGCAGCCTTTAGTTCTTAGGGCAAATATCTCATTTAGGAACACATAATTCAAATATTTATTGAACATCTTTTTATGACACTGTGTGAAGTATGAAGCATAATTTAAAAATGCATATTACTTGCTTTCTTTATAAGTGGCACATGCAACACAGCTGCAAGATATTACCTAGATAAAACTCAAATACAAAACAGTAGGTGGGAACTGGTAAATTGGATGTAATAGAGACTAAGTGCAAATTAAATTCAGATGCATTCAACAGAACACTGCTTCAAAACAGTATGGTAAAGGAAGGTCTTTATTAGTGCTGAAATCGATACTGGGTCTTGTAGATTGACATGTATTCTGATAGGCAAGCTAGAAATGGATATAAAAGGCAATTATTTCCAGGTTAATGAATACATCAGTTTAGCTGAAAAAAAGAGTTTGTGTACACATGTTGAGGAAATAAAATTGGAGAAGTCAAGGTCCAATGGTGGAGGAACATGATGTACAGCTCTGAGCAGTGCAATCAATGCAACAGTTCCAAACTAAATATCAATACGATCGTCAACAAATGTAGAAAAGCATTCAATAAAATTCAACATCCAGCCATTATTTTTTAAAAAACTTACTTCCTTATGATAATATGAAGTTTTACAAGAAAAGATGGCAAACATACTTAATGGTGGAAAACTTGAAATATTCCTTTTAAAATCAGGAGTAAGACAAAGATACCTACATCAATTCTGGTCAACATTGTACTTCATTTCCCTAGTCTGCACACTAAGAAAAAAAAAAAGAATAACAGCTATTAAGATTGAAAAGGAAGAATCCCAATTTCGTATCATGACTAAATAGAACAAAACAAAAAATCCTCAATTATGAGAATTAAGTCTGGAAGATTGCTGAGTAAAATAGATATGTAAGAGTCAGTAATTTTATATATTAGAAAATGCAACTTATGAAAATATATATCACACAATTAAAAACTAGAAATAAACTGAACAATATACAAGACATGAAATTATACAAGTACTGAAAAATGTTAAAGTTCTAAATAAATGGAGTAACATAACATTCAGACAGAAGGGTCAATATCCTAAACGTATCAGTTACACCCAAATTAAGCTAGAAATTCAATAAAATCTAAACCAAAATTCCAACAGCAGGTTCCAGAATTTCTACTGAAGAAAAGCAAAGGACCAACAATAGCTAATATTTCTCTTGAGTAACAAGGAGGTAAATGACCCCCCCACCTCCAAGTGGGTATCTAAGTAGGAGAGACAAATACAACAAAGGGACAAAGAGCCAGGTAACACACCCATACACATATGGAAATGAACATATTGCAAACCATTGGGGATAGGATGAATTTTCAACAAGTAGTGTGGGGACAATTGTGTATTTTAAGTAAAACCGTTACACTGGATCCCTATCTCACAGCATACAAATTAATTTCAAGTAAATTAAGGACATAAAAGGCTTCAACTTTAAAATAAGTAGGAAAAAAATATAGAAGAATACAACCAAGGCCTTGGAGAAAGGAAGAATTTCTTAAACAGAAATCACTAATTATAAAAAGACTAACAAATTTTACATTAAAAGTAACAACAACTATTAATCGAAAGATATCAAAGACCAGCCAAGATGTCTCTGGAACAGTCTTAACAGACAAAAACAGGCAAAGGACATGAACAGGTATTTCACAGAAGAACACACACACACACACTAGTAAAGGTTTGAAAAAAACAGGGTGCATACTCACCAATGATAAGAGGTGCACAAATCAGAAAATAGGATACCATTTCACACACACAGCAAAAATTTACAAGTGGGACGATACCATCCATTTAAGAGGACATAAAATAAAGAGGGTTGTTGGTATAATCACTTGGTAAAACAATTTAGTATGACCGAGTAAAGCTGAAGACGCACATACTCTGTGAACCAGATAATTCATTCAGTTATATTTGCTGAACGATTTTCTCTCTCTTCTTTCTTGAAAATGATACGGGTTGAGTCACAGTACATATTCCATGACCCACTACTGAGCTGTAATCCAGAGCCCAGCCTCTGGTCTGGAAAAAAAAAAGAAAAATCACTGCCCTAGAGTTGCCCCTTGCAAACTTTTTCTCTCAGGACCCCTTTACACTCTAAAAGATCTAGTGAAAAGAATGGCACTATTTTACATTTCTGCAGATCTCTTTAATGTTTGCTTTAAAAAAAGAATGCTGGATTCTCTTATCTAGTTCTGCATTCGCTCTGTTGGATATGTTATTTTGTTTGACTTATTAAAGATCTAGTCTACCACAAACGTGGTCATTACAGAAGGATCTTGTAGACTCTGAGAGGGTCTTGGAGATCTCCAAGGGTTGTGAGACCATACTTCGAGAACTGCACTCTAGAGAAACATTTGCCATGTACAGCATATAACAATGAATACAAGATTGTTTCTAATATCTGGCAAACAAATGAACAGCAAAACCCATTAAATCCAAAGCCCATTAAGATACTGTCATTTACTAGCTAGAGAACTTTGACTCAACCTCTCTGTGCCTCATTTTGCTCATTTGAAAAAGGAAATATTAATGCCAATCTCAGAAGGTTATTGTGAGGATTAAATGAGTTAATGCATGAAAAGGGTCTTTAAGGATTATGCCTTGCCAGGTAGTCCTATATAAATACCATACATTATAATCTTAAAATACGTGGTAGTGGGTGGGTGTGGGAAGGAGAAAGAAGACACAGAGGAACATGAAGGTATTCATTTTATTATTCTCAAAAAGTAAATCTTATATTTAATATTATAAAATGTATGATAGCCATAAAACATTTTTAAGGGAAATTAATATGGAGCTACTGTGCAGCTTGGTCGAAGGACCAAAAGTCAGAGGGACAAATCAAGAGATTAGGTCATTAATCACCAAGGTTATTGTGAAAATATTACAAGGCTGACATGAAAGACATTCTTGTGTATTTCAACACAATGCTGCCCATACCTCCATATGGAATTAATTTCATTATGCCCAATCATAGTTGCTTTCCTGCCTTTTCCACCAGTCGAAGTTTATCAATTCCAGAGCAATCACTCAATAAACGTTACCTAGAACCTAACTGAAACCTATCGCCCTACTTCCATGCTGTTCACATTTGAGATTTACATGGTCACTGCTTCCCAAAGACGGTTATTTATGAATCTACTTGTTAAAAATCTTTGCCTGTAAAGCATCTCAATGTACTTATAACTAGCTCCGTATGAGTTTATCAATGTCGAAAACAGTTGAATATAACAGTTGTTAATCTTCATAACCGTGAAATCTGAATACGAGTTGTGTTCTCAGTTCATGGTATAGTTTTAACAAGTTTTTTTTTTTTTAAATGTTGCCTACTGTTAAGATCAGCTGTTTGATAAGCTAAGTGCTTTTCCAACGCTGTTGGAAATGGCAGCCTTATTTCTGATGGGACATCTAAGCAGGACGTTTTCTTACGCACCAAGAAACCAACTAAATTTAGTCATTTTTGTTTTGAGAAACAGTAACTTCCAAAATAGACATTTTGATGTAGCAGATTGAGTTATGGTTGTTATACTTTGATTTGTGGAGGTTCCTAGATATTCTTAGTGTACCCTTGATATTTAGAATCCTATTAAAGCTGAGCTTAGCACAAAAAAAATATGCTTTCCTAATGAACAGTCTTTGGTATTTCTGTCAAGGGTACCGTATAAGTATTAACAGCTGACTATATCCCAGTGCCAATGCTCACCTAGGTGTCCTTGGCATAGTGCAGCTCAATTAAACGTTTATTTAATATTTTATTTTATGGAGACAGGGTCGCTCTGTCGCCCAGGCTGGAGAGCAGTGGCACTATCATACCTCACTTCAGCCTCAGTGATCCTCCCGCCTCAGCCTCACTAGTAGCTGGTATTACAGGCATGAGCCACGCACCCAGACTCAATTCAACATTTGTAAGAGTATTCCTTGTTCGGTCTCCAAGTGCTTAACTTTTGAGAGCCGTGAAAAGCCCTCTTCTCCCAAGTTTAATCACATCTCCTATAAAATCTCATCCATCTGCTGACACTTCCAATAGTTTTTTACTTTTTTCTTTTACTGACCTAATCCTGAATAACCTTAAATTGCTGCTTTCCTTACTTCTCCTTAACTTCCCCAGACCTCTCTGCAAACTTCTAATTCCCATTCGGCTGAAACACTGTAATACTTCTAGTCCCATTATTACAAATTCTAACAAGTCTCCAAAAGCTGAAACTGACTTCTCCAAGGTGACCAGGCTTTCTTAGCGTTTCCAACTCTTTCCCCCTAGATCCTAGAAAATAACTTTACCCTGATACTCTTCTAGTTCCTTCCCTCACCATCCTTCTTTTTTCACGTTTTTACCTACGTTTCCAATTCACCTCATCCAGCTCTACCTCCGTATTACTTCTTCTCATTCCGAACTATCTCAAGTTTCCTAAAAGCACCTACTGTTCTAGCACATACTCCAAAATTCCCGCACTGCCTTTTTCTCCTTTCTCTACTCTTGGGACAAGCAATCACAATTCCTTCGACACGCAACTAGCTCCATCTTCCCTTCTAGGAAACCTTCTCTAGCCTACCCAAGCACTGTTAATCACTCCCCTCTAGATTATTCTACTACGGTAGCACTTCCTAAACTATACTGCGCAGTAATCACTAATTACGTGTAGTTTCTCTTCAGTGTTTTTCTCCTTCAAAGCAGGGTTTCTATTCTGTTCATTTGGACCCTAACAGTATACCAGGCATCGAACATTTGCTAACTGGAGAAATAAGAGCTCCAACATTTACTTCCTATCAAAGCTTTCCAATGCCGCGGTTTTCAAAAACCTAAGCATTCGACACTCCAATTTGAGAAATACCAGTGAATACCAGTAACTAAACTGGATGGTGACATTTGATGAGGCGAAAACAATATTTAAAATCAATTCCCCCTGTCGCCTCTCCAAAAGGGCATTTCCACATTGAAGTTCCAGTAATTCTAGGTGACAGGAAGCGCGCGTTCTGGCTACGAGCATCACACAACGAAGTTAATGTGGATGGGAGTGGGAGGCACTGCAGGGATAGGAAACAGCATAAGCAACGACTAGTAAGCGCTCGAGAGACGGCGGACTACTATTCTGCAACGTCTCTTAAACACACTGGCGCGCCTCACCTGATCTGGCGAGTTTCCTAGAGGGGCCGCTGAACCCACGTGACCAAAAGAGCTACATTTTTGCAGGCCAGGGAGTGGGCAGTTATCCCAGCCGGCCCTTGGGAATGTTAGGCAACCGGGGTTGGTTGCTACGCCAAAAGGTGAATAAGGGCTGGGGAACAGGGGCGGCCAGCCCAGTTTCACTGGGAGCCAGAGGGTGCAGCTTCGACACAGCCACAGTGAATGGAAGCTTGGGGAGCGCGGGGCAATCTAGGCATTCCCGCCGACCTCCAGAATTGCGTCAGAAGCTGGACTGACAGCGCCCTGAAACGTGAGGAAACTCAAAGAGGCGCTTAGGGCCGACGTGGGGCCCACTCGCGCCAACTGCTTCTTACCGACAAGTGAGAACCAGAAGCCGCAGAGACAGACGCCGCCGCCATCTTTCAGCCTGCCCAGGGGGTCTCCGCACTTCGGGGGCGGTCTAGGTTCTCGTGCTCTTCTCCAAGACTCGGGAGCCGCCCACCAGCGGGGACCCTAGGCTGAACCCCTGATGGAAAAGGGCAAGGGTGCTGGTGCTGGGCTTGGAAACCCCTGCAACACACCCCCTCAGGGCCGCCTACGCTCACAGCTTACACAGAAAGGGCAACACGTCCTAACGGACGTCTTTCCTAGCCAATCAAAACAGCAGACGTCTTTCTGTAGTAGGAGAGAATCCGCCTCTTCCCTGGTGACGTCACAAGGTAGCGCGTAACGGGGCCCGCTGGGGCAGACAACGCCGGGGTTACAGGCCGGCTCTGCGGGGATTCTACGGAGGGTCGGGCCTCCTCCAGTAAGAAGCGTGGGCGAGTAGTGGTGTCGCCAGTGGCAACTGAAGGGAGTAATGGAGATAAAACAAAAGCGAAGGCGAAGTTAAAGCACTCCACGAGTTCCCTCGGATTAAACGCCGGAGAGAGCGTGAATTTGCCTCGGGGACGCCTCTCCAGGTGAAGTATTTACCTTTTGGCCAATAACAAATAGGATTAGGAGGGACTTAACGATTTAGTCCAATAGAAAGCAAGGGAAAAAAAGTTGCGGCAGAGAACGAGCCTTTCGCGAACATTTGCTCAATTGGATTGGGGCGCTCTCAGCCAAACCTGGGACTGGCTGTTAGAAATAGCCGCGACCGCAGACCTTTGGGCGGGGCAGGTTCAAAGCGGATTTCGCGCGCTGAGAGCTCCGGGATGTCATTGGCCGGCGACATCCTCCCTTTGTGGGCGCTTCCTGCGTCGCGGAAGTTGGGAGTTGGGAGGAGCCATCGAATGACGCGATAGCCTTCGCAGCCAATCAGGGATGGGAAAGGGAGGCCGAGAAGGAAGCGGATCCACGGCCGCACAGCTAAACAGCAACCCCCTACCCGCTTCGTCTCCCTCCGCCGCTATCGGGGCCTAAGCGGGAGCGGCTGGCACGGCGTCACTGGGTGGGCTGGGGCGGAAGTGGAGGCGGAGGGAGACGGTGGCGTCGTCCGCGGGGCCCTGGGCTCTCGCGGCGAGGCCCTGGTGGGCGCGAGGCAGGGGGAGGGGGAGGAGGAGGAGCCCGCGGCCCGGGCGGCGGCGGCTCTCGGGTTCTCCGTAGGGCCCCGCCTCGGAGCGGGCGGCGGCGGAGGAGGAGACTGAGGAGCAGGATGGCGGCCTCGGCCCTGTACGCCTGCACCAAGTGTACCCAGCGTTATCCTTTCGAGGAGCTCTCCCAGGGCCAGCAGCTCTGCAAGGTCCGTGGGCTCCGGGAGGCGGGCGGGATGGGTGTCCTCGGCCGTAGCCGGAGGGGGCCGGGTAGCCGCTGCACTGCAGCCCCTCTTCGCCGGCGCCTCAGGGGTTTGGGAGTCTGGAGCCCTCGCCTCCCCACTCGGGGACCCCTTTTTCTGGGGGCTTGAACATTAGCTGGGAACGGACCCTGAAAGGGAGGCAGAATCGTGCCCTTTTCCAGGCGGCCCAGGAGGGTGCCGGGCCCCGTCAGCGTCTGGGGGTCTCAGGAGTGGGGTTGAGTGAGGCAGCCACCTGTCTATGCCGCAGAGACCCAGGGGTGGAGATGTTTTCATCTCGGTTTTCTGCCTGGTCTGTCCTCTTCTTCCACCAGGAGGCAGGGGACGGTTTTTGCACTTTCTTGCTAGGAACCCGAAGCCGCAAAGCTGATGGCATCCTTCTTCCCTGTCCAGGAAAGCGAAGCGACTGGTTTGGGAACAGAATGCTCTGATTTGGAGCTCCTCCCATCCCATTAAAGCCTGGATGCTGTCTGTGAGCAACGGTGCAAAATAATAAGTAGTTTCACATTTAACCAATCCTTGAAATAGGCCCTGACAGCTTTCTTAATTTGTCTGTAATATACCCCCACGTCTACTAAAGACAAAGACACCTGTGCCTTCCCTAAGGAATTATATTGTGATTGGCCACTTATATGATAAAGCATCCAGTTCTTTACGTTGGGGCCAGGTTTTATAAATGTTTTAGACTTTCACTAGGTTGGGTAAACAGTTTTCTACCAGAAAAGTGAGATTTGGGACTTTCAGAAAGATACTGACTAATGTATTGTCTTATTACAGGAATGTCGGATTGCACATCCTATTGTAAAATGTACTTACTGCAGATCAGAATTTCAACAAGAGAGGTTTGTATACTGAATAGTTTTTGACTGTTAAAGACAAGTGTTGTCTTTATGGAATACTTGGGGGTTGTAATCCCATGTTTTTATGAAAGTATTTTTAAAAAATGGTTTAGCCCCAGAAATTTTAAGTTGTAAACCTTTTATACATGGTGGGAGAGAGAATGTTGCGAAAAAAACCAGTGGTGGTTAATTTACAGTTAGACTTTATATGAGAGAAGGAATAATACTACATGGAAAATGTACAGCCTTGCTAATGAAAATGCAAATGTAAACAGTTATGTTAAACTAAAAAAAAATGGTAAAGCCTTAATGGATCTGAGGAAAGGTCTGTAGTGTTACCAACTGCCTTCCAAGGTGAAAATCTAATAATTTGTTACATAGAAGAGGAGTAGTACGTAACATTTTTAACAGTTCCACTCTGAGAGTATATACAGAAAGTAGCCTCAGAAAAGAACAAATAATTTCTTCATAAATAGGTGTGGGCATTATAATGTTGGACAGTAGCCAAGTGGAAGGTTAGGTAGGCACTGGTATTGTAATGCTGTGCAGTAATAGTGTCAAGTGTGAAGATTTTGGAGCTATATAGGAAACATTAAGATGTTTTGTTTACAAAAAGTAATATGCAATAAAAATGTATAAAAACATTTGTCATAAGTTAATTTGGGTAAAACAACTCTGAAAATATCCTTGTATATTTGAAAAAAATCCGTGGTCCTTATTAAAGTTTTAAGTACAACAAATCTTTGACTCATTTTATTTTGACATTGTGCTAATTACTTTAGAAAGCTACATAAACATGATCTATATACAATTTATTTTTCAGCAAAACTAACACAATTTGTAAGAAGTGTGCTCAAAATGTGAAGCAATTTGGGACGGTAAGTATGTCTTATGTTTTCATGTCATTGTTACCAGTTAATATTTTTCATAAAGCTGGACCTTTTAAAAAAATATGTACTGCTGGCTGGGCACAGTGGCTCACGCCTGTAATCCCAGCACTTTGGGAGGCCGAGGAGGGCGGATCACAAGGTCAGGAGATGGAGACCATCCTGGCTAACACGGTGAAACCCCATGTCTACTAAAAATACAACAAAAAAAAAATGAGCCGGGTATGGTGGTGGGCGCCTGTAGTCCCAGCTACTCCAGAGGCTGAGGCAGGAGAATGGCGTGAACTCAGGAGGCGGAGTTTGCAGTGAGCTGAGATCCTGCCACTGCACTCCAGCCTGGGGGACAGAGCGAGACTGCGTCTCGAAAAAAAAAAACTACTGCTATGCTCTTAGATATTTCAACATACCATATTTTATGAAAGACATTTTCTATAGATACTTTGATGGAAAGGTGATAACATTTAAAAACAGTCAAATTATATACCTGTTTTACATGTATTGAATCCAGTGTGAAATTTGTGAAGCTGTTCTTTAGAGATTCAAATATAGCAAATTCTTGGTTATGGAGAACTTATCCATAAAGTTTGCATCATCAGACTTTAGCCCACTTCAGAACAGCCTCCTCAGAACTATTTTTATAAAACAGCGCAATTAAAGATATTTATTCACAGAAGTCATGACCCAATCCTAGTACAAATTGTCTTATATGTATACTACAATCATTATAGGTATATTATACCAATATTATTTATTATTGGTCAAAAATGCTAACTTTAACGCTCTAAACTGCCCTGAATCATCTTTTGAATATCAAAGAAAATCAAGGTATGTTTTTATAGTTTATGTTGAATATGCTTGTTCTCATTTTTTCAAAGTTGAAAACTCACAGTATATATTCCTTATATGATTTGTACCTATATGTGATGAAAAGTTAACATTTTCTAAATAAATGATATGGTCATTAAGGTAACTAGGATATTAGTAGAAGGACGTTTCCTCAAATTCTTGATTCATGAGACTTCTCTACATATGTACCTTTATTTTCGTTCTTTAAAACCTTTTTTATGTGTAGTTTTTGTATTATCTAACAGACTATGCAAATCACAAATCTATTTCTCACGATCTTAGAGTAATAGTTACATGACTAGAAATAAATACTAGTTGAATGCATAGAAATATGGTATAAAAGTTATTGCATGTGACAGGGCAACAAACTTGACAGAAAACAAATTTTTTACCTGAGTTTTCTTAATTCCAGAAATATGTCTACAACACTGGGTATATGCTATGCCGCAAATATTTAATGTTTTTAAAAGTCTCAAAATGTGTATGTTTTTCAGCCCAAGCCTTGTCAGTACTGTAACATAATTGCAGCATTTATTGGTACCAAGTGTCAGCGTTGCACAAATTCAGAAAAAAAGTATGGACCACCTCAGACCTGTGAACAGTGCAAACAGCAATGTGCTTTTGATCGGAAGGAGGAAGGAAGAAGAAAGGTATGCTTTATTTATGTTATGACATCTTCTGGAAATTAAATAAAATGCCAAACAAGTTGGAAATTATAATTAATACACTACTGAGACTGGATCTATTCTTTAGGTCCATGAAAGCAAGTAGTTAGATGAAAGTGCAGGAATAGTGAGTTTTCTCTTTGTTTGCATGATACATAGATTCATGTACTATACTTTAAAAAATATTCTATGGTGGCTATTCTGTACTAGTTGGCTATCCCACATTTGGTTCAGGAGATTTAACTAATTGCTTAAATATCTCCTTTTACTTTACCCTTTTGCTAGTTACTTGACATCACTGGTGTGAAAAAAATACCTGATGGCACATTGGCACATAAAATTCAGTTACTCTTGTGCCTTTTGATAAAGGCTCATATTTGAAACTGTTGTTTGTTTTTGTCTACCTGCAGTGACTTAATGTAATAAGTATTTGTGTTCATGTGATAATTCCTTTGCCGATCAGCATTCACACAGGCCTCCTGTTGCCTATCAATTTTAGTTGATTTGGAGAATGACTACCTCTTTGAGGGGCTTCCTCAGGTCTCCCCACAGCAATGTACATATCCCATTATAAGACATGTCCCTCCAGCATGTCTGGTACATAAACATCATGGAATACTATGGATGGAATACATGTGAACAAACAGAAGATAAAAACTTGGTTTTATTTTTAGAGGTTTAGTCAGTACTTCTGGAAAGTCTCTTCTTTGACACAGGTACGATTGATTCTCATTATTTGTGGTAGTTCTTTAAAGTTCCCACAAAACAGTGAATACGGTAGTACCCACCTTATCCATGGGAGATACCTTCTAAGACCAGTGGATGCCTGAAACTGGGGATAGTAACGAACCTTACTGTGTTTTCTCCTGTACATACGTGCCTATGATAAAGTGTAGTTTTTAAATTAGGTATAACAGGAGACTAATAAAAATAATAACAAAATAGAACAATTATATTAGCATACCCTAGTTACAGTTATATGAATGTGGTCTTTATCCCTTAGAATAGTGTATTGTATGTAATATTTTTAGACTAAGGTTGACTATGGGTAACTAAAACTGTAGATAGGGGAGTACTGTATTGAAGCATTGCCCAAGAGAAATATAGGATTAAGTTCACATTTCCAGTAATAACATGTTGGTCAGTTGATCAATATATAACCTTATTTTGTTTGTGTTCCTGTTTGAAGATATCTCATTTAATGTATACTGTCGATTGGCCAGGCATGGTGGCTCATGCTTGTAATCCCAGCACTTTGGGAGGCTGAGGTGGGTGGATCATAAGGTTAGGAGATCGAGACCATCCTGGCTAACACGGTGAAACCCCGTTTCTACTAAAAATACAAAAAATTAGCTGGGCATGGTGGCAGGCACCTATAGTCCCAGCTACTCAGGAGGCTGAGGCAGGAGAATGGCGTGAACCCGGGAGGCGGAGCTTGCAGTGAGCCAAGATTGCGCCACTGCACTCCAGCCTGGGCGACAGAGACTCCGTCTCAAAAAAAAAAAAAAAATTGTGTGTGTGTGTGTGTGTGTATATATACACACACACACTGTCGATTAATTTAATTGCACTCATGGCCAACAGTGCTAAGAGTGCCTGAACATAACTTATGTAACACACATATTTTCTCTTTAAGACACATCACAGCCTTCGTAGCTTTCCTTTTTTTAAGTTCAGGGGTACATGTGCACGTTTATTATATAGGTAAACTTGTGTCATGGAGGTTTGTTGCACAGATTATTTCATCACCCAGGTATTAACCCTAATACCTATTAGTTATTTTTCCTGATTCTTTCCCTCTTCTACCCTCCACCATCTGATAGGCCCTAATGTGTGTTGTTCCCCTCAGTGTGTCCATGTGTTTTCATCCTTTAGTTCCTGCTTATAAGTAAGAACATGCAGGATTTGGTTTTCTGTTCTTTTGTCAGTTTGCTAAGGTTAATGGCCTCCAGCTCCATCCATATTCCTGGAAGGGACATGATCTTGTTCTTGTCTATAGCTGCATAGTATTCCATGGTATATACGTACCATGTTTTCTTTATCCAGTCTACTAACGATGGGCATTTAGGTTGATTCCATGTCTTTGCCATTTCACATTACAACCTTCTTGAGCCTAGGAACACTATACAGCACTTTGGCAGTACTCTTTGGGACTATAAAAACTTGAAAAACATGGCACTAAACAGACTGTGAAAAGGATACTTGTCTGAGAGGTGAAATAAATGAGGCAGAGCATCACCTTGTTCCACCTCAGCTGAGAATGTGTGCTATTGGGTGGCACAGATTTTTCACCACTCTTGTGTATGTGTGCAGTGGCCACAAAAGTGCTACAAGTCTTGATTTTTGGGTTACAGATACATTTTACTAGGTAGGCAAATACACGAATAGGAAATGCAAGAATAATGAGAAGCAACTCTGTGTGTCATTTAGATGCTTCTGTTTTTCTGTAAATTTACAGTACTTACTGTAGTGAAAAATTATTAGTAATGACACAGCGATATAAGAATTCAGGCTATATTTCTTGGAAGTATATCAGTCAGTTTATGCTTATTCTCCTGGAATAAGAAAAAAGGTAACATTTTCTTTTTCTTCAAATTAAAAATGCTTCAAAACTGATGTCATCCTCATCAGTTTTATAATTCTCCTAACAAGTATTTTCTCAAGTTTCAGAAAAGTCCAGTTTTATTTCTGTTTTGCAGAAAATCCGTGAATATGTGCATACATGCATTTGTGCATGTTACGTGTGGAATATAGGTGGAAGTTGAGTGGTTTATCTTACCTGGTTTCGTTTACAGCCAGTTTATATGGGTACATTTAATTTAACACATTTTCTTAAAAGGTTGATGGAAAGTTATTATGCTGGCTCTGTACTTTATCGTACAAAAGAGTTTTACAGAAGACGAAAGAACAAAGGAAGAGCCTGGGATCTTCACATTCAAATTCATCTTCTTCATCTCTTACTGAGAAAGACCAGCATCATCCAAAACATCATCACCACCATCATCACCATCACCATCGTCACAGCAGTAGCCATCACAAGTAAGTACTTTGAAATCATATTTTCTAAAACTCTTCCTTGCATTTTAATGCCATTTATTGATGTTTACTTCTTGCAAATATTGACTATGTGCTAGTCTAGTTTCCATTGTACACAGTAAGCATCTTGAGTGTCTAAGGCTGTGTCTCCATTTTATTCAGTGTAGAATGTTATATACATGAAATATGTTGAGCTGTTTACCATAATACAGATATTTAGGAAAATCTATAAAATTATAACCATGTAAAGTCAAAATACAAGTACGTCAGTTAATTAACACTTAAATAACTTATCAAAAGCCTCAGTATTCTTTTTTTGTTTAAATAATTGTTAAGGTTTTATTTGAAAAATTATATTTTAGTTGTCAATTTGTTTTAGTAAAAACAAATCGAAACAAACCAATGACTGGGTTTGGAGAACATATTTTAATACTATAATTTGTTACTATGATAGAAGCATTTCTGATCTTTGTGGTCCCCAAAATATGAGCAATATTTTTAACTAATGATACTTTGTGTTTTTTTCAAACATATATTTAGGAACTCTACTTAAATAGAGACAACTGTAGTTTTCCCTCAGTATGCTTGAGGGATTGGTTCTAGAACCCCCTCATAGACCAAAATTTGCATATACTCCAGTTCTGCAATTGACCCTGTGGAACCTGCCTATAGGAAAAGTTGGCCTTCTATATATGCAGGTTTCACATCCTCCAAATACTGTATTTTTGATCCGTATTTGGTTGGGAAAAAAAAATTCTCCTATAGGTGGTCCCATACATTTCAAACCTGGGTTGTTCAAGGGTCAGCTGTACTTGATTTTTAAAGTGACCTGTGGGGGGAGTTATGTAGTAGTAGTAGTACCTTAACCCTTGATGTGTGTGGTATAAAGATTTTTTAAAATGCAATTTTAGTCTTCACGGAAAAATCAAGAACATGAAAATACAAATTAAACTGACAAACACAAATTAAAATGGAAAAAACGGACATATGGCATGCCCATTTTCAGAATAATTTATTGTTTGTTCTTAAATTTTTCTGTGAGTCTTTAAAGTTTCAGATAGTTATTTAAAACAGAATTTACAAACAACTGATGCCCACCTCATTTTGGAACACATGCAGTATTTTTAGAATGTAATGTAGTTCTGTCTAATTAGTAAGATTTGTTGTAAACTGTATCCAATCACCTATTAGATTATGAGGTTACGTTGAGGTTAGTGATGTTTAATTCTACCATGTTGTAGTGTTTTCTAAATGTGGCAGTGGTAGACTACAATGCAGTGTCTTCTCTTCTGGCTGTTTTGAAGAAACCTTGTGATCTTTATATCAGAGTATTTCAAGAAGCAAAATAATATAAGTCTACCTTGTTTTTGCTTCTTGCTTTAAGAAAAAATATGACAAAATGACTATATACCATAATAGCATATGTCAGACCTACTTCTAAGACTCCCAAAATGTCTCCTTTCCCTATTCTTTACAGATAAATTTGTCTTAGCATGATGTAAAAGGACACAATCAGATTATGTTTGTGAAGACTAAAGTATGTGACAGCAACTTAATTTTTTGAAAGAATGACAGGTTTCAAAAATAAAGGGAAAGAGAACAGTATTGAAAATGAAAGTCTTCAATTTTTTTACTTCTGGTTACTTATGAAATACAAACACTATTTTCTATTTGATGGCTGTTGACCATTTGATGAACAGTTACTTTGTAGGGTCCTATCTTAAGTTCAATAGATCAGAATGAAAATGAGGAGCATTCATATTGTGATAGATAGTGATCGGCAGGGGTAGGGGATGTGGTTGCCAGGTGGCACTAAGGTGGGTCTGAATCTAGGAATGGACAACCCTCAGAAAGATAAGATGGGAATTCCAAGTGTTTCTGTCAGTGATATTAATGTGATTATTCTTAACTTTGAGATATGGTTAGTGCTGTTAGTTCATGTATGGCTTGTTAGGCTTATAATGAAATTTGTGGGAAAAAAAAAAAAGGGACAACTGCATTCCTCAATAGGATTTCCATTCATTCACAAGTAAGAATAACTCACTTGATGGAATTATTGCTATTAACATTTTTTTCCCAACTTGGTACTTGTTTACAGCTGAGTCTTAAGGTTTGTTTTTTTCTTTTGCTTAAAAAACTTCTACAGCTGAACCAATAGTAAATTTTAGACACAAGTAAACATGTATATATATATATGTCTATTTTGTATATGCTAGCACTGTACTAAGTGATTTTACATATATAACTCATTTAATGCTCATATCAGTATAAGGTATGTATTACATATGAGGGAACTAAGGCTGGGGATGTTAAGTAATTTGCATAAGGTCACAGCTCAGGTATTCTAACATCTTCTAAATCGTATAAATACGTGGCATCTGGTTCATAGGAGATGCTCTCTACATGCTGAGTGAATAAGCTAGGGTTAGTGAAGCATTGACTGATATGCAAGTTTAGGAGGAAAAAAATGAAGGATTCATGATGAATTATAAAGTGATTATTAGTATTAGGGTAAAATAGAAAAGGAGTATTACAGTATTAATTATGAGTAAAAGTAAAATAATTTGTTACTATGAAATTTCTCAATAGTTTCAGCGTAACTTCTCCAGAATACTAACTAAAGAGAGCTCTATGGACTTTGGAGAGGATTCTTAAGAAAACTAGGAAAGAATCAAAGAAATCAATATATTTCCCCATTTAAATTGAAATACTATTCTGAGCAACTTGAGTTACTCCAAAAGAAGAATCTCTACTTCAGATTATTAGGAAAGCCTTAACTTTAAAGATACAAATTTTGTGTCTGAAATAGTAAGGGCAGCCAAAGTACAGTGATACCTAGACACAAGCACGAAAACTACTTGTGTAACCCACCCTTTGTATGATATTAAATTGAACTGTGGAGATCCTGATTATAAAGAATTCTTGAAGAACTTGAGATGGTTAGCAGTCATTTTATTAAAATTTATTTCATCAGAATGTGATTTATTCAATATGTATTAGCTTAGTCTGAAAACTTAAATATACCTTTCTCTGAAGAAAATATTATAAACATAAAATTTGTATCCATTGAGAAAGAATGTTAAATTTAGATGTATTAAATAAATAAATGTCATTATTAGATGTCATTTGTGTATTTTTCAGAATCAGCAATCTAAGTCCAGAAGAAGAGCAGGGACTGTGGAAACAGAGGTAAATACATTGCTGTATTTTCTGAAGTATTTTGAAATGTATATTTATAAATGTGATATCCCTTCAACTTTGTTACTTAAGTCTTACCAAAATCAGTATTTTCAGTAATATTTTAGGGGAAGATGAATAACTTATCATTTGGTTTCTCTGTCCTTTTTACTCTAACTATTCTTATTAATGTTTGGTTTCAGCCATAAATCCTCTGCAACAATTCAGAATGAAACTCCAAAGAAAAAGCCCAAATTGGAATCTAAGCCATCTAATGGAGATAGGTAAAAATGAATTCTTTTAGTGTTATGAAAATTCAACTTAGTTGAATAGTTATGGTTGAATGCCAGTTATTACTAGATAAAAAAATAGAAACATGTATTTTCTACATTGACTTGAGTCACCTAGAAGAATAAACATAAATTAGTTTAAAATTTTTAGCTTAATTTTGGCAATAAGAAAGTGGCACTGAACTATGTTGTTCTATTTGGGAAATAAATTTGGGTTTTGAAGAAACAAATTTGAATGGAGAACATTATTTTTATCTTTATTCTTCAGTGAAACACAAATCTAATTGTGATATTTTAAATTGACCTGCTTAGAAAATGTTTTTAGATTAAAAATATTATGAGCGTTACTTTGTTTTAGTTCATTAGCCAAAAGTTTGCTGATGTTACTGTACAAATTGGCTGCCTATTGCTTTACACTAGAAGTATTGACCCCCTTAAAGCTAATACTGAATTATATTTCTGCAGGTGTATGTAATGTGTGCCATTAGTAAGGTAATTTGCCAGTTGCATCCATTTCTGTCAGGTACATATTTTTTTGCATTAGCCTTAAGGATGTTTGTGGAATTGTCTAATTTATGCAATTTGAACACCTGCTAATTTTCCTTCTACTTCATTTAACTGTGTTTTACTTTTTTCTTTTTAGTAGCTCTATAAATCAGTCAGCAGATAGTGGGGGAACAGACAATTTTGTCCTTATAAGTCAATTGAAAGAAGAAGTGATGTCACTTAAGCGTCTCTTACAGCAGAGAGACCAGACCATTTTAGAAAAAGATAAAAAGGTAAGAACATGGTTCATTGAAGCCTGGTAAGAGTTATGTGTTGACTGTTGCTTGATAATCGCAAATTTTATTAGACTTCCTTTAATAATTTGGTAATGTTTGTTGTGCGTGATTTTTATAAGACAAATTACAAAAGCCCCTGAAGCCATCTAATGAAGATGGGTAAAAATGGTCTTTCAGATTTTTAGTTCTAAGAATTAACTGAGGCTTAATTAGGATAGTAATTTCCAAACTTTAATTTTCAGTAAGCATGTAATTTAAAAATAGATCTAATACCTAATTAAAAATGAGATGTAAATGGAATATTTCATAAACTTTTTTGATTTAAGAATGTAGTTTGAACAGTCTTTGATATAACATTCATATATTTGTATCAATCCAGTCATATATTTGTATCAATCCAGATCAAAATACTGCTGAAAAGTAATGGTATGGGAATTTCCTGTAGTAGTCAGTAATAGTAATTAGCAATAGATGTCTAAAAGCTCATTGTGTAGGAAGTAAGTGTACTTATTGGGACTTCATCAGTTAAATGAAGAGGAATATTAAAATGTGTTGTTCATTTAGTGAAAAGAGGAATATTAACAGAATTACAGAAGGATTTAAGGTCTTGTGCTATGAAATCAGGATGGCACAATAGTGGACAGGCATGGAACAGGAAACAGTTTTGAAGTAATTTAGCCATACTTAGATTCAAATCCTAGTTCTAACATTTTCTGTGTGACCTAAAGCAGAATGTGTGCTTCTTTGGACCTCAGTTTTCTCATTTAAATGAGAGCATTAATATTATCTGAAGTGATGGTTTTGATGATTAATGAAAATGCAAAGTATTTATTATAGCTCCTGGTATGTATAAGTGCCCATAGGGGCTATTACTGTTTGATCATCTTTTGTACTTGTTTTATGGTCCCAGACAATGTAGTTTGACCTGTATCAAATGTATTATGCAGTAGGAGAACACTAAAATCATTTCTTTTAAAAGAATAAGGCCTTAATATGAATACATATATGACTTATATCCATCTCTAAGTCTGTGCTGAGTTGGCTTTTACTTCTGGCATTCAGTAATTTTTGATACATTTTGCCACACCTTGATGGTTAGTGGGCTTAATTTATTTTAATACATTTGTAGCTTACTTTAAGCAAATTTAGTATATGAAAATTAGGAGTGACATATAAAATAGGATAGTTACGGGTGTCTTTGTCTTATGGTTCTTTTTGATTGACAGCATTTTTTAAATTAATGAGCCTTTATGGAAATTTGTCCTGTGTACAAAGTTTTAGAGACAGGCCAGATATATCTGCATTAGCCTTGAGAAAAGTTGAATAAAATGCCAACTTTACTGCAAAATAGCAATGATTTCAAAACCAAGTAGTAATCAGTTATAGAATATTGACTGCTAGATTTTTCTTTCCTCTCTAGCATAAGAGGTACTATCTTTGTATTGTGCAGTTAATTGAAGTTTTCTGCTTTTGTTAGTGTTCCTCTTTAAAAAAATCACAACACTAATGGGGATTGAAATTAGCATTGTTGTAAGGAAAATCCTAATGGTAAACCTAAAATAACTATACATTTGCAACTTTTTCTTATAAATCTAAGATGATGAAGTTATTTTACTGAATTGATTTCACAAAGTTATTTAATGATTTCTAGAGCCAGACACTGAACTAGATCATGAGGATACAAAGATGAATAAATAAGACATAATTCTTATTTTCCAGAAGTTCATAGTGAGGAGGCAACTCACAGTGTAGTGAATAGAGTAATTGTCTTAGCTGATCTGGTGTATGTTGGCATTTCAGAACAGAAAATCTTTTGTGATTAGAGAAAGTTAGAGAGAGAGAACTTAGTTATACTTTGAATTTGACAAAAGCAAGGGTTTTTTTTTTTAATAAGACTATAAGACTCCATGATTTTCTCTATTTTTGCTGTTGTATGTCTTTCAGTTTATTAGATACTGGGTAATTACAAAGGAGAATGTGTAAACCTTTAAAGCTGGCATAA
Organism: Homo sapiens; assembly: GCF_000001405.40. Lineage (NCBI taxonomy): Eukaryota > Metazoa > Chordata > Mammalia > Primates > Hominidae > Homo > Homo sapiens. The sequence continues at coordinate 95,776,816 of NC_000011.10, read as the reverse complement.
TGAAAAACATTAAAAAATAACCTGGAGTTCCCTCTGCATGGTTCTAATAGTGAAATTACATAATAACTTATTTAGTTTGAAGTCATGAGATATTATACTGTTAGGTATGTCATTTATGAAAAATTATCATGTAGCCTTCTTCCTCAAAGCACTGATTTTTTTCTTGTATTTGTCTAATTTAGCCCAAATTTTATAGTAACCTTCTTTCCTTTCTCATTCTGTGTTAGTTGTATTTCTGTGCTTTGTTCTCTATTTTTACCTCAAGTGTTAGGTGGTATTGTGTACATAATCCTGGACATAAATTAAAAAATGAAAACAGTGTAGCTTTTGGCTGAAAAGACCATTCCTTTTTATATTACCCAGTGTGAAATTTCTTTCTTTAAGCATTGAAAGATTATTTTACGCATAAGCTAGTTTAAATGTTTATATTGTTTTTACTATTATTGAAGTACATTTTTAAATGAGGCATTTTCCCAGTTATTAGCCGTTAAGCTTTTTTCGTTGGCATACCAGTTGCCAAACTCTATTTCCAGTCGAGCCATGTTTAGGAAAAAAAGAAAACTGAGAAGTTTTACTGATGGTCAGGTATTAACATTAAAATTATACTATTGTGAAGCAGATAGACTTCATCATTTCACCAAACAAACTTTAGATAGCTTGTACAATTCAGGAAACTGCAGTTAACATCTTCTACTTTTGTAATGAAATGTGAGTTTATTGTGAAAGTTATTTAAAATGGTGTGTGTGTGTATGTGTGCAAATATATACATATATTTTTTCTTTAATCTCTCAGTTAACTGAACTAAAGGCAGACTTTCAGTACCAAGAGTCAAATTTGAGAACAAAAATGAACAGTATGGAAAAAGCCCACAAAGAAACTGTGGAACAACTTCAGGTAACTACCATCATTTACGTAAAATGATAGGCAAGAAGGGCTAAACTTGAGTAATAGCATTCATTGACTTAGATTGTTATTGGTAGCCCTATTTTGTGCATAGTTGGTGCATTTCAGTTTTGATTTTGACTTTATAATCATTTTTAATCTTGATCTCATTAGAAGTTATTGTTTGAAATTACTTGAAAGGGGGATTCAGTACTTTAATCTTGAAAACTTTTGCCTAAACTTCAAATGGAGTTTTTGGAGGAGGGTATCATTGGAGTGTGTTCAATTAATTATTGGGCTTATAGCAAAAAATTAAAAATCAGATTAATGAAACTAAGGTGAAAAGCAGGTCTTCAGTAGCAATCATTCCTCACATTAATATTTCCTTCCAGATAATGGGAAAGGAGATGGGTGTATAAAACCAATTCTTAAGGACCTGGAGTGGCAAAAATGTGTGCAAAGCAAGAGAGTTTACTTAACCTGTGTACAGTGGTTCGCAAAGTGCCAAATAGGGTTCTGCTAAATGCTAACAGGTAGTGATCCACCTGAACCTCAGAGTACTGCAAAGTAGCAGTTTAAGTATACAGAACAACTGAATGGTAAAGTCAAGAGTCACCACAGTAATAATCTGATGTCTGGCATGCAGAGATGGTGAACATCCAACATGGATACAGAATGCTACCATATTAAGCTGCTTCTCTTCTAGGTTTCATACATTTAGAAATCAGACCACACTAAATTAATTACATGTTCTCTTTGATTTATACAGTCTCACATTTGTAAAATTAGTCTTTAGTAACAAAATTTTTAAGGTGAAAGAAGTTTTAAATGTTAATGGAAGATGGCAGCACACAGACGTCAGACTTGGGAGAGTACAGCTTCAGAAGGAAGGAGTTAATACTGTCCTGTTTCATTTTGTTTTTTTTTTTTCACATTGTAACACCAAAGGATATTTGCTATTTCTTTCTTTTGGTTTTGTATTATTCATACTTCTTTGCAAGTAGCTTAAATTAGTAGGATTTAGGAACTTGCTCAAATTCGAGGTACAGATTATCTGGTCTTAATCCCTATCATACTATTACAAAGACTGTTGAAAAAGGAACCTCATGTAGAACCTGAGACATAGTAGGCATTCAAATAATTTGTTGACTAGGTGGTGATTTATGGAAATGCCCATCAGCCCTCTGTTCTGAGAGATTGCCCGTATCATATATCAGATTCTTATATATTAGTCAATGTTTTTATCCACCAGCAAGTATTATTTTTAATTTTATGTTATTCCTGTTTTTCTTACTCAGTTATTAATGCTGAATGATTACCTGGAACAAAATCTTCCACCTGGTGATCTTTGATTTAATGTAATGTAACCAAAGCTCTGAAGTAAATCCAGAATGAGATAACAGAATAACTGCAATAGGTGCTCAGATATGTTTTAACTTAGTGCTCCCCACTGTTCAAAAGAGCAGTTTGTGTGTTGGTTTTTCTTTTTTAAAATCATAGTTGCAAATACATGGGGTCATCTTTGACTTAGCCTGATAGATATCTTAGGCCTACCTCCTCTTGGTAATTGAAGTTTCATGTAGTATAAAAGTAACCAATATTTAAATAGGACATTTTGACATGATTTTACATATGCTGTCTTACTTGTTGCAAAAACTGGGTTATGTGATATGCCCATTTTACAGAGGAAACTGTGATCACACAGTAAGCGGTGACGTAGAAATCTCTGTCTTCTCACTCCAGTTTATCTATACTTTTCCCTGTCCTACACTAGTTCCCACCACTTCAGGTTCCTCAGGTTTTCTATTTCATCCTTCCTATCAGGCCACTTCCCTGATTTTTTTGTGTTATGGCTAGAGACAATCTGTCATAGCTGAGTGCCATCTTTTTACCTCACTTCCTTTAGCAACCAAGTGATACTAGTAGGATTCTTTACTGAGGTGAGGAAACCGGTAATTTTTTTTTTATCTTTATGTAATAAGGAATTGAATCCTGTGACACAAGATGGATCTTGCTCTAATAGCTAGTAAAATATTTTTAACTGCCAAACCTACGACAAAACACTGAACATCACATGAAAAAATTGTTCAAAATGTCACCCCAAAATACCCCAAATATTGAAAATACTAAGAATATCAAGTTAAAACTCTTATTCACTTAATTAGGTAAGTGGTTAAAAGGAAAAGGGACCTAACATTTGAGTGCCTTCTGTGTACCAGGAACTGTGTTAGGCTAAGTGTTTTATATATTTGATAAGTTCCTTCAACTCATTTTGAGTTCGGATGGTGGAGTTTGTGTTACAAATGAGAAAATATGCTCCAGGTTATGTAGCTGGTAAGTAAGCCAGGATTTAAAGCAGGATCTATGTAATTCTTAATCCTGATATTCTTTCCTTTGCACCAACATGTCTAAACTTTAAAACTTAGCTTTCTTAAGAGTCTGTAAAGAATTTCATTGATTTTTTTTTTTTTTTTTGGCTGGCTGCAAAATGAAGTAATTTTAGGATAAAACAATTTAAATGTACATATATTGAAATATGGCATAAAATTCATTTTTAAAGTATTCAAATTAGAATAATTTGGACTTGTACTTAACAATTGTGTTATTTATTTACCATAAAGACTTTTGTCTTATGTAATTTATTAAGAAATATCTTTATTAGTGATATAAATATATTAAAAGCAAATTGGAAATTAGCTACCAAAGCATTAAATGGAAAAATTGCTTTGAAGACCTAATGTTCAAATTATTGTATTTTGTACTTAAAATATGAAAATTATAAACACTTTATTTCTTGATAATTGAGATAAGAACTTGGAGATTCACATTTTAACTATTTTGTATCAGTATAAACATTTTTAGATAAATATAACTTAACAGATCTAGTGGAGATCTTTTTGAGTCAAATTTGCAGACTCAAAATTTGAAATTGATACTGAATTTGAAATTGAAGTTTTTCGTTACCACCTTAGTTATTAATAACCACTGAATAGGAAAGTTCTATTGATCATGCATCTGAACATAAAAAATTATTTGATTTGCACATATAAGATAGTACTGAGAATATTTGCATTTTAGAGGTCATGGGTGTTAATTAGCAAGAGTGATTGGAGAAGAAGGGTGGGGGAATGGAAGAATAAAGTTTGAAAAAGGTTATTTCATGAAACCACTTTAAGATGGCATACAGAGAAGGCAGAGTGTTATCTGCCCGTAAAAAGCTAAAATTAGAATAAAATATGAAGTACTGAGATTAAAAAAGTCTGTCTATATAATAAAAATTCCTGGAACCTGTGAAGGAAAATGGTGTTGAAACATAAGTCAGAGGATATCTTTTTAAAATGTGTTAATTTTAGGGCAGTGCTCTATTTTCATCACTTTCCCCATTTTGGCTCAAACTACAAAAATGCTTGATCATTAATGTATTTGTATATATAGGGATCCTTACTATCTAAGTTTTCATATTTAAGAGACTGAATAAGGTGACAAAGGCAGTCAAAATGTGAAAATATTCACTGTACTTACACATTCCTCTTCACTAAACTAGTGATGGATGGACATTTAATAATGAAATTCAAGTCAGATGATGAAATGAAATTTTGAATCTTTGTAAAAATTCAAGCTTTCATGAGATAGGAAATGATGATGTGGAACTGCTCAAACCACACTAAAATCAGTGTCAGATGACTGGTAACTAAAGGAACAACAAGATAATGAGTGGTTCTGATGGGTGCTTTAAAAAAAATTGAATATCATTGGGTGCATTTGGCAAAGTAACAAATTCTGAGTTGTTTTTGCAAAAATGACCTCTTATGCTTGTTCTACAAGAGAGTAAACATAGAAAAAAGACCTTATACAGCTTGCCAGGAAATACTCCTCCCAAATCTTGATTCATTCTTTGATTTTATTAATTGTAAATTACAACTTATTTTCATAGTTTTCATGTTTTTAAGATGAAGGGCCAAACACCTTTTCCCTATTAAAATTTGGACCTTCTTTTAAGTGGATTCACTTTGTTTCCTTTTTTGTAACCAATTGTGCATCTTTGGACACAATTATATTAATAATGACATATACAAAGGGGGCTGATGAGCCAATCTAGAATTTTCCTTCTGCATGTTCATCCTTAAAGAGATGAATGTAAAGGTATCAACTCTTTCATTTAATGTTAGTGCTTTAGTGAAACATTTATATAAATGAAAACAGTATTAAATAAGTAGTATTCTTCAGCATGACTTAATAATATTTCAAACATTTTTAATCTTGAATGTTTTTGTCTCCCACAGGCCAAAAACAGAGAACTACTCAAACAGGTCGCAGCATTATCAAAGGGTAAAAAATTTGACAAAAGTGGAAGCATACTAACATCTCCTTGAGAAAGTCATTTGTTTAGCATTTCTTCTTACAATGTAAATTTGGGGAAAAAAAATTCTGTGAAGCCCTTAAATTCTGTGTAGTAGAAAAATATTTTTGCACACCAAATGAATTGGTGTGTTTCCTGTTCACTTTTGTAATTGATATACAGCATTTTTTAAGTTGTAAAACATTCAAATAAAACTTCAACTGGTTTGAAGTAACTTTTTAATTATTTGATATCCAGGAACTTTTTTGCCAGCAATAGTATTAAACAGTTGTAAAGGAGTGCATGAGTAGTGCTCTTTATGAAACGCAACATGCAATAATAGAGTAGGTATGGTTTCAGAAGTCAGAGCAGCAGGGTTTTTTTGTTTTGTTTTTGTTTTACACTATGCTAATTTCAGACAAACAGTTTTCAATTTAGAAATACAAAAACTTTTAAACTCGAAAAATGGCGAACACTGGTTTTTTGGGAATTGTGTTTTTACTTTGCATCAAGATGAATTTAGGAGAAAATCACGGTGCTTTTATTAAATGAACTTCAGATATATGTAAATTTGTTTTTTAAAGTTACATCATTAACATTAGTAACCTAGCATTTTCATTATTGGTATAGGAATTAATGTTTATTGTACAGTATCTAAGGTAAAATGTGTTTCTGTTTTGTAAAAACTACTGTAGATTTTTACTTACAAGTGCCTTTTTGCCACCTAATGTTTTTATTTATAGGAATGCTGATCTTTTGTACATACATTTTGTTTTAAAATCATGTTTAATAAATGTTTGTATATAAATGCATATGTACAGAAGCCTATTTCAAAAGGAAATCAAAGTTGCTAGTAAAATGTTTGAGATTACATTTAGAACTAACTGATAATGCATATAGATTGTAGAAAATTTTGTGATTTGTTTCTGTGTGATAAGGGAAGCTGTTGGTCTTTGAATTCATTTAATTATGTCAAAATAGTTCCCCAAAGATTTAATTTTAAGTTGCTTCTTAAAGAGTAATTTTATTTTTTATGTCATGTGGCTTCATATTAGTATTGTGTGAGTTACATGTTTTGCTTTATATTTTATAAAATTTTTTAAAAATTTTAATGTTTCTGCAATGATCCATGTATCTGCTTTCCCTATGTGTGGTTATCTAAGTTAATATTTATGTACAATGTAATTTGTAAATTTAAAGCAAATCTGAAAAAAATTAAATGATCTTTTTAATCCAATCTGTGATAATCTTTGAATAAATTGGAATCTACTATAAGATTCAGGCATTATAAGTAAATTGTCCTAAAGTCTTTAAAATTGTCTATAAAAGGTTAAGGTAGGGTGGGATAGGTTATATGAAGTTATTGACTATATTCTGATCCAGCGGTTTTCAGCCTGAAATAGAATTTATCTCCTAGTTATTATCAGTTCAGAGTTTTAGTTTGATTTTAAAGTATTGCTAGATACACTGTATAGAGTGAGTTGCTTCTCTTAATAATTTATGGGCAAAGATAAATTTGCTTCATGTAAAACTGTTACTAAATTTATAAGTTTTAAAGGTTTTGTTTTATACAAGCATTGATTGTGAATGTCATATCAAAGATTGGCTTTCTTAAGAACACATGATTGAAACAATTTTTTTTTAACATGACGTGTTTCAATAGACTGTTCTCATAGTTCATTATAAAGTGAATACCAAATAATTCTTTGTCCATTTTGAAAGCATAATATAGGGTAATTTTCAAGTGATACAAAAAGATTCAGTTAGAATCTTGTAAACTAAACCAGTTTATTTTTATGGGATCTTCATGTAATAATTTTCTTAAATTTAGTACTCTCAACCATGATAGATAATGCCTTAACATGGATTTTAACGTTTGCAGGATTTGCTAAATTCATAAGATAGTTATTACCTTTCTTTGAAATTTGTAATGTTTTATATTCTTGTTTCATAGCCATTTGTCAGTCCACAGTGGTCATTATGGTTTTACTTTTTGATAGTTCTTACACCTTGTTGGAGAAACTACAAAAGAAAGTTGTCCTCGTCCTTCCCCTTAGCTAACATCAAAATTAAAAAGTTGAATATTAATATTAGCTAACATTAAAATGGAAGGTAATTCAGTTTTAGTGTTAGCTAACATTAACAGTCTAATAATTTAGCTTTGTAAATTCCAAGGCTAAAACCCTTTCATGGGCTTCACAGTATTTAGTCCTAATTAAATACCCTTCTTTATTCCATGACCTTATTTTATAACTTAAATTTTTTTGCAATTGTATAAATTAGTAATTCAGTCCCAGTCCTGGATCTCTGTAGTGTTTTGACATAATAAACTGATATTCTTTAAATGTGGACCTGTAAGGAGATACTATGGTGTGGTGTATTGTGCTTTTAGCCTGTTTTCCACTATTAATTAGCATTTACCAGTAAGGGTCATTTTGACTCAAGTTATTTATGTATTAATAGCCTGTGAATATTGCAGTCCTTTTTAGATTATATTGGTCTAAATATGCATTCTGCAGTGAACCTGTTAAGCTGTTCACATGTATAGACTATTGAAATACTGTACTTGTACACATCTGACTGTTGACATTTTGTACTTTTTTCTAGATCCAATATTTCACAATAAAAAACTTGTCAAAGGCTTTGTATTAGTTTTCAATGGCTGCTGTAACAAACTCCCACACACTTAGTGTCTTAATACAACAAAAATTAATTCTTTTATGGTTCTGGAGGCCAGAAGTCCAAAATCAGGTTTACTGGTCTAAAGTCAAGGTATTGGCAGGATTGCTTCTTTCTGGAGGCTGTAGGGGAAAATCTGTTTTCTTGCCTTTTCCAGCTTCTAGAGCTGCATTCCTTGCATGCTATGAGCTCATTGACCTTTATCTTCAAAGCCCAAATTGTAGCATCTCAAATCTCTCTCTGCTGCTGTCATCATACCTTCTCAGAGTGTCTCCCTCTGTTCCCTCTCATAAGGACCTTATGAGAACATTATTGGCTCCACCTGCACAAACAACGTAGTTTTTCCATCTCGAGTTCTTAACCTAGTCACATCTGCAAAGTCCCTATTGTCATATAAGGTAATGTATTCACTGGTTCCAAGGGTTCGGGCATGGACATATTGGGGGACCATTATTGAGCCTACATAGCTTCATCTACATTTTACCCCCTTTTTCCAGTATGAAACCCTGAAACAACAGATACATGAGAGAAGTTTAGGCCAAACATTAGAAACTATTTTCCTGTCTGTCCATTCAGACCACTTTAGTGCAATAGTTATTTTTCCTGGAAGAAATAAATTTGCATCTAATTGAGCAAGTATTTCAAGCTATAGTTAAGTTTTTGAAAGCTTTGGAACATGACTAGTACCATGCTAGATTGTTTGATAAGTTAAAAGTTGAAGGTGTGATTCTTTCATTTGTAGACTAGGTGGGCAGATACTGTGCTTGGGAAAAAATCTGGAACCTAACTTTGGTATTATAAAGTGTAGTAAAAGCTAACAGCTTTTAGCAAGGGCATTTCAAGACTTCAGGTGTAGTCCCTTGTTTCTCAAACGTTAGTATACATCAGAGTTACCTGGAGGGCATGATAAACACATGTTGCTGGACCTTATCCCCAGTTTTCTGATTCAGTGGGTCTGGGATGGAGCCTAAGAATTTTCAGTTCTCAGTTCTCAGGTAATGCTGCTTCTGGCCCAGAGCTCACATTTTGAGAACTATCATTTTAATATTCCCTGCATTTCCCATACAAACTATACCATTGGGTAGGTAAGTAGTAGATGGGGGGTAGTTTCTCTTTAAAACATTCTAATGAAAAAGGAAGGATGGAATTGCAACATCACTATTTTGCAACCTCTCATGGAGTTAAGGATTGGTCATCAGCAGCTACTGACAATACACAAACACATTCTTAAGTGCTTTCTGATGGAGGAATACACTGCTACCTATAAAGTTTTGCCAAAAAGAATCAAACCTAAATCTGACGAAGCATCTACCAATTAACCAAAAATAGAAAGGATGGAAGATCATGTTGAGTGACACCAAAAGGATACAGTTGGCACAGTTGTTCAATAAGTTGCAAGCAGAGGGAATCAGTGGAGGGAGAACCTATAGTATAAAAGGTACTTAATATAAACCAGTCACAATATGTGACCCTGATATGGATCTGGAATCAAGAAATTAAAAATTTTTAACATGTATGAGAACTGAAAATTTGAACACTGGTTATGTAATGATTTTAAGGAATTAAGTACTGTTAACTTTTCAGATGTGATGATGGTGTTGCAGCTATCTTTTTAGAGTCCTAGAGACACCTACTAAAATATTTATAATGAAATGGTATGATGATTGGTATTTGCTTCAAAATAGTATAGGGAGGGAGATACGAGAATATAAATGAAACAGGATTGGGTGTGAGTTGTTAATTTTTGAAACTGGGTGATAGTTATATGGTGGTTTATTATACTATATTCAACTTTTGTGTAAATTTTTTCTTAATAACAAGTAACACTACCACCATCACCCCTGCCTGCCAAGTTACGCTCAATTTGAACAATACATGCTTATTGAAAAAAAAAATGCACAGCACAAAAATCAGGAGAAAAAAGAAAAAACCACTCACAGTTCTCCCAGGTGACATATTTGTTTCTGTTTTATATGTTTTCTTGCAGCATTGTGAGTAATGGCTATGATCATGCCACAATGTAATTCTGGTTCCTGTTTCCATTCTTCCTTTCTCCCCCTACTTAACAAAAACAATTTCCACACTAAAACAACAACAGCGATTATTTGTTGTCATTTCATAGCTGTGCATGTGAGGCATTTAAGACCACTATTAAATATTTAAGACGACTTTTTAGTGTAATGTCAGGTTTCAAATCCCACTTTGCCATTTGCTAGCTAGGTGTCTTGGAGGTGTACTTAATATCTCTGAGTTTCAGTTTCCTCATCTGTGTAATTACAGAGTTATTAATGAACATTAAGGTAAAGTATTGATACACAAAGCACTTTACATAATATAATAATAGATTTATAATATGACTTTTAATCAATTAAAAATAATACATAAGGTAATATAAAGGCTAACTACCTTTTCAACTTTGGAGCATGTCCCTTGATGCAGTCGATGAAAATTCTATTAGGGTTGATTAATGGCATCATAGTTTTCAGCCATGGAAACTTTTTTTTTTAAATAAAATCTTATCAAGAGTCCCAATATATAAAACAAAAGCTGATACACTGGTTGACGTCGAGGCAAGGATTGGTATCCCTTTCATAGTAGGATCAAACATGGCAGATGCTGGTACTGTGTCCTTGATCCTTGATGCGACATAATTTAAATGTCACAGTTATTTGAATTATATCTGAGTTTTTGCTAATTTTTAATTGAGAATCTCAATGAGTGATATCTTACTGTATAGACATTTTCATTTCAGGGAGGTGAATTTCCTGTTAAATTTAATTATCAGTTGAACATGTGTTATGTGCTGCTATGCACCAGTCACTATGCTAATTACTACAAAGATGCAAAGATAAATCTTATTCCCAGGAGCTCATAATCTAGAAGAGACAGCTAGGTAAATAAATCATTGCAGAAAGTATAATAAAGTATAGATATTCACAAATGTTTACATTAGGGAGGGACTTACTAAGATGAAACCATTTTGTGTAAAGAGAAAAAATGTCCAAAGGTTCATGACTTCTAGAACATCACATTTGCCTGTTTTTTTTGTTTGTTTGTTTTGTTTCGTTTTTTAACCCCTTACCTTTCGTGATGCTTTTCAGTTTCTTTTGTTGGTTCCTTCTCTTATCCCTTACATGGAATGGTTGGAGTTGCTCAGGGCTCTTTTTTTGCTTTCTTGGTAAACTCATTAATATTACCTATAAGCCTAATGACTCCCAAACTTACAGTAACGGCCTAGACCTCTCCCCCTAATTTCCAGAATTTCTATTCAATGAAACTTGGTATCTCCATCTGGGTGTCTTACAAAGGCTCTCAAGTTTTACACGTCCAAAATGATGTACTCTTTATCTGCACTCCCCAGTCCAAACAACTACCAAGGCAGCCACTCTGCTATCTTCCCATCTCTGATAATGGCAACTCAATTTTAGTTGTTACAGGCCAAAATCCTTGATGATATTGTTGACTCTTTTTCTCCCACTTCATGGCTGTTCTTTGAAAAGTTCTGCAAGCTCTAACTTCAAGTTTGACCTTTTTTTTTTTTTTTTTTTTTTTGTCATCTCCAATCCTAACTGGTATCTCTGTTGTCTGCAGTCTGTTCTCAACAAAGAGTGATCCTATTAAAAGATGTCATGTCATGTTATCCCTCTATTCCAGTGGTTCTCAACTGAGGGTGATTTTGCTCCCCTGGGGATATTTGGCAATGTCCGGAGACATTTTTGATTATCACACTGGTGGGGTTGGGGAGAGGTTGCTACTAGCATCAAGTGAGTGGATGCCAGGGATGCTGCCAAATATTCGACAATGCACGAAACAGCCCTATGCAATAAAGAATTTGTTAACTGAAAATGTCAGTAGTCTCAGCCGAGGGTTGAGAACCCCTGCTTAGTTCATTGGCACTGCTATAACATAACACCTTAGATTCGGTAGCTTATGAACATTAGAAATTTATATCTCATGGTTGCAGAGGCTGGGAAGTCCAAGATCAAGGAATTGGTAGATTCTGTGTGTGATAAGGACCCATGCTCATAAACAACCTTCTTGCTGTGTCTTTACACGGTGGAAAGGGCAAGGCAGCTCTCTGGGGCCTCTTTTTTAAGGGCACTAATCCCATTCATTGGATCAGATTTCTCATGACATAATCATCTCCAAAAGGCCTCACTTTCTAATACCATCACCTTGGTGATTAAAATAAAACATATAAATTTGGGAGGGAATGCAAACATTCAGACCATACCAGCTGCTCTACTCAAAACTCTAAAATAGTTTTACATCTCAGCTCTTATAATGGCCTAAAAGCCCTGTAAGAAAAGTCTTTATACCACACTACAGCTATTCTCCACCTCTTTTCTTTAATTCTGTAAATATTAAGAGGAAATAAAATGTATTTAAAAGTGTTAACCCTTTTTCTTAAAATTCCTACCTATTTCCACTAGGGGGAGGGCTTCACTACTAAATAATACAGTATTTTCACTTGCCACGTTGTTACAGGAGTCACTGTAATCAGAGCAAGCATCCTCATACTCTTTGTAACAATGTTTCATTATGTACGGTAACCCATTTTCAGATGCAATTTATTTTTCACAATTCCAGTGTACATTTTTTTTTCCATTCGATAAAAGTGAGTTTTAAAATATAATTTTGTCTTTGAATGGATTGTTTTTGAATTTGCAAATACTATTTTAAGGAGTTGCTTTAAAGATTTCCATACTGGATTTTTTTGTGCACATTTCTTTCCCTCTAAATCCAGTCCTACTGATGCACTAGGTGCAACATTTATTTGGTCCCTCCTTCATCTATCTGTGAGGAAGTTCCTGCACCCAGTATACCCAGGGGTAACATAATAGGTTAAGAAATCATCAATTCTAAATCAGAAGCCTACTATCTCCAACTAAGCCATTGTCTCCTAGAGAGACATGACATGGGCACTGCATTATTGAGCTTTTCATTGTCAATGCACCCCTGGAAGCCTGGAATTCTACAGTACACAACCTGTGCAGCCATGAAACCAAGGCTGAGGCTTGGATTACCCCCTGGGCTAGAAATAGGCTTTGAATCAAGCCATCGCATGTATTAAATGCCTCCTAAATGATCGTTCTTTGTAGATGTTGCTCATTTTTGCACATTCTATGTGACATGAATTTTTCTTCAAGAGGATTATTAGGCCTCCCCTATTATTCATGGAACAATGTCTACTGGGACATCAAGGGTTCATAAGGGCTGGACCATTCACCTTCTGTTGTGACCCCCTCTTTTATCAATGCAGCTAGAAAAACTGTACAGTTTAGAAAATACCTGAAAAGTGATGACTGAAACTGAAAACGATGAGGTGGAACAGCAGTGAGAAGGTAACCTGAGAAACCTGGAAAGTAGCTGAAAGGAAGGTGGGGCACTGGGAAAAGTGGAGTTCATACAAAAACCAAACACCAGCCGGGTGTGGTGGCTCACGCCTGTAATCCTAGCACTTTGGCAGGCTGAGGCGGGTGGATCACCTGAAGTCAGGAGTTTGAGACCAGCGTGACCAACATGGAGAAACTCCATCTCTACTAAAAATACAAAATTAGCTGGACATGGTGGCACATGCTGGTAATCCCAGCTACTCGGGAGGCTGAGGCAGGAGAATCGCTTGAACCCTGGAGGCGGAGGTTTCAGTGAGCCGAGACCGCACCATTGCATTCCAGCCTGGGCAACAAGAGTGAAACTCCGTCTCAAAAAATAAAAATAAAAGAAATAAAACCAAACACCAAGCCAGCATAATTACTGCATCCAACTTTTGTTTATATTAAAATGACTTTTAATACAAGTGTGACTTAGTCTGGGGTCATGGCATAACCATTCTGTAGCTAGGTGCTTTTATAGTCAAACTAACAGTCAAAACTCATAACCAGTAAATATATATATAATATGTGTTTGTGTGTATATATATGCTAAATGAAGTCTGCATTCTTATTTTCAAATTGTCTTAAGTTCTTTTTGCAATATACATTTTATTCAAATGGAAGGTTTAAAAATGGCTGCAGGAATTTAGAGAATTTTAGAAATCATTTCCAAGTGCCTCTCAAATGGAATGAAATGTATTTAATATGGTGTTTTCCTTACATCACCTTCTGATTTCCTTCAGCATAGCAACTCTGAGCAATCAGAAGCCGCAATGCAGGCCTCTGATGTCATCAGCTGCCTGCTCCTATGGTTACCAAGATGGGCCCACAATTTCTGATCATCTATGTCAATGAAGTGGCCTGTTTCCTAGACTATAAGTATGTGAGTAGTTTTATAGAGTGGAGGGATAAAAGGGCATTTGTCCGTATTTAATTTTTCCTTTGAGTAAAGAAGTAGGAGGATTTTGTAATATGACTTATTTTTAAAACAAAATGCACGTTTTCTGTTACCTCAATAGCTAGGCTTTCCATATACTTATCTCAAAGTACTAGAGTAAGAAAAGCTTTAGGAGCATTTGAAAAGGAGTGAAAAACAAACATTTTATTTGGAAATAGGGCTGTGAATTCAGCTTGGGCATACAGATCACTTATCATAGGATATGAGATTAAAATTCATGATTGAGACAGCAAGGTACCAATAGATACCAAGGTGAGGTGAGCCACACTCAGAAACTTGCAAAACGGAGGTAGCTGAAAACTCAGGACACAATTCTTATTCCCTCACCAGAACTGAGGGGCTAAAGAGGTTGAGAGTGGTACCCAGGAAAAGATTTGGAGAGAGATGAGATGTAAGCCCTTCCTGTCTATCCAAGGAGGTAGGTTTGGGGTGTTTTCCCCACCAGAAGTAAAGATTTTCAATGAATTCACCTGAAGAACTTGTTAAATTCCATGTCTCTGGTCGGGGACAACATGGTCTGGTGTCCAACTGCCCCTGAAAAATCTAAAATCTGGCATAGCTGGCCAGCTTTTCTGATGGTACCAACAAAGAAAATGCCATCGCATTGAGATCGTCGTCCATCCTCAGAGATTATTGAGTCAAGGATATATGAATATTGTGTCCAATTGGGAATATGATGTATCTGGCTTGGAGTTATTCTAAATTTTGCTCAAGATGATGGCTTTGGGTGGGTGGGAAGTGAGAAGTGAGGGAGTTCCAGCAGAAAGTCTTTAATTGAATAGTTGAGATAAAACCTGAGCTTTTAGGGGAGCGGTGAGCCATAGGAAAATGTCCATGCTATGGAAAGTACAATAAAAAGTTCTCAGTGACTTGGAGGGAGATCTCAAAAGAACACATAAAAGCACCAATCCAGCTACCCATCCCATCACAAGAGAAGGAATCAGCTCCAAACATTTGCCAAATTCAGAGAGTGAAGCTATATTATAATAACACCATTTCAGTAAAAATTCCCACTTCTTTACTGCTCCAGCTTCCCCCTGCTTTGGCACTAGCTGGGCCAGAAATACAAGCTGGAGGAAGAGGACAAATGCCAAGTAGGGGAAGAGAATGACCAGGGCCTCTCTCCCCACCTACTGCAAATGGCTGGCATACAGCAGTCCTCAGTTATGGAAAAGAAGACATCTTAGCTTTAAAACTCAGATATGGTATGAATTACCAGTCCCCACAAATTTGCCCCACGAGTCATGCCTTCCAGTATTCACACCATGTGTAGTTCCCTGCTGCATTGATCTAGGATGGCCCTGTGTCTCCCTTTAACCAGTATAATGCAAAGGAAGTGACACTGTGTCCGTTCTGTGCCTAAGCCTTGAAAGGGTCTGGCAGTTTCCAGTTTTGTGCTCTTGGGAGAACTTCATATATAAAGCACAGCTGTGCTGCTAAAAAGACCACATGGAAAGACCACATGGAGTGGAAAATTCTGAGGCTACATGGAGAGGGAAAGAAGACCAGCTGTCCTACCCAAGTTGAAGGTCAATTTGATTTCATCTGTATCCACACCCAACTTCCCACAATTATCTCCAAGGAAATCCTAATCATCATATCATTTTATTCATAAGTATTTAATATATGTTTCTAAACAAAAATATTATTTCTAAAAATATAATCTTAATTTCATTATCTCATATAATTTCTTAATATCAATTATCAGTGTTCAAACTTTCTTAAGAGACCATGTTTTAGTTTGTTAAATTAAGATCTATATAAGATCCACCAGACATTTTTCATGTCATTTAAATATCTTTTCATCTCTAATTTCTCCTTCCATTTCTCCTTCCACACCCCACATCTCGGGGATAAGAATCTTTTTTTTTTTTTGACAGGGATGCCTGTCTGTCACCCAGGCTGGAGTGCAGTGGTATAATCACGGCTCACTGCAGCCACAAACTCCTAGGCTAAAATGATCCTCCTGCCTCAGCTCCTGAGTAGCTAGAACTATAGGTGCACACCACCATGCTTGGCTAATTAAAAAAAAAAATCCTGTAGAGACGGGGTCTTGCTTTGTTGCTCAAGCTGGTCTCAAACTCTTGGCCTCAAACAAGTAACACAAGCACAATCATCTAAAAATGCTGATGAACAGAAATGAGCATTTGAAAGGGAAAAAATAAAAACTACTCAAAGAACTACACACATATGGGGAAAAAGAGACTTTCTATACCTAAAAAGGAGGACTTCTCCACCGAACATTTCAGTAAATGGAGAGAATAGTCATTGCTGAAATTGGAATAGTGGCCTGGAAAAATAATAACAAGAAATATAACACAAATGCAAAGTAGATGTGATGAGAAAATATACATACATATATATTTGTCAGATAGATCCAGGAGTCCAGACATGCAAAGTAATAATAATCTTAAAAGGAGTTCTAAAAGAAAACATTAAAAAGGAGTAGAAGGATTGGAGGCATTAATTATAGTAGAAAACATCCCAAAGCTGATGAAAGGCTTGTCTGCATATTAGATGGACTCAATGTTTCTAATAGAATCGATTTTTTTTTTAACTCTAAAGCTTATGATAAAAATCTGATAAGCTTCCAGGCAGAAAAAATCGGTTTCCTGTAAAGGAAAAGGAATCAGACTTCTCATCTGTAACACCAGAAGTGGCAGTGAACTAACATCCCACAAACTACTTAGAGAAAAAGACCTGCCACCTCAGAATTCTATACCAGCGAAGTATCATTCTCCTGACAAGATAAAAGAACGTGAATTTTTGATATGGGTATAATCAGAGAATATATCACCCAAGTTGTCTATATGAAGAAAGTAATCTAGAAAGGACACCAAGCAAGGGAACTAGAAAAGAAAACTTCATTGTAGAGATGTAGTGGACAGGAAAAGTGGTGAACAACAAAGCTTGTAAGATATATTTATCTTTAAATCTAAACAGTGAGTATCAGCCTAGGATTGTTTAAGATCAGGAAGTGTTAAATATGGAGTCTTCAAAAAGGAGGGACATATCAATAGTTTTTAACGATCTCAGCCAAATCTGTTAGAGGTAAGAGAGTGGACTAGATTATTCCGTCCATGAAGTTTTGTGGTGGGGGGAAAGCAGTCCCCCACAAAACCATATTTTAAAGGTTTAAACTGACTGGGATGAGGGGAAAATAGAAGACTAGAACCCCTGAGGTGGGAGAAATAGATGGTATGATTTCTTCAAACGAAATAAGAAAACATGAATGTGATCATGAGGGCAGGAAAGGACAGGCAATCATTAATGGAATAAAAAGGGGCTAGAATATTCAAAATATCAGTGGAAAACTAGACTGGAAACTGTTTGATCAAACCAGCAAAAATCAGGAAGAGGAAACATGATTGAAAAATAACGACAGGAAGGGAGAAGCGGCAAGTAATGTAGAGTGTCTGGAGAGAAACGGAAGACAAAAACAAAGACTGAAGATGGTGCTGTAAGAATCTAGCAAGAGGCCGGGTGCGGAGGCTCACGTCTGTAATCCCAGCACTTTGGGAGGCCGAGGTGGGTGGATCACCTGAGGTCAAGGGCTCGAGACAGCCTGGCTAAAATATAGTGAAACCCTGTCTCTACTAAAAAAATACAAAAATTAGCTGGGCGTGGTGTCGGGCACCTGTAACCCCAGCTACTTGGGAAGCTGAGGCAGGAGAATAGCTTGAACCCGGGAGGCAGAGGTTGCAGTGAGCAGAGATGGAGCCACTGCACTCCAGCCTGGGCAACAGAGCAAGACTCTGTCTCTCAAAAAAAAAAAAAAAAAAAAAAAAGAATTTAGCAAGAATATAATCATATACACATGTAAAAGTTAGATGGGTGTGCATTTTTCAAAAGTACTGCTCAAGAGCTTTTTAGTTTTAGAAAAAAACCTTCACCTTATGTAAATAAAAATAAGTATACAATAATAATAAACTTTAGCATGGATATACAAAATAAAAGTATAATAACAACTGATGCATCCTGAATTGCAGAGAAAAGAGTAATTTCAGGAAGATCATTTCTTCTGATCACTAAAGTTTAGTTAAAAGTAAAAAAACATAGACCTGCCGGGTGTGGTGGCTCACACCTATAATCCCAGCACTTTGGGAGGCTGAGGCAAGAGGATCGCTTGAGCCCAGGAGTTTGAGACCAGCCTGTGCAATATGGTGAAACTGCGTCTCTACAAAAAATACAAAAAAAAAAAAAAATTAGCCAGCTGTGGTGGTGCACGCCTGTGGTCCCAGCAACTTGGGAGGGTGAGGTGGGAGGATTGCTTGAGCCCAAGTGGTTGAGGCTCCAATGAGCCAAGATGGCACAATTGCACTCCAACCTGGGTGGCAGAGCAAGACCTGTCAAAAAAAAAAATTAAACCAGTTTTTGACGAAAAAAAGAAAAACTCGCCCCACAACCGCCAAAACAAACAAACAAACAAAAAACCAAACTCAGAAAACACTTTCTGGCATTTTTAAGTGGTGGTTGCAGAAAAGAATTTAACTTTTCCTTAACTCAAGGACAAATACCTAACATGAGACTTAGGATAGTGTTGCATACAGAGGCCACAAAGTGTGATAGCTAAGAACTGATACTTCAAGTTAGATCCTGGTTCAAACTCAGACTTGGCCACTGTCTGGCTGTATAACACTGGGTAAGTTACTCAAGCCCTCTGAGCTTCAGTTTCCTCATTGCTAAAATGGAGGTATATCACATGACGGATGTCAAGTTTAAATAAGGCATGCAAAATGCTGATCTCATGGCTTAGCACATGGCAAGTGTTCAGTAAATGGGCCATTATTACTTTCTATAAAAGCAAATGTATGGGGGCTCCCCTGGGAGATGCTGGTATGTCCTGAAGGCCCCCCACAGTGGGGCACCCTGGACCTCTTAGCAGGAGAAGCCACTTGGAGGAAGCTCAGAGGGAAGGGAACACATGGCCCATGTTTGAGAATGCCAAGGGTGTCGGGAACATGGTGTTGAGGTTCCTTGGAGCCTTTTCCACCCCAGGCAGATGTACTTGAAAGGCAACACTCTCCCTACACAGGAGGATAAACTGAGGTGGGAAGTGGACAGGGGGAGCCTTGGAAGGAGAGTCAGATCAGATAGGCTTCTGTTCCTCACCTCTATATGGCCTTCACGTGCCAGAGGCCCTCTATTGGACTTGGGCTCAGTGGATGGACAAGAAGCTGCTGGCCATGCTGGCCACCCAACCTGTTTGCTTCTGATGTCCCACCACCAGCAATTCTACTCTCTCCATTTCCTGGCTGAGGACCCACAAGGAGTTCCATGGAGAGCCTCATATCAGTGTATCCAGTTGCAGCACCAGCAATGGAGCCTGGTCATGGAGAGTATGGTGGAGAATAAGTTTGGCAGCATCCTGCAGATATACACACTGGACATGCTGGATGAGGGCTACAGAGAGGGGCAGGCAGACGGGCAGCCTTCCAGTCCCCATCTGCCCCCACAGAGTGCTCTCCTCACTGACTAATTCCGCATGCATGGCTGCTGCCCAATCAGACAGTGGTGCTGGGCAGTGAAGTGGAGTCCCACTGCAAGGTGTACAGCAGCTTAGCACTTGGAGGTGAACAGCAGCAATGTGGACCCTGCTGGCATAACATACCTCACCATGCTCAAGGTGGGTGCCACTGCTGGCTAAGTGCAAGGGGTGGGTGGGCTGGGGTGACACTTCACTGAAATCTACCAGCATTATAGAAGTTTTGGAATAGCCTATGAAAGAGAAACTATGGTACCAGCCAGCAGACAAAATCCTCTGCAGTGAGCAATTCTGGACATGAACTTGCTGCTGGTTCGCAGCATCTGCCATGAACTGCAGTCTAAAATTAGATGCAGTTTTTCCTAAAGTAAGAATATGTGTGTCAGTCAATAAAAATGGGAATCACCCCTATGACTTCTGTCCCTCATAATCCTGCTTCTCCCTCTGTAACTTTGTGCTCTCTGAATTCCCATACTGAGTAAAGAACTCCTTGGTGAGCTTATCATCAACCTCACATATTTAACAAACATGATTTTATCTTAAGACCCACTCTAAAATTATGTGACAAAGTCTATGAATTATAATAGATGACAAATTAAAGAATTAGGACGGGCCATTATGGAAGTTGTAGAATTAGTTATATTTGTATCTATGAGTTTTCTATTGGCCTATATTCATTACTTGTAAAATATATCATGTTTCATTCTGTCAAGCTTAAACTGATATACTTTATAATAGAAGGTGTCCCAGCCAAGGACCTGCTAGGTGACCACTGCTGCACCACAGGCTTCTGTCCCATCATCTGCAGAGACTCTGGTTTCTTCACAACAATTCTTGGGTGGCAGATGGGCAGCTGTGTACCTGGGACTGCATCACTGAACTTTTCAGGGATGTAGGATGTTCTAAGCTCCAACTTCCAGCTAGTCTACCTAACACTGTTTGAAATTCTTTGGTGTAGTATGAAGATGGAAATAAACAGCTCTGAATGCTGGGGGAAAACAAACAAACAAACAAATGTAGGACTAAATAGGAAAGGACACTGGAACTTGCTCCAGATATCAAAAGTTCCTTGATATCCACTTACTTTTAAATTATTTGCCTCTTTCAAATAAAGAGAAAGGATACCTATGCAGTTGCATGATTTCAGAGCTGAGCTTCCACTAAATTAATCACTGAATCAAAGTCTGTTGTGTTGGAGAAAAATAAATATGAGATGTGGAGTCAGAAGACCTTGAAAATACCTTTTCATTTTGTTTCCTCTTTTAATGGGTCATACTAACTCTGCTGTAAATATCAACCCTCAGAACTGTGAGGATCCAGTAACATTATGACAAATTGCCCTCAAATATTGTTATTATTACAGACCATGCAGCAAATACTTCCTTGGCAGCTGAACTGACCGGAGCCCCTAGGGTACCTTAATCATGGCCCCGGTTTGAATTCTGCCGTGTGCTCGTTGGAGCTGCAGAAGTTAACAAGTTGCACGACCTTTCAGTGACCGTCCCTCTAGATCACAGGTTCTCTGTAAGGAACAGAGATATCTAACGGGCTTCCTTCATGTCATAGAATCCTGTTGGTGCTCTTCACATAGCAGATTCTCTTCTTTGCCCGGTCACTTCTATCCTCCTGCTGTTTCCACCCCAGAATCTGTGTCAAAGCCAGCTCCACCTCGGATCTCTACCACCCACTCTGCTTTTGGGTCTCCAGCATTTGCTACTCTCTGAATGTTCCTTTTTGCTCTTTCATTTTTCTTCCTTTTCTTGTTCTTTCTTCCTAGTACTTCTTGTTTTGTTTTGTTATTTTTGCTTCCTTACAAGTGCTTTAAAAGAATTTTTGCTATGCTAATAAGCAGCTTGAATTTCCTGGCTATGAGAGACCAATGAAAGTGGTTTTTTGTATTTTTAATGCCCCAACCAACCAGCCAGTAGACCCAACCTGATAAAGGTGACAAGATGATCATGAATATGATTGAAAAATCCAGATCTGGAGAAATCTACTATGCTCAAATTGTTTTGTGATTATTTTTTTGAGGCCTTGGGACCCTATGATACCCTGTAGAGGGGAAAGGATTTACTAGAAGGAAAGGAAGATTCCCACTGTTAACCACCTGCACATATGTGGTGGACCAAGGTCGAGGAGAGGGAAGGGCTTTGTCTCCTCTCTAGAGCTCTGAGTAAGTAGGAATGGGCTCTGAAGAGTGGGTAGGCCTGGAGAAGACCAAGGAGTAGATCTGTACCAGTAACAAAGACAATGGGTAAGGAGAAACCAAGGAAAACAAATAACCACTCTCTCATGGGAGAGGCCTGAGCAGTGGCAACAGTAAGTTCAGAGGTTACAACCTCCAGAGCAGCAGGGAGAGTCTTTGGGTCTCAAGGCTCCTGTATGTATTCCACTCAGCCCAAAGCAACAAGATATAAGAGAACATCTCCAGAAAGACTAGATGTCTTGCTCGTCTGATCAAGTGAAAGCTTGGTTTTCATGTCTTGCCAATGGGGAGATGTTTGAAATTCAAGCTGGTCAAACTCTTCATTCCTGTTATAGATTCTTCAGAAGCTTCAGACTAGAGGTTTTCATACTGTGCTCCACAGGAGCTGTAAGGGTCTGCAAGTATAATAAAAATTCATTTAAACATTTTTGAATGAGAAGTAAGAAACACGCTGGGCACCGTAATCACACCTGTAATCACAGCACTTTGGGAGGCCAAGGCAGGCAAATCACTTGAGGTCAGGAGTTTGAGACTAGCCTGGCCAATATGGTGAAAACCCTGTCTCTACTAAAAATACAAAAATTAGCCAGGCGTGGTGGCGCTCACCTGTAATCCCAGCTACTCGGGAGGCTGAGGCAGGAGAATCGCTTGAACCTGGGAGGCGGAAGTTGCAGTGAGCTGAGATCATGTCACTGCACGCGAGCCTCGGTGAAAGAGCAAGACTCCATCTCAAAAAAAAAAAATTAAATTTAAAAAAATTAAAAAGAAGTAAGAAACAGACTCACAACACATATATAACAAACATATAACAGATGTATAACAAATGTTATATGTAACAAGCATTAATATATAGTAGGTTCTATACATTAGGATTATGATTTCAAGTAATAGAAATCAACCATAAAGAGCTAAAACAAAAATGGAGATTTTTATCTGAAGGACTCCGGACTTTATCACAGACCAAGGGCTAAAATGCAGCCAGATCTCAGGAAGCGATTGAAACCAGGTATCAAAGGACAATAGGAATCTATTGCTCACTTTTGTGTATTTCTTCATTCTTTCATCTGAAGACTTGCTTTCTATGCTCCTCAGGCCTTGTGGCCAAAAATGTCACCATACCACACACCTTGAGTCCATATATCTGCAGAGTCCATATATCTGCAGAGACTGACTCAATTTTGAGTCCCTATACCAAATGCTCAAGAGAGGAAATCAAATTGGCTAACGAGCCAAGTATCACCTGCACAATCAATTAACTTGGCCACGGGCACTGATATGCAGTAAAACATGAATTCCAGGATCCTATCTATGTTCATGGGAGAAGAGATGCGTGGGAACGAGCACTGGGGAATCCCTGAGATGTCTACTGTAAGGACCACAGGTTATGGGCTAACTTGTGATACCTTGTTTAATTTGCTTTTGAGTAAATTTTGGAATTTTTTTTTTCTTACAGATTTTGTATTTGTACTTTTAAAAAAAGCAAATGTGTTATATAGGAGGTTTGTAGCTCTACCCCAGTGTTTTTTTTTTTTTTTTGAATTCAGATTGGTGCATGTGTTATCTCATAAAGTTGTATTAGCAAGTACATTATAACAACTCACAAATGCTGGGTTCAATTAAATGTTAGGTAACATTCAGATGCTTCCACTGGGTGCATGGCATGTTTGTGGAGAAATAGCCAATGTTAAGAAATATGTGAATGGGTAACATGTTGTGATCCAATTATATTACAGATAGTTTTAGCATTTGTGAATTTGTGATGCCGTCTGACTTTTAATAAGCTGAACAAGCTCAATTTTACAATTCAATCCTTTAGTATTTTCCAGTTTATAAATGCAGATAAATGTCAAGGATAAAAGTGAACCTTAAAGTTTAAAATCTACATGCAAAACAAAATAAATAGAACCATTTGAAAACAGCCTCAGTATGGCAAAGCAATTATGAGATTCTAGATTTAAATTGCTT
Organism: Homo sapiens; assembly: GCF_000001405.40. Classification (NCBI taxonomy): domain Eukaryota; kingdom Metazoa; phylum Chordata; class Mammalia; order Primates; family Hominidae; genus Homo; species Homo sapiens. The sequence continues at coordinate 95,752,926 of NC_000011.10, read as the reverse complement.
GAATTCCACACGTAGCTTCTTGCCTTACTAGCTGTGAAACCTTAGATATACTACCCAACTTATCTGTGCCTCAGTTTGTTCAGCCATGAATTCAAGATAGTTTTATAAGATTGCTTTGAGCATTAAATGGGACAAAATCTAGTAAGGTGTTCAGAGCATTGTTTAGCATTTCATAAGTGCTCAATAAAACTCAGTTATGATTCATTATCAACTCATGACTTTGTTGGGCATCACTATTAAGTTTAATCATCCCTCTGTCTCAGTCTCTTCAGTTCATGCTTAGAGCTGGCACTGCCTCCATTCTTCCTCATCCACTAGTATCCCATCATCTAGTCTCTATCTTATAGAAATTTACTAATGACTTTCATATGCTGATGTCCCCCATCCATTCTCAGCTCCTATAGGAATTTCTCCCATTTTTTGCTGATTATCATTTCAGTGGGTCTTCAGAAAGATGGGAAGGGAGTGTGTGCTCCATTTACTGTCTTGAATAGAAGTCATTCTGAGATTTAAATATACATTGTTAGGGATCTCATAATGATTCCAATTATGTACTGCTTTAAAAATTGTCCCATCGACTCACTCCAAACTGAATACTTACCAATGACAAAATGTGAACAATGTTAGATAATTGTTAGTAAGCCAAATTTGAATAAAAGGTATTTCTTACATCCTTCTTTCAAGATTTGGATCAATTATATTGTAGAGTATTACAAGACTGCCAGGCAATCTGTTAAAAACATTATTGTTTGCAACAAATTTTCTGTATGAATTAGAAATTTCTTAATACTCTGCAACCCTATAAAAATAAAGAAGTAAACTACAGACTGAGGGTGATATAATACAGCAAATGCTATGTATGATTTCTGTCAACCCTGATTTTTATCCAAGCAAAACCTTCTTTGCTCATTGGTGACTGTATAAATAAATATTGGCAATTTTTCTTAAACATGGTGTACTGACCACATAAGTTTATAACCATTTCAAGACTTCACTAAAACTAAAGAAAATTAAAAGGTGTAGACCCAGGAAGAAAATGAGAATACCAGTGGATGCAGGAGAGTGATAAATGACTTAGCAGGGTAGAAGAGATCATGACATGAGGAGTCTGCAAAAGAGGAAACTGACCAGCAACAAGCTAGTCCATCCCCATGGAAACTTTGTAAGGCTCAGGACTTGGAGGTGTCAGGTACTGTGGAGGGTGGGAATGAGGGATAGGGCTGAAAACAAGAAGATTGTTTGAACATAGGCAATAAGCAAAACAAAGCTTGAACTCAGCAATAGCAGGCATTGTGTATGGCTAGAAGGAGAGGCAGGCCAGAAAGCAGGGACTGAGTGAAATTTCACATACGGAAAACAGGATCAGCCTCCAGCCACTTGCCCTGTCCTGCTTCCAGAATGCCAGAAGCCTTGAGAGTAAATAAAACCAGGTACAAATATACAAGGACAGAGAAAAGGGAGTAAGAGGTTGCAGCAGATATGAGATGCCCATGAATATTTTAGAAGAGAAAAAGTTAATGGGTGGGTGGTTCCAACTTAGCAGAGCGAATAAAGCTGAGATATACGTGTTCGCAGAGGAGGGTGCCAACAACAAGGTAATCATTTGGCTTTGCCCAACCCAGGAACTGGAGGCAGGGGTGAGGATGGACTGCATGAAGGAAGACTGATTGAAACACAGACTGTTTGAACTCCTCTGCTTTCCTCCACAAAGCTAAGCATCTGGAGGTTTATTCACCAAGGAAATGGAATCAAGACCCTCTGGACTTAGTGATGACAGACACAGCCTAGGCCCAGAGTGAGTTACTTTGTTAGAAATGAGTATTATTTTAAATTATTCACGATGAATGGTAAGGTCTTTCAGTCCATTTCTTTAGCTGGATGCTGAAATCACGGACACTTAGCATGGTGAACTGAAGCAGGGGTTTGGGGGATTTAGCCCTCCAAGGAAACTGGCATGGCAAGAACTAGGGTATGTATGTATGTATGTATGTATGTATGTATGTATGTATGTATTTCAACAGTCTTGCTGTGTTGCCCAGGCTCGAGTTCAGTGGCGTGATCTCAGCTCACTGCAACCTCTGCCTCCTGGGTTCGAGCAATTCTTGTGCCTCAGCCTTCTAAGCAGCTTGCATTACAGGCATATGACACCATGCCTGGCTAATTTTTATATTTTTAGTGGAGACGGGGTTTCACTATGTTGGCCAGGCTGGTCTTGAACTCTTGGTCTCAAGTAATCTGCCTGCGTCAGCCTCCCAAAGCGCTGGGATTACAGGTGTGAGCCACCATGCCTGGCTTAGTGTCATTACTAATGTTGTATAGCAAACCACCACAAAATTTAGTGGCATAAAAATATAAATCATTTTATTATGCTGAAGGTTATTATTGATCAGGATTTCAGAGAGTGTCCTCTCTAATAAAACTTAAGGATGGTTTTTCTCTGCTTTATAACAACTAGGGTCTCTATTGGGAAGACTCAAACATCTGGAATAACTCATATGCCAGGGACTGGAATCATCTGGAAACTTTTTTAACCACAGTTGTGGTGACTGGTGATATGCCATGAAGACTAAGCTTAATTGGGACTCTCAATTGGAATGCCTGTGTATGGCCTCTTCATGTGGTCTGGGCTTCTGGTGGACTGTTCCAGCAAAAAAGATAGATGCTCCCTGATCACTCATGGCCCAGCCTTGTAAATCATTGTCTCATTTCTAGTGTACTTTATTGGGTAAAGCAGTCAAAACTAATCTAGATTCAAGTAGGGTACAGCCACCATTTCTTAATGGGAGGAACGTCAAAGAATTTGTAGGAAGGTTTTAAAATCACCATATATAGTCATGAAAACAATAGTCAAATAGTCAGGAGCTCTTCAGAGAAATCAAAGCAGAAGCTGAAAGGAAAATCAGGCCGATCTCTGTTGATAAGGGTTTTGACAACAAAAATCATTCCTGGATCCAACTGCTGATGGCTGAGGCTGCTGCTATAATCTCCAGCATGTTACATGCTGGCTTAGGAGCTGCAAAGGAAGAGTATTTAGGGCCCTAGATGGGAGAATCTGGAAAAGTTGGGATTGAGTTAACATCTGGAGCCCTAGCAACTAAAAGCTCAGTGTGAATCTTATTTGGATCCTGCCTCAAGAAAATAACCAGGGAAATTTGAACACTGATGATGTTGAGGATTTACTTAATATTTCTGTGTAATGATGGTATTGTTGTTATGTCAAAAATGTTAATTTCATTTTGTTTCAAAATGAAATATTCCTTAATAGTTATTCCTTAATATTCCTTGAGGAATATAAATATCCTTAATAAATAATAAATAGGATATTCCTTAATAAATTCCTTAATTTCATTTTGAAACAAAAGAAATTATTTATTAAGGAATTTTTATTTATTAAGGAATTATTAAGGAATATCCTTATTTATTAAGAAATATCCTAAACAATGTGTAGATAAAATAATATGATGTCTTGGATTTGCTTCAACATAGCCCAGTGAGGGAAAGAGGAGGAGATCGGATTATAGGTGAACCAGATTGGATATATGTTGATATTATGAAACCAATGAGAAGTACATGGGAGTTCTTTATACAATTTTATCTCCTTTTGTGTAAGCTTGAAAACTTTCACACTGAAATTTTTTGGAAGTTTACACACACACACACACACACACACACACACACACACGGATAGGTATTAACCTCTAGAATGGATTTACCATATTTAAAAGAGTAATAAGGAACTTCCAATAAATTGTATTTGCATTTATTTAAGTCAATTGTTGTCTTGGTAGATAACAACTGTGTAGCACTTTTTATTTCATGAAACCCTTTGACCTTCACAATAATTCCACAAGGTAGGCAGATGATAAGTGTAAGCATAGAGGAATAAAAGGACATGTTCAAGGTCACACAACTAGAACATGGAGGATGCAGGTCTCAAATTTGAGGCTTTTGGTTTTATAACTCATTGCCATTACACGATAAGTTACTATGCAGCAGTAGTTCTTAATATTTAGGGGCTGTGTGACACTTTGATGACCTGATCAAAGCTATGGAACATTTTCCCAGAAAAATGCAAATGTGCGCACATCCAAAAATGTGAAGACAATTTCAGGGATGGGGAGGTTCCTTTCCTCCAATACATCTGAAGCCTACTCATGGATCTCAGGTTAGGCATTACTGCTGTATAAAGAACATGCTTCTTAGTCAATTCTATTTCTCCTTTGTTGGCTATCATAACTCAGCCTTCCAACAGAGTTCTGGCTTGCTCCCTCATCCAATTAACTACATCAAATCTGCTCTCTTGCCTTATTTCTTTGTCTCTGATAATGATCTGAGCATTGAGCATGAAGACATCCTCCCTTAGCCTTAAATCAGCAGTTCCTCACAGGCCCTACAGACACCCATTTCATTTTGTAAAGTTTCATTCACTGTTCCTCATATCTCTTACAACATTACTAGTTTAAAACTATCATCTCAATACTGAGAAACTCAGGTATATTGTCCATAAGCTATTACTGAAATGGTGCCCGGTCATGGGAAGCATGGAGAATTAATCTCTCTTCTGTGCTCATATAGCTCTCTAAGCATGTCTCTATCAAATGAGCTCACACTATGTTATAATGATCCTGTTATGTTTTGCTCCTTCAAGAGGTTGTGAGCTCCTTGGTGACAGAAACCATATCAATTCATCATTAGGGAATGGCTAGCACAAGGCAGGTGAAACAAAGTAAGAGTGAAATAAACATTTCTTGCATTAATAAATAAATGAATCCAAACATTCCATTCAATGAAATACTTAAAATCGTAAAACAAAACAAAACAAAACAACCTGTACATCCTTGCCACGTACAACTGCATCAACCTCAGAGGTCAATTAGGTAGGAATTGTTTTGAATGCTTCCTTCTGTTGCTCTTCCAGATACTAGAAGGAGAGAGATATATATTAAAGGTTCTCCAGTTCTATTAACTGTCTTCCTGGAGACTTATTTTAAAGCCTCATCTGATTAAAATGTTTAGTCTCAATGACTGGCCAAGAGGAGTGATTATTGATTAGCTGTTTTCTTTTGGGTTAAACATGAAAGGCAGAACTATTGTCTCCGGAAGGCATTTGCTGAAAAGAACAGGTGTTACCTTGATAAAAAGCAATAAACCCTGAGCTAGTCTCCCCACCACTGCTGGAGCCCATCTACATAGTCCCTGAATGGGGAGTTGGAGGCTGAACAGATGGATAATTAGGCAAGAAATTCTGTAGAGAGATATTTTGAAAAAAGTAGGAGCAAAGTGTGCTACATGGGAGTCCAGAACCAAGGATGGAGGTGAGGAAAAGTGGTTAGGCAGGAGATTGCTGCTAAATGAAAAGGGTGGAGAAACTTTATTATGAAAACCTTGCCAAAACAACCGTCTTTGACCATTTGTTCTTTGCTCTTCCTCAAAGTCTGTTTAATGATAAAAAGAGATTATTATGGTCTTTGAAGGAGAAGGTTGTCTTTTGTAGATTAATGTGACTTTTACTTAAATCAGAAACCATTTTGCCTAGAGTATAATAGCAATCAAACCAGTGTTTGACTTCCATAAAGTAACTGAAATTGGACTTGGCCTCCTACCAGAAACACTAGAAAATTGTACAAAAATGTATTAAACAACTGTCTTCAGACTTTGGATGAAAGGTAGTACAGGGCTGTGATCCTTGAGAGAAGGTAAATCAGTAATGTGGGCCCTAAAATGATCTCAGCTTTCTGTACTTTAGGGACAGCACATAGCAGGAGAACCCAAACAGAACTCAGTGGTCTTGTTGTGTTGAAGACATAGAAACTACAGGTTGAAGAGGCTGAGGTAGCTGTAGTTTGTAGAGTAGGAAACTGGAGAGTAGGGAGCCATGCAGAGAAAGGGCACCAGAAATTTGCATATAGGTCCACTTGAGTCTGTTGCTGAAAACTAAGCTATGCATGCTAAGGATGAAAACTTTATGCCAAGCAAGGAACCACTAGGGTGCTGCAAAATAAGCAATTTCCAGAGAACATACTTGACTGAAAGTTCCTTGAGTTCCAACCGGCCAAAGTGATGAGGCCTCATTAAACATTAAATACAGACCCTGGAAGACTTATACCTTAGTAGTAGGCTAGACTAACCCTAAGGGAAAAGCTACTCTAGACATTTTTAACAGTTTAAAAACAGGCTTCAAAAAGACTAGGTTGATCCACAAGTAATTTAATTGCCTTCCAAAAGAAACTTAAATACACTCTAATGGAAGACAACAAAATTTGGACACTCAGCAGTGTAACAATCACAATTCCCAGCATCCAGTAAAAATTTCTGGACACATGAAGAAGTGTATGGCTCATAACCAGGAAAAAGACAAGTCAGTAGAATCAAATTTAGAAATGACAGAAGTGGAATTAACATACACTGGATTTAAATATTTGTTAAAATTGCTGCAACAAATATGCTCAAGAATTTTTTTTAAAATGAAGTTAGTGAGGAAAGAAATAAATATTTAAAAATTGAAGCACATGGAACTCCCAGAGATGAAAAATCAATATAGAAAGTGAAAATATTGCAGGAGGGACATAATAGATTAAATACTGTAGAATAAAAGGTCAGTGAAATTGAAAATGTAGCAATAGAAACTATCCACATGGAAGCAGAAAAAGGAAAAAAAAGTAGCAAAATAAATAAACAGAGCCTCAGAAGTCTTTGGAATAATTTCAAGTGCTCTACATTTATGTAATTAAAATCCATGAAGAAAAAAGGGGGATTTTAGAAGTATTAGATTAAATAAAGAGAATTTCCGAATTGGATAAAAATCATAAAATCAATATAAAGAAAAAGAATTTCTGAATTGGATAAAAATCATAAAATTAATATACAATCATACAAACATCAGACAAAAAATCCACCAAGGCATATATTAATCAAATGTCTGAAAACCAATGATAAAGATCCTAGAAATGGCCAGAGGAAAAGAGAACTCTATATTATGTAAAAGGGAACAAAGATAAGAATGATATCAGACTTTTTTGTCAGAAATGGGACAAGCCAATACATAATAAAACAACAGATTTAAAGTACTGAAAGAAGACTAAAAAAGATAGGTTAACCGAGAATTTTATATTAAGCAAAATTATCCCTCAAAAATGGAGAGGGAAAATAGTTATCCAGACAAACATAAACAGCATGGTCACAGATTTAAATCCAACTATATTAATAATTCATAAAATGTAAATGGCCTAAAGTCCCTAAATAAAAGTCAAAGATTGTCAGATTGGATTTTTTAAAAAGCAATATTCAATTTTCTGATACTGCAAGAAACTTAGGTTAAAAGTAAAGAATGAAAAAAAAAACCCTGAAAATGCCTAATTAAAAGAGTGATTGCATTAACATTTAAGTAGACTCAGAACAAAAAATATTATCAGAATAAATACATTATGATTTAAGCTTCTGTTTTAAGACAATGCATATTGTACACTATAGAGCAAATAAAACTCGAAGTAAACAGATGGAAAACAATAATACAGAAAAGAACCGAAAATAATTAAATAGAAAGTGGAAAACAGAGAAAATTAATAAAACCACAAGATGATTATTTGAAAAGATTAATACAATGGATAATCCTCCAGCCAGAGTAATTAGGAAAAAAAAGATACAAATGAAATGACCAGTATCAGGAATAAAAGAGAACCCATCACTAGAGACCCTGAAGCATAAAAAGGAAAATAGAAATATTATAAACAACTTTATGCCAAAAAAAGATAATTTCGGTGAAATAAACATTTCTTGAACAGTATAAATTACCAGAATTAACACAGGTAAAAATAGAATATTTGAATAGTCCTATATATATTTATTTTAAAAATTGTATTAAAAAATTAAAAGATTTCCCACAAAACTACCAATTTTTTAGGTTGCTTCACTGGTGAATTTCATAAAATATTTGATGAATAATATGAGTCTTATACAAACTTATTTGGAAAACAGCAGCAGAAGAAACACTTAACTTGCTTTATGAAGCCAACTGTCTTAGTCTGTTTTATGCTTCTGTAACAGAATACTTGAGTGTGTAATTTATAAAGAACAGAAATTTATTTCTTACAATTCTGGAGTTTGGGAAATCCAAGATCAAGGTGCTGGAAGGTTCATCATCTGGTGAGGGTCTGGTTTCTCCTTCAAAGATGATGACTTGAACATTTCATCCTCTGAATAGGAAGAATGCTGTGTTCTCACATGGCAGAAGGTAGAAGGGCAAAAAGGAATGAGTTTTTGGTGAACAAGGCTAGGTTTGTCAAGCTCTTTTATAAGGGCACCTAATCAATCACCTCCCAAAGGCCATGCCTTCCACTAATGTTGCATTGGGTATTAAATTTCAACACGAATTTTGAAAGGAACAAAAAGTTAAACCATAGCATCAGACTTATCTGATAACAAAACCAGACCTCTGTGTGTGAGTGTGGTGTTGAGTTTCCTTTGAACCCAGTCTTTTCCACAAATGACTTTGCACACATTACAAAAGAACTATAGACCCATGTCCCTCCTGAACATTGACACAAAATTACTCTGAATTATAAGCAAATGAAATCCAGCAGTACATTAAAGAAATGACATAGAATGGAGAAGATTTATCCCAGGATTGCAAAGTTGATTTACCTTAAATATCTAATTAATATCATTACCATTCACCATATCAATAAAATAAAGAAGAAAAACTATATGAACATCATTAGATGCAGAAAAGGCATTAGACAAAATACAACACATATTCATGGTAAAATATCTCAGCACATTAGGGATAGAAGGAATCTTTTCAACCTGATAAAGGGCATCTACAAAAAACAAACAAACAAAAAAACACAGCTAACATCCTGCTTAATGATAAAAGATTCAATTTTAAGGCTGAGAGTATAACAAGTATGTCTGTTTTTACCACTTCTATTTAACATTACAAGGGTCCTAGACCACGGTTCTAATTCATGCAAAAACCAACGCAAAGAATAAAAGGTATACAAATTAGAAAGGAAGAAGTGAAGCTGTCTGTATTCACATATGACATGATCATGTATCCACAAAACTAAGGAATTTAAAAGACAGCTACTAGAATTAACAAAGGGATTTATCAAGGTCACAGGATACAAAGCAATAGACAAAAAAAATGTATTTGTATGTACTAGCAATGAATCACTGAAAATGCAATAAAAGTGATTGCATTTAGCCTAGCATAAAAGATAAAATAATTAGAGATAAATTTAACAAAAGGTATTAAGAATGTACACTGTAAAACCTTAAAACTACAAAACCTTGCTTAGAGAAATGAAAGAATGCCAAATAAATGGTAAGATATACCATGTTCACTGATTGGATCACTCCATATTGCTAAGATGTCAATTCCCGCTAACTTGATGTAGAGTTTTACCTCAGTTGCAGCATGATTTTTTTTTTTTAGAATTGTCAATTGATTCAAAAATTTATATGGAAATGCAAAGAACGTAGAATGACGAAAACAATTTTGAAAAACAAGAACAATATTGGAGGATTTATACTACCTTCTTTTAAAATTTATAAAAGCTAAAATAATAAACACAATGTAATATTCATGTAAGGATAGACAAATAAATCAATGAACAGAAGATGGTGTGTGTGTGCTTTTGTGTAGAATTGCCTTTCACGCAGTATTTTCCACAAATGATGCTAGAACAACTGGGTTATCCATTAAAAAAAATGAACACCACACACACCTTACTTCATACTCTTTTTACATAGTAATTTGACATGGCTTATAGGCCTAAACATAATGCTAAACTTATGACATTTTTTGAAGAAAAATATCAGAAAATATTTGTGACTTTGCGTTGGCATGGATGTTTTAGGCACAGAGAAAGCATGGAATATGAAGAAAAAATGGAAAAATAGAACGTTATCATAATTAAAATATTCTGCTCATAAGACCATTAAGAGAATGGAAAGGCAAATACAAACTGGGAGAAAATATTTTCAAAGTATATCTGACAAAGGATTTGTATATAAACATAAAAGAACCTTAGGATTCAATGAGAAGATAAAAAAATCCCAAGTAGAAAATGGGCAAAAGATTTCAACAGATTCACCATGAAAGAAGATATGCAAATGGCCAATAAGCACATGAAAAGATGCTGAACATCACTAATCATCAGGGAGTGCAAATTAAAACACAATGAGGGCCTGGCGCGGTGGCTCACGCCTGTAATCCCAGCACTTTGGGAGGCCGAGGCGGGCGGATCACGAGGTCAGGAGATCGAGAACATACTGGCTAACACGGTGAAACCCCGTCTCTACTAAAAATACAAAAAAATTAGCTGGGCATGGTAGCGGGCGCCTGTAGTCCCAGCTACTCGGGAGGCTGAGGTGGGAGAACGGCGTGAATTCAGGAGGCGGAGCTTGCAGTGAGCCAAGATCGCGCCACTGCACTCCAGCCTGGGCGACAGAGCAAGACTCCGTCTCAAAAAAAAAAAAAAAAAAAAAACCACAATGAGATACAATCACGGATTCACTAGAATTACTAAAATTAAAGAGATTGACAATACGAAGTATTTACAAAATGTGGAGCTACTGTAACTCATAAATTAGTTATGAGAATATAAAATGATAGAACACTTTGGAAAACAGTCTGGCATATTCTTATAAAGTTAAAATACAATTATCATAGGACCAGCAATGCTGTTTAGGAATCTACACAGGAGAAAGAGAGCATATGTCCACATAAAAAATTTTACATGAATGTTCATAGCAGCTTTATTCATAACAGCCAAAAAAAAAAAAAAAAAAGCAAACAACTCAAATGTCTATGACTAGGTTGATAAATAAACAAATTATAGTATATTCACACACTGGATTACTACTTAGCAATAAAAAAGAGCAAAGTACTTAAACATGTAACACATAAATGACTCAAAAATAAACTGAATGAAAGAAAATACACAAAAGCAAACGTACGAAATTTTAGCAAAGACAAAAACTCAACTAAAGTGACAGATAAGTGGTTGCTTGGGGACTAGGGTGGCGATAATTTGCTACCAAGGGGACAAGGGAACTTTTTGGGATGATGGAAATGTATTGATGACTGTGGTAGTTATAGAGGTTATACATTTGTCAAATCTCATTCACATATAAATATAAGAAATAGGTGCACTTTATTGTGTATAATTCATACCTTAAGTTGATTTGAAAGACCACGACAATGCATGACTCCCTGACAGGACCGCTGGTCAGCTAGCAGCAACCATTTTACTAGTCATATAAGTTTATGTTACACTGATTCACTATTTAGGTTAGGAGGAGAATATAGCTCCTTTGGTACAGCGATGGGGGCTTTGCCTGGCTAGAATTTATCATGCCCTTTGAGCAGTGGGTGATGTGATGAGATATCCCCAGGATGAAGAAAAGGGAAGGCAAAAGTGCAAAAGTCTGTCATATGGTAACTAATATTCTTGACCAGACAACACTTCTATAGGTCCCAGAGAAATCTGAGTAGAGGGAAAGGCCAGACAAATATATGCTATCCCTTGTCAGGATTTTAGCTCCTCATGCTGCATTTACATTGTGAGAAGTGAGTTTTAAGAGATACCAAAAGGGAACAAAGCATTAAGAAAGAACAATTTAGGCTGGGTGCAGTGGCTCATGCCTGTAATCCCAGTACTTTGGGAGGCCGAGGCAGGCAGGTCACCTGAGGTCGCGAGTTCGAGACCAGCCTGAGCAACATGGTGAAACCCCATCTCTACTAAAAACACAAAAGTTAGCCGGGTGTGGTGGTGCATGCCTGTAGTCCCAGCTACTTGGGAGGCTGAGGCAGGAGAATCGCTTGAACCTGGGAGGCAGAGGTTGCAGTGAGCCGAGATCATGCCATTGCACTCCAGCGTGGGCAACAAAGGCGAAGCTCTGTCTCAAAAAAAAAAAAAAAAAAAAAAGAAAGAAAGAAAGAAAGAACAATTTTCATGGGAGCAAGGGTGCATAAACTCCTTAGTGTTCTACTCCCAACCTTTCAACAGTAATAGCCCAGGCTTATATTGTGTTCATTGTGTACTACACATTTCTTTCATATATATATATATATATATATATATATATATATAGTATATGTCATATATAAAGACACATGCTGCATACAGATATTTGTGTGTGTGCACACACATATATATTTTATATATATAGTTATGCATCATTTAATGATGAAAATGTCCTTTGAGAAATGGATTATTAGGCACATTTATCATTATGTGAATATCATAGAGTGTACTTACACAAACCTAGATAGTAATAGCCTACTGCACATCTAGGCTATATGGTGGTCCAGCCTATTGTTGCTGCTTGGCTACAAACCTGTACAGCATGCTGCTAAACTGAATGCTGTAGGCAATTGTAACATAATGGTAAGTATTTGTGTATCTAGACATACCTAAACATAGAAAAAATACAGTAAAAATACAGCGCAAGAGATAAAATAATGGTATATCTGTATAGGGCAGCTCCATTATAATCTTGTGGGACCATAATTGCATATGCAGTCTGTTGTTGGCAGAAGCATTGTTATGTGATGCATAGCTGCATATAATTTATTCCTATCTCATGACAACCTTGATTATCACTCCTATCTGACAGTTTGGTCATTGAGACACAGAAAGAATAACTAGCTTGCCCAAAGTCACACAGCTACTAAGAGACAGACCTAAGATTTAAACCTGTAGATTATGGTGCTTTCCACAATTCTGCCAGTTGTGCTCTTAAGGTATCAGCACTTCAGAACGATTCCCCTCACAGGTAGAATCAAGCAAAGAGAGACTTCACCTCCCAGTTCAGATTGAGAAATATAAAAAAGAACCCCATCCTTTATGTATGTACATATGTATGGTGAGTGTATTTGCTGAAGGTAACTGCCTACTATCACTTATTTGATTTTTCATTTAACAAATATTTGTTAAATGTGTGACTTCCAGGTATCTGATATTATGCCAATCATTGGGGATTCAGAAATAAATACATTGTAATCCCCAGTTTCAAAGGACTGGAAATTCCTCCAGGATGACTGTGAAAGGCACATAGTGCAGAGGAGAGTTAGAACACTGACCACACTAGCTATAGGCTGGATATTTAGGCCATACAATATCCATCTACATTCTCAGGAGACTGTCTGCACTTGACTCACTGAAGGTCACACCTGGGCATCCCTGGGGATCCTCTTATCTTTACCATTAAGCAATGTGAAGCCATAAAATGATTAGGGTTGGCAGGCTTTTAGAGGATTAATGTTCTAACAAATTGGGTGATTTTGCTCAGCTTAGCTATTGAGGATAACATATTGTGAATTTACTGAGCTCATCTGTGACCAGATTCCTCTGCAGGGTAATTGAAAGTGAGTGGAAATGGCTATTTATGTATTCTCAGCCATTAGATGTTGCTTTCATCTCTGATTTCTTTGGATGATGAGTCAAAATATATACTGAGATCATTGCCTGTGGGTTCCACTTTGCATGTTCAATTAACTAAGGCCTGTGCTTAGTACTGGACATTAAAAGACAGATGGTGAAGGGAAGCTGGACTCAGACTTCAGAAGTGACCCACCAGCCAAATGGGGGTATATTTCTGAATTGCATCTTCCTTTAGGGCTTGATGGCCACTAGGGGTGTGAGTTGCCCTCAGCTAAATTCACAGACCTGTGGTAGTGTGGCCCAAAGTGTTCGTCTTGATGTTAAGAATAATTTTAAAACCCCTTAAAAAAGAGCTTTTGGTGAAATTCATCTGAGAGGTTCTGCACTGAACAAGGTTGAATGCATTTCTGTAGTGCAGGATTTTTCAGCATCCTGGGCAGCCTTACATGTGTTGGTACTCTCTAAAAGAAGGTAATAAAATTATCAATCTTATATAAGGGCACCAGCACTTATCAAGCACCTATATATTATTTATTACATTAAATACTTTATATAGATTGCTTTATATCATCTGCATAACTGTTCTAAGACATGTCTTTACTTTTTTGGAATGATGGCACTGAGGCCTGGAGTGCTTATATAGCTTTGCCAAGGCCACAATGAGCAAGTGACTTTGCTGAGATTTGAACCTAAGCACTTTGGTTATAGAACCCGTACTCCTGAACACAATGCCCTATTTCTTCTTTTTCTATTTTTATTTTTTCCGAAGATGATCTTGCTCAAGTGGAGACCCATAGTTTACACTTTCAGAAGAAATTCCTAGGATAAAGATATCAAGTATTGCTGGGATGTACCCCAGCTCAGGTTACACACATGAATGGTATAGTGGAGACAGGAAACAAAGAGTCAATGTTAGACATTTTCAACTCACCCTCGCCTGATTCTATTCTCTAAAGTATCAAAGAAATTAATGACTCCTGGAGTTTTGGGATGAGAGCTGACTCTACATTTTTTCAAGCATCGGAGTGACCTTGCCGTGATCTAGCTCATTCTTCACTTTTTCATTCAAGCATCACAAGGACTCTGATAATATCACTTCATTAAAGTCACCCATTTTTGAATGCATATTATGAGCCAGGCCGGCCCTGTGCTAGCTGTTGCATTCAAGAGTAGATGCAGGAATCTGACAGAGATGTAAAACAGCTTATTTGGTAAGGTTGATTAGAGAATGTGGAAATAATTAAAACAAGACAAACAAAAAACAAAACAGAAATAGGACATTGTGTTCAAGAGTTTGGGTTTATAACCAAAGTGCTTAGGTTCAAATCTAAGCAAAGTCACTTGCTCATTGTGACTTTGGCAAAGTTATATAAGCACTCCAGGCCTCAGTGCCATCATTCCAAAAATGGCATCCTCAATGGGCCACCTAAGACTTTACTACTGGATTAGGCAGACTCATCTACCCACCCACCTCTTCTAGGCCCTAGAAGAGCAGTACAACCCCTTCACGCTCCAGCCCCCTCCATACATTTACCCCATGATAGTTGCAGAGAATATGGGTGCCCTGCAGGCAGGCCAGGTCCAAAAGGAGAGGCAGATGTGATGAGCTGAGTATGATGGTTTCTTCTCCCACATTTTCCAATGAAGTAAGCCACTTGGAGAGGAGTGAGGCAGCACCTAGAGAGACATCACAAGCTCCACTCATGCTTTTCTCTTTTGAGGAGGAGAATAGAAATTCCTGCTCCTATCTGGCTGGAAACAAGTAGTGGGGAAATAAGTGTTCCCCCAACCCAAATATTAGTGACAGGAGATAAAACCGCTAAACGTATCTAACATCTCAAGGATCCCAGAGTCCAGTGGCAGAGACAGGCAGACAAAAAGACAAACAGAGCACTGTGAAAGAAAAGGATGCATGAAGAGGGGGATGAAGCAGAAGGTCCTGGGAGAAATATGGTCCCAATACTATTTTCAACCAATTAAATACAAAACAGATATTGTTTCCTTCCCTCTGTCAGGATTACATTTTCATATATTAATATTTCTCTTTCATTCATTCATCCATCAAATGTATATGTGCACTAACATGTATTAAGCCCTGGAGAGAAAAAGCTGGCTAAGATGAAGCCAGAAACTCACTTCCCTGCTAAAAATAAAAAAAATTCTTTTGTATTAATTAACTGTGTGTGAATTAATTATGATGAAACACTGGTTTTTTGGTTATACAGAAATTCCTCAAGGTAATGTCACCTATGGTATAAGCTTTGAGTAGGGGGGATATGCAGTGCAGGTCAGGGGACTACTTAAGCACTATCAACAGGAAGGAAAGAGAAATAAGTTTCTGTAATAAATGAGCTAAGAGCCTCAGAAATGAATTGTGGAGCAGCTCCCTCCCCATTTTTACTTGCTTTACAATTTTTCCCAGAGTCAGTATGTGTTTTATTAAGATAGGATTGTACCCACGGAAGTTCAAATGAGGTCCAGGGAATCAAATGAAAGTCTTACAACTGAATTGCTAAAACACAGAGAGTGGTTGCACTGTTCTGACGTCAAAGGACATGAGCTGGTAATTATCCTATTTGTGAAGGGAAGATGGAAAGATTGAGGACTTGGAGATAGAGAAGCTAAATTAGCCTTAATGAAATATAATGGATATAGAAACCAGGGTATCCTAATATGTAGTTCCACACAATCAGATCTGGAAATTAAAAGAGTAAAAATTGCTATGTAAAATTTCATTACTTGTTTGAATGGGAAAGAAACAAAGTCATTACTTGCCAGTATGAAACCTTGTTTCAGGAAAAGGGCTGTGTGCCTTCACAGAAATCTAACTCTTTGGAATGCTGACAGCTGGGAGGACACGAGGAAATTTTTACTTCTCTCACCAATGCTGCCGAGAAGTTTTTACTTCTCTCACCAATGCCGCCGACTCAGCACTCCTGGAACTGCTCCATGGTTCGTTGTTTTCAGCCATAATACTTATCACTTTCTAGCACACTGTACCATCTACTTCTTGTTTATGTTTCTTGTTCATTGTCTGTCTCCCTCACTAGAATATAAGCTCCATGAGGACAGAGACTTCCTCCGTTCCTTGGTGTGCCCAGAGTGCTTAGAAGGGTGCCTGCATGGCACGCTGTAGGCCTTCAACAAGTATTTGTTGGAAGATAAGTTCCTCACTAAATTCCTCCAAAGGGCTAACATGGAGGTAGTTTCATGGAAAAAAGAAAAAGTAGTTTTATGAATAAAAGGATTCTCTGGGAGGAAGAGTAGGTGGATTTGCAATAGATCATTCTCAGGGTCTGAATTAGAGAGGAAAACATAGCAACTCAACTAAAACCAGAACTGGGTGGAAAAACTGCCTGCCAGGAGGCATTTGAATAAGAAAACTGCGGCAAGAAACTACTTATAAAACTTATCTTTCCCCACCCCTTCTGGCAATTATTTTAAGGCGAAACTGTCCAGGTGATTTTCATTTCTTCTTCTGATCATTTAGTCCACTGTTTTGTAGGAAATCATTGGTTAGCTCGTTTAAGGGCTCCCTAGATCCAGGTGAACCCCACGCATCTGGAATCCTTAGGGTTGTAAAGATGCAGTAACGCAGCTGGGTGCCATAAGTGAGTTTGATGGGTCTTCTTTCAGCTGCTGCATTTGAGATGGCATAGAAAATTGTGTGTGTTTTTCCTTCTCTAATCCTGTAATTGTTTTCACTTCTCAAGACTGGGTTAATTATATAGTAGCTATTTTAGGGTTGCTTCTGACTACATAATGTTTGTGTTTGGTGTTTCTTCATTGGCTAAAAGGAAGGCTTATTCTTGGGTCCCCAAAATAAAAAGGAAAACAACAGAAGCCAAGCGTTTGTGCCATAGTGGTCACCAAATTGTACTTCGTTAAATCATCCCAATGGCTTCGTGGAGTGGTACCATGACTGTAGCTGTTTTATTTAAAATGACTGGAGGCTCAGAGTCGTCAAGTTGTTTGTCCAAAGATACACAGCCAGAAAAGTACTCCCGGTGGTACTAAGACTCATGTCTTAGAACCAAAACCCTGGGCACTCTCTACTGCCCATGAAGTTATCATAGCGCTTATGCAACAATGATCTAATTGTTAGTCTTGTCACAACATTGTGCCTAGTAAATTATAGACTTAAGAAGTAGACGAACACTTGAATTTAGGAGCACAATCTTTTTTTAGACTAAATTTTCTTTTTGTTAAAATAACTTTATGATGTCAAATAGAAGAAAAAGAAACTTTACCTCCCAATTATATTTACAGGTTTCATGTCTTTAAAAATACACAAATCATCAAGATTAGTATCAAGATAAGATCTGAACTATTACTGTTAGTGTTTTTTTTTTTTTTCTATGCTGCAACTGAAATAGCCAGAAATAACATGGAAACTTCTAACCTCCTTTCTCCACTTCACTACCACTAATCTCTGTGCCATAGGAGGGTGAGAGAATAGGATTGTGGTGGGATGGAATTAAACAAGACTCCCTTTTTCAAGCTTTGCTTGAATATTTATTTTAATAATGTTTACCATTAAGTAAATTAATCTTCTTTCTTTTTTCTTTCTTCTTTCTTTCTTTCTTTCTTTCTTTCTTTCTTTCTTTCTTTCTTTCTTTCTTTCCTTTCTCTCCTACCTTCCTTCCTCCCTTCCTGCCTTCTTCCCTCCCTTCCTCCCTTCTTCCCTTCCTCCCTCTTTCTTTCTTTCTCTTTCTCTCTTTTCCTTCCTTCCTTCCTTCCTTTCTACCTTCCTTCCTTCCCTCCTTCTTTCCTTCCTTCCTTTCTCTCTCTCTCTCTCTTTCTTTCTCTCTCTGAACCTAATAGAGCATAAGCCATTAACCTTTCCTTATGCTAATACATGTATTTTGAAATGTTCTGAAATAGCACCATACAGAGAATCATCTACTCTGATAGAAATTTTTGAACGTTTTTCAAATTCTGCTCTGTGTGTTTATTCTAGTTTGCCACAGTGCTGATTGCTGCCTCAGATCTATTCCTTGCTGTTCCCCTGCTTGAAGGGCTGATACCTGTAGGCTGTTTCCCAGGCTTATGTGTCAGTGGGCTTCAGACTGTGTGTGGCCAGTGGGAAGACCTGCAGCAGACTGAGCGGTGACAGAAATGAAGGTACCAGGGAATTTCTCTTTAATTATATATTTTTGGTGTTATCTCTGGCTAGGTTGTATATTTTCCATGGCACTAGCTCCTGTCTGACAGGCCTGCCTTGAAACTGGCTTCTGCTGAGTAACCCTGACACCTGGACTCTAGTAACTTTGCTGTCTCCCTTTATCTAGGCAGCCCAGGGAGAGGAGTGGTTCCCTGGTGTTGCTAAGGGTTTCCTCTCACCGTTTCATTTGGCTTCTCGGCTCCTTTATCATCTGTGGAACCAACTTCCTGTATTATGTATCCTCCGTTGTAAATACTTAAAGTAAATTGCATTTTCCTGGCTATACCCTGACCAAAACAGGCACTGATATAATCACTTTAAGACTGCTGAGACAAGCAGCACTGTTAAACTGTAATAAACATTGACTTACTTGATGAGAGAATTGGCTTAAACTCTGAATGAGTTCACATTTACTTTAGTGGACCAGTAGGAAAATGTATGGGCAGTGATTTTAACATGAATTCACTGTTATCTTTAAGGCAGAGCTATCGTGACTCCTTTTTTTTTTTTTTATTAATAAACTTATCTTTTTTTTAGAGTAGTTTCAAGGTCACAGCAAAACTGAGTGGAAAGAATAGTGAGTTCTCAAATAGCTCCTGCCCCCACACATGCCCATTACTTCTTTCTGATTTTCTCAAAGGAAGAAGACTTAATAAGTAAATAGCAATCCCAGTTTTGCCGTTCTATTAGTGAGGGCTTGTATTAGAGGGCAAAAGAAATGTAGCTTTCTAGAATTTTCTGCCAGATTATGTAGTAAATAATAGCTACTTCTATGTAGTAAATGCTTTGAAAAAAAAAAAAACAAAACCACAAGCCATGAATCTATTCAGCTGGAGGAATTCTGGAAACAGAGCATATGAACACCTTCAGGGTCTGAGGAAATGGAGGAGGGGTGGGGTTTGGGTTTGAGTGCTGCTTATGGGACACGGAAAGAAGCTTGAAACTCCCTTCATAATTGGGTGGTGTGTGTTTCGAGGAGGAGCAAGGGGAGACCAGATAGGCATATCTAGACACACTAAAGCAGAAGCCAAGCAGATTAACTTCTGATGGAAGAGATATTTTAGTAACTCCATGTCAAAATACAGAGGCTTTTTACATAAGAGAACACCTTGCATGTGCTAAAGAGGCACAGGTTGGAAAGCCCACAGATAGCACACTTGGGACAAGAGTGAGTGCTGAAATTCACTAGGAACAATTGGACACTAACTCTGGAGCTTTGGAGACCTGAGAAGTTCCACAGAGCAGCTATGACCTGGCATTCTGAGAGACACCCCAGACATTCATTGCCTCTTGGCCCCTCCCTCCCTCCCTCCTTCCCTCCTTCCCTCCTTCCCTCCCTCCCTCCCTTCCTTCCTTCCTTTCTTCCTTTTTTCCTTCTTTCCTTCCATTTAGCAATTATTTATGACTTTCTACTTAAGTGTCAGGCACTGTTCTAGGCAATGTTGACTTATTAATGCACAGCAGAGATTTTTTAAAAAAAGCTTTTTCCTTCATTCTGGTGGGAGAAAAAAATCAATAAATAATAATTCATTATTATATAGCATGCCAAAGGGTGAAAAGTGCTATGAGAAAATCTGGAAATAGTGAGAGTGCTAGGGTTGAGGTGGAGGATGGAGTTGGATTACATAGGGTAGAGCTCATTGAGAAGGTGACTTTTGGCAAAGACAAGAAAGCCAAGGAGTTATCCATGAGATACCTAGAGGAAGAACATTCCAGGTAAGGGGAACAGCAAATGCAAAGAGCAGAAGGCACAGTTTCTTTATAAAGTTAAACATGCATTTAGCCCGTGCCCAATAATCTCAATCCTTGGTATTTACCCAAGAGAAATAAAAACGTATGTCTACACGAAAACTTGTACACTATGTTCATAGCATCTTTGTTCATATTAGCCCCATGGGTAAATGAACTGTAATATATTCATACCATGGAATACTAGTCATTAATTGAAAGAAAAGAAAAACTATGAATACATACTATGACATGAACGAATCTCAAAAAGATTATGTTAAGTAAGAAAAAGCTAGACATAAAATAATATATACTATTTGATTACATTTGTATTAAGTCTAAAAACAGGCAAAGAGAATCTAGGGTAACAGAAATTAAAATTGTAGTTATGTATAAGGATGAATTGGAATTGACTGGAAAAGAACCTGAGGTGACAGAATATTGTTCTCTATCTTGAAATGGATGGTGGTTACATGGGCCTATAGAACTGTCAAAACTACAAACTTAGCACTTAAGATTTGCCCATTTTATGTGAATTATAGCTGAATTAAAAACAAACAAACAAACAAACATATGACTGTAGTGTTTGCTGAGGAAATCAGGGTACTTGATTGTACTTGATGTGGAGTGAGCAAGGAGGGATGTAGCATATGATGCAGCAAAAGATATAATAGGGAATGAAGTACATCATGTAAGGCATATGGGCTATCATAAGGCATAAATTGGTCTGACATGTGTTTTAATAAGATCACTCCGGTTGCTGTGTTGAGAAAGACTGTGAGCAGATCCATTGGAAGACCATTGGGATAATCTGGGCTAGAGCTAGTGATGTTTGACATGAGGGTGGCAGCAGTAGAGATGGCAGGAAGAGGATACAAGTCTGAATAGAATTGATGAAATTTGTAGAAAGATTGAACATGGGGATAAGAGAGGAAGAGAGGAAAAAAAAGTGACTTTAAATTTTGGTCTGATCAACGAGAAAGATGGAATTGCCATTAGCTGAGAGGGGAAGATGGCAGGTGGAGAAGGCTTTGTGGACATAGTAAGTTTGAGAAGCCTACTGGGCATGCAAGTAAGGTGGTGATTAGGCAGTTGGGTATTGGGAGATTTAGTATACAGATGTTATTAAAGGCCACCAGATTGGGTGAGATCAACAAGGAATTGAGTGTAAATAGAAAACAAGAAGAGTTCCAAAGATATTTGGATATTAGCCACACTGAAGGGATTGCAGGCCTGCCCATGTTAAGCAGGAAAGGAGAGGACACCAATAGGAAAGAGATGGAAACCTCAGCATGGGCAGGTACAGGAGAGGAGATGTAGGCTCTTCTGCCTTTCCTTCCTTTCTGCCTCAAGTTTACAGGAGGATAGAAAGCAGGATGGAGAGAGGTAAAGAGGAGAGAAGACACAACCCTGTTTTCTCTCTTCGCTCTCCTCTCAAGTTTTGAGAGTCATGAGTTTAGCCTGTGCTAGGATGAAAAGAGAGAGGCTTTGGATCAAATGTGAGATTGGAGCTAAATGAACAGCACTCAGTTTTAAAGATCCAAAATGTGACTATTTTAACAACTGAAAGTGACTACAAAGTTATGGAGCCAAATGATACCTTAAGAGATCCTGCTTCCAAGCCTGGAAAACAGTAAAGACTGAAGAATGCTATTGGTGGGGGGATGTGTTCAACAGAGTACAGGGGTACTTGTTATTGGAAAAAAACTCAAAGCTTTTACTGTTTATCTCCCTGTGAGTTGAGATAGCTCACAAAACTGGGCATGTCGGTATTTGGTGCTATGAGATCTATGAGAGCGATAGATTTTGGCTTTAAATTGCTCACATTAAAATAAGTAGGTTGGGCAATATGATAGGCTACATGATCATTTATAAATCTCAAATTCTGTCATTTGGTTTGAAGCACTTGAGATCAGTGGTGCCATGTTGGCTGCTGCTACGTCAAAATTTTGGTAAAGTTTGATTTTTTTTTCTGTGAAACTACATTTGGAAGAACAGGATTGGACCACCTAAGTTGCAGTGAAACTAAAGAGCTTTTTAAATCAAGTTGTTAAAATATTTTTAAGATTCTGTTTTTAAGGAAAGCATTACCAATAATAAGGAGCAATATAATTTCAATCTATATTCAGAACAAGCATATCGATGAAATTTCAGCTTGTGCAGACACCTGCTTTACTGCGTTTAATGAGAATCTAAAAATAAGAACTGATGTCCTATGTGGTGATAAACACTCTGACAGATTTGTTTGACACAAAGAGTTCCCAACATTGAGGAACATGTCATTCCAACTCATGTTTTGGCCTCTTTAAGCCCTCAAATAGCAATCTTTTAGTAAACTTAATGACAGACATGTTCCAGACATGATTCCCTATAGTTCTTCCACATTAATGTAGAAATTAGCTAAGGTCACGGAATGCAAATCAGTGATTTTGCCATACAAAATTTATTCTAATTTTCTCTTGGGAAAAACTTAGCAATTGACATGCATTGGTTTTGAGTAGATTTGGGGCCTATTTTTCAATTGCAAATATATCAAAATTAAACCTTAAGCAGAAACTAATGGTCATATCATCTATGTAACTACATATTTTATAAAAGAGGAAAGGCCATCAGCAGTTGACTCTGGGAATTCATTGCTATTTTGAGCAAACTCTTTTCCAAAATTTAAAACATTAATATGAGGATAAAAAAATGTGATTTTGAAGGAAGCTAGTTATATAATTCCACTTGGGGAAAAGCTCTCAATAAAATCTTATCTGATATGCTCAGTACAGTTCTGTACCCTTGGTGGTTACTAACTGTCAGTTGATTGGTGTATTAGTCCGTTTTCACACTGCTATAAAGAACTTCCCCAAGACTGGCTAATTTATAAAGGAAAGAGGTTTAATTGACTCACAGCTCCATCTGGCTGGGAGGGCCTCAAGAAACTTACAAGCATGGCGGGAGGTGAAAGGGAAGCAAGTCATGTCTTACAGGGCAGCAGGCGAGAGGTAAAGAAAGCATGAAATGGGAAGAGCCTCATACTATCAAACAACCAGATAGTGAGAATTTACTCACTATCTCAAGAACAGCATGAGGGAAACTGCCCACATGATCCAATCACCTCCCGCCAGGACCCTCCCTCGACACCTGGGGATTACAATTCGAATTACTATTCAAGATGAGATTTGGGTGAGGGTACAGAGCCAGACCATATAGGGTTTTCATAGAGATGAAAGGACTGAACATAAAAAATTTGCGTCTCATTCGTTTATTCGTTTAGAACTGTGGTGAGGCTGTCAACCTTAAGCAGTAATAAAATAGTAGGTTAAGATACTAGTTTCAGTATAATTTAAAAATGGTTAAAAGTATAAATTTAATAGTTATTATCCAGAATATTAGAATTTTTGATGGTTGACTTGACTGGGTTGCATAGTTTTTTTTAACTTTTATTTCTGTATATATACTTTAAAAATTCTAGAAATGTCATTCTCTTCAGAAACAAAAACATATGGTGTTATATATATATATATATGGCTAGATATAGATGTAGGGGCATGTGTATACACATGCACACATATATACATATATGTCTCCTATGTTGCAGATAGCAGGGACTTTATAGCCAAGACACCTGCAGTTTGATCTTGGGTCTATCACTTTTTGTTGCGTAACTTTAATTCTTCAGTATCTCTGAAATTATTTCATCACCTATAAAGCAGACAGTGACATAATTTTATGAAAAGGCATTAAAATATAGTCTATAAATGTAAAGTATTAATAATAAAAATAGTAAACAAAAGAGCATTGAGAGTTTTGTCCCAGTATTTCTCTCCATATCTACGTAGAGAGAGAAACATATATATATATAGAGAGAAAAAATTTAAAACATACCAGCTATATCCATATCTAGCTGTCTATCTACTATGTACAAGTTGTTTACATGGTTCCTCACAGTAAATTGTGAGATCAGTAA
Organism: Homo sapiens; assembly: GCF_000001405.40. Taxonomy (NCBI): domain Eukaryota; kingdom Metazoa; phylum Chordata; class Mammalia; order Primates; family Hominidae; genus Homo; species Homo sapiens. The sequence continues at coordinate 95,728,691 of NC_000011.10, read as the reverse complement.
TAGCCCTACTTTACAGATGAGAAAACTGAGCTCAAAAGTCTAAGAAATGTGTTTAAGCTCACACAGCTAGTTAATTGTAGATAAAGATCTATTCTTAGTCTATTTGGCTTGAAACCCATGTTCTTTTCACTCTGCTGTATTCTACCCTTTTCTGCAGATCTGCTATGGAGATAATACAAATCTACAAAGAAAATTAATGAGAAGTGATTATTTCATTTCAAATTAATCTGCTACAGAGTTTTTTTTAAAATCAGTATTTAAATACCATCTGCCTTTATATACATTTCACTGCAACATATCAACTTTTTAGGAATGTAAGCATTACATAACATGAGACATGTCTTTTAAAATGAATGCCAATCAATGTGTTCTGGGCTTCAGAAGATCTTTGTTGCTATCTTCCATATGTATAACTTCCTGACATCTTGACTAGTGTCATGGGTAAAATCCTTTAGTGAAAGTAGAAATGACATGGCAGGGATCACATGTTTGTGAGGCATCAGGACTCTCATAGATAGATTTGATTTGAATTCCTACATTGTGTCAGAAGGTGTTCAGGAAAGGGCAGACAAATGCATAAAATAACTTCCCTACCATTAAGTACCATGACACAGTATGGTAAAGAGGCAATACTCAGAGAACTCCATAGATAGAGAGATAGAAAGATATTCACATATATCTAGTGATATATACAGCATGTCTCCCAAGCCAACAGCATCAGAATGGCAGTCCAAATATGGTATTCCTTTGGCTTTGCCTCGTTCACACCAGACTCCTTTAAAATCTTTACGGATTACTTCTGAGTTATTCTCAGCGTATTTCACCAGAACATCCCCGCCCCCAGACACTATCATTTTACTTCTTTCCAGCCCCAGCTTTTCTGCCTAGGGTAGGGTCTACTGCCAAATATCCCAGTGCCAAAGAAGCAGATGCTGCTGCCCAGGGCTCTTGCCTTTGCTCCCTCCTGCCTCCTGCCCCCTGCTTTCCCCAGGATTGAAGCAATCTCATCGTGCCAAAACCACTGATGCGGGCAGCTTTCTGCAGAAATCTCATGTTGTGTTCTTTCCACTGGTGTGTGGAGGACTCTCCCTCTCTTTTGTATTATACCCCTGGTATCTGTGTAACCCATGTCCTCAGGCCTCACCAGTCTGTTGGTAGAAATGGAGTCACGTTAGCATAATGCCCAAGTTTGGCTCACTCCTTTCCTCTCATTTATAAAGCTGCAGTGATTTACCAATCCCCATATTTGCCCGAGATTCCTCACTTAAGTGGGAATCCTTAGAGAGCATCTCTGTGCATTCAGAAACAGATCTGTTAGCTGTTTCTACCCACTGAGTCCTCCTTTGAGCTGTCTCTTCTTTCCTCCAACATCTTCCCTTTTTCTTAGATTCCTGAGAAGAATGCTTAAAAATAGTCTTTAGTATCATGAGCCCCAGACATACGATCCTTTTAATACATTTCCATGTTTTGCTTAAGCAGGCTTAAGATAGTGTCTATTACTTCCAAGGAAAAGAAATCTCAACTGATACAAGTGCAGCAGGAAGGGGTGGGCTATTTGTCTCTGAACATAGTCACTTTTTAATGTTCTGAATCATTTCATTTCTTCAGAATACCCAAGATTGTCCCCAAACACTTCATTACTAATTCTATTCTACACAATGAAGCTCTTTCAGATTAATTAATGTTTAGAGCTCAACTCATTTCTCTGATGTGATTTGTTGTCCACATTGATTGAGTGAACAGATTGGTAATTTTATTTCCCTCTGATATTTCAAAGTTTAATTCTCAATCTCATGATTTGTTTTATATTTTATAAATATGTAAATTTAAAAAGTTATTTAGATAAATCACTCTCTTTGCAGCTGTGCTGTTATGTTGCAGATAGCACGGACTTCATAGCCAGACCTGCAGTTTGGTCCTGGGGTCATCACTTTGTGCTGTATGACTTCAATTCAGACCCTTATTGTCTCTGAAATTATTTTATCACCTATAAAACAGATCAGTGATGTAGTGTTATGAAAAGGCATTGAAAAATGTGAAGTCTATAAAATGTAGTGTATTAATAGTAAAAAAGTAAACGAAAGGACATTGTGAGTTTTGTCTCAGTTTTTCTATGGGAGATAGGTTTGCAATATTTTTTGATTTAAATTCTCTTCTTAGTAATTTTGGAAGTATTCTAAGAAAGAACTTCAAATAGCATTTAAGCTAAACTTGATACAGAAAAAATGATGATGTAATTGAATGAATAAAAATTTATGGTAGAATAAAATATATATTTATAAATTTATAAATGTGATAAAATGTGTATTTCCACCAGAGTCTTCTCGGTAGTCTTTTTAGTGTTTGATACAGATGATTTTTTTTTCTGAATATACTACCATTATAGAAAGCTTATTTCTAGAATCATATTATGGATAAATATCCAAATTTATCGGTGTCAAACCTAGATAAATAGTCATTAACTCAGCCAGATTTCAGGATGGAGAAAGGGGAGATAGAGGTAATGTTTAATTCTTCCTTTGCCAAGGGCTGGTGAAGTTATTAAAACATCCATTTCTTCAGTAGGTGCTAGACATCATCACCTGAATTAGACTAAAATTAAGATTAGACAGGCAATGTTAGCTTCCTGACTAAATAAACACTAAACAGTGTTCGGATTTTGGACTTAAATATATTTTTATGACTTGCTGATTATTGTTCACCCAAGGACATCCTCTTACTGGGAGTTCTAAGCATTGCTTTCTCCTTTCATTCCTATTCTAACGACATTGTCTTCAGCATTATTTTACACATAGTTATTTGTTTGTCTGCTTGGGTTCAGTTACAGCAGGCTTGGTAATACTAATACAATATAGCATCATGTATCCAGAAAGACTGTGTCTAAATTAGCCAATACATAAAAAAACTTAAAAAGCATGCTTTTATATATTAAATATAATTTAACATGGGCTTGTTTCTATCAAGTTAATTAATATAATTAGAATATACCACTAAATATATTGCGTTGAAGTTGCTAGCTTTTATTTTTATTCAATAGAACCATAGGGAATTCTCTCTGAATTGTCAAAAATTCTGAATTACTGGTGTACAAATTGAGATAGAATCTTGTAGATTTTAAATTTAAACGTTCTCTCTAGTTTTTTCTCTTTCTCCACAGCATATTCCCAGCTTCCAGAAATAAATTGGATGAAACTTCCTTTCACCCTCCACAAGATAAATTGAGTTTCCTTGTGTGAAAGCAAAGCAACTAGAAACACAATTTTTCTGTCTTGGGAAGATCTGTTGAGTTATAGCATCATTGTACACAAGGCTTTTACTGATAAGGAAGTGAGGTGGTGGGAGACAAGAGCTCTTAAGGAGAGAGAGGCATATTTAGAGGGAGAGGGGTAGCTATATTCAAAAAACTTATAGTTTGTGATCTTTCTGAGAAAAGAGAACAGAGCATGTTGGAATAGAACATGTTCTGGAATAAATGAACAGATTTGTGTGAGGTTCCAGCTAAGCCACTGAAAGTGGACATTACATGTGCTTGGTAGTTTATACAATCACATTTAATCTTCATACCAATTCTGCAGGGTGGGTATTGTTAGCTAAATTTTACTGGTGAAGAAATTGTAGCTCAAAGAACTGGTATGACAAATATGAGACAGAACATGGAATTTGATCTTGCATCTTCTGATTCTAATGCGTTGATTCAGTCCTACCCAGCACCACCTTTCACAGAGTCTCTTTTGTCATCAACAAAACTTGTTTTCTGGCTGGGTTCAAAGGCAGCCTGTGGCTCTGAGGCCTAGAGTAAAGGATTTGGGATCAGTCTGAGGACACCACTTCAGCATCTGCATCCATTAATCCTTATGAACTCCTCAACATGGGTTCATTCCTTCTATTTTATTTAGTTGCTGAATGTCACTGCTTCAAATTAGACTATAAGCTCCCTGAAGGCATGGGCCAGGTTTGTTTTACTCATTGCTTTATATGAAGTGCAGCCCAGCACAATGCAAAAGCATAACAGCATTTGTTCAATGCATGAAGAATAACTTTTAAAATAAACTTTTATTTTAGAACAGTTTTAGATCTACAGAATTATTGTGAAAATAGTTCCATCTTTCCATATACCCCACACTCAATTTCCCCTATTATAACTATCTTACATTCATATGTCACATTTTTCACAATTAATGAACCAATGGTGATACATTATTACTAACTAGACTGTATACTGTATTCAGTCCTTAGTTTTTTTTTTTCCTTTTTTTTTTTTTTTTTATCTTTTGAGACAGAGTCTCGCTCTGTCGCCCAGGCTGCAGTGCCATGGCATGATCTCAGCTGACCACAAGCCCCACCTCCCAGGTTCACGCCATTCTCCTGCCTCAGCCTCCTGAGTAGCTGGGACTACAGGTGCCCGCCACCACACCTGGCTAATTTTTTTTGTATTTTTTTAGTAGAGATGGGGTTTCACCGTGTTAGCCAAGAGGGTCTCGATCTCCTGACCTCGTGATCCGCCCACCTCGGCCTCCCAAAGTGCTGGGATTACAGGCGTGAGCCACCGCACCTGGCCAGTTTTTGTTTTTGTTTTTGTTTTTTTACCTTATGTTCTTTTTTTGTTGTTGTTCCAGGATCCAATCTAGCGTATCACATTATATTTAGTAGTCATGTCTTCTGTTAGCTATGACAGTTTCTCAGATTTTCCCTGTTTGGAGGACCCTCATAGTTTTTAGGAGCAGTAGTTAGATATTGCTACCATTTAAATGTCCCTTCCAAAACTCATGTTGAAATTTAATTGCCATTGTAGCAGTATTAAGAGGTGGGACATTTAAGAGGTGATTAGGCCATGAGGGCTCCCCCATCAGGGGTAGGATTGGTGCCATTATAAAAGGGTGAGCTTGGCCCCCTCTTGCCCTCTCTTGACCTTCACTATTCCACCAGGGGAAGATGCAGCAAGAAGGCCCTGGCCAGATGCCAGCCCCTCGATCTTGGACTTCCTAGCCTCCAGAACTGTGAGCCAATAAATTTCTGTTCATTATAAATTACCCAGTCTCAGGCATTCTGTTGCAGCAACAAAAACGAATAAGTCAGATATTTTGCTGAATATCCCACAATTGAGGTTTGTCTGGTTTTTTTCCCCGTGGTTAGACTGGGTGATGTGTTTTGGAAAGGATGACCACAGAGGTAAAATGCCATTCTCATTACAACATATCAATGGTACACAGTATCAATATGATTTATCACTGTTGATGTTAACCTTGATCTGGCTTGGTAGTATTTGTCAGGCTTCTCCACTGGGAAGTTATTTGGTTTTGTCCTTTTCTGTATTGTATCCTTGAAAGAAAGTCACTGTGTGCAGCCCACACTTAAGTAGTTGTATATTGTGCTCCCCCTCCTTTAGGGTGGAAAATCTATAAATTATTTGGAATTCTTCTGCATAGGACATTTGTTTCTTCAGTTTCATTTATTTATTCAGTCATTTATATGAGTGCGTAGTCATAAATATTTATTTTATACTTTAACTTAGAATCTAATGGTACTTTATTTATTTTGTTGCTCATATTATTCCAGCTTTGGCCTGTGGGAGATATTTCAGTTGCCTCTTGTTTTGTTTTGACATACCCCCAGCAGTGTGGGGTTTTGTTTTGTTTTGAGCACTTTTTTTACTTTCTGTAATTGCAAGGTGTTCCAGGCTCATCTTGCATATTTTCTGCTCAAGTTCTAGAACCAGCCATTTTGCCAAGGGGCCCTAGTTCCTTTTACTGGAGAATGGTATTAGAAACCAAGATCTGGGAACCAGCTGTGCTTGTTGCAACTGGGGTATAATGGTTTCTAGGCCATCTCAGATGACAAAGCAAGGAGACAGATGTGTGTGTACTTAATGACATACATGCACATATCTATAAACATTTCTATATGTAACTATCTGTATCTATATTGATCTAAACATGAGTTTATACTGATATTTCAAACTCTAACCTATCACACATGGATCATTCTAGGCTCCTCCCATTGCTTATCTGTACCCTCTTACTCCAACAGTAAGAAACTTGGCACCTACCATACACCATCCATTTACTTAATTGCTCAATTCCAACATCCATGTATATTGGTGTCAGAATTATTGACCCACACTCTTGAGGGAAAAAACTTTGTCAACTAGAGTATACAGAGTTCCTTTCGTCTTTGGACTTACAGACTATACTCATTTCCAAAGTTATTTGAGTCGACACCTAATCCCCAACCCCATTTAGTGAGGTTATTTAGTGTATTTAAAATATTAGAGACCTTTGTTAAACCTGTATTCAATTCTGGGATCCTCTGACTTCCTAAATGATTTTTAAAACATTTGCATAACTTACAGTGACACTTTAAGCTGTAATATTCTGTAAGGTTTGAGGAATGCATGGTGTCATGTACACATCATTACAGTATCATACAGATAGTTTCATCCCCCCAAAAATCCAACACACTTCACCTGTTCAGCCCTACTCACCTATCTTCTGGAATATACGGCATCCACTGAACTATTTACCATCTCCATAGTTTTACCTTTTCCAGAATGTTATATACCTGGGATTATACATTGCATACCATTTTTAGACTTGCTGTTTTTACTTAGCAATATGCACTTAGGAGTCATGAATGTTTTTGTGGCTTGATAACTCATTCCCTTTATCACTGAATAGTATTCCATTGCACGGATATAGCAAGGTTTGTTATCCATTCATTTATTGAAGGGCATCTTGATTACTTCCAGTCTTTGGCAACTGTTAATATTAATTGAATTGATATAAACATTCGTGTGCAGGTTTTTGTGTGGACATATGTTTTCAAATCAGTTGGGCAAATACTTAGGAGCATGATAGCTTTTAAGACTGTATTAGTTACATAAGAAACTGCCGAACTGTCTTTAAAAGTGGCTATACCATTTTTCATTCCCACCAGCAATGAATGAGAATTTCTGCTGCTCTGAATACTTGATAGCAGTTAGTATCAACAGAGTTTTTAGATTTTAGCCATTCTAACAGGTGGTAGTTGTACATGTCCCTGTTGTTAAATGGATGAATTTTTCACAGACAAGGGTATGATTCACTCGTATTCCCTTGGAAATGCACAACTTAAAGATCATCTTTTGGACTCTAAACTCTTGTTTTACAAGTCAGTAAACTGAGGACCAGAGAAGAGCAGTAATTTCACAAAGTTCCAATAGAGTTTGGTAGAACAAGAAATCACACGGAGTCCATCAGTGTGACAATTGTTCCTTTTTCTTACCATTGTTATTTTACAATAATAGAGCAAACTTTATTGGGTAGAGTTTGAAAAACTTACATTGACAAGAGGTGTTTTTAAAAAGGTTATGAGGCTTCAGAACCAAAGGCAGGTACTGTGGGGATGAGCAGATCATTGGGGGTCCAGGCACTGTGGGACTCATGAGCTCAGGTGATACAGGGCCATGTTTATAAGGCTGGGGTGGAAGTCATTCTATGTCCAGCTCTGGTAGCTTTGTACTAAAAGCAACCCTACTTCCTGACCATGAGATTACAAGATTACATCTTTAAATGCCTACAATGATTACAGCAAATCTATGGATCACTGGAAGAGAAAATATATCTTTTTATTTATTACATTTGCTGTTTGTAAAACACAGAGCTAGGATAAGAACATCTGCTGCTTAGCTATCCTTTTTGTCTAGATACCAGAATCTTGACTGCAACATTTAGTGAAGTTTCATCTCAGTCCAGAAATCTTTTTATATACCTGGAGGAATTCTTTAACTTTGATTTTCAGTAAGAAAATAAAAGAATTAATGAATGGTTAGCAAATCTATATTATGAAATGAAAATTGTATGAACTTTACTATACAGTTAGCATGAGTAAGATAACAATAATATGTAACAAACTTAAAATCCTATATTCTTGTATCTATTTTGATTCCTCCATCCCAAGGAACTGGTAAAATCCTCTGCCAGAGGTGACCAAGGGAAATATTTCTATTTTGATTCTTTATGCAGGGCTTGACTTGTCTACTCTGCTGTACCTCACATTATTTATGTCCCAGACTCACTGTGCAGATAGATTACTTTCTTCATGGGTTTTCATCTAATTATATAGAATGCTCTGTATTTCTTCTTGCTAGTTCCTAAAGTTCAGATGCAACGTTTTGAGTGCAAAGATGTTTATTATCTCTAGCCATCTTTTTCATATAAATTTTCAGCTACAATCAAAGCTCTAGGTATGACCTACAAATGTTCCGCAAAGGCACAGAATTGGTGGATTCTCTAGACTGATAGAGTAGACATTTGTGGTTTCCTGTTGTGGCAGTTGAAATGGGTACTCCCATTATCATTTTTTTTCCTGCCCAGACAATTCTGGGCAGGAACTTTGGCCAATCCAAAGGTGGCTCTGGGCCCCAGCCCCTCTTAAGGGCAACACTTTCAATTTTAGTATATGTACTGCTGAAGAGAGCACTGGTCAATAGTTTCTTTTTTTTTTTTTTTTTTTTTGACGGAGTCTTGCTCTGTCGCCCAGGCTGGAGTGCAGTGGCGCGATCTCGGCTCACTGCAAGCTCCGCCTCCCGGGTTCACGCCATTCTCCTGCCTCAGCCTCCCTAGTAGCTGGGACTACAGGCGCCAGTCACCACGCCTGGCTAATCTTTTTGTATTTTTTTTAAGTAGAGACGGGGTTTCACCGTGTTAGCCAGGATGGTCTCGATCTCCTGATCTCGTGATCCGCCCGCCTCGGCCTCCCAAAGTGCTGGGATTACAGGAGTGAGCCACCGCGCCTGGCCGGCACTGGGCAATACTTTCTAATGGCAAAGTATGCTAGACCTGCTGGATCACGTTGGCATCTGTTATTTCTGTGTACTTGTCTGTGTACATGAGATAGATCTCAGAAGTTTAGCTACAATATTTTCTGATTTTGTTCTATTGCCTTTCAACAAATGGGGAACTGGGGTGGTAGCAGTCCCAAGAGTGTCTTCTCCAAAGATGTATCTCTTCTTCAGTGTTCTCGGGTATCTTCTCTTCAGCTCCCCTTTCTACTTCATTCCCCTAAAGATCCCTCAGAGTCAGGCAAATATTCCACTGTTACTGTCACTTACCAGCTGTGGCATGAGAGCTGTCAGTAAGGTCGGCAGCGTGTGCCAAGAACAAAACTCCTGGAGGATGAGGAAGCCCTTACCTACAAGGCATGGTTAAAGAGGTTTTAAAAAACGCGTTTGACTTCCTAACTCAAGTATTTCCCTTCCGGATTCTGCCAAAGTGCTTGGAATTTCCCGCAGTTCCTTATCCCTTGGTTTAGGCACTAAGGTCTTATGTAAAGTATAGGTGCTGTTTAAGTATAGGAAACATGAAAAATTTAACTCCGATTAATTCACTGGTTGAGCTGCAGTAGTTTAGCAGAGGAATAGGATATTCCTGAGAGAGTAAGACATGAGACAGATGAGATTTGTTATGGGAAGAGGAGTTGTTCTTATCTTTGGTGGTTATAGGCTCCTTAGAGAGTATTTCAAATGCTATAATTTTCTCTCCAGAAAAATGTATTATAGTAGAGATGACCTTTTTCAGCTGGGCATGTTTAAAAGTCAAAACTAGATGAAAATTTTGCAGAGACAAAATTTTACTTAAAAACCCTTAAATCACTAGCAGGGCTTGGTTGTGCATGCCTGTAATCCCAGCTACTTGGGAGGCTGAGGCACGAGAATTACTAGAGTCCAGGAGGTGGAGGTTGCAGTGAGGCGAGATTGCCCACTGCACTCCAGCCTGGGTGACAGAGTAAGACCCTGTCTCAGAAAAAAAAAAAAAAAAAAAGCCCTTAAATCACCTATGATTTATAGTGTAAATGATTTTGTGATATTTACTATTCAGTAATTATTAAGCATATTGAAACTTGATTACCATTGATCTAGACCAAAGAAAAAAGAATGTGTATATGCTGGTGTCTGGCCCTTTACAGCATTCTGCCTTTGTAGTAACTATTAATTGTCTGGAAGAGAATGGGGAGCAGTGTCCATTCTCAAGCTTGCCTGCTGGTTATAGTCCAGTCTGTTTTTTTCCATAGCCTTAATACATGCTAATAGATTTGTTTGTGGTTGAGGATAAAGAAAACTAGTGGCAAGACTAGGTTCTAAAATCAGAACATGACTTACATTTGTGCAAAATGAGGCTCTACTGTAAACACAAAACTAACTCTTGGTCTGGAACATTTGTTGTTTCAGGTGGATGGGAGGATGGGAATTAGAGCAACTGGGAAATTAGAGCAGCTGAGGCTAGGCGCTGAGGGTGATGAAAACACTGTAGGTAATAGACAGGGAGATGGAGAGGGTTGTGTTAAAACCCGTCTGCTGACCTTCAATTTTTTCCTTGGGCCAGCCCTGGCCAGAGACCTTTCCTCTTTTTAAAATTCCCTTTGCTCCCATATCTGTTCGCTGCTTCCCGCCATCCTGTCTCTCTCCTATGTTCCCTAGTGCTCCTCCCTGGCCTCTTAGCATTCAGCAAGTGAGGCCTAAAGGAAGTTCTCAGTTGGGTAAAAGGAAAGCATAAAGCAGCCTTATCACCACTTCCCTGATTCCTCTGGGGTTTATTGTTATTAATTTTCTTATGCAGTGTTTCTATGAGGCAGCTGTATTTTCAGCTGGAGAAAACTTTGAGACCTTAAGGACAGAAAAAAAAAAAGAGAATCTGTTAAGAAAGAGAGTGAAGAAATTTAAAAGTCAGTATTTCTTTATATAGTATCAACTGTAGCCAGTTCCCATTTTTTCTACAAAATCTTCCCTGGGTGAATAGAAGGTAGATGGCCACTCTCTCTGATCTAATGGTTTCCCATTTCTTTTTTTTGGCACAAAGTTATGAACAATAAAATTCCTCAGTATCTAGTGAAACCATTTATTCACTTGTTATGTCAGCCTATAAATTTGCTAGGAAGTTAATTAGTGATTTAGGTGCTCTGACCATTACAAAAGCCATAAATCTCTCTATAGATCCATAAAGGTACGTCTCTACCTCTTACCCTATTTCCTTCTTTGGTAGAAAATAAAAGGGGGGCATATGATGTACTTTGTTGTTTGTTTATTGCAAAGATTAAATGAGACAATGTATGTGAAAACCCTAATCATTACTTAGCACACCAAACAGTTCAATGCATGCTATTTTCACTTTTTTTCTTTAGATGAACACTCCCACACTCCAGATGTTTCTGTTCTTATCAGAACCTGGTGCCTATTCCTTCAGAACCCTGAGAGGTGGCAAGAAACAATAGGACATGTGAATTTATGCTAAAGCTATTGGAGAGCTTATAATGCCAGAAGCAGAAAGGTGGGGATGGAGTGGTACACAGTTAGCTTTCATATCCATTACAGCAGATTTATATTTCTTTAAGTTGTGCTTTGCAGGTTAGAACTCTTCTTGTTTATGGGGACAATCCCTACCTGATTAAGATAGAAGAAAACTAGTGAGATCCTTAGCAATGTCTTTGAATTTTAATTAATTAACTAATTTATTTATTTATTTTTATTTTTTTGAGACAGAGTCTCGCTCTGTTGCCCAGGCTAGAGTGCAGTGGCATGATCTCGGCTCACTGCAACCTCTGTCTCTTGGGTTCAAGCGATTTTCCTGCCTCAGCCTCCCAAGTAGCTGGGATTACAAGCATGTGCCACCACTCCTTGCTAATTTTTTTTTTTTGTATTTTTTTTTAGTAGAGACAGGGTTTCACCATGTTGACCAGGCTGGTCTCGAACTCCTGACCTCAGGTAATCTGCCCGTGTTGGCCTTCCAAAGTGCTAGGATTATAGTCGTGAGCCACTGCGCCCGGCTGTTTTTTAATTTTTAATTTTATTTTTCTTCTATAGACCCAGGAACTTGAGTTAGCAGTGTTAGGTAATCTGCAAACAAAATGATTTTTGTAGTCGAAGTACCTGGGTTTTTTTCAATTTCTTTTAAAAATATATTGATGTTAACACCCTAAACCCATAAGGATGGGAATTTTTTTTGTTGTTCTTTTTATTGCAGCATCCTGGTCATTTAGAGCAGTGCCTGACACATGATATAAACCCCCGAAGTTTTGTTGAATAAATGAAGGAATGAACAATCTTGTTTAAGTAGACTAATACAAGACAATCTACGCTCTGCCTCTCTAGTATATCTGAGAATGTCTTGTAGGTATTCTCAGGAGTGCTGAGAAAAGATGTTTTTGAGAGACTTCTATGTATCTTGCATTATGTTGGGCTCTTGGGATTTTGTGGTTAACAAGTTAGTCATGCTCCCTGCCATGAAATGAGCATATAGTTTAGTGGGGAAAAGAAAGACTTAAAAAGTGAATATAAGAGGGATGGTTTTTATGGGGAAAAAAAACAAAACGTACAGAGAGTGGAGCAATGTGAGCACTGTAGGAGACCCAGCATGTGAACAGAGGCAGCATTCTGAAAGCAAGTCTCAGAGAACATGAAAACATCTTAAAAACAAAAACAACAAAAATTTCAAATGAAAGGTATTATCAGCAAAGGCCTTGTGATTAATTAGCTGCTCTATCTCTTTCCTGGGGTACAAAGTGAGGAGGACAATTGTCTCAGTGGTTCTGACGTGTGTATGACCCTGAGATGCAGTTAAGGAATCAAGCCTGAATAGGTCAGCAAGCCACTTGTTCTAAAATTCTTCTTGGGAGGAAACATCTGTGTCTCTTTCAGGATGCCAGCCATCACATGGGTCTTTCAACATTAGCATATTTTTCAGCCATCTGCAGTGGTTGCCTCCCTCCCACACAAGCTTAGTCACTGCACACAAACACACCTTTGTCCAAACTTCAGTACCAGGCTTTACAATGAAAGTCTCTGTGGCATCTCCGTGGAACCACATTTCCCAAGAGTGCTGCATAGCTATTTTACTTGCAATGCATTTATCACTTTTTAGCTCATTTGAATGCATGGGAAAACACAGAAGACTGTTGTCGTAGGTGGTGGTGTTTTATGGTTGTTATTGTTTTTCCTTAAAGTCATAGGGTAAAAGAAAGCTTGAAATATCATTTGTTTTCACTTCCTACTAGGCAATTAGGTAGACCCACTCTTAAATAAAACCTCTAATTTAGTATCCTCTCATTTTCAACTCACCTACAGTGATGAAGTTCTACAGGCTCCCTATGTTAAATTATTCTAGCGTTAATAAACCTTATTTTTGAAAATTTCTTTTACTTTTAGCTAAAGTATCTTCCATTGTCTCTGGAGGTAAATGTTAAGTTTCAGTTGTAGAACTACATCAGCTTATGATACAGTTAAGAGCAAAGGTCTTGGAATCAGGCAAATGTAAGTTCAAATTTGACCTCTGCTTCTGATGAACTGTGTGATTTGAGACAATTATATGACATTTTGCATACCAGTTTCCTTTTCTTCATCTGTAAACTGAAGAAACTAACACTCATATCAAGAGAATAATGTCTGCGACCATGATATTGACCCAGTTTCTCCCCCGTAATGAGTATTTGATGTATAGTGGTTATCATTATTGTAATGTTTAAAGTATCTAATAATAATATTGGGAGGAGGAACCATGAATGTTTTGGATTTGTTCCCTTCACAGCCCTTAGTGCCATGGATATGGTAGGTACTCAGGATTTGTGTATAAATGATTAACAAAAAAGTAAGATAGTAAGAGTAAGGAGCAACCTGCTCTTCTATTAACTAGCTTCATGCCGGGGTAAATCATTTACACTTCCTGAATCTTAGTTTCCTCATGTGCAAACTGGTAGTTTTATAAATGCAAAACTGGTAGTTTTGCACTTGGATATTTATGATGAGTATTTAATTTGTTCTTTCAGGTCTCCAGAGAAGGAAGTTCTTTGGGCAAAATTTTTGAGTTTAAGAATTATTTCTTAATGATAATCTGATTTTTCAAAGCTTTCAGGTATTCTCAGCAAACTAGCGCAGGAACAGAAAACCAAACACTGCATCTTCTCACTCATAAGTGAGAGTTGAAAAACGAGAACACATGGACACTGAGAGGGGAACATCACACACTGGGGCTGTCAGGCAGTAGTGGGCAAGGGAACGGAGAGCATTAGAACAAATACCTAATGCATACGGGGCTTAAAACCTAGATGATGCGTTGACAGGTGCAGCAAACCACCATGGCACATGTATACCTATGTAACAAACCTGCACATTCTGCACATGTATCCCAGAACTTAGAGTAAAAAAAAAGTTTTTTGAGAAGAGATATCAGAAATATTGTCATATTTTCTTGATTAGAGTCGAGATAAAAAGAAGTAAATGTTGAGTGTCTGCTCCCTTTGGTATTATCTTATGGACAGCATAGGACCAGGATTGAATCCTGATGACCACACTGGAAGAAGAAGTGGAAAATGAGGTGAAGGAGCCCAATTCTAGAACAGTTCAATTTCATTTGTTATTCTGGTGATTAATGTCTTCAGCTTTATACCTGGAGTGTTTCCAAAGCTTTTCACTAGATGCTCACCTTGACTCTGCCCAATATTCTCAACCTCAGCTAAATAAAACTAGTTTTTGACACCTAAAGAAATGGAACTTGTAAAACGTGGACATAATTCTACTTAAAGAGACAATGATAAACCCATACTTACATTCATTTAACTGTATTGATTTTTTTCTCAGAATTTAAGTGGGTTGAGGCAAAGAGGTATGTGACAGGGAGGAAGGGGAAAATCTTCTGGGGCACTTATATGCTTTTTAGAGTTTCTTTCTATACCTAACTCTTCTCTGGGGTGCTGAGGGTTCCAAAATAAATATTAATTACATCACAAAATTCTAAGAAGATGAATTTTTTTTGTCAGGTTCACCAATGGTCACTTTGGATTCCCAAAGAACACAGTAAACTTTAATTAGGTGATTAAACCATTAGGTGAAAAAGGAGTATTTCAGTATTAGAATAATCTTCTCATCTGATTCCCCAATCAACAAGCCATATGGAATCAACATACCAATATTGACTCTAATACATATTAGTCAGAATATAAAGTTGAAAGAGGTAAATAAGACTACCTCCCTAGGTGTGTATGTGGACTTACAGAACCTAGTTATATGGTGGTATTATACAATGGAATTACGTCACATTTATTCATTTTTGATGGGCAGGTGGCATTCCTTAGGCTTTTGAGTAGACTACATTGTAATGTGGGAAAATCGTTTGTCTAACTTCATTAATTGACAGCACTAATGAGAATACAATTCAGGTTGGTTGGTACAGTTTCACAGTTTTGCTCTATTAATGCTGGAATCATATCTTTATATTTGGCAGTTTTACTCCGAGCCAATGACATCAGCAAAAAGTTCATCCTAAAAGAAATTTCCATGTTGAATCAAATAACTGTAAGAATGTTATTTCTTCTTAACTTCCTAAATTTTGTGCCAATGATTCCATTGGATATAGAGGAAAGAGTCTTTCCTTTGAGAGCTTTCTTTCTACAAACATTAAAAACATACAGTCCAGGAAATCCTTTTAGTACAAACCAGTGGAAGGTGATATAAATGAAAATAAGGGGAAATAAAATAAAAACAGTGGGTGGAATCTGACATATTTGTTTGCTAAAATAACATAGATAGTTATGAATGGCACAATATTATTCAAATTTTACAAACATTTAATATCTTTATCACATAAATCATCTTATTTAATGTTTAAACTTGGGAATTAGCTCTTATTGTCCCCCCTTTCCTTGAAGATGAGGAAATGGAGCAGAGAGGTTAAGTAACTGTCTGAAACAAAGAGCTAGTATGGGTGAGAACCCAAATTCAATTCCAGTTCCATCAGACTGTAGTCCAGTGGTTTTTCCTATTTTGCTGATGGTTCTAACATTTTTTCCTCACTCAGTGCACCTGATAATTTGTGTCTGTCAGCAGCACTGTGCCTCTGGAGGGGTGGGAAGGTGGGAGGTTTCCCTTAAGGGCCCATCAGCATCTATGGATGGGTGGGTATGTGTAGTTTGGGAAAGATGCCAGGGACAATTCCATTTTCCCACCACCCACTTTGGATTCCCAAAGAACACAGTAAACTTTAGTTAGGTGATTAAGTCATAGGTGAAAAAGGAGTATTTCAGTATTAGAATAATCTTCTCATCTGATCCCTAATCAACAAGTCATATGGAATCAACATACCAATATTGACTCTAATACGTATTAGTCAGAACATAAAAGTTGAAAGAGGTAAATAAGACTACCTCCCTAGGTGTGTGTGTGGACTTATAGAACCTAGTTATATGGTGGTATTATACAATGGAATTGTATAATTGACATTCTTTGCATTATCCCACACTCTACCATTTTGGTTTGATTTTATTCTATTGACTTTAGCACAGAACTTCTCCCAGCTTTCCTGTTTAATATCTCTGTGTTATGTGTTTTTGCACACATTTATCAAGCAATTAGTTTCATGGAATATTTCTCAGTCGGCACATTTCCTTTGTTCAGAAGTATATCTCAGAATATATGGGGCAAGAAACTCTTACCACAGAGTTATATTAAGCTTTAATTAGGATAAAACATCAATTCGGGCGTTACTATGTGAAGCTGGAAATCTCTCTGTCACATCTCTGTATTTCTCCTCTTGTGAGCGTCCTTGACCTTGCTTGCCTGTAATGGCTTAATATTACAGGAACCATTTTGCTTGGGCTCATTCTGATACCCATGACTCAACTGCTCCCTAATATGCTTCAGGAGGAGGATTTAATCACTTTCACTACCTCCTACCCACAGGTCTTTTTGTCTTCTAGCCACAGTTATCTCTAGTCTCCCTTGAGGGTCTCTACCCAGCCATTTTCAGCATCCACCACAACTCTACCCCTTTGCCTGTGATACTCTGGTGTCCCAGCCAAGTGACATGCACACTTAATATTCTGTTGTGCTTTATACAGGTTGCCTTAGTTTTCCTTCATGGTCCCTTCTAAGTCATAACTCGTTTTTTCTCAGTAACAAAATGAGCTGGTGAGTTTTGTGATTTTGAATCAGGCATGAGAAATACACAATATTAGGCTATTAGGACCATGGAGCTTACTGAACTTAAGTGCCCTTAGCCCTCTGGAAATAATAAGTATGCTGAATTATATACCTTTACGTCCAGTCTTTATGTGCCACATTGCTGCTAAAAGGGACATTTCTGCTTTCTCTGTGTTGGTGGTTTCAGTATCAATATTCTTTCAAACTCATTGGCCAATTTGGATTTTACAGAGAGCACAGACTTTTCAGGTTTTAGCTAAGGAAAAGGAGCTGTTACTTTTCACAGAAAAGCTGCTGTCTGTTGGAAGCCAAACCATGAGCGGATTTTTCACAGCTGGCCTTGATTGTTCTAAAACTTTCTTGGAGCAGCTGCGAGCCGATGACTCTGCTTCTAACCTCAGAGGTCATGTGAAAGAAGAGAGCTACATATTTTACATACTCACCTCAATCGTTCTATTGCTTACTGTCTGCTTTGTCTGGGCTCTAACCTTCGTGGAGGATGGAGTAAGTGAGCCCACAAATGATGTAATTTCAGAGACAGGTGTAATTTTCAACCTTTTTCAAGATATCTGAATCTTACCCTGAGAGAGTCATTCTTTAGGGGCTTTCTTTCAATAGTCCCATATAAAAGTGTAAATACCATTGGGAGGTATTGTATTTTAAGCCTTAGACTTTTTTTGCACTTAAAACACCTTAAGGCAATGTCAGTCCACACCTGAGGGATATTCATTGACAACTGGCTGAATGCAGAATAATAGGGAAAGCAATGAATCTCAGAAACAGTTTCCTAAGGAATGGTGTTAAAAGAAACCAAGGACAAGCTTTGACAATTTCACACCTTTTGGTCCTTCATATGTGTGTAATAATCATTCCATTGCAAGAGGTTTTGGCATATCACATTTGTAGGATGTGTATTATGGGTTGCATTCAAAATTTAACAATAGTTAACATTAGCCTCTAACAGTGGACAGGCTAATGTGCAACATTAAAATGTGGAATACTTTATTTTCCAGCAACCAATAAAAATATGATTACAAAATTGAATATGTATTTATCTCTCAAAATTGATAACTGATATTTTTGCTTTTCTTAGCTAGTTAACTCATTTGAATGAGTATGGCCCATCTCTCTCTCTCGGTGAGATCAGAAGGGCTTCCCTGGACACAATGGGAACAACCTTTACCCAGAGTCAAAAGTGTGTGGACCCAGAATATGACTGACTGTTCCACTGGGTCTAGGAGCACAAGCGTCAAACCAGAGGGAGATGTCCCACTGGTTAATCGAAGCAGAAGAGGCCAGAAGAGGAAACTGGGAGAAGAGTTTAGGAAAAAGCCAGAGAAGGTGAGAACACGAAGAGCAGGTTATCATAAGTGTACTGTTTGGACAACTGCTGGACATTGAAGACTGAGGCCTAAAGATGAACATTTACATATTCCTAACATCCATTGCTTAGTCAGACTAGGTCTGTTTATGGGGTCTGGGATAGGATGGAGCTATTCTTGTCTATTCTATTTTCTTTTAACATGCGTTTATATATTGAGCCCTTCTTGTGGGCCAGCTCCCTGCTTGGCTTTGTGAATCTAAATGCGACTACCAATTACCCTTACTACTTGGCACTGCGATAAGTGTTTTACACACGTTACTCGCTTAATCCTCACAAAATTCCATTAGGTGAATGTTATCTTGACTTTGCAGTTGAAGAAACAAGTTCAATAATACCAGGAGCATGACTAAGGTTACATGGGATATAAATGGTGGAGTGGGAATTGAACTCTGTTCTCTCTTTCTATAAAATTTATGATCTTAAAATTTTATGTATGTTTTATATCTGGCGATATTCATTAACCTGTTGCTAAACATTAATGAAAACAAGGAATTCCAGAATTTCCATAATATGGCTGGGTAATTGAAATTAAGCTCAGGGTTATTAATGGTGAGGAACCTCCAGAAACAAATAAGACAATTCCTGTGCATCAGCTCTTCCCACTTTTGCCTATACTCACTCCATCAGGCCAGGCACTGCATAAGGCATGTGGGGGATCCAGTGGTAAACATTTGGATATGATTCTTACCCTGAAGGAGCTCACAATGTATTAAGGGAGAGAAGCAATAACCAAATCAACAAAGAAACAAATATGATAATTTTGGATTGTGGTCATTTGTATGAAGGAAATAAAGAGGGTGATACGGTAGAAAGGAGACATCAATAAGATTCTCTTGGGTGAGGTCTTATTTGAGCTATGAGAAGGAACCAGCCATTTGGAGAGCAAATGTCCACTGTTTAGTGAGGCTAAAAGCATACAGGATACGTGATTAACAACTGAATTCAGAGCTCTCTTATAGAGATAAGTTCCTCTCAGGAATTATGCAAAATGCAATGAGAGAAGTCATGGAGAAGAAATGATTAGATCAAGAGAAAGGCGTATTAGGCCCAAGGCCTTGTTCTTGGTGCTGTGTGATATGAATAAACATCAGCTATCACTACTTGCCCTCCAGGAGCTTAAAAATCTGCTGGGGATGTTACCCCCAAAGCATGCGACTACTTAGAGAACCAGGCATGAATGAAATAATAAAACTTACAAGAGAAATAAATAAATAAACTTACAATTAAACAACTAGGTAGTTTAATTGATGAGTTATTGGTATTGACCACGAGCGATATGAAGCATTGTAAAGACTCAAAAGAAAGCATGCCGGAGAGATAAAAACATTTTTAACTAGTCCCTGAAAGATATGTGGGTTCTGGCTAAGTCATGAAGCCAAGCCAATGGAAATGGAATGAGCAAAACTGTGAGAAACAATATAGGAGATGGTGAGGAATCCAACTTGGTGCAGGCTTTGTACAGAGGATTAGTGGGAGATAAAGCCCAGAAAGTGGGAGGGGGTAGAGTGTTCTGGGCTTCAAAGGTCATGGCAAAGAATTTGAATTGCTAGGAATTGTGAAGCCATTGCAGCTTTTTAAAAGAAAAGATACTGTTAAAGGACATTTTAGGAAGATAAAGCAGGGAGTGGGTAATAGGTACTGAAAGAAGGCATGGAAGAGGAGGAATGTGCTCTGGTAACATGCTAAGCTCTTCCCTGCCTATGGCTTTTCATCCTGCAGTTCTCCGGCTAGATCATGCTTCTCCTTGCTCTTCAAATGGCTGGTTCCTTCTCACAGCTCAAATGAGACCTCACCTAAAAGATCCTCCTTGATGCCTCCTTTCTACCATATCGCTTTCTTTATTTCCTTCATACAAATGACCACAATCCAAAATTATCATATTCATGTATTTGTTGATTTTGTTACTGTTTCTCTCCCTTAATACAATGTGAGCTCCTTCAGGACAGTAATCATATCCAACTCTTTACCGCTGGACAAACCCCTACCCCCCAACCCCACCATGTCCTAAGCAGTGCCTGGCTTGTGTTAGACAGAAAAATAAAATAAAATAACTTATGAACAAAACTGTAATCTGGACATTATTTTTGATGGCTATTATAATATTTCAAGCAGGAGGTAATAAAATATAAAATGTAATTTATTAGGAATAGACCCAGAATGGAAAAGATAATCATGTGCATTTTCAAAAAGTAGACATGAAAAGCAAAAGAAAGATTGATTCATTCTGTCATATGTCTAGTTAACTCATTGCTTTTTTTTTTCTCTCTGAATAGGACTGTATGTCTTAGTGTCTGCCAGAATTAAGAAGGCCTCACTTTTCTGAGTAAGACCTTTATAGATTTTTTAAAAATAATAAGAACAGAAATTAAAAGATACTGAAGAACATACATTCATAAAAGTGTTTTAATCTTCTTTATTCCAAACAATTCAGTGCCGAGTAGATCCAGCTATTGTATGGTTCCCTGCTGTCTACCTAAGGGTGGAACTTTTCTCCTGTCTTAAGAATCTTGGTTGAAAAGCTGCCATGGCTTTTTCTGCAACAGCGGGAGGTGGCAGGGGGTTGCACATAGAGTAGCTGAGTGTCTGAGCCTGAAGAAGCAACTATTCTTAGGGATTGAAAGTACTCCCATCACTCTCACTGATGTTCAGCACTGAAATTGTGAAGTCCACAGTGACAATCATTCTTATTCTTCTTGTACTTTATTTGAGGTATTGCCAAGATGATCTTTAGTAGGGTAAGATACTCCTAAACACATAAAATATAACAGTAGGTAATACTTTTTAAACCCTATTCATGCATCAGTTCATTTAATTCTTGCAACAATGTTATAAAGTAAATACTATTACTATCCTCATTTTATATACGAATGCAACACAGAATATTTTAAAAATTTGCACAAGTTCCCAGTTAGTAATGGCAAAGCTGGGCTTTGAAACCTACATGCAGTTGGGCTCCAGAACTGACACACTTCACCCTATCCTGCTTGTCATGGTACTTGCTACAGGCTCTCTTCCTTGATGTGCACGTGCAGTCTAATTCCAGTGATGGGTGCGCGGCCCTTAGTGCTGTTGTATGCCGGTGCCAGCTTGTGTGGGCTCACAAGAGCTAACTAAGCACAATTTTCCCCAGTTCTGCATTCAGTGATGTCATATTAGTAGCTTATATTTTGCCATGGTGGAAATATTTACACCACAGAAATCAGCAAACACTGGAAGTTAGGGCTCCCGTATTCCCGACAGAGAGCTGCGTTATCAGCACCTCACCAGCACTCTACTGTCTTAGTGTACTTTGCATAAAAAATGATGTCATCTGCTTCCCAGGAGAATAAAAAGTGTCTGTTTTCATATGATTTCAGGATTTTTTAGGCTTGTTTCCAAAGGATCACTCATAACACTTATATGGTAGTTGTGCTTACATGGTAGTTACACTCTGTCTACATTTACATTATGCAAATTTGAGTACGTGTGCCTATTAAAAGGAAAACCCAGAGACATAACAATTTCAGTAGTGTGGACAGTTCTACGAACTCTTGCAAGTGGGGAATATTTCTCTTGGAGTGAGCCTAGATTGGCAGGGCTACAAGAGCTCTGGGGCAGTGTAATGTAGGGAAAAGAATGAACTTTGGGATCCACAGGTTCAAATCCTGTTACTTACAAGCTGTTTGACTTTGGACAATACTTTAGTCCCTCTCAATTCCATATTTTATTAGGTATATTAAACAAGAAAACCTATGATGGTTCTGTTCCCCAACACCCTCAATAATTTTTTGTTACCTGCCCCTTTCAAGAATCACTTGGAGGGGCCGGACTTCACCACCTCACAGTGCTTCTCCAGAGGGAGGGAAACCTGTTTAGGCTTGGGTCCTGATATGTAGTCTTGGAAAGATGTCAATGAGGCAGTGTGAGCAGTGACATGGATCCAGAAGCGGAGGACAGACAGCAGCAGAACTGCCTTGCAACAAACACAAGCTGATGGCAAAAACAAACAACAAAACGACTAAATGATGACATACAAATATCAGTGCAAAATCACAGCAGAAATGAACAATGACAGTTGAGCCTCAGCTCCCAACACCCAGCCCGCAAAAGTGCTAAACTCTGAAAATTGTAGCAAAGGTAAACAAGTGCGCTCAAAAACTTTCAGATGAAACTAGATGCTCATTAGAAACATTGTTTTAAAAAGAGGAGGGAGTGAAAAGGAAATAAAGACTATTCTATTATTTTCTGCCTGACTCCTTTTCTGTTCTTCTCTCCACTTCTTTTCCTTTGGGGTTCTTTCTCTTGGTTCTCCTTTGCTCTGTCTCTCTGGCTTGTTCTTTACTTCCTTCTGATTGTCTCTTGTTCTTACTTCTATGTGTGACAGGAGGTAAAGAAATTCGGGTGATAGATTCTTCTGCTCTTAAATCAAGCCATGTCTGATCTTCCTGGAAGGCATCCTAGGACCAGGGGTCTGGGTGGTGAGGAGAAATCCGAAATTCTCCTTCCAAACCTCCAATATGATCCTCTCTGCCCAGCTCCAAGGCTGGCGCTTTCTTCCTCTCAATTTATTTCACAGTCCAGGATACACTTGTCCAATTGGTGCTTTGTAACTGTGAGTCGGCCTGGGTGTTGGCATGCTTGGAGCCGACAAAGAGGAGAAACAGTAGGGGGCGCTCTCTAACCAGGGCGGGAGCTGCCAGCAATGCCTTTCTAGGCAAGGCCGGACTGCGGCTGTATCTTTCTTAAATTCGAAATCAGGAGCTTCCCAGCCCATTAAAGGAATTGACATACCTCAGTTCCTGTATCACTTGCCACTTTCACTTTATTTAGCTCTTTCATGATGTTTTGAGGAGTGAAGGCTGGGAAATTTGTGTCCTAAAGACATTATGCAAGCTTATCTTGGCAAATGAAATTGAAAACTTGATTAAGAGCTCTTCATATTCTGCTCAGATGTCAGGTAAGATGCTAGTCTTTCAGACAAAAACACCTGGCATGCCCGATGAAAGTATATTTTCTTTCCTAGCACTTAGTTTTTGCATCATATTGCTAAACTTTATGGTAATACATAAACAAATAAATACAGTCCTTTCTTAGAAGTGTGAAGAAAAATCTATTTCTGCTTGAGAGGAACCTTGGGAATATTTAGAAGACTCAGTATAAGTGGGGCATGAGGTTGTTCTCAGTAGCGTGTCACTATGGTAACACATGCCCAATAGCCTGGTCCTTGGCCCAGTGAAGGGATAGCACCTGGCTTAGGGGTTGACACAGAGTATAAACTCAGGAAGTGTTGGATTGAACATCCACTTTCTCCTTATTTTATGTTCAAGGGCGTAGGATATTTTATCTTTGTTTACTTTTCCTTTACTTTTTTTTTTCCCCCGTGAAGAATGCAGTAAAAATATTCAGGGCTAAATGGAAACATTAGGGTCACCTAGGGCAGCCCTGTGACATTTTGTTTTTCAGAAGCAGCTGTTTCCCTGTCCTTTCCTATCTTCCCATTCCTCTGTGAATTCCATGATGTTCTCTTGCAATAATGGCCCTGAACTATTCCATTCCACCTGGATCCATTGCCTTTCCTCCCTCTCCTCTCCATTAGAATAACACTTTTCCATGCCTATGAGAAATTAATATGTCAGTTCTTCTGGTACTGTTATAAATTCAAAAATTTTAAAAGTTCATAGTTACATTTTTACTTGTCCAACCACTTGACCCAGTTTTAGATTTGTAAAATATGTTCACTATATTCAAGATCCCCTGGTAGTTAATCTGAAGAAATGTCCTGATCAGTGTTTGAGTAGAAGCTAATGACTAAATTTGTAATCACCCCTTTCCCTCTAATTGCACTTTAAAAAAGGGAGCGAAGAATTTCAGGCACATGGTAGCCTGATGAAGGAGGTGATTTGGGGGTGGGGAGGCCATTTAGTTCTGTCAAATCACACCCTCTATGAGGAGAGTTACATACTGCAACAAAATCTCCTGGGACCCTTCTTCTGCAGCCTGGTGCCTTCCAGTATATAGTAGGGCATATTCAAATAGGAATAATCCTGCTAAAGCAACATTCTGGAAGGGCTGTTTCTAATATTTGCTTACCCTGATCACCAGAACCTTGGTTGTGATTTTCCACTGGGCAGATCCAGTCCAGATAATTATCCATCAAGATATTTTCTTACTGGGGGATTTATATGAGGTGTTACACAAATGAAGGAGAATAATTAAACCCATAACCAAGGAATATACTAGGTTCAACTATGTACTTAACGAGCAAATACAAACACACACACATACACCACCACCACTCCTGCAAATAATATATAGTCAAGCAATTGCAGTATTTCATATCTTAAGTTATTACAGAACTGATAAAAGGTTTATCCAGGGATACCTAAAGGAAATGTCTCTGCCTGGCCCATGTATAGATCTTTACTTCCCCCCCACCTTTTCATCTAATTCTAGTATGTGATTTTATTATCTTTTATGTGACACTATTCCACATTCCCCATAGGTTTCTATTGGAATGGTTACTTCTTGAATCGGAGCACTTAAACTACTTGAGAAGTCTCAGGCTTTCTATCTGCAATTGCTTCGAGTTTACGCCTTAACATGAGTTTCTATCAGCTGTATCTCTTTAGTTCTCATTACTCTTCTTCTAAGCACAACTGCCTGGATCTGTGTCATGCTAGAACTTTTAGAGATTTTCTTTTTTTCAGTCAGCTCACAGCACTGGTCACCTAGGAATGACTTAACTCTTTCCTGTGCTTCACTTCATTTTTTTCAGCTCTCTCATTCAGTGGAGGCAGTGTGAGTAGTTATATAAATAACTCTAGCTTTTAATTGAGAAGAGAACAAATTCCAACTCAATAACTACCTAAAAGTCTTTCCATTGTGAAAATGCCGTCAACTTAGGCATCTTCCTCCATCTTTTTGGTGTGCATAGAATAACCATTTTTGTTTTTGCCTAAAACATGCAGTTTCACAGTTATGCAAACCTGGGACAAGGTCTTTTCTCATATTAGGGTGAGAATGAGGCCAAGAGAGCAAGCAGTGCAGCCTGTGTCATTGTCTATCTGCTGAATGTTGGTAGCCCTTCTTCTAAAGAGAAACCAACACAGAGAAAACAGGCAGTATTGCTAAAAAACCATCTGTGAATGGTGCGGTAGGTCACAGGAAACAGAACATCTTTTGGGGCTCCCCCACCCCCATAGAAAGAATGCAAGACTTGGGACTATTCTATAAACTTTTCAGCGCCTTAATGGGTGGTTGCTGAGGACCCTGGGAATATAATCCAGTAAGTTTTCGCACTTATCCCCTCCCCACCAAATAAACAAGTTGCACTGGTTTTCCTAAATCTCTCTCTGAAGACTTGGTTGAAATTGAAGTGGTCAGTATTATGTTGGGTCAGAGGTTAAATTCTGGACTAAATTGGGGGAACACAGAGACTTAGAAGGATTGAGGATAAGTGATAAAGTTTTTGTTAAACTGTAAAATGCATTTAGGATTTAACATTTAAGCACCATTGTTTAGAAAATGCCATGATTCAAGCTGACATGAAAATGTGTGTGTGTGTGTGTATTCATATGGCTCCTTTCCCAGCTCTTAAAGCCTCGCCATGACTCACTGCTCTTTTTCCCCCAGTAAATAATCTTCACCATGAATTGAATTAACTGGAAATGACAGATAGCAATGTTTTATTTTATTATTACTATAAATCAGTAGTAGCTAAAGGATGTTTGCTTGGTAGGTCTGGACTCTTTAGTCTTTGAGTTTCCTGAAGGTCAGAGGTTTTTAAAATTCAGAAGGGTATTAAGTGTGGGTCCTGAGGTTATCTTTCTGTTTGCGAGAGGGATAGACTAGAGATAATACTTTTTAAATACTTCTTTTTTTTTTTTTTTGACAGAGTCTCGCTCTGTCACCCAGGCTGGAGTGCAGTGGCGGGATTTTGCCTCACTGCAAACTCTGCTTCCTGAGTTCAAGCAATTCTCCTGCCTCAGCCTCCTGAGTAGCTGGGATTCTAGGTGTGTGCCACCATGGTCAGCTAATTTTGTTTTTTGTTTGTTTGTTTGTTTTGGTTTTTTTGAGACGGAGTCTCACTCTGTCACCCAAGCTGGAGTACAGTGGCGCGATCTCGGCTCACTGCAAACTCCAACTCCCGGGTTCTTGCCATTCTCCTGCCTCAGCCTCCCGAGTAGCTGGGATTACAGGCGCCCGCCACCAGGCCCAGCTAATTTTTTTGTATTTTTATTAGAGACGGGGTTTCACTGTGTTAGCCAGGATGGTCTCAAACTCCCGACCTCAGGTGAGCCACCCTCCTCGGCCTCCCAAAGTTCTGGGATTACAGGTGTGAGCCACTGCTCCTGGCCTAAAAGACTTCTTATAACCCAGGAGAATTTAAAACATAAAAAAAAGGACTTCTTATAAAAAAAATTTTTTTTTTAGTAGAGATGGCATTTTGCCATGTTGGTCAGGTTGGCCTCGAACCCTTGACATCAGGTGATCCACCTGCCTCGTGGTGGTGGACGTCTGTAATCCCAGCTACTGAGGAGGCTGAGACATGAGAATAGCTTGAACCTGGGAGGCGGAATTTGCAGTGAGCCGAGATTGTGCCATTGCACTCCAGCCTGGGCAGCAGAGCGATTCTCAAAAAAAAAAAAAAAAAGTTTCTCCTGGTTGCTTTCTGAATGAATGGCTTGAGCATTTAGGTTCTTTTTTATAGGGAAATTTTTCTTTATTGCAGTGAAAGAAGTTAAGATGCTTCAGGAACTGAGGCTGCTTTATGCAGCACTTAACACAGTAGTAAGAAAGTACTCTGGATGCATTTGTTGATTAAATGATTGAAAAGTCAGCTGCTCGACTCTTTTCTCTATTAATAAAAACAAATGTAATCCTGGCACACAAACTGTAATCTGAAAATGGGTTTTAGAAATCCACTCTACTGAATAAATGGGCCATTAGAGCCTTTCATTATTGAGGTTAAGAAGGTACATTAGACTAGATGGAGGTGGGAATGAGGAGGAGGGAGAGGTATGTTTAACGATTTCTAAATGTTGATAGAGAAGACATTTTAGCTCCCAAGTTTTCATCTACCTAATATTCCTACTGACAGCATAAAAAATCATAATGTCTGGAAATTATCAGGAACTGTGAAGGGTTGAGATTTTATCCTACTTGTAAGTTAATACATTAGCCTGCTACAGTTTCATAGATGCTGACAGAACTCCTGGGTTGGAAACAAAGAATTTTATTACTCAGATTGACAGCAATAGGCAGAGTATCAATTTTTTGTGGCAGTTCCTTGAGCCCCATTTTCCACAGGGTGATGTGAAGAAGGCCAGGTGACACCTGCACATGAGCCACATGACAAGAGAAGAACTCTGAAACCAGGGAACTGAAATCCATTACAATGCACAGTAAGCATGCCTACCCTGTTGCTGGAGGTAAATTCTGTATCTTTCAAGGCTACTTTCTATGCAGAATCCTTGAAAAAGATATTTCAAAGCAAAAGAAGTCAGTGCCTCAAAGAAGGTACATTCTGTGTATTTCAGGGCTACTTTCCATGCAGAATCCTTGAAAATATATTTCAGAACAAAAGAAGTCAGCGTCTCTAATTGCAAGATGTTCAGAAAGTGAGAGTCCCACGGAGAAACTGTCCTCCAACGAAGTTCTTGGAAGAATGTGATATCTATGCCCAATGCATGCTGTTTCTTTTCCACTGCTATCGTTAAGCCACCATCTTAAATGTAGTGGTTTTCTCTGCTTTCAGTTTCTGCTTTCAAGTCTGGTTTGGAATTACCCTGGGTATCTTTATTTTTCTTGAGTCTTCCCCTTAAGGGTTCCCAGGAATCTTCGCAAACAAGGAAGGTGACAACTCAGCTAGGTCTCAGGAAGGAGGAAGTAACTTTTTCTGGGACAAATAACGACACTTGATGGACCCAGGCATGCCATAGTGACACTTGATTGATCTAGGGGAGAATAAATAAGAGGGGAACAAATGCAGTGTGGGTTAGAATGGGCAAATAAAGGAGAAGAGAGAAAGGGAGAGAAGGATCAAATACGACTCCTCCTTCTCCCAATAAAAGGGCTATGTAGTACAGTGTGGGGGATGAGAAATGAAGAGAACAGAGTTATGTGACAGAGCTTGACAACCACTGTTTATGACAAGCAGGTTGGTGAGCAGAAAACAAAAGAGAAAGAGAAGGAGGAAAAAAAGGAGACGTGAGAAATTGATGGAGATTTGCATAGTTCAAATCTAACTGCATTAGTTAAAATTTTTCCTTGAATATTTTTATCTGCCATTTCCAGTAGAATCAGGGATGGTATTTAGCATCTATTTATGAAAAGTAACACAGTGAGTCATAGAATACTGGTAAGGCTAAAGCCCCAGAGGAAACTGTGTGGGTAGCAGAGAAATCAAGCTTTCATACATTGAAGTAGCTGCAAAAGATAAAGATTCTTTTTTTTTAAGTCCCTCTATTTAGTATAGTGAACAATTTAAAGGAAGCTTGAAGAAAACATGTTATGTAAGTAAAAAGTGAATGTTTGATTTCTACAACTTACAGAGAAAGTTAAATGAATTCAGACTTTTTTTATAGGTGTAAGTGGGACTCCACCAGCACCACCAGACTTTGTGAATGGTGTCTGTGTCCAGAAGGCACCATCTTGCAATCAAGCTTTTTAATCTTCTCAGCATCCATAAAGACTTCACTAAATCTCTTTAACAGCAAAGCAAACAATGTGTCCATCAATGGGACAAAAACATGAACCAGATTGCCTCACTGCAAGCCCAGATTTGGACCCACAGTGTTAAACTATAATGGAAATTAATAAGGTGGAAAATCAAGAGAGAGAAAACATACCATTTCTTCCTCTCTCTCTTTGATCAAAGTTGACTCTCCTCTCTAAGATAGTGGGAGGTGATATGGCAGGTAGTTCTTTTCACACTGACTCACAGAACTGCTCTGTGCAAGAAACAACTCCCTCTTTGTGAAATCCAGGAACATCATGGCTGAGGCAAACAGAAATGCATGAGTAAAGGGATGTGCTGTTCAAATGGGCAGAGATGAGCAGCCTACCCTTGTGATCTTTCATACAGAAGGACTTCTGTTTGTAAAAGGCAGGGAAGGAGAGCTTGCTGAAGAAGCTGCCCTCAACAACAATATTTTTGGATTCTTACATGCTGATCTTTTAAGAAGTAGCTGAATTTCCTCATGAAACACTGTGTTTTTTCTCGTCTTCAAATGACTCAATCTGGCGTGCTGGAAATTTCAGTTTGTGGCCCAGCTTTCCTGCAGAATAGCTACATGGTCTTGCACAAGGTTTGCAATCCATGGAGAAGATAAGACAATGGGTATAAAATGTTAAGTCCTAGATGAATGAAAATAATAATTATTATGTAAGGAGTATCCCAAATCCATTTTCCTTCCTAAGGAGAAGACTTAAATTAGCCCTGTCCAAAAAAGAAATTCTTGCTAATTTTCTTTTTATCTCCAATCACCAGCATCCCGACCACAGGTCTTAACCTAGCATAGTATCCTTCCTCTTTCTTTGTTTCTTCCTGTAGAGTGTGAATACTACTTTTAATCTTATGTAGGTATTATTCGATGATTATTATTCTACTCTTTCTGTTCTCTACATATTGATCCTGCAAATATTGGCTGTTTCAGAGAGTGGAAATCTCTCAAGGGCATGGAATCATAAAAGTGAAACACAACTAGGTGTTGACTAATACTTTGTGTTAACTTGAAGACAAGGTTGATGATGATAATGATGATCTTTTTCACAGTTTACTAAAAGTAAGGGAAGTGGTAAATTTATTCCCAAACATCCCTCAGAGAAAGATCCTAAGATGTATGCAAAAATCATGGAGAGAGAAAAAAATAATGAAGAAAAGGAAGAATGACCTAGTCTTGTCCTTTTACATGTATAGAGAGCATTTCCACTTCTACATTTCATCATTATGTGAAATTCAACATGTCTTAAACCAAACTCTCTTTTCTCCCTCAAAGCAGCTCTCCTGATTAGCGTCCCCATTTCAGGTTTATTCTCATAGCTTCCTAAGCTCAAAACCCCTGAGTCATTTATTACTGCTGCCTCTTCCACGCACTCATACCCAATCAGTAATCAAGTTCGTTGTTTCTGCCTTCAAAATAATTTTCATATTTTTCCCCTTCAGTTGCCATGGATACCGTAAAATTTCCCTTTTTGCTTCATGCCTGGACAACTGTGGTAACTTCCCGAGTCTCTCGGCTCCAATCTGCCTTGCAGACAGCTGCTGCTGGAATAATTTCTTTTGCCATGTCATACCCCTGCCCAGAACCCTGCAGTGGCTCCTCACTGTTCTTACTTAAAACCCAAATCCTTTAAAGAAATTTGCATGGCCTTCTATAATCTGACCATATTTAAAGAATCCCTGCTAATTTACACGATGACTTTGTGCAAAATTGAGAAGTCACCCCCTCTGGGCATAGGAAGCCTTGCGATTTAAGGCTCAGCTAAAGAATCAAGCCTTTTTGCATTCTAAAAGGTGGTCTCATCCTTAGGGTGTACCCTGTCCTGCTGTAGAGTACACAGGGCCCTTAGAGAGCAGGGCAAAGGCTGTTTTTCAGCCTCCAACCACTCAGAGGTCCTAGGAGTAACCCTCACGGCCATAGGCAGGCCCTGCAGCCTTCCTGTTCAACCTGATTTCTTTTTGCATGGAAGCTCAATCCTTCTCTCGGACAACTTTGCTTTCCCTGAACAAGCTGTACTTAAGTTTACCAGAGTCCCTTGACTCATGTTTTTTGCATTTCTTGAAATACACTTCTGTTTCTTCATAGCTGGATAATTCTTGCTTGCCCTTCAAAGTTCACCTCCAATGTTACTCCTGTGGGAAGCCTTTTCTAACTCCATCGTCTGAAAAAAAATGACCTTCTTAGTTCCTATAGCAGTGTGCATACTCAGTTGTAGTACAGAGGAGTCAAATTTGATAACCTACGATGCAGATGGGCCAGAGTATGTACTTTTCAAATTTTGGGTGGCTGATTTTATGTGGCTCTGGATTTTAAGGTAACTCTGTGTGTTTTGGATAAATAATCTGACACTTCAAATGTTCTAACTGCCCTCTCTAGGGAGTAGATAGAGTCTGGAAGCAAGGGAAGGTTTGCGTGAATTAATGGTATCCAGGAAGCAGGGGAGAGGTGGGCAATTTATGTGCTGTCCTTCTTTGCTTGCTTCTGGGGCTCTAGTTAAGCTCATCCCACCTGGTCTTTGGGAGTCAGCCTCTATTTACATTAAAGCTGCTACTGAGCAGCGTATGGCTGTTGTAACTCCACTCAGGTTGTATTCTTCCAGGATGGGTGAGGCATGATGATGGCTCTTGTGATATGATTACACACACACACACACACACACACACACACACACACACACACACACACACACACACAGGTTTTCATATACAGTTCCTAGCTCAGAAACCTCATAATCTTTGTTATATTCTTTTGTCACAATGTTGGGGTACTTTAGGCCTTAGGAACAGGCCTCAGAAAATGGAATCTCTCTCTCTGACCTTCTCCTGCCTTCTTTTCACCTGCCCAAGGCAGGACTCTCATCTGATTGTGGGTCATGAGAACCTCATTCCAGAGTGGGTTCTACCCCATACTCCGCAGGAAGGAATGCTGCACAGAGAGATCCAGAAAACCCTGAGCAGGCAGGCCTTGCTGGGTTTATTCAGGTCATATCCTTTCTGTACAGTCACATTGTGACACAGTTGTCCATGCTTCCAGACCTTCCCTATGTATCTCTTCATTTGGCTGTTTATTTGTATTCTTTAAAATATCCTTCATAACATACCAGTAAATATGTTTCTGTAAGTTCTATGAGCTGCTCTAATAAATAAATCAAACCCAAAGATAGGGTCATGGGAACCCCAACTTGAAGCTGATCGGTCAGGAGTTCTGGAGGCCTGGACTTGAGGCTGGTGGGAGAAGGGGGCAGACTTGTAGGACTGAGCCCTCCATATGTGATATCTGTTGCTGTTTCTGGGTACATAATGTTAGAACTGATTGGAGGATACCCGGGGAAAAACCCCCACACTTTGGTCACAGAAGTCTTCTTCTGTGTTGATGATTGTTGTTGTGGTATGAGGGCAGAGGAAAACATGGTTTGCGTGTTGCTCTGAAACAGTATCCAAAGTGTTTGGCCATCACCTCTTGTTGATCAGGCCCCACGCTGGCTCTCGCGGTGCTTCAGATTCCCAGTGACTCCATTCCATCCCCAGCTTGGCCCATCGTTGCCTTGAGTAAGTTCACCAGCCAGCACTCATGGTCCACATTCCCGGAGGCATTCAGGAGCTTCTGGACTCCTTCCACATCATATGAGCACCATGGGAGTCAGTTGTCCCATAGCAGGCCTGTCTCTGTGGACACTTCCCTTTGTTGTTCTACCACTCCAAGGCCAGCTTGGATAGCCTAGGAAAGCAGGGCACTAGCATGGAAAAAATGCTTGTGGGTTCTGTCTCAATGTGCCTGGAGTTTTGTGGCAATTTCTGCTGCTGCAAAACCCTCCAGTCTCTATATACCTGGCCCCTGTGCTGGGGATAAACTCAGGGACTCATGATCATCTTCTCCCTTGTCTAGTCTTCTGTAGCTCTCCCTGTCTGATTTCTATCCCTCAAGTCAGAGGTCCTTTCCACTTTATTTTTACTCCTTGGATAGATGGCAACTTCCCTTAAATCATAATCCTTAAATTTCTCTAAAGAAAAATTTTTGTCTTTATTATCTAAGCTTTACTTGAAACTCAGACAATTTGGAGGTTTATCTTTACTATCTAAGGTTCACTTAGACAGTAAAGATAAGAGCTTTACAACATAGTAATATAATATAATATAATATAAGCTTTACTATCTAAAGGTTATAGTAAAATCATATGTTTCAAATTTCAAGTTTTGCTCCTGATATGGAAAGAGAAGTTGTTTACCTTTAGAAGTACCTTGATTTCTGAGAAAACCCTGGTTTTCATGACCACAGCTTTGCCATGGGCCTCATGATTCTCTGTTGCAAATCAAATGCTGAATGGTGGCCTTTTCTTTGCATTCTAGTTAAAACAAAATCTTCCTAGAGGTAACAGTGTATCTGGTTTAGTAGAGCA
Organism: Homo sapiens; assembly: GCF_000001405.40. Lineage (NCBI taxonomy): Eukaryota > Metazoa > Chordata > Mammalia > Primates > Hominidae > Homo > Homo sapiens. The sequence goes on along the minus strand of NC_000011.10, from coordinate 95,695,269 downwards.
CAGCCTTATGCAAGGAAGAGTGAAGAAAATCATTAATAAATTAAAAAATATTATCCACTGCCATAAAAACTCTTAAACTTTTATTGTAACCACAGGTTCACTGGACTGTCATTCCTTCTTAACTGAAAGTCTTCCAGGGGACTCTCTCTTACTCAACTTTGTGTCCTAATATAAGAAAAACAAAAGCAAGGTTTAGGGCCACCTTCTATCCTCTTCTGGTCCAATGGAGAAGACAAGAGAGGATCTCAAAGGCAGGGAACAGCACATACAAGGTAGAGAGGATAGATGAGCATTATTCTGGAAGCTTCTGAGTTCTTAAACAATTGAGTTCTACAGTGATTGATCAGGCAAGAATTTCCAGTCCTGCAAGTGGATATCCATAAAGGCAAGGACTAGATGTATGCTTTGTTGCTTCAGGCTGCTAAGAAGAGAAAACCATACAGCTCTCATTTTTATGGAGCTGGCTAGGAATAGTGCTGGCCCTTATGAATAATACCATACGTTCAAGGATTGGGATGTCCATGTGTAAGTAATAATAATAGTACAACAGCTATCAATTACTGAGCTCAGTACTATGTGCCAAGGGCTCTTCAGAAAGCTTCACATATATTAACTCATTTAATCCTTACCACAGTGCTATAAAATAGCTTCTGTTATTAACTTCATTTTACAGAGATGGAGCTAGAGGTGCACAGAGATGAGCTGATTTTTCTAAGGTCACACAACTAGAAATTAGCAGAGCTACAATGTAAACACAGGGAGGGTAACTTCAGGGCCACTATTCTGTATCTCTAACCCAACAATCCTGCGGAGACAATTCAAACATATTAGTTGTGCCTAAATTCAAAGTATTGCATTATAATAAAGCTATAAATCTATTTTCTATTTCAGGCTTATAGTCCTCAGCGAATTGCAGAAAGAATCTGGTGAACAAAAGAAGAACAACCTTGTTTCAAGTAGCAGATGTGCAAGGAGGGTCCACAAGGAAATTTCCCAAAAGGAAAATAGGTTCATACACAGATCATAGAAAATTCACTTTTATAATCCAAATAGTTTTCTAACTTTATTTCAAGTAAAATTTTTTTCCCCAAATAACATATTCCAAAGCAGTAAGATAGATCAAAGTGATGCTACAAAGCTTGAAATGGGGATGAGAGCTCAGAGTCTTAAATGCTCAACTTGCTGCACCCCACTGAAGCATTCGATAAATTCACTGTACTCCTTCTAGTACCCTTTTTCTGGGTCATTCTGCCACAAATTTTAAAATTCCAAGTATGATTAAAAGAAAGAGCTACTTTTCAAAATAGAGTCTGAAACTAGCTTTATGATATTTTATTTGAACATCCACATGTGTAAGCGTTAGAATTGCTGGGAAGATAACTGCTTAATTGACCAGGTGTGCACATCAGTTGTTGGGAGAAAGAGAAAATACCATTGATTTAATTTTTTAAAAAAAAATTCAACTTTTATTTTAGACACAAGAGGGTACAGGTGTAGGTTTGTTACATGTAAATATTGCATGATGATAAATTTTGGAGTATGGATCCCATCATCCGAGGTAGTGAGCATAGTACCCAATAGGTAGTTTTTGAACTCCCCCCTCTAGTAGTTCCCAGTGTCTATTGTTCATCTGTTGTTCCCATATTTATGTCCATGTGTGCTCAATATTTAGCTACCACTTGTAAGTGAGAATATGCAGTGTTTTGTTTTCTGTTCCTGCATTAATTCTCTTAGTACTATGGCTTCTAACTGCATCCATGTTGTTGCACAGGACATGATTTTATTCTTTTTTAAGGCTGCATAGTATTCCATGGTGCATATGTACCAGATTTTCTTTATCCAATCTACCATTGATGGGCACCTGGATTGATTCCATGTCTTTTCTATTGTGAATAGTGCAGCAATAAACATACGAGTGAATGTGTCTTTTTGGTAGAATGATTTATTTTCCTTTGAGTATATACCCAGCAGTGGGGTTGTTGAGTCAAATAATAGCTCTGTTTTAATGTTTTAAGTTCTTTGAGAAATCTCCAGACTGCTTTCCTCAGTGGCTGGACTAATTTGCATTCCCATCAACAGTGTTCCCTTTTCTCTGCAGTCTCGCTAGCATCTGTTGTTTTTTGACTTTTTAATAATAGCCATTCTGACTGGTGTGAGATGGTATCTCATTGTGGTTTTGATTTGCATTGCTCTGATGATTACTGATGCTGAGCATTTTTTCATGTTTGCTGGCCACTTGTATATCTTCTTTTGAGAGCGTCTGCTGGTCTCAAACTTCCGATCTCAAGTGATCTGCCCCTCTTGGCCTCCCAAGTGCTGGGATTACAGGAGTGAGCCACTGTGCCTGGCCCCTTTGCCTATTTTTAATGGAGTTATTTGTTTTTTGCTTGTTGAATTGTTTAAGTAGAATAGATATTTCAAGGGAATAATAACTAAGCTAAAATTTGAAGAATGAGTTGGTAATTATGGATAAGCAAAACATGTCCAAAGGAGTGCAGATAAGAAACAGCTTGACATATTACTAAGTTGGTAAGAATTTAGTATGTCCCAAGTATGTACATAGACAGAGGGATAGTTTGTGAATTAGGCAAGTGCCATATCTTGTAAGGCATTAGATACTAAGAAAAAGAATTTGAGCTTTATCCTGAACAAATGCAGAGCTATTAAAGGAATTTAATGAAGAAAATTGCATTTTAGAAAGATTGCTCCAGGGTGGAGAATGAATTGCAGTGGGGCAAACTGAAAATAGGGTGACAATTTAGGAAATAAGAAAACAGGAAGCAATTGCCATAATCAAGTGTGAAGTGATTAGATCACGGACTAAGAAAGTAACAGTAGATATAGAAGGGTGGGATGGGGACATATTCAAGAGACAGTTTGGAGGTGGAATCTCTTAGAATTGGATAAGTGGATGGATTGTGGCAGAGGTTTTGAGGGGCAAAGAGGAGTATAGACAACATCTCTTGTCTTCTAGTTTGAGTGATTAAATTTGGAAGACTGATATTCATCAAGATGGCAAATGCAGGAAAAGGTGCAGCTTTGATAAGGAAAGAATGATTTAGACATATTAATTTGAAGATCTTTGGGCTTTCTAGGTGGAGATGCCCCATACACAGTTGGATATACAGATCTGGAGTTTAGCCAAGAGGTACAAGCCAGAGAAATATGTTTGGAGCCAATAATAACATACATAGGTAAGAGTGGAAGTTGTGAATGAGGATAAAAATCCCCAGAAAGAGTACATGAAGGAGAGAAGCTAGGGTAAATAAAAGAGCCCTGGAGGACAACAAATTTGAGAGTTAACTAGAGACAGTAGAATCTACAAAGGAGCTCGGGAAGAAACAGCAAAAGAGGTTAGAGAAACCAGAAGAGTGGGTTACAGAATCCAAGGGAGAAAATATTTCATAAAGGACTAAGTAGTCAGGAGCATCAAGTACCACAAAGGTCAAGTAATAGAAAACGTTTAGAATGCCCATTGGAACTGGGAACTAAAGAAAGTCACTGACATTTTGGGGGAAAGTATAAGCAATGAAAGAGATGAAGTAGATACTGAATGTCAAATAGTATGTCTGTAAAGGAGAAATGAGATGGTAGCTCATGGAAGAGAGGAGCTTGAGGTTAAAACAAGGGATCTTTTTTTTAGTGGTGTAAAATGTCCATTTATTTTCTCACAGATCTGTATATTACTCAACTGTGTTCTCTGCTGGGGGTCTCTCAAGGCTGAAATCAGGGTGTTAGACTGGCTCTTATATGCAGGATCTGGGGAAGACTACATTTCCAGGTTCTTTCAGGTTGTCATAATTCAGTTCCTCATAGTTTCTCATGTTTACAGGACTGAGGTTCCTGTTTGCTGGTTGAGCCCACCCTACAGAGGCCACATGAATTCTTCATTCTGCAGACTCCTCCATCTTCAAAGCCACAGCGTGTTGAATCCCTTTTATGCTTCACATCTCTCTGACTTGCTCTTTTAGCTTTAATAATTAAAAAACACCTCCAAATTGTGATTTCACATAAAATTCGCCATTCTAACCGCTTTTCAGTGTGCAGTTCAGAAGTGTTAAGTATATTCATGTTCTTGTGCAACCAATCTCCAGAACTTTCTCATGTTGCAAAACTGAACCTCTGTTACCTGTGAATAACAATTCCTCGTTTCTTTCTCCTCCCAGCCCCTGACAACCGTCATTCTACTTTCTGTTTCTAGGAGTTTGACTACTCTAGGTACCTCATCTAAGTGGAATCATACAGCATTTGTCATTTTGTGATTTGTTTATTTCACTTAATATGATATCCTCCTGGTTCATCCATGTTGTAGCATGTGTCACAGTTTCCTGGGGAGGGGAATTTTTAAGATGGAAAATATGAAAAAAAAAATGGACAGAGCAGGCCACAGGAAAGGAACCAGCCCATGCGTTGAGATTAGAGAGGTCCTACTTGAAATCCTACTATCTGAGAGTCATTTATTTGATCTTCAAGATCTGTTGCCTCTTCAGTCTCCCAGGTAAAAAGCAAATATATCTCGAGATGAGTAAACTTTTAACATCCAAGGGTTGACTAGGTGGCTGTTGGTTGAAATAAAGACAGATAGGTTCCTCAAAAGGGAAAATAAAGAGTGCAAGTGGTGGATGAAGAAGAGGTGAAGACTGGTGAAAGAGTCAGTAGGTCAGACTGTTGTTGGAAACAATCCTTCTTAAGAACTCTGTGGATGTCATCTAGCTTGTCTTAGAATGCAAGTTATCTTCTCACTTAAGAATACTTGCAACTTCATTCTGTTTGGTGTAGGTGCCTATTCTGTTTGCATTTAAGAAGACCCTGGTAACAAAGGAAGAGAGCTTATAAAGACCCCATTTAGAGGGAAATCAGATGGAGACTAAGTACTTTAATGGAGAATTAATACTAAGATAGGATCAGTTAAACTCCAGATTTCAAACACAGTCTTTCCCGGTTTCCCATTACGCAATCTTGCCCAGCTTCCCATTCCAGTTTCCCAATGCGAAACTGGGAAAGACTGTGTTTGAAATCTGGGGTTGGGCTTTGCAAGGGGTGTGCCCTCAGGGGTCTTATGAGATACTCTACATATCTTCAGCTATGAACCCCTTCTTTGACCTCTTGTACAGTCAGCTTCTTGACATCTCTGTTTAGATGATGAATAGGAATCTCCAAGTCAACATTTCCAATACTTCACTTGATTTCCCATCCCTCTCCCAAATCTATTCTCTCCTAGTCTTCCTGAATTCAGAAAATGTCACTAGCATAACAATCCAGTCCCATTTTTTTTCGTGCAATTTATGAGCACATGCTGGCTGTTCTATCATGAAAGACATTTACTTCCTCCCATCTTCGTGGACTACCTAGTCCAGGCATTGTAATTTCTCACCTGAACTACTGCAGTTGCCCCTAACTGGTCTTTCTGCTCCATTTTTGCCAATATGTAATCAGCTCTCTAAACAGCAGCCTCAAAATTCTTTAATGTCTTTTCACTGCAGTTGGGATAAAATTAAAATTCTCTACCACAGGTGCTGGGCCCTAATAGCATCTCTGACCTCATCAACTGTTTTCTCTTCCCTTATCCCTTTCCAGCTGCATCTGCCTCCTTTCCATTCCTCATCCCCACCAATTTTGTTCTCATCTTAAGGCTCTTCTGGGACTCTTCCTCCAAATCCTGTCATTGCTGTCTCATTAACATTCTAATCTCAGCTCAAATGTTTCCTCCTCAGAAAGCTGTCCCTGACCACCCAATCTAAAGAAATCTTTCACCTGACTCACTCTATGCTATGCCACCCTTTTAAATTTTTCTTCATGAGTGTTTTCACTATCTAGAATAATCATTTTTATTTGTATGTTTTTCATTATATCTCTCTCATTAAAGTAAAAACTCTAAGGACAAAATGTTGCATCTATCTCATTTCTGTATTCTCAGAATGTAGAACAGTGTCTGGTACAAAGTAGATGCTCAATAAATGTGTTGACTGCATAAGTGAATCCTTTCCAAACAGGTTGGTTGAAAATTGCTGGTGGATAAGCAGATGGCAAGCAGGGAGCCCTATTCTGAGAGTGGATTTCTGCTCTTGTGAAAAGATGAAACAAGAACACATTATTCAACGAATTAACAAAAACAGTTCTGGACTCTTCCGGTTACAGGGCAAGTGTTTTTGAAGGTGAAAACAATGTGGTCTTGATCTCTTTTCCTGGCTTTGCAAAGAACAAGGAAGATGAAATCAGTGATTTCAAAATGAGTCACTGGAAACAAGTGTTTTTCAAAGAACACACCTTGAAGTTTAAACCAGGTGACGATGAGGGAGGAAGAAAAACATGATGGTATTTTAGACCTCGTAAACTTTTCAGCAGTTCAGAGGAGGTTTGTCAATTCAAATATGTACATGAAACCATGGGCTATCGTACCCTCAAGGAATGAGTGATTCTGGGTATCTGTGGATGGCTGTTTTCCTGATAACTGATGGTTAACTTGTAATTGCTGTAACTGATTTTTTTTAATGGAAAACATTCTAAAAATTTTCCCTTGATTAAGGGAGGCAGTGGAATAAACATGGGCTGCAGGGCAGGATAGACGTAGGCTATGTCCAAGTTCTGCAACTAAAAAATTCTATGACGTTGGCACTTACCCACACTGAGATACAGGTTCTTTATCTGAAAGATGGGACTAATGATAGCTCATTGAAGGGTTGTGTGGATGACATAAAACAGTGATTGTAAAAATGTCACTATACTAAATAGAAATTTCAGACATGGTAAATATTATTGAAGCTACTAGAAAAATATGCGCTTTAAAGATATTGATCAACATATATCCTTTTCTAATGCCTCATTGTCAATATTATGAACAGATAAAATCTGTAACGTCTTGTTAAAATAGCTATAGATCCATGTGATGTAAAATATGAGCTCAAATATGTGTCAGTACCACTAGCAACATTAAAATTGTGCTTTTCTGGAAACACCTCTGATGTCAGATTGTTTCTACCCATTTGCCTTTCTGTCATGACAGTTAAGTGAGATGTGGTGAAATTCATGACTTCCAGGTCAGCTTTACATGGCCACTTTCATGCAAAATCAATTAGTCAACTAAAGACTGTCTTTCAGAAGTAGATTTGTGATCCTCCAAAAAGCCTCTCTTGTCTGTGTTGATGCACTCCTTGGCAGGATGTAAGGTAGTGTTTTCTAGGTTTCTTCCATGGACCCAGTGGAAAAGGATTCTGTGATAAAATACTTTTGGGAGTTAGATTGTCAATGCACGGTGACAACTTCAAGACTCTGAAATGTCATAAAGCAAGACAAAATATTTAATTTGGAACTAATATTTCTTAAACAATTAGAGTACAATTTTTCTTTAACATAACACCTGTTCACAGGAAATTCACTTGCTACAGAACACATTTGAAGTAACACTGCTGTAAGAAAATGTTATGTTTCTTAAGAAAATAAAACCAAGAACTTTAAGGTCGTCCTTGGAAGGAGAGGCTCTTGTAGAGAAGGAAGAGACATCATTCTGACCCTGAAGTTTTATCACTTTCCAAGGTAGGAAAATGCCATATCGTATAGGGCATTGCATACTATACATTCCCTGGGGAGCATTTTGAAAATGTGGGGGCACTTTTGTCTTCTAGCATGATCATACTTGAGCATTTACTTATGAAAGACCATTATCATCAACTATTTTCCTTTTATTTTTTCTTTTATAATATAGTTTAATACTTATATTGATTTCTTCTTATGTGCAGATAGGTTATATTATTTTTGAATTTTATTTTAGTATAGCAAAGGGATGATCACAAAATATTCGTTCTAAGAAGGTGTTGTTCGTGTAGCAGGGGTGGGAATTACTCATTTAGGGGTTTCTTGCTTATTTCTACTGTCACCCTCACACAGGTATGCCAGTGTCAGGAGGCTCTTGTCCTTCTTTTAATTTTGTCCCTGGCAAAACAAAACAAAATTTTGCTAACTGCTCAAGGAGAAAAGCAGGGAAATAAATATGGAGAGTTGGAAGAAATCACAGTAGGAAGAATCTAAACAGTTTGGCCCACAAGATGTGACTTTCTGCAGCATCTTACAGAATCTGTCCCAGCCCCTGTGTGTCCCAGAGATAAAGAAATGATTTATTTGAATCTCCAACTTTCTAGTACTTGGCTTATTTCCATGAGTTGATTATTAATTTTTGAATGTATCATCCAAGAAACACTTTCTTAGAAATTGACATCCTCCAAAGCTCAGGTCAGGAACATGAGACAGTTTTACTTTTCCCCTTGTATTTATTAGAATTGGGTTCAGTGTCTTGTGGAAGAAAACCCAAATATGGCAGCTTAAATCAGAACTTTTTGTTGTCTCATGTAAAAACTGGAGATCAGCATCCAAGAGGGATATGAACAAGTTTCCTCCAGTTTTCTTCTCTGCCATCCCTTGGGGGTGTTGTATATGGTCCAAGATGCTTGTTGAAGCTCCGGTTATTATCCATATCAGTTAAGAGAAAGAAGAAAAGAAAGGAGAAAATCATGCCTTTTCCCTTTTTAAACACTGTTCCAAAGTTGTACACACTACTTCTTTGGCCAGAACTTGGTTGTAAGGTTGCACATATCTGCAAAGACGACTAGGAAATGTAATCATCATTCCAGGAACCCACAAGCCCAGCTGAGATTAGTGGGTTCCATAATAGTTGGGATAAAATTTCACCCCCATTTTCCAAAGTAGCCTCATTTATTCTGGATTCCATATTTCCAGATTTGCCTGTTACTTATATAACTGACTTTAGAATTGACTTCAGATACTTCGGGTGTCCCTTTTATAGGTGCAATAGTTACGCAATAACTTATTTTAATATAATAGGAGCATTTATATGATAGAAAATGTTTCTGTACTTTAATGGTGTATGAGATGTATTCTCATGTGAGTACAACTTACTCTTCCTCTGATTTCTCCACCACCGACAGTGAAAACATCTTCAAAATACTCATCTTCTACTTGCAGTTTTTCTTATGAGATGTGAATTAATAATTCTTTTTCCAACTATATTTAGCCTTTTGATGCCAAACCTTGGTATGAAACATCAGAATTAGCCCTGATAAAAATGTACATGATTCAGTCAGCTTCAATTATTCATAAAACATTATAATTTTCCATTGAGCATTGAACCAGAAATGGGATAATTATGATGTTATATGGCTGAACACATAAAAAAAGTAGTGTACATTTTTCAGTTTATGGAAGATGCATCTTTACTATATGTCTGCATGCTCAGATAAATTGTTGTAGCTTCCTCTTCTGAGCATCAGTGTCACAGAGAGTAGATAAGCAATATTGTCTGGATGGACTTGGATTTGTCAGTGTTCCCTGGCTTCTCAATGTAAACTTTATATCCTCAAGTTCTCCAACCTTTAAGGCCACACTTACTCTGAATAATAATACTAATGATAATAATAATAATAATAATAATAACAATATGGGCATCCTTTCCACATGTACAGAAAATGTAGTATCTTCTCATAACCTATCCCCACATATTCCTGAGAATCCCCAAGGAACACTCACGTGCCCCACAAATCTATCCTGGTTTTGGCTTCTCCCTTCAGCTTGTTATTTTGTCCCAGATGACTTATCTGTGCCTGGGCACCTCTTGCTGTTTTGTAACCAACTTCTCATGGCTTCTGCTGATTTCCTTGCACTGATTTCTCTCATCGCAGAAACAGGCCCCTCTCTTAATTCCCAGAAAGCATTGCCTGGGCTGGAATAGTTAACTAAAGTGGCCAATGACTTGGGAAATACAAAGAAAAGACAGAAAGGAAAAGCTTACTCTTTTCCACCATGTATTGCTACTCCTGGAGCCCCTAGCCCCTAGCTTATTGCCCCCACAGAAGGAAATGCCCTCCCCTCACTTTCTCAACAGGCCTTTGGGAGGTCTTTCTTTCTCAAAACAGTGACTGCTCATACTCCCCTCTGCCCTGCCCCTCCCCAAGGGCAACAAACAAGCAAAAATACAGCATTCCAGTTCTAGATAGAGCAACTGGGTACATATAATATGTTTTCTCTTTTAAGATTTTCAAATACATTTTAGATTTGTACACTTTGGCTTCCATTTAAAAAATGCAGTTAAAGTCAAGGAGTGGCTTCACTGAGATGCCAAGCTTTTTTGTTTTTCTCCAATACGGTGCCAGCAAAGTTACTGTTATGGCTCAGTTTTGTCATTTAGTTTTGCCTTGATGCAGTGAACAGGGAACACCCCCACAGACTGCTAAGCTGTGTACCAGGTGTTGTGCCTTTGATGAGGCCCAGGAATGTTTCAAGGAGTGTGCGGTATAGGGCAGGTGACTGTTGGCTTCTCCTATTTTCCCACCACATGTGGGCACACATCTGCTGTGTCCTGCTGGCACTCTCCTTGGGCTCCCATTGCCTTGGCCTCATTTCTTAGCTCTTTTCCCCTGGCAAGCCTCTTCCACAGTGTGGGGGTGTCTGCTGCTCACCAAGCTGGTATCACATCTAAACTCCATCTTTACCACTGCCTCCACATTTACTCATATTTGTCATTCTCTCTCTCTCTTTTTTTCCTAATTTCCTAATTAGCCGCTCACATTTCCTGTTATTTTACTCATGTTTCTTGGATAATGAGATGTATAGGTATTGCCATCCAATGAGAGTTTTTATTCCATTTCATAGCCATGGGATGACTTAGATCCTCAGCATTTCTGACTCTTTCATTTGATGTGGGCTGTTTTCAGAAATTGCTTCTCTACCACTGAGAGATTTTTGCTTTGTTTCATTCAAATATTTCAGCCATTTTTTGAACCTGGAGCTGTTCCAGAAGTCTAATGGATTCAGAAGGCTCCACTTAGGCAGAGTTTTTCTGTTTATCAATTATTATAATGGTGCTTGGTATTCAACATGTGCTGTGTATCAGAATGTACAGACCTGAATTAGAGGTGATGTTTTCCAGGAAGGTCCAATTCAATCATGAGAAAGAGTATGTCTTTGGGTTGTTAATTCTGCAGAAGAATGCATTTCTGTTCCTCCATTATAAATTGGGCAAGGGTGGGTTCTCAATTGGTTAAAAGTGATTGAGGGTTTAAAGCTAGCGTGAAGAAAATATAAAATTGTTCTGAAACATTCTGGATATAAAAGGTGAAAACAATGAGGATTGTCAAAAAACTGGCATCAGTTGGGGTTTTTTTATTGTAAATAACAAAAATCCAAGTAAAACTGACTGAAGGAAATAGGAGATTATTTGGTTCCTGCAAGTAGAAAGAATGGGGTGCGGCTGGCCTCACTTTCAGCTGGGTGCCAGGTTTCTCTCTGCATCTCTCCTGTCTCTGCTCCACCTTGCCTGATGGTGCCCTTTTCTTCTGTGGCAGATAGATATTCTCTATGCAACATGGCCAATGTAGCTTATGTGGCTTATTCCATTGTTCCAGACCCTTGGCTTAATAAAAATCTTCCCAGCTCAGTGATTATGGAGAAATAAGCAGTGAAATTTTCTCTTCCTGTTTCAATCCATACAAATCATAGTGAAAGATTCTCTTGGCACAACTAAGGTCCTGAGCCTGTCACATGGCTATATGTAGGTTAAACCTGCCCTGGCTCTGATCACTGGCCCAGCCCTGTGGCAGGTGGTGTTTGTATATGCATGCGTGTGTAGGGGGTGGGCTTGGGTGGGTGGGTCACTATAATTGGCAGTTTCCACAGAATTGCATTCTCTTTTGAGGGGGTAGAAGCAGTTACCTGGAGAAGGAAAAAGGTATTTTAGGTAGACCAAACATCTACATTCACTGCAAGGATGAAGACAGTAACTAAATTGTTCAACTTTGGAAAGAATGTAAATAGAAAGTAGAATAATGATACAAAAATACAGGAGGAAAAAGAACAAATTTGTGGGGAGGATAGGAAATAAAAATGATTATCCCAATGATAAAATATTTCAAGATTATCCTGAATATTTGAAGTTTGTTGGCATTGTAGAATGTAGTTAATATTAAGATGTACTATTGAAAGTAGGATGAGCCTGGCATGGTGGTGTACACTTGTAGTCCCAGCTACTCGGGAGGCTGAAGCAGGAGGATCCCTTGAGCCCAGGAATTTGAGGTTATAGTGAGCAAGCTCTGATTGTACCACTGCACTCCAGCCTGAGTGACAAAGTGAGACCCTGTCTTTAAAAAGAAAATTAGGATAAACTAAAGTAAAAATGATTCGTGGATTAAAGTAATGGGTATTCATAGAAACATAAATTGTCTCAATTACCTGGTTTAAATTTTATCTACTTACTGGCTTAGAATGACATTGGGTGGATTTCCTGGAAGACTGAATCTTCAATGTGGATTTTCAGTGGATTTTTAGTAAAAGGGTATTCCATGAGAAAGAAAGAAGGAACAGAGCTGGGAGTCTGATCTGACGAGATATGGCTTCAAAGCTTTAAAAGCTGGCAAGCATGATGGTGAACTCAACCAGAATGACTAACTGTGATCCCACATAGCCAACCACAGGCAGCCTGAGCACCAGGGGAAATTTCCAGAGAAGACACAAAACAGCCTCATTTAGACTGAGGCTTATGCTAATGTCAGGAATTATACAAGCAGCACAATACAGGGAAGTGTGGCCTACGTTTGGCACTGTAAGGTCCAAAAGTTCATGGATTATTCTTTCCTGAGGAAATAAACAGTTGGAAATCAAATGAGGTAAAAGGAAAGTTACTCAGTGAGAGCAAAGCTTAACTTCTTTAGGGTTCCTCATTAAGTAAATCCATATATATAACCTCTGGAGATGGTAAGACTGTTATAAATATCCACTCCATCCCACCCTCTCTACTGATATAAGATACTGACATCAGTTCTTATCCTAAATCAAGATCTTGACCTACCTTCATAATACAGTAAAACACCACCACATGTCTATGTTGGTGAATTAGAGTACTAAAATGGAAACAGAGTGGGCTCCAAATCCTAGCATCACCACTTGGACATGACACAGTCATTTAAATGCTCAAGGCTCAGTTTTCTCATTTGGAGAATGGGGAAACCTAGGACTAAGAACCTAGATCTTCTATTGTTAATCCAGTGCACCTTCCCCCAAATAACAATATTTTTCTCTCAACATGACAATTGTGCAAACTGAATGAAGCATACACAAAAGTGCTGCATATAGACGGAAAGGGGACTGGCATTTATTGAGCAGCTACTATAATGCAGGCATTTGAGGTTCAAGAATGACTAAGACATGGTCTGCCCCTGAAGGTTATGCTAGACAGACTGACACCCTTTCCACCATCAAATGTCCACATCCTAATCTCCCAAATCTGTGAATATGTTAACTTACATGCAAAAGGAACTTTGTAGATGTGGTTAAGTTAGGATTTTGAGATTGGAAAATTATCTTGGATTAAATATGGGCAGATTCAGTGTCATCACAAGGGTCCATATGAGAGAAAGAGGGAGTGAGGAGAAGCAGAGGCACAGAGAAGGAGGTGTGACAATGGAAGCAGAGGTCAGAGTGAAGTGAGAAAGAGGCCAAGGCCAAGCAATGTAAGCAGCCTATAGAAGCTAGAAAAGGCAAGAAAATGGATTTTCTTCTAAAGCCTCCAGAAAGAATGTAATCTTGCCAACACCTTGATCTTAGCCATTAGACCCATTTTAGACTTCTACCCCCACGCCCCCAAATAGTAAGATGAATTTTTGTTGTTTTAAGCCATGAAGTTTGTGGTAATTTGTAACAGCAGCAATGGGAAGCTCATAACAGTGGCTTGCAATGTATGAGATGAAGGAATCCATAAACAGAAAATCTCAATTCAGTATTGTAGGTGCTATGACAGGGGTGAGCACAGGGTGCTATGGGAGAATAGGGCAGTGCTCCTCACGCAGCCCGTGTGTGTGTTAGAGTTCAAGGAAGGCTGTCAGACTTAGATGAGCTTGGTCATTAAGATATTTTTCTCTTGCCTGTGTCTTCAGTATTTCCCTCTCTATTGTTTTTTCCTATCGGCCTATCAATAGGATCCCAAATATATAATCTCCCATTGTAAAAACTCTTTCTCTATCTTGGCTCTCCTTTTAGCTGTCTCTGTAAGGAGCTATGAGTAAGGAGGATGGGGAGGTAGTCAGGCCTTACATGCTGTATAATGTGCTTGGTTTTTTTTAGGTAAGCAATGGGGAGCCATGGAGGGATTTTGAGTAAGGGGTAGATATTTAGTTTTAGAAATATCACTCTGACAGCATATGGAGGAGGATTTGAAAGGAATACTGAGTCTGGGAAGCCTGTTGGAAGCATTCCTCACCTGTAAAACAGGCATGATAAATATTGCTGTCTCTCAGAGTTGTGTGAATTAAATAGAAATTGGAAGAAATACCTTCAAAGACTATACATACAGGACTGTGCAAACAAGGGTTCTTTTGTTTTACCAAGAAGTGCTTTGTTACTTCTCAGGAAATATATATTTCTATTCACCCTCTTGTGTAGAATCATAGAATATTTGAGCTGGGAAGTATGTGAGCTGGAAAGAATCTGAGAGCTCTTAGATGATGCAATCATTTTATTTACACATTGGAGCTTGGAGGCTAAAAGAATTTAAAGCAACCTGCCAAGAGCATAGAGAAGAGTCAGTGATAGGGTGGGAGCTGGAACTTAGAACTCCTGATGTCTAGACTAGGACTTTTCTCAGTACACCAAGGCTTCTCAAGCTGTTTTTCTCATCCCATGAGATGATCCTGCAGTGGAGGGAGAAACTATTATCAAAGAATTTTGAGATAACAGGAAAAGAGAATGAGAAAATCTCAGAAAATGCAAACGGTTGCATCTTTTACTTCACCACGTATATTAATATCTTAAAAGTTTCTAAGAACACCTGTCCTAAAGAAACTTGTTTAACTTGCATTTCTCAAACTTAGTTGACTATAGAAACCCACCTTTTTGTTTTCATTTTCGCATAAGTTCTATCAGGAGTTGCATGTGTCACTCTTTAGGGAACCCCTTCCTGCCCTCTCTGCATAATTTCTTTCAATTTCTCCCTTTCATTTTCTTTCCTTCTTTTTCATTGTTTGTTCACAAAATTCCCAGCAGGGGTTGAGGCAGCTTATATAACATGTTTTTCAAAAGACCTAAATGAGGGGGATGAGCATGTATTTACGGTGTTTACCACTCTCATTTTGTTAATGTGAATTCTGGCTTTCATTTTATTTAAGAAAAATCAGTGTTTACTATTTTCTCTCCTTCCTCTCTATGCACACTACAGGATTCTCTACATTGATCACTAAGCTGAAGAGACACTGACTCCAGTTAGAAATGAGTATGATTTAACTCAGTCTGATAAATAGGATACATTTTTTTGTGGGGGAAAATTTCCTAATTATATATGTTTACAATTTATAGTAAATATAATAATCAGGCATACCTTATTGCTGTTGCTTAATCATACCATTTATACAGTACTTCCACATTTTTTTTCCATGCTCCTAGTGCCAATATCCTAAAGTCAGCAGAATAGCTACTTTATATGCTCATGTTACAAATGGAAGTCTGTGGCTCAGAAGGATTACTGACTGGTGCTAGTGACCAGAGTGTGGCATGAGGGGGAGAAGATATGTCTTATCCATATTGATCTAATGGTATTGATTTGAATACCTACAAAATGGTTCATAAAGGAGTTTTAAAATTTAACTTCCTAAAGAATTGACTCACACAATTGTGGAGGCTGGGAAATCCAAAATCTGCAGGGTAGGCCAGCCAGCTGGTGACCGAGGGAAAAGCTGATGTTGCAGCTCAAGTCCGAGGGTGGTTGGGGCAGAATTCCCTCTTCCTTTGGGATCTCTGTCTGTTTATTCTTAAGGCCATCAACTGATCAGATGAGGCCCATTCATGTTATAGAAGGTAATCGGCCTTACTCAAAGTTTACTGATTTAAATGTGTAATTGACTTAAATCTCATCTAAAAGTAGCTTAACGAAAAGCATTTAGACTTGTGTTTGACCAAATGTCTGAGTACAATGGCCTAGGCAAGTTGACACGTAAAATTAACCATCACGTCAAGTAACTGATGTTCATGAGTGACACACTCCCTCAAACTAGACCGAGTGAGTGTTGTGTCTCCTGAGGGCCAAAGTCCTCTTTGCTGTTTCCCAGTAAAGAACCAAGAATGGTGAGGAAATAATGCCAACAGTGAACAGGATAGAGAGAGGCTTATTCTAAAAGCTTGAGTCAGAGTGGTCTAGAATGAGATATTTTATTTTAAGGAGACCAGATATTGTCTAGTAAGGTTGATGGTTACCACCCAGCTTCAAAAACTATCAGAGCTGGGGTGGACCCTATAGTTTTCTAGCTCTGCCCCTTCTACAGAAAGATGAAGTGAAGGGACTGAGGCCCAAGCCAAAGGCCTTCTTTAAAGAAAGACTGAGGGAAGTCAAGTCCTCTGAGTCCTTGTCCAATGCCACTGATTTTAAAATACTGAATTCCATGGGACTCTTCAGTGACATTCTGGGGCTGGCCATTCACTGGTGATATAACGCAGTCAGGCAGATCTTAATGGAAGGGGAGTCATTAGAGGATCTGGCTAATTGACTATTTGAATTAACAATGTCTTCAGTTGGAAAACTAATGAGAAACAAGGGGTGTTGGAAAAGGGTCTGGCTGAGCTTTATTTTGTGTACAGACTAAAATGAGGTTTTCCCTAAATGACTATTTTCTTTACCAGAATCACTGTTCACATGGCAATCTAAAAATTTCTAAATATTAGCTAAACTAAGATGTTAATAGTTGAGAAATTAGGAAAAGTGTGATAAAAGCCTATATATAATTTTTAGGGCTGAGAAAATTATTTAGAAACCACTGTAAACAAGTGTTTTTGAGTCTGTATATAAGATTACTGAGTTATTCAACTCTATTTCATGCCACATAGCAACACTGGTCTTTTTTTCCCTATATATTTATTGATCATTTATGTTTCTTTCATGTGACTTTCTTACTTATGGCTTTTCTTAAAAAAAACTAAGAAGTAAAAATTGTACATTTTTATGGCATACAATGTGATATGTGTGTGTGGGTGTATATGTATATTTATATGTATGTATATACACACCCATGCACACATTGTGGAAAGATTAAATCAGCCATTTATCATACGCATGATACCTCACATACTTATCTTTTTTGTTTGGTGAGAGCACTTAAACTCTACTGTACTAGCAATTTTCAAGTACACTGCATATTGCTGTTAACTACAGTCATCATGATGTACAATATATCTCTTGAACTTATTCCCCCTAACTGAAATTTTGTGTTCTTTGACCAGCATCTCCCCAGTCCCCCACCTTATGGCCTCTGATAACCACAATTTTCTCTCTGTTTCCATGAGAGTGACTTTTTAAGATTCCACATATAAGTAAGATCATGCAGTATTTTTGTCTTTTTATGCCTGGTTTATTTCACTTTTTAATGTCCACCAGATTCATCCATGTTGTCACAAATGACAGAATTTCTTTGTTTTTTAAGGCTATTATTCCACTGTGTACATATACCACATTTTCTTTATCCGTTCATCTGTTGATGGACACTTAGGTTGATTCCATATCTTGGCTATTGTGAATAGTGCTGTGATAAACACGGGAGTGCTGATAGTACTTCAAGACATTGATTTAATATCCTTTGAATATATACCCAGAAGTGAGATTGCTGGATCATATGGTAGTTCTATTCTTAATTTTTTGGGGAATCTCCATATCATTTTCCATAATAGTTGTACTAATTTACATTCTCACCAACAGTGTACAAGAGGTTCCTTTTCTCTACATCATCACCAACACTTGTTATCTTTTGTCTTTTTGACAGCAGCCATTATAACAGGTGTGAAATAACATACCTTTGTGGTTTTAATTTGCATTTCCCTGATGATTAGTGATGTTGAACATATTTTCACATACTTGTTGGCCCTTTGCATGTCTTCTTTTGAGAAATGTCTATTCAGGTCCTTTGCCCATTTTTAATTGGGTTTTTTTTTACTATTGAGTTGTAAGATATATTTCTTATATATTGTGAATATTAACCCCTTATCAGATGTATGATTTGCAAATATACTTTTGTATTTTGTTGGTTGTATCTTCACTGTGTTGAGCAGAAGCTTTTTAGTTTGATGCAATCCCCTTTGTCTAATTTTGCTTTTATTGCCTGGGCTTTTGGGGTGAAATCCAAAAAAATCATCCCCCAGACCAAGATCATGGAGCTTTTTCTCTGTTGCCTTCTAGCAGTTTACACCTTCAGGTCTTACATTTAAGTCTTTCATTCATTTTCAGTTGATTTTTGTAGATAGTGTGAGTTAAGAGTCTAATTTTATTCTTCTGCACGTGGATATCCACGTTTCTCTGCACCATTTATTGAAGAGACTGTCCTTTCCTTATGGTGTGTTTTCGGCATCTTTGTTGAAAATATTCAATTTCTTGAGCATTAAACTCTCTCCTATCTCAAGGCCTCTGTAAACTCTTCCTTCCTTGCCTAGAATCCACTCTGGCTCCTTCTCATTCTCTAGGACTTAGGTTAAATGCCATCTCCATCCTATCTAAATTAGGCCCCAAGTTGTTATTCTCTTTCACACCACCTGTTCTGTTTCCTTCATGGATCTTATCACAATTTGTAATTATATGTCTGTTGGTTGTCTGTCCCCTTGCACCCGACAGTAAGTTCCCTGAGAACAGGAACTTCATTAGGCAGGGAAAAGATGACACACGATCGAAGGACACTTTGAGCATGGCTTAATTTTAGGGGAAGTTACACTGGTCGGGGCAAGATATAGAAACACCCACAGGGGATGATTCAGTACCTTAGAACTAGTAAGAGTGGGGCCATTGCCACCCTAGGTCTCTAGGGGTAACACAAGAAGGCAGTCACTGGATCTGGAGGGAGAAATTCATGTGCAGAGGAGCATCCTGGGCAGAGCAGCCCCTTTTGAGAGATGTGTCATGGTTGGCTAGCAGAGTTGGCTGTAGATCAGCCAACCAAGCTGACTCCACGGAGAGGGGGCCGGGTTCACAGATACCCTTACTTCATTTTCCTTTATCCTTCCTAATTTCTACTGGGAACCTGAGGGCAAGGAAACCCACTGATGTCATCTGGCAGAGAGGAGGGTGAGAAAGGTGGAGAGAGGACATGAAAGACGTCTAGTACAAGAATCATGCCTATTAATTCACCTTTACCCCCAGTGTTGAGCACAGGGCACTGTTTATCATTCTTTATCTGCATTTATTCATAAATGCTAATAGATGAAAAATAAAACAAATTTGTTTCCTAGTGTCTGTTTTATTACACGTTCCTTCTCCAATTCTCATTATTTTTAAGAAGATGCTGCTGCTATTGGCCTGATTCAAGTTAATTTGAGCACTTTTAAGTAGATGGGCCTTCAAGGTTTGTCTTTGTTTGAGGAAGGAGAACTTAATGGAATAGACGGTAGCAACCACACATTAGGGAGCCAGCCAGAGGCTGCCAAAGCTAGAAATATTCTTTGAGGCTGCCAAGGCTAGAAATATCCTCGCCCTTTAGAGAACAATAGCTGGCTTTTAAATATTCTGGTATTATACTAGGAAATGAACACACCACTGGATATGGAGTCAGGATGTACACCCTTTGCATGGGAAGGAGGAAAGAGAATGACTGTTATTACTTTTGCTCACATCTTCCCAGTTCCTTTCCTCCATCCCAATGACAAGGAGATGATGTAAACTGAAGCAGCCACTTGGGACCCATATATGCATCCTTGTGTTCAGGATGGCAGACTGCTTACCTTTGGACTGTCCCATGACAGAAATAAACTTTCATCTTATTTAGGCCATTATTTTGTCTCTTTGTAACAGCAGCTCAGTCTACATCCTAACTAAAGTAGAGAGATTGCAGAGGATTAAGATAGTCAGGCTCCCAGCAGGGTCTGTTTTGAGTGAGTTTGAAAGTCTTTCAAAGAGGAATTCAAAATAGGAGAGAGAGTGAAATAGAAGTGGTGCCACTGGGAGTTTTAGTGTGAAGTTAAAAGGATGTCAATTACCATTGCTTTGTGGTCTAAAATAGATGTGAAGGAAGCGATTCATAGTGAAGGTGGCATGTGGATACTCTATGAGATGGCATTGGCACCCAGATATCACTGGAGCAGTTGGGGGTATAATGTTAGTGTCAGGAGTCAGGTGGCAAGTAGGAAAAAGGGTAGATGGTGGCATATCTGGAGATAGTTTATTTTGAGTAGGAGGGCATGGTTTCAATGTTCATTGAGCAGATTCTGAGTCAAAAAATAACTATAACATTACCTAGTTTCTTACTCTATTGTACCCCAGAGTGGTGACCTTGGAAAATTCCTGTCACTTCGCCTACTTATGATAGAAGAGGTTTAGGCCAAATGAAAATCATCGTGCTTTGGTTAAAGAAGGCTGAACTCAGATGTTGATGAGAGAGGAGGAAGCCTGGTTGCCCAGAGAGGCCTTGCTGGTTGGTGGGGAGGAGCAGAGTGCGTGTCACTAGGAACTTAATGTGCTCATTGCCTCAGACTTGACTGATTCTCTCTGGGGCTTAATCAAGATAACAGAACTCACAGGAGATGAATATGTAAATCAGAATTTGAGTTATTCATTTGTAAAGTAGCTATTCCTTTCCAGTGTCTGAATTTTATATAATTATCATCCATGCCCCCTGTTTCTGTTATTAAAGTACGTAGGAAACTGAGTTGCTGTATTTCTATGATTTAAAAATGTTACTGATAATTAGATTACACCATGGGTTAATTGATACTTTTTGGAGAACAAAATTAATACCACATTAAATGTGCTCGTTGGAAGATGCTTACAAATGTTATAAATGTGAAAATATATACATCACTTTTTAGAAATGACGAAATGCTATAATAATACAGTTGTTCTTTCATGAAAAGAGGTTCAGAGGAAATCAGGTGCACTGTTGAGTCTGTGGCCCCCAGACCAAAGGACCTTGGGAGGCATTTGGAAAAAGGAGTGCAAGGCTTGCCTTCCTGGGAGAGCAAGTGAGCTCCAGTGGAGAGAGGTAGGGTGTGTGATATGGACAAAGCATATTCAATTTGGAATAATTTGAATTTCATTTTAGTAACATAGGACATATAATTTCATTTTAGTTTCAAATTAACCTAAAGGAGAATGAAATTTTAATGTTTAAATAAATAGAATATTCTTTAATTCAATGAATATTTTCTTGCATACCTGTCTCATGCCAGCCACCAGGCTAGATGCTGGGGACACCATGATGAACTAGACAGTTTCTACCTTTATGGAGGTGAGAGCTCAGTGATAAAAGTTGAGATACCCTAGGGCAGGCCCTGAGGCAGCTCAATGAAGAGTGATGCCACCTCATCAGTGAATATTCTAGTGGCTACATTAAGTTCCTCTACTTGGGACAATGCTGAACCAACATTGACAAATTTTTGCTCTCTGGCCTTTTCCTAGGCTCCATGTGCATCGACTTCTTGTGTCTATATATTCATTCTGTTTCTAAAATAAATTAATTGAGATAATTTATTAGGTTTCAGGGTTTTTTTAATAAATGCAGTCATTTGTTTTCCTGTCTCTGATCTTCTGTTTCCAGAATATAATGTTCTATAAAGTGTTTTTTGGAGATAACAGATCATACCCATTCAGAACTGATTTACTAGTTCAACCTTCAAAGAGAAGTCTTATTTCCAAGCTCTGATGGGCATCTCAATGTCATCTCAACTTCAATGGTAGAATATGTCACTTGCCGTCAACAACATTTATTAAGCACTTACAATGTGGCCAGCACTGTGCTAGACAGGCAGGGTACAAAGATCAAAAGAGCATGTTTTTGATCTCAAATAGCTTAAGGCTGAGGGTACATGCATAAAATAATAACTAGCCCAATGAGCCAGCTTTTGCCAAATCAGGGCCATTGACAGGAGGTACTAAAGAGTCCTGTGGATGAGAATCATGTTGGCTGCCAAGATTTTGGTAAAGATAGGCTCTTGTTTTGCCTCATTTAAATCCTTAACATTACTCCCATTACCTACAAAGTAATAATCTATCTGGTCTTACCTTACTGCTATATGAATAATTCTTTTAGTGTGGATTAAATTTAGCTTTTATCCAAATTGGCTCTCAGTGAAGTAAAAAGGTATCTTTTGAAGACACTGTGCTAGGCACAACTTGAGAATACTGAAATGTAAGACATCTCTTACATTTAATACAGAAGATGTAAGACATCTTCTGAGCAGCTTTCAGTCTGATTAAGGAGATAAAAGTCCTAAAGTTAAGATATGAAATAACATAAAAATCTATAGTTAAATACTAAACTGTACAATGCATTTAGGGAAACTACCAACCTTGTTATTGGAAAATTTTAATTTAGCTGTCAAAAGCAAAGCATTTCTATTCCAATGGAGTAAAAGACAGTTTACAAGTCCAATAGGTCTCTGCACAAAGTGAGCCTGGGCAAGGAAAGGTTGGTTTGGCCATTTTTGGTGATAAGTTGTGGCAGCTGAGGAATAGAAAGTAGCTGTGTCAGGACTCAGGTTATGCTGAGGAGGGGGTTGCTCTCCTGATGTTCAAACAACCTAGACCTCTAAAGTGGGAGAGTGCCCTGCAAAGGCCATATCATGTGAGTCCCCAATGTCATGTACTTAGAACTCAGCTCTGCTTTCTACTTAAGTCAGTCAGGGTGGAGGGAAAACTGAAACCAAAGAAAGTGAAATAAAGAGTAACATTTATTGAGCATATACTACATTCCAAATATAGTATATGATAGTTATTTTATTTGTATGTTATCTTATTTTCATAAAAGTTTTATATGATACATGTTGTCATTCCCCTTTTACAGGTGAGAAAAGCAAAGCTCATGGAGTCTGAGTGACTTGTCTCAGGTCAAATGCCTAGGCACTAGAGTAGCTGGGATTCAAACTCATATCTTTGTCTCCTAAGCCTGTGCTTTTCCTACACCTTACTCAGGTGGGACACTGAGGGGACAAGTGTCTCTCCAGCGGCAACGTCTCATAGGCCATGCCTGCTCTGTAGGGCAGTAGCCCTGACTTCTGCCGTGCAGAAAGGAGAAGGAAGAAAAAGATGTTTCAGATTGCTTCCCTACTTCCCTACAGTCTGGCTCATTTTTTTTCAAACTACAGGTTTCTGCCAACAGAGAATACCTCCCATATCACCCATATGCACCCTATTTAAAATTGGAAAGTATTATTTAACTCCAGTGGAGCCAGTGAAGCAGCAGAATACAACATCCCCTTGTACGTTGCAGGCATACAGTAAACATTGAGCAGAAAAAAAAAAAAATCTCAACATACCCAGAAGATGAAACAGCTGGTGTTCATCAGCGCATTCCAGTGGAAAATTCATGAAACTGCAAAAAATTCTGTTTAATTCTCACTGTCACCTCTTGCCCCTTGGCAGTAACTCTTGAAGAATAATGACATGAAAGATATATTCAGTTTAGAGTTTTCCTCACTCTTTACCAACACTCCCCAAATTAAGAGTTTTTCTGCCCTTCTTCTTCCTTCTGATACAGGGCAGAAGCAGAGTTGTGTAGTAAAATAAAACACTGATAGAGTTAGGAAGGTCGGGATTCTACCTCTAGCTTGCTGGTAATAATTATATAATTTTGGGCAAGTAACTTTTGATTCTCTGGTCTCTCTCCATTATATCACCAATGAGACTATTGTTATGTTGGGACCAGTATTCACTTATACACTGCTGGTGGAAATGTAAATTAGTTTAGCCACTGTGGAAAGTAGTCTGGAGAGTTCTCAAAGAACTTAAAATAGAACTACCATCTGACCCAGCAATCCCAATACTGGGTATATACCCAAAGGAATATAAATCATTCTACTATAAAGACACATGCACGCGTATGTTTGTCCAGAACTATTTGCAATAGCAAAGACATGAAATCAACCTAGATGCCCATCAGTGGTGGACTAGATAAAAAAAAATGTGGTACATGGAATATGTTCAGCCATAAAAAAGAACACGATCATATCCTTTGCAGCAATATGGATGGAGCTGGAGGCCGTTATCCAAAGTGAATTAATGCAGGAACAGAAAACCAAATACCATATGTTCTCACTTATTAGTGGGATATAAACACTGAGTACACATGGACACAAAGAAGGGAATAGTAGACACCGGGCCCTGCTTACGGGTGGAGGGTAGGAGGAAGGTGAGGCTTGAAAAGCTACCTCTCATGTATTATGCTGATTACCTAGGTGACAAAACTATATGTACACCCAACAGAGACACTTAATTTACCCACATAAAAGACCTTCACATGTACCTCTTGAATCTAAAATAAAAGATGGAAAGAAAAAGAATTAAAAAATAGTAATAATATTAAGTATTCTAGTTCATGAACACAAAATGTCTTTTCATTTATTTAAGTCAACTTTTGATTTCTTAAAGCAATGTTATAGTATTTTACCTCTTTGGTTACATCTATGGCCAATTAATTTATGATAAGGATGCCAGGAGCATTCAATGGAGGAAGAATGAGCTTTTCAACAAATAATACTGAGATAACTTTATATCTACAGGCAAAGAGTAATATTGAATCTCTACCTCATGGCATATACAAAGATCAACTTAAGATGAATTGATGATGTAAATATGAAATGCAAAAGTATAAAATTCATTAGCAAGAACATAAATCTTTATGACTTTGGGTTTGGCAATGGTTTCTATGATATGACGCTAAAAACACCAAAAGAAAAAAATAGCTGAATTGGAACTCATCAAAATTAAAAACGTGTGAATCAAAGAATATTAGCAAGAAGATAAAAAGACAACCTAGAGAATGGCAAAATATTTGCAAATAATATATCTGATAAGGACTTAACATCCAAAATATATAAAGAACTCTTACAATTCAACAACAAAAAGATAACACAATTTTAAAATGGACAAAGGATATGAATAGACATTTATCCAAAAAAGTTATGCAAATGACTAACAAAAGCATGAAAAGATGCTCAACATTATGGAAAATGCAAATCAAAACTACAATGACTTACCACTTAATACCCACTTGGATAGCTATTAAAAAAATGAAAAATGGGCCAGGCATGGTGGCTTACGCTTGTAAGTCCAGCACTTTGGGAGGCCAAGGCAGGTGGATCACGAGGTCAGGAGTTCAAGACCAGCCTGGCCAATATGGTGAAACCCTGTATCTACTAAAAATACAAAAATTAGCTGGGTGTAGGCACGCACCTGTAGCCCCAGCTACTCGGGAGGCTGAGGCAGAAGAATTGCTTGAACCCGGGAGGCAGAGGTTGCAGTGAGCCGAGATTGTGCCACTATACTCCAGCCTGGGCAACACAGCGAGACTCCATCTCAAAAAAAAAAAAAAAAAAAAAAGAGAGAGAAAAACAAAAGAAAAAGAAAAATGAAAAGTAGCCAATGTTGGGGAGGATGTGGGGAAACTGGAATCCACATACATTGCTAATGGGAATGTAATATGATTCAGCAACTGTGAAAAACAGTTCCACATTGAATTATTATATGACCCAACAATTTACTCCTAGGTATATACTCACTAGAATTGAAATCATATACTCAAAAGATTACCTGTACATAGCAGCACTATTCACAATAGCAAAATGTAAAAACAACTCTAATGCCGATCAATGGATGAATAGATAAAAAATGGATAAATACATATTGTGGGGTATCAGTATGATGAAAAGTTATTCAGCCACAAAAAGAATAAAGTACCACAATAAGAATGCACCTCAAAAACATGCTAAGTGAAAGAAGCCTGACATAAAAGGTTACATATTGTATGATGCTACTGACATGAATTATCCAGAATAAATAAATACATAGAAATAGATAGATTGGCAGGTGCCAAGGGTTGCAGGATAGGGGGAATAGGGAGTAACAGCTTAATGTATATAGGGCTTCATTTTGGGGTGATAAAAATGTTTCAAAAGACGATAGAGGTAGTGTTTGTGCAACATTGTGGATGTACTAAATGCCACTGAATTTTCACTTTAAAATTATAAATTTTATATTATGTAAATTTTACTTTAAAACCGGTAAGAAATAAACAGGTCTTCACTTATGTAGTTTTTTAATTACAGGAAATATATTTTGATATAATTCTATCTTCTTTAAAATCCTTGTCATATGGAATTTATGGTTACAACTCTTAAATTGAAAGTTAACACTCTCCTGTAGATTTGAAAGAATCCTGGGGTATATCAGGAACATGTTGATTCTTTGACATGTATATACCTGCTCATCCTGTACATCTACTATTTATAATACCTATTTCAGTCTTGAAGCCTGCAACTTTTCAATTCTATCACCCCCAGCTGTCTGACCTCAGGTCTCTTTTGTTTCTCCATTTTTCTTTTTCCTTTAGTATTGTGTTTATTTTTCTTCTTTGTGGAAAACTGTAGTCTGTATAACTGCTGGGGGAAAAAAGACCTCTGATGGTGAGCTACCAAAATGATCAGGGTGGCAAAGACTGAGTGTAAAAAAGGAATTGGAGTTGGAAAGCCCACGGAAGAGTGTCTGATACTTGACATTGTAGAAGACCACAGTTCATGTGGTCCTGAGTGCATATAAGGCTCTGGTAAGCACCGTCTACTCTGATTTATTTAGTCTCAGTTTATTTTGATTTAATCATGTAGTAAACTTCCAACATGACTGAAAAATTCGATAGATAGATTCTACTATGCCACCAAAAATTGGACTATTTCCAGCTTGGGAACAGGCTGTCCAAAGAGCAGCCATCTTGGTCACACACTCTCTTTATTCCCTCACTCTGGCCTGTTAGTGTGATTAAACTGTAAAGTCATTTTTCTCTGTGAAGCTTTCAATGGCCACACCAATTGACCTCCAGCAGTGTGCAATGTTTAGAAATGTTTTTCTCAAGTCAAGTTTCCATTTTCTCGTTAAGTGCAATAAACTTGCCCAGAAAATGCTTCCATCAAACCCTAACTTTTATTCTCTGGGGCTTCAGTGTAGCACATTGTGTTGCTTATGACATCATAGTCTCCATGGCGACTCCTCAATGAGACTTCTCATGGTCAAAGGTAAAATAAATGCAAACGAAGTTCTGTTCAATCTTAATAGCCTTGGTTATTTATTATTGAGAAAGGAAGGAGTGGGAAGAATTGAATTGTATTACTTGAGGATAACCACAGTAGTTTCAAGCCAAACTTTTAAGAATCTCAATCAGTAATCTCCATTCTTTCAATTTCTTAATAAAAACTGAACCTTTTGAGGCTTACTTGGACAGGTATTCTGGGCATTGAGAAGTGAGAGGAAACTTGACTGAACATGTGAAAGAGGGCCCAGCTAATAAGATTAATACCCCCGCCATAATAAACAGGTTTCGGACTAACTGTGTGATCTTCAGCCAGTCAGTCAAATTCTCTGTGCCAATTACCTCAGGTGCTGAAAGGAAGAAAGTACTTGTTCTGGCACTTTTAGATGGTATATTGAGAAGATAAAATACCTGATTTTTGTATATTTGAGACTATGGATATTTTTGGAGCCAATTGGCAAGAATTATAGTTACCTTTGATAATCAATTGTATAACACATTTCAATTGTGGTGACTGCCACACCCATAATCTTTTCTAAGGAAATGTACCTCCTGCTAAAAGATGGATCTAGACAGCTGTATTTACTTCTATGTGACTCTGCCCCCTGCTATAGCCATTGACTAGAGGTGAACACCTAAAAAAGTCCATAATGTGTCCTGGTATGAAGAGAAGAGGTGAAGAAACCAGATTCCCTCTATTTGGAATTTGCACCGGAAAATTGTTACAAGCAGAATACAAAACCGAGAGTATAGATAGAAAGTAGTCATGAAGAAGGATCAGGACCATGGCGGATGGTGTCCAGTTGTAAGGAAAATAAAGAGAAGTATCAGGATAGATAATGGCTGAGTAGACATTATAAAACAGCAGATACTATGAATTCAGTAAAACTAGAGAGAGGATAAAAACAGTAAGTCAGTCGGTAGCGAGAGAAAGACTGTGATTGTTCCAGAGAGAAGTAGAAGCATGAGAAATTATTTATTCAGCAAACATTTATTAAGTGCCTATTGTACAAGGCTGGGCGTTAGAGATTCAATAGCAAGACAGACATGGAGCCCAAAACTGAACAGATTATTAATTTTTAAAATGTTGTAAGTGCTCTGATAGAAAAAGTATGGTGTACTGCAGGAGTACATAGCAGATACTGCTAACTTAGTCTGAACAGTTCAAGAAAGACTTCCCATTGGAATTGGTCATTTAAGCTCAGACCTAATTAACAAGTAGGAGTAATTCCGGTAAAAAGAGTGTTTCAAGCTGTTGTAAAGAAAACATGGTAAGACGTGGTAATGAGATGTCAGCAGCTTGCCAGCACCAGGATACATGTAATTCTGCAATTAATTCCATTCTTTTAAGATATTCTAAGCAAATCTATCTTTCTTCCGACCTATATGGTCTGACTAAAGTAAATGCCTGCAAGATTTAAGACAGTTCACATGAAGCTTAGGTTTATAGAGGCATATGAAACACATAGTCCTGCTCTCAAGAAGCTCAGAACGTCGATGAGCCAGCGGGCTGTCAGCAACAAAGAAATAAGAAAACTAATAATTAAACATGCTGTTTTAAAAGTGCCAAGTTATAAGTATAGACAGCAATGGCATATGAATTCGAAGTTGGAAAATCATAATTTTCAAATGATTAAACATTAACTTCTTTTCGAAAGAGATCTTTTTCTTTGTGGTTAATAGAACTTTTACATATAATAGCTTATAGTTGTAACAATTTATTTTATGCTGATACCAGCTTAACTTCAACGGGATACAACGACTCTGTATTTTTATTTTTCTCCCACCACACTTTTTAAACTGATGTTACAGTTTACATATTTTATTAATATATTGTCTATCCATTAACATTTTTTATAGCCATGATTATCTTAAATATTTTTGTATTTTATCTTTTATACTAGAATTAAAAGTGATATATGATCTATAGTTACAGAATTACAGTATTCTGTATTTGTCTATATATTTGCTTTCATACTTTCATGTTTTCATCTTGCTGTTTAGCATTCTTCCATTTCAACTTGAATAATTCCCTTTAGCATTCCTTGTAAAGTAGGTCTAGCGGTGACAAAATCCTTTAATTTTGTTTGTCTGGGAAACTCTTTATCTCTCTTTTATTTCTAAAGGATATTTTGGCTGGGTGTAGTATTCTTGCTTGGTAAGATTTCTTTTCTTATTTCAGCACTTTGAATATATAGTCTCACTCTCTTCTGGCCTGCAAAGTTTCTGCTGAGAAATCTTCTCATAGTCTTATAAAAGTTCCTCTATATGTAAAAATTTGCTTTTCTCTTGCTGTATTCAAAATTTGCTCATTATATTTGATGTTTGACAATTCAATTATAATGTATCTCAGTGTGGATTTCTTTGGGATTATTTTATTTGGGATCATTTGGTATTCCTATACATGGATGTCAATTTTCTTTCTCAGATTGGAAAATTTTGGCCACTGTTTCTTCCAATAAAATTTTTGGCCCTTTCTTTTATTTTTTCTGGGACATCCATAATGCACCAATATCCACTTGATGGCATCCAATAAGTCCCTTAATATGTTTTCACTATTTTTCATTATTTTTTCTTTTTGCTCCTCCAATTGAGTAATTTGAAATGGGTTTACTAATTCTTTCTTCTGCTTGACCTACTCTGCTGTTGAAACCTTTTCATGAATTTTATAGTTCAATTTTTATATACTTCAGCTCCAGGATTTCAATTTGTTTCTTTTAAAATTATCTCTTTGTTAAAATTCTTACTTTGTTCATGATGAGTTCATGAATCATCTTTATAATTGTTATTTTGAATTTACTGTCAGGGGATTCTTATATCTCCATATCATGAGGATTGGTTTCTGAAGCTTCATCTTGTTTCTTGTTTGGGATATATTTTACTACTCCTTCATTTTCCTTAACTCTTTGTGTTGGTATCTTAGCATTAGGAAAAAACTCCATCTCTCCCAGTGTATAGAACACACAAAATAAAAAGAGGAAGAAATTAAAACATATCACTAAAAAAAAAAAATCAATGAAAAAACAAAGACAGCAAAAGAGGAAAAGTAGGAAAAAAGAGCTACAAGACAGAAAACAATTTTTAAAAATGGAAGTAACAAATCCTTTCCTATAAATAATTACTTTAAGTATAAATGGACGAAACACTCCAATCAAAAACATACAGTGGATGAATGGATAAGAGTAAAATCCAACTGTATGCTGTCTATGAGAGACCCACTTTATTTTTAAAGACACACATAGGCAGAAAGTAACAAGATATAAAAAGATATTTCATGCAAATGGTAACCAAAAGAGAGAAAGGATGACTATACTTATAAAAGAAAAAAATAGACTTTAAGTAGAAAATTGTAAAATGAGATGAAGAAGTATTTATGTGATAATAAAGTGCTCAATTCATCAAGATAATATAATAATTGCAAATATATATGCAACCAATGTCAGAGCACCTAAATATATAAGCAATCATTGACAGAACTGAAGGGAGAAATAAACAGTAATACAATAATACAAGGAGACTTCAATACTCAAATTTCAACAATGGATGGAACACCCAGAGACAAAGTCAATAAGAAAACAGTGGAATTAAACACAATAAATCAAATGAAACTAACAGACATAAACAGAACATTCCACTCAACAGCAGGAGAATACATTATTCTTGAGAACACACAGAACAATCTCCAAGATACATCATGTGTTTGGACACAAAAAAAGTCTTAAAAAATTTCAAAAGATTGAAATTATCTCAAGTACCTTTTCTGACCACACTGGAATTAAACTAAAAGTCAATGGCAGAAGAAAAAATTGGAAAATTCACAGTTATGTGGAAATTAACACACTTTTGAACAACCAATGGGTCAAAGAAGAAATATAAAGGGAAACTAGGAAATATCTCAAGACAAACAAACAAAAACACCATATTTAAACTTATTTAATGTAGCAAAACAGTACTAAGAGGGAAATTTATAGCTTAAATACCTACATTAAAAAAAGAAAAGTCTCAAGTAAATAACTTAACTTTACACCTCAAGGAACTAGAAAAAAAAAAACTAAGCCAAAAGTTAATGGAAGGGAAAAATAATAAATATTAGAGCAGAGATAAATAAAACAGAGAATATAAAAGAAAGATAATACACAAAAAAATCAATGAAACTAAGAGTTGGTGTTTTAAAAAAGATTTTAAAAATTTCACTAGAACAAAAAAAGAGAAGACACAAATACATAAAATCAGAAATGAAAGAGAGGACATTACAACTGATGGTACAGAAATAAAAATGATCATAAGAGACTAGTATAAACAGTTAGATACCAACAAATTGAGTGACTTAGAAAAAATGGATAAATTTCTAACCAAACAACCTAACAGGACTAAATCTTAAAGAAATAGAAAACCTGAACAGACCCACTCAGTAACAAAACACCTATCAACAGAGAAAAATCCAGGACCTGATGGCTTAACAGCTGGATTTTACCAAACACTTAAAGTAATATTAACACCATTGTATCTCAAACTCTTCCAAAAAGTTGAAGAGGAGGGAACAATTTTAAACTTATCCTCTGAGGCTTGTGTTACACTGACATTAACTTAGATAAAGACACTTGAGGAAAAGAATATCCCTGATGAACAAAGATGCAAAAATTATCAATAAAATACTGGCAACTGAATTCAACAGTACATTGACATGGTCATATAGTATGATCAAGTGGGATTTATCCTTGGAATGTGAGAAAAATTTAACATATGAAAATAAATTAATGTGATACATCACATTAAGAGAATGAAGATTGAAACTTACATATTTATCTCAATAGACACAGGAAAACATTTGAAAATTCAACATTCTTTCATGATAAAAATGCAACAAACTAGGAATAGAAGGAAATTACCTCAACATAATATAAGCCATATATGATAAGCCCACAGTTAATGACATACTCAATAGTAAAAACCTGAAAGTTCTTCTTCTAAGATCAGGGACAAGGCAGGGGGCCTACTGTAACCACCTTGATTCAGTATATTACTGGAAGCCAGAGCAATTAGGCAAGAAAAAGAAACAAAAGCATCCAAATAGAAAAGGAAGAAGTATAATGTTCTCTGTTTGCAGGTGACATTATCTTATATGGAGAAAACCCTTCAGACTCTACAAAAAGCTTTATTAGAATAAATTATGTAAAGTTATAGGATACAAAATCGACATACAAATCTCAGTTGCATTTCTATGTAGTAATGACAAACTATGTTAAAATAAATCAAGAAAACAATTCCACTTACATTTGCATGAAAAATAATAAAATATTTAGGAATAAACTTAATCAAGGAGGTGAAAGACTTGTACATTGAAAACTATAAAACATTGATTAAAGGAATTAAAGAAGACACAAGTAAATGAATAGGTATCCCTTGTTCATAAGTTTGGAAGATAATAATGTTAAAATGTCCATACCACCCACAGAAGTCTACAGATTTAATACAATTTCTATCAAAACCCCAATGGTATTATTTACAGAAACAGAAAAAATAAAACCAATACACGTGGAGCCACAAAGGACTCCAAATAGCCCAAACAATCGAGATAAAAGAACAAAGCTGGAGGCATTACACTTCCTGATTTCTAAATATATTACAAAGTTAAAATATTCAACACAGTATGGCACTGGTATAAATATGGACATATAAACCAATGGAACAGAATACAGAGCCCAGAAATAAACCCAAGTATGTATGGTCAACTGATGTTTGACAAAGGTAACAAGAATGCACAATGTGGAAAGGATAGTCTTTTGACAATGGATGTTGGAAAACTTGGATATCTATATGCAAAATAACAGAACTGGACTAATATCTTACATCATACTCCAAAATTAATTCAAGGTGGATTAAAGAATTAAAGACAAGAAACTGTAAAATACTCCTAGAAGAAAATATAGGAAAAAAGCTTCATAACATTAGTCTTGGCAGTGATTTCTTAATTATGATTAAAAAAAAGCACACATGCAACAAATGCCAAGATAGGTAAGTGGGAGTGCATCAAACTCAAAAGCTTCTGCACAGGAAGCAAAGTAAAAAAGCAATAGAAGAAAATATTTGCAAATCATATACCTAATAAAGCATTAATATCCAAAATATATAAGGAACTCCTACAATTCAATAGCAGAAAACCAAAGAACACAATTAAAAAATGTGCAAAAGACCCGAATATCAAAATTGATATTTCTTTAAATGAGACATACAAATGGCCAAGTATATGAATAGATGTTAACATTACTAATTATCAGGGGAATGCAGATCAAAACCACAAAGATATATCACCTCACCTGTTAGAATGCCTATTTTTTTAAAAAAGATAGTTGTTGGCAAGAATGTGGAGAAATTGGAACCCTTGTAAACTGTTGGTGAAAATGTAAATTGGTATAACATTTATTAAAAACAATATGGAAGTTCCTCAAAAAATTAAAAATAGAACTACCATATGATCCAGTAATCCTACTTTTGGGTATTTATCCAAAAGACTAGAAATCAGGATCTTGAAGAGGTATTTGCTCTTTCATGTTCATTGCAGTATTATCCACAATAGCCAAAATGTAGAAACAAAATAAATATCCATCTATTGAGGAGTGAATACAAAAAGTGTGGTTGTGTGTGTGTGTGTGTGTGTGTGTGTGTATGTATATATTATATGTAATACACATATATAAATATTTTTAAGCCTTATAAAAGAAGGAAATATTGTTACTCGAAAGAATATGGATAAACCTTGAGGATATTATGCTAAGTAAAATAGACTAGTCACAAAAGGAAAAATGCTGTATAATTCCACTTATTTGAGTCACCTAAAATAGTCAAACTCATAGAAGTAGAAAGTAGAATGGTGGTTTTCAGTAGCCAGTGGTAGGAGGAAGTAGAAAGTTGCTGTTTGATAGGTGTAAAATTTCAGCTATGCAAGATGAATATATTCTAGAGATCTACTAAACAATGTTTTGCCTATAATTAGCAATACTATTGTATACTTAAAAATTTGTTAACAGGGTAGCGCTCATGTTGTGTTCTTACCACAATTCTAAAAAAGGAGATATTTGGCATGTATCAAAATTTTATTTTAGTGATTAAATGGCCTTCAGAATGGCAAAGCTACTTCAGTGAGAATATGAGAAATTAGGATTTACATAGTCAGTGGAAATAAGAATGCTGAAATAAGATTACTAAGTTAGGTAAAAGAACATCTGGGCCCTAAAAAATTGTTAGTGAAAAATTACATTTCTCAAGAGACTGAGACAGCTCTCAGATGCACCAGAAAAATGATACTAGTAGGACATTAAAGGAATATGTTGTCTTTTTTTCGGCCCTATTTTCAAGTTCTAGATAAACTATCCTGAACATTGCCTGTACCATCACAAAAAGCTTTTATTATTCTTGATAATGCATGTATACACGTGTACTTACACACACATAAAAAGATGATTTCATGTTTTGTGCTAAGAGCATTAATCTAACTTGTTTAGTTAATTGCTTTCTACAGTTTTTATAGTTAATTGAAGTTAGACATAGGCTTAATATGTTGCCTACATAAAGACCCATGGTTCTAATACTAATGCTACAATGATTTATATATTATTATACCAAATTCAGTGGTAGTTACTGTATGTAGTACATTGTATAGGTTCTGTTATATTTGGACTGATTTATTCACATGTAGATAGCAAGAACTGTTGTATCATAAACACTTTTATTGTATTTTCAGCAAAACTAGAGAGAAACTCACCTAATTAATTTCTGCCTGGAGGTTCTGTAAAGAATGTAAGCATCTAGGGTTGCATATTCAAGTCTTTATTATTTTAGATGTTTGTTTCTACTATTATTAGCTCATTTTTCCTGAGGCTAAGAGACTAAGAAGTTTTTCTCCACTAGGTTTTACCTGCAGTACCTATAACTGTAATGAACTTTGCCTCTGCAACATCCCCCAGTTCAGTAAGATTCCTGGCCTGGCAGGAAGTGACCTTCTTTACTGTCAGCTGAAAGCCACAGACCTCCTAAGAGGGCTTTGTAGGTATTGATTCCACATACAAAGCACAACCCTTGCTCCTTAATGGTGGGCCCTTCATAGCTGATTAAATGGGATTTATTATCCAACATGGCATTACAAACATGTCTGTGTTTTCCAACTGATCTGTCCATTTATATACTGGCAAAAGGACTGATTCCTAAAAATCCTGCATAAATAATTACACTGCCATAAAAGGTAAAGAGGCTCAATTCTGGTTGTTGTAATAATATCCATTCACTGTTTTAAATACTTTTGTAGACAAGGCAATTAGTATCTTAC
This sequence comes from Homo sapiens, assembly GCF_000001405.40. NCBI lineage: Eukaryota > Metazoa > Chordata > Mammalia > Primates > Hominidae > Homo > Homo sapiens. Next base: position 95,659,917 of record NC_000011.10, on the reverse strand, counting down.
ATATTTTCTGTAGGATCATTATAGATTATGCCAGAGATAACATCTTTCAGTATAGTTTGATTCTTTACAGATGAATTAAAACTTGGAAATTGTAAGATCTGATTTTAGTAGGATCTTACCTCTTTCTTTTGTGTCAAAGGTCAGTTATGACTTTTCTAAGCTTAACCTGAAATGAAACCACTCTTCTGAATTCTAGGAACCAGAGTCATTAACATCTTCAGGTTTCTCCGATGATTCGTTAGTTTAAAATATATATTAAAAATTCCAGTAGGATATTTTTACTTAATTTTCGGGGCCAGTGGGAATAAGTAAACATTCAAAGAGTGTTTCCTTTCAGTTTGCACAAATATAGCCTGCTAAACTGAGCATGAGAAATAGATCAAAAAGAAATAAAAAGGAAATCTTGTATGCTTATCAGAAAAACTAACATTAAAAACACTGCTAACAATGTTTTAAAACAAATAACCACACATAGATTCTCCTCATTGATTTTCCTCAGGCCTATTTAATTGATTTACGTTTTGTTGATCCTGTGTGAACTACTGTCTACTTTCATGAAGTTTTTCCTTCTGGATTAAAGTAGTCATGTAAAGCCTGACTCAGGCCTGTGGTAAGATTCTGATAGGTGCTGCTCATGTTGTTGATGTCAGCTCACCCTAAAAATTCTATACCCATGAGTCTTTTCCTTGCAGCTTTGGTAGTTAGGAGTGCTTGTTATAGTTCTCCTCTCTAAAACAGTAAGATGATCCTTCTTTGCTATTTCTTCTTGAAGGTCCAATTTCTGACCTATTGCTAGAAAAAAGAAAAAAAAATAGAGGTCTTCATGCAAGATGAGAGATGAAAGCATCTATTGACGTCAACAGTGAAAAATTGGGATAATTGTTTTTGAAGAATGAAATCAGGAAAATTATGAGGAAACAAACGAGTAAGCTATGTCAATCAAGAAGTGTAATAGAGTCCTAAAAAATAAAAGGACGAAGACTTTAAGGAATAACAAAAATATTGAAGCCTCAAATATGAAATCAGTCAGGAGATTTACTGGATAAAAAATGAAAGGTGAAAGTAATGAAGGAAAGTAATGACATCGAGGCCACTTAGAAGAAATAAGGTTATGGTTTGTGAAAATAGTTTCAGATTTGTTGGAAAATGAATTCTAAATATGTCAGCCAAGGAAGACTTTATACAATTAGGGATAACCTGTGAGCGTTAAGCAAGATTAAAAAATATTTTGAAAGGTGGCTATTCTAAAGCAGATGTGGAGCAGACAGTATTTCTGTTGATTGTAGCTCTAACAATCCCAAAGAGTGGTTTATTCATTGTGTTGGTGTTGACTTGGAAATTACCATGAAAAATGAGAAAAAGGGGAAAAAAGACATGTCAAAAATTACAGTTAAATAAAGCCATGTGACCTGCTCACTCATTTTAAGGAAACTCATTAGACCCCAAGGCAGGTTTTCTAGTTATTTTTAAATATTTTCCCTAATCTACTGTCCATTTGGCTGCTAACCTATGACTAGAAATCTGGCTAAGTACTCAATTACATTTTAGTGAAAAGTTTTCTAAACTAAAACAAATTTAGAAAAAAATCTAAAGACGAAAGACACTGTCATCCTTCTTTCCAAGATAATACATAGGAGGCCCATCAGCTCTGTAATAAGAGAGCCAAGAATAAATTCCAGTACTTGCCTTTTCTGTTTGTAGAAAACTCCACTGTGTGGGTAACCTAGCACCTGTCCATGCCCACCTCCGGAGTCTGCTTGTTCCCATGTCGGTACCTTTGTTCTTCTAGAAGACCTCACCTCACTCTCTGTGCTCATCCTAAATGCCATCTAACTGACAAGATTCAACTCCAATCCCACTGCCTCTGTGAAGTCGGTTCTCCTCCCTCTGGCTTTTACTCATCTCTGCTTTATGGTCCAAACACATTTTTCAAAGGTTATGCTGTAGTACCCAACACTTTTGAGTCAAATGATGCACTTACGATGTTAAAAAAAAAAAGTCATAAACTCTCACAGGATAGTGGTTATAGCCTTGTGTGATGGACATAAAACCTCATAGAACGAGTATTCCTTGCCTTTTACCTCCTTCTGACTACTCAAATGGCTTATAATTTTGTGTTTTTGGTAACTTTTTCTTTTCAATACTTCAAATTTCCAGGTGATTTCTTTTGGACTTTTTCATGGAAAATCAAGAGAAATAGGAGGAAAGGGAAGGAATAAAGGCACTTGATCTAAGTCTTGCAGGAGTGTTATCTGGAGGGGATAAGAATAGTGGATGCGAGGACAAAAACATGTTAAAGAAGTATAGCTTCAGACTATACATTTTATTCATGGTATTCAAGAAATTCTAATCACAATTTTAAATAATTTTGAAATTACCCTTCTTGCTTGCCTATGTTCTTCTGACTATGACAAAAAGGGGTGAGGATTTCCTTACTTCTCCATTTTGTATCAATTTATTGAGAAAATATGTGCCAACCAAAATCAAGAACACTCTCTTGGAGTGAGGAGAGACAATATAGCATAGACTTCTGAGGCAGTCTGAGAGAGGTTTGAATTCCAGTTCTGTAGTTTACTTCTTGTGCAACTTTTGGCCAATTATCTAAATAATTTGAGCCTTGAATACCACCTCTGTAAAAGGAGAATTATCATACTAATAATAACAGTGATGATGATACATAGCTCATAGGTGAGGTTAGTTGTGGGGGTTAAATAATGAGTCTAAAGTACCTAACAAGATGTCAGACACTAAGTAAATGCTCATTAATATGAACAACTATTATTGCAACCCATATGTAATTAGTTCCTTTGGAAAGAAAAGTGATGAGAAAGGGATTAATTAATTTAGCTAAGGTAGTTCAAGCAAGGTTCTTCATGGCGATACGTCTCATAGTACTAAATTTTCATTCATTTATACTTTCAAAAATCACATAAAATGTGCATATTCATTGCAAAAAAAATCATAAAATGTAAAAAAAAAGAAAAAGCCATCTGAAACACCATCTCTAAAAATAGTTGCATTTTTTGTATATTCTTTTAGATTGTTTTCTGTATGTACTTGTGGTCAATTTTTGTTTTAGAACAGAAATAGGATACCATTATATAAAATGTTTTGCAAACTACACTTATGTTGTGAATTTTCTTACATATCAATATCTACATCTACACTTCCACTTTAAATTCCTGTATAGTATTCCTTTGCTTCGTAATTTATTTAACTAATTCTGAAGATACAGTTTTGAGTTGATTTCCAAATGGTGAGAAAGAGGCAGTCACATGAAACTAATGGCAGAGAGAGCAGCAAGTTTCAAAACTCTGATATGGGAGTAGGCTTTGTCAAGGACTAGAAGAGGGTCAGCATGATACCCAGGTATGAAGAAAATATTGGAGGATTTTGAGCAAAAGAATGACATAATCTGTTTATTATTATTCTTTCAATCAATCCAACAGCTTTGGGAGGATTAAAATAAAGTTGGGGGCTGGGAAGAGTGGTAGCAGAGAAACCAGTTAGGTGGGCTCTTGCAGTATTCCAAAAGGAAATGATAGTAACTTAAGCCACAATAGAAAGTCTGCTGTTGCCGTCTTGAAAATGTTTAATAATTTATCTTTGAATTTGAGTTTTATAAGGTTAAGTTTGATGGCACAATGAACCATGCTCATGAGCAAAGGAGATACATGCCATATGTGTGTCCGTCATTCTTGCCATCCCATTTGCATACAGAATTTTCAGTGCCCCATGAACACAAAATTCTGGTGGACCCACAGTACAATACATGGGAGTTCAGCAAGATTCACAACAATATTTTTTTTGGCGGCTTTTAAGATTTTTTGTTTATTACTAGTTTTGAGCAATTAGATTGTGATATGCTTGGGTGTGTTTTCCTTCATGTTTCTTGTGCTACGGGTTTGTGGAATTTCTCAGATTTATAGTTTTCATCAAATTTGGAAAATTCCTGATCATTATTTCTGGAACTATTTTTTTTTTGCCTTTATGCTCCTTCTCTTTTGAAGACTCTAATTATCTACACATTAGGCCATTTGAAGTTACAAGTTACTTGTTAAGAATTTGATCTTTTTAGGTCTTGCTTTTATGCTTTGTTAGGTGGATCTGAACTAGGACTCAGTCTAAAGCTAATTATTTCCTACTACTGAGGAAAGACCTTCCTGAGTACTTTCCCACGTGGCCCATAAATTATGAGTTTTTCCAGCCTGGCTGGTGAGAACACAGTTTCTGTGCACTGTTCCATTTAATCCTTTTGAATGGTTCTTTCTCCAACATTAAGTAGATTCCCTCATATGCATGTACTGAGAAGTACCCTGCTGAATAGTGGAGAGGGATGCTCTGAAGCTTTCCTGAGTTCTTGCTCTGTGTAAATTTTTCTCCTCAACTTTGCTCTGTTTGGAGAGCTGTAACTGTCTTGTCTTCCTCAGACTCTTAGCTTTATCTCTTTAACTCAAGGAGAACACTGGTCTCTACCTGGTTTCCCCCTCTCTGCTCCACAACCTGGAATTAGTCTGTAGGAAATAAGCTTGGGAAATTGTAGGTTTTACCTCATTTTTTTCCTGTGTCTTAGAGATCACTGTGTTTTTTTGCCTGATGTCAAATGCTTTAATGCTTTCTTTCTTTTTTTTTCTTTTTTCTTTTTTTGAGACTGAATTTCTCTCTTGTTGCCCAGGCTGGAGTGCAATGGCGCAATCTTGGCTCACCACAACATCTGCTTCCCAGGTTCAAGCGATTCTCCTGCCTCAGCCTCCCGAGTAGCTGGGATTACAGGCATGCACTACCACGCCTGGCTAATTTTGTATTTTTATTAGAGATGGGGTTTCTCCATGTTGGTCAAGCTGGTCTCGAACTCCCGACATCAGATGATCTGCCCACCTCAGCCTCCCAAAGTGCTGGGATTACAGGCGTGAGCCACTGCGCCTGGCCTTGAATGCCTTCTTAACAATAACAGCAAATATATATATATACACACATACATATACATAGGCCAGGTGCAGTGGCTGATGCCTGTAATACCAGCATTTTGGGAGGCTGAAGCAGGTCAAGAGATCAAGACCATGCTGGCCAACATGGTGAAACCCTGTCTCTACTAAAAATACAAAAATTAGCCGGGCGTGGAGGCACACGCCTGTAATCCCAGCTACTTGGGAGGCTGAGGCAGGACAATCACTTGAACCTGGAAGGTGGAGGTTGCAGTAAGCCAAGATCGGGCCACTGCACTCCAGCCTGGCAATAGAGCGAGACTCCTTTAAAAAAAAATATATATATATACATATATATATATATATATACACACACACACACACACACACTATATATATATATGTTCATCATATATCTATATCTATCTCTATCTACCTATCTATTGAGAGAGAGATAGTCACGATTAGTCTCCGTTATTCCATGTTTACTGGAAATGGAATTTTTTCTTTCATCTTAATATACAGAATTTTCCCCAAATTTCCAATATTTTGACTTCCCCCATGCCCATCCATTTCACCCAAACCTTCCACACTCGTTTCTTTGTTTTCTTATACCCTTTGGTCAGTGATCCCTCTCAGAGAGCATTTACCTTTTATTGAACAGTTTTTAAATATATTAATCTGATTTTTAAATATTAAATATGTGAATGTTTTCCAGATTCTGCCTAGATCACTGGTGGCTTTGTTATAGAACCATGGACTCTTGGCTTTGGGAAGCTCCTCATACTTCATCTCTTCATGGAAATATCTCATCTACATTACCCCTAAGAAGTAACCACTGGTTTCTAAATTTCTAGAGTTAGGAAATGTGTCTGTTTATCTCACAGAATTGTGTTTTTAACTTATGAGTACATTTTGTTGTTGTTGATGATGATGATTCATAGGGAACCCATAGGTTTTATTGATTTGCTTAAGTGATGGAATACTGGATAAATGTTACTTTGAAGAAGAATTATCTTTGTTCTATGGCTAGTTTAAAAACCATTCAGTATGCGTGTGTGAGTTGACACACATGCACATATGCACACAAATTCAAGTTCTCCAGTGAACAAATTCCTTGCTTTATCTACCAGCTACTCTTCATAGCAGTTGACTGTGGGAGTTACTTTAACATACTGTGCTCTTACCTCCAAGCCTTTACACATGCTGTGCCCCATGCATGGAATGACACCTTCATATCTATTTAGTTAACTCTTCATCCTTCAGTTATTAGTTTAACTGGTATTTATTTCCTCAACAAACCTTGATTCCTAGAACTAGTTTTGAACTCCTTCCTCTGTGTTGTCAGAACTCTTTTCTTCATATGTAAGTTTTAATTTCTTACTTAGAGTTTGTTTTTTCCACTAGACCATGAACTCTATGAGGGGAGGGACACTGACTGTGTGTGTGTGTGCGTGTGTGTGTATGTGATTTTTTTTTACAATGATGTATATTCTGTGCCCAGAACAGCATCTGGCTCATAGTAGGTGACCAACGAAAATACATCATACCAATTTAAATTCCCTTTAGATTTGTCAAGTTAATAAACTACAGAGGCACCAATTCTCAGCACTTACTTCAAAATACCCTAATGATACGTGAACATTCTCAAGGATGAGATGGAAAGTACACCTTGATGGGCTTTGACATCAGACAATGGGTTTAAATTGTCACCAATTACTGGTTGAGTGATATGAGGCAAGGTTTTTTTGCATTCTCGGAGTCTCAGATTTAAATATATACATATTGAGACAATAAGAGCCTCTTTTTGAAATTGTTATGAAAATTAAATGAGGCTACGTATGTGCAAGTTCCTAGCGCAATGCTTAAAATATGGCAGGAATCCATAAATGTTAGCTTTTCTTTCCCATCCATTTATAATTCCACTCTCCTCCCCATTCCCCTGTCTTTTTCTTTATTTCAGTGCTCTTTCCTCCTAGGAGACTCCTAAGTGAATTGTTAATACTAACTATAGTATAGGGATGACACAGTAGAAAGCATTTTCTTCTCTAGGTCATTAGCAGGAATGTAGATAACATAGATATGGTACAAAATCAAAAAGTCAGAATTGGAGGAGATTTATGAACTTAAAATCCTCCTTTAGGTAAAGGCATTGAAAGACAAAGAGGAAAAGTAACTTGGCTAGGGTTCTAGCAAAAACCAGTGCAGTGCTACTGGAAATAACATGCCTCGGTATTTCAGGGTGAATGAATTCATAGGTTTGTTGGTTCTGGATTAATTACTATCAATTGATAGTCTTAAATAGACATATATTGAGTACTGCTGGGTGGTATTCATGGAGCTAAAACTGGCAAATAACATGCAGATAGATATTGGGTCAAATTCTATCCTTTTCCTTATTTCTAAAAAAGACTTCTTGTATAAAAAGGGTAAGGCAGGGGTTGCTTTCAAGTGGAATTCTTGCTAAGTATTTGCTGTTTAGAGTAGTCCATCTGTTTAATAATTACCATTAACTGTACCTAATTTTATGGTGTAAAACTCATATTGCAGGCAAGCAGGTAGCATATCTACAAAGGTTGTGTCCATATGTTGTACTGTTGGGGTGTGCGGGTGGTGGTCAGGAAGGGAATGTTGAACTTTAGTGTCAGATAGCCCTGATAGAAATCAGGCCGTTGATATCTTGTGACTGTGTGTTGTTCCTTTGAGTTGATCTCTGGGACCAGTGCCAGAAAAATAAATGAGAACCAGAGACCAAATTAAATGTTGCCTGATCATTATGTCAAAGACAAAAGCAGGAAGATAAAAATCTCAAAGCCAAATAGATCCAGGACAAAGGGGAAATAATGGCAGCTGTAGCCGCAGTTTGGAACTAAGATGTGGAACAAATGAGGCTGAACTTACTGACCATCTGTTCAGAAGCAGGGGGAGCCTCAGAAAATACACTGGGCTGGAGGTCTGGTGATGAGCTTCCACTTTCTTGCTCAGTTTCTTATTGGTGGGGTGACTTGGAGAGAGTTCTTTCAGAATTTCAGTCTCCTCATCTGTTAAACGGAGATGATACCCCCCTTTATACAAAATCAGCATGTTAGTTCTCTAGAAGCTTTACCAATTTTACCAACTACCTCACATCATGAGCACCCAACTTCCAGCTTCAGTGACTTTCCAGCACCTCCCGTCATTGCTAGATTCCTGTCCATGGTAGGCATTACTGTGGTACCTTAGCAGAAAAATACAATGCAATAACAAGAATACAGAATTCCTATTAAATCATCCCAGAGTTCTAATCCTTCCTCTGCTCAAGGATGATCTTGACAAATTACTTATTTTCTTTGGGCCTCAGTTTACCCAAACTCATGGATTGTTGTGAGGATTAAATGAGATGCTGTTCACAAAGTACTTAATAAAATGTCTGGTATATATAGTAAGATACTGCTAAATATGTGTTATTAGTGTTGATAATATTGTTAAAGTATTCATTTTAAACATTTAAAAACATATTTAAATGTATATTGAGCATGTGTCAAAGATTTAACCAGCAAAGAGAAAAGCAACAGGATTGGTAAAGGAGACTCTGAGAGAAAGAAGTATATATAGTTTGTGAAAGAATGAATGCTCAAATAAGGTTGGTAAGTTACATACAAAACTATACACGTCCTAGGGGGCCAATAAAATGGTAGCCTCTGAGGTTATCTTTTTCACTGGGCAATTATTATTTTTATCCTCACTGGACAAAAATATCTCACAATTGATCAATCTTCTACAAATTAACAACTATACACAGAATATGAGCCCTAATTAATAATAAATATGAAGTCGAACTAAATGACAGCCCTAGAGAATCAGATAACTCGCAGCAGGGTTGTTAGAAAATTCTCTAATAGATGACAAGAGATCTTGCAGTGCTCTTCTTGTCTTATTTTAAAGTTCTGGATAATTATTTTTGCTTTGAGTGTGGCCAGTGGGTCACTGGCCAGTCTGAGATGTTGGTCTTCTGGAACCTAAGCTTTGGATGTCAAGTTAAAATTTCCTACCCCATGAGTCTTTGTAACCAAATTAAATCACCATAAGTATTGTTGGATTTGAAACTTTTGCTGGCATTGGGAGATGAGGAATGGAAAAGCTATAGGAGCCTGGAAATTAAAGGTGTGACCTTTTCTCTTGGGCTTTTAGAAATGGAGCATGTTTCCCATCTGCATGTAAGCATAAAATAATAATAATGTTACTATCTGACCAACGTATTACTTAAACCTCAGCTGTTATCCTTCCCTCTCTATCCTCTTTAGATGAATTTCCTGTTTGCTTTTTAAATCCTTTCATTTCCCTTTATTCTTTATCTCCCTAGTTCATCTTTCCCTCCTCATGTCCTATCCTTCCCAGGTCATTATATTTACTTCAAGCAGCTTCTCTTGTTTTATGACCCTTACCTCTTAGAGTGGTTGAAGGCAGAAAAAAACTGTTTTCTTTTCCCTCGCTTCTCTGATTCCTTCCTTCAGTTTGCTTTTATGGTATCTAACCCCCAGCTGTTTCTTTGGTTGTCACTACCCAGGCCCTTTGTTCCTCAATTCCTTCCTTTTGGCCATTTCACATATTCTTAGGCCATAGAGGGTGGACAAAAGGGGAAATGAAATCAACATACATTTTAGAGGAGAATCTTTGATTATTCTTTAATCCAGGATGCCACATTTAATACATTAAATGAATTAAATTATTTTATTACTTTTAAAATCTGTAAAGACAGTGATTCCAGCATAGATTTTTAAATAAATGCTTTCCCATAAGATTGCCTCGTTAATATAAGTATTTTCATTTCTGTATTGTTTGTCTGTTTTTGTCTCCTGATATACACGCTTTTTGCATGATTGTATTTGTCATGTACCTACATATAAAACATCTATTTAAGCTTGTGGCATATCTTGTAGATGTAGTAAGGAGTAGCCTGTGGGCCTGGAGACCTTTTGGTATGAGAGGCAGAGACCAACCAGCAGAAAGCTGAGTCTATCCTCACGGAGGGTGTCATTGTGTTTGAATTACATTGCTCTGCACACATGGTCGGGATACAGGTCTGCCTTCCACAAGTGTGGCAATCAGCAATGGACTTGTTTTCTAATTCATTTAGAGCAGAAGGGCAAGCTAGTTAATAAAGAGCGTTCTAATACATGAAAAAAGAAGCTCCATTGCTTGAATAAAAAGTGGCACGTGTTGTATAGCAGTGAGAGTCTGAGTTCTGGAGTGAGATCCAAGTTTAAGTCCTGCCATTTGCTAGTTGGGTAATTTTGAGTAAGATACTTAACTCAAAGTTCTCCAGGCTTTGATTTCTTTTTCTGTAAAATGGAGATATTAATCGAGACATTAATTACTATTTTGGGGATAAATTAAAGATACTATTTGTTATATATACTTTGTGACAGGATACATGTTATCATAAATGTTAAGGAAATGTTGTAAATCTTAGGTAACCACTTGCTTTTCTGTTCTTCGATGTTTGCAAGGAGGAAAACATTTTTCAAGATATGTTACTAGTCTGTATTATCATTTTCTTTTTTTTTCACAATCCTTTCCAATTTGCAAGTGGATATCTGCTGGGCAAATGGGAGTAAGCGAACCAATAATTAATTTAAAAAAATGTTACTGATATATAAATAGATTGATAGCTTAGTGAGGCGGCACAAAGCTCAGAAATAAACCTACATTTGTACAGAAGTTTAGTATGTGATAAAGGTGACCATTTGAAATCAGACGGCATTTGGTTGAAAGTACACTCTTGTATGACGTATGAAATCCCCACATGTTCTGCCACCATTATTTAAAGAAGAGACATGAATTTTGTCTTTAAAAAATTAATAAATTATTACAGGATGGCGAACTGAATCGTCTTCTTAAATCCTCAATATAATCAGAGAAAAGAAACTTTGAAGTCAGTACATCCATAACAATGCTGAAAATTGAGAAAGAGTGATATAATGAATAGAAACTTAGAAGAATTTCTGAATAATTGAAAGAAAATGGAGATCAGATTAATGAAAATATTAAGACTATCCAGATATTCGAGGAAAAGCAGTGATAAAACATAAAGAACCTAGAGGTAGAGGAAAAAATCAGAACCAGTGACCCAGGAAACAGAAGAGAACTTTAAGAACATTTAATGTTATAGGTAGAGACATTTAAGAGAATATTGCCACCTCAAAATAAAAACAGGCTGCAATGAAGGAGGAAGAATAAAGAACAGCTCTTATAAATAAAAATCAAGATTGCTAAATTTTTAAATAGAAGACCTGAAGACCAAATTATAGATCTCAAAGATGAAGATGATAAAATTTCCAAAAATGTAGAGAGCAAAGGGGAAAAAATTATGAAAGAAAAATTAGAAAGCAAGGAGATCATATCTAGAAGTTCCTGTCTGTTCATAGTATTTAAAATGGTTAAATGCTCCTGGGAATAGACTGATAGATTAGTGTGGCAGCATGGAGTTCAGCAACTGATCTGCATTTATATGGAGATTTATATATGATAAAGGTGGCATTTTTAATCAGTGGGCATTTGGGGAAATAGGGCTTATTGGTCTTTTGGAACATTGTTAGTGCCCTACTCCACTCCTAAGTTATTTGATTAAATGGAAAACTGATGCAGATATGCCAGAAGCTCTTGTAACCAATGCTTCCAGTTTGTAAAATTTTAATGTTTATTTTCTTCCATCCTAAAAGTAGACTTCACATTCCAAGGGAAGGGGAAAATGGAGTAGAATGCAAAGGGAGGTTTAAGTTCTGCTTTAGCAGGCATGAGTAGGGAAAAATAAACAGTTGGGGAATTTTTCCAGTCCTGTCTGCTGTTCTGCTCCATTAATGATAGGCTGTTGCTCTTTTACAAAACTAAAGAATAGGCACTAGGATGCAAATCTCATTCTCTTCCAGTTTTCAGCTTTCCTTGAGAAGAGGGATCCACGAATATTCCCCAGACAACTTACATAACCTTGCTCAAATAGAAGCTCAGAGTTGCGGAGTGCAAAATGAAAGAAAAAGGCATAAGGTTGCCTCAACCATTTTGTGAGCTGAGAGCAGAAAGGAAACATTGATTTTATGTCTTACATATTTCATGTGCATTAGAAGGAGGGAGTGAAAGCCTGACATGATGCTCAGTCAAGGGACTAGATTTACCATTTACTTAAACTAGCGTGTGTAGGTTCTCCACAGTAATTAAACTTAAATTTGTGTTTAACTTTTAGCACATTAATGTAAATACATTCTAAGTCATCAAATGCCTACCTTAGTACTGCCACATAATTTCTGTGTTGGAGTTGGCTTTTGTGTTTACAACTTTATTGGCCTCAAGTGGAAAGGAAAAGAACAGAGAAAAAAATAATATATTAGGGAAGGCCAATGGCATCATGATGCAAGCTATGAGTAAAAGTTTCACAGTAACTTAAATAAAGAACTGTGATGGGAACATTAAGTTCTCTCAAGCACACAGTAGCATAGGCTGCCAAACCAAAAACATTCCTGCTCTGGCATTCAGGACCATGGTCACAGAGAAAGGAGTGATTTTTATTTCAGCAAGTAACATCCTCTGTCACATTAAATTAATAGAGGTAATGTGAATTATATTGGTTCTGTAAGTTCATAGTTGGGTGCGCATAAGAAATTTATACCTAGGTTTATGTTTGCACTTCTATTTAAATAGCATTATGATAAAAATAATTTAATTAAAAGTAAACACTAGTGTTATGAGTACTAGTATTTTTATTAGCCAGGACACACATAAAATTTGATCATCACTGACCTTAGTAGTTCTGCCAGGCTACAAAGGTGGTTGCACAGGGCTGAGCTGGAATAGAAACTAGGGCTCAGGTAATTTGGTCTCCCTGTTTCTTCATGAGACAAGCCCTCCTTAGGCTGTTCTCTTTAATTTCTAGCCCATTCTTTTTCATGTTTTAATTTTCTATTCACGAGTAAGTCTCTCTTTCCTTGGTGTTTACTTAGTAATGTGTGCTTCTTAGCAGATGGGAGAACGGGGTTTTTTGAAAGAGCAGGGCTTGGGGTTTCTGGTGAGAAAAAAATGGGAGCTAGCTCAAAACCAAGTAGACCTAGTGGCACATAAACACGATCCCAGACAGTTCCAGAAGCCTCTAAAATAATCCCAACCATTTTGTGGGCAAGACAAGTGCTCTGGTGAGAATTATGACCACTCCCAGACAACTAACAGTTGGCAAAAATCCTTCCCTTTAAGACAAAGAACCCATGGCTCCTGGAGCTCGTATGGGGTGAGTGTTAATCAGATGGAAAGATGGTGCATGGTTCAAATTAAACTAGAAAAACGATCAATGAATTTATGATGAGAATATAAGTATATTAAGCAGATAAAGAGCTCTTGGTTGCTGATTAGTGCATTCCCTCCCTATAGTCATTTGTGATAAGAATGTTACATGGTGGACATGTAATCAGAATCAGGAGAGTTAGATAAGTTGCCTGTCTAGTTAGATCAGAACATGATGGACTGAGGCAGCCATCTGTTTTCAGGGGTGCACACTTGGCACAGAGACCTAATACTCTTCACAAACCAAGGGGCCCTCTCTTCTAGACAGGGGTTGAGTGAGCACAGCCAAATTTGCTTCTGTGTCATCTTTTTTTTAAAATATTTTCTTTTCTGAACAGTCCCTTTCTGATTGGTGTATGTTTCTCTGAATATGCTTATACTCTAAATCTGCTTATAACTAGTGCTTGCCAGCCTGTGTCTTAGTTTTTAAAGCAAACTTATATAAACCAGCTTTGAGACAGTGTGTTCATTTTATTTTTCTCTCAGAAGGTAATTGCCTTAGTTCATGTTTGCTGTTATAACAGAATACCTGGGACTGGGTGATTTATAATAAGCAGAATTGTATTGCTTACAATTCTGGAGGCTGGAAAGTCCAAGATCAAGTGGCCAGCATCTTGTGAGGACCTTCTTGCTGTATCATCCCATGGTAAAAGGCAGAAGGGCTGAGAGAGAAAGAGAGAGAGAGAGAGAGAAAGCAAAAAGGACTCAAACTCTCCCTTTTATAATGAACCCACTCCTGCAATAACAGTATTAATCCATTCACTGTGCCCTCATGGCCTAACCAACTCCCGTTAGGCCCCATCTCCCAGCACTGTTGAATTGGGGATTAAGTTTCCAACACACGCTTTTGGGGGACACATTCAAACTATAGGAGTAATTTTGTTAATTTTTTTTTTTCAAGTTCTTGGCATCCCACTGTTGCTTCAATGTACCACTTGTTTCTTTCTTTTACTTTATTCAAAAGAGATAAAACTATCCTTGAAATTCTGGAGAGCTTTGGCACCTCCAGAATTTCCATTTATGAAGGGCTTGGGGGCTATGATCTAGTGGGAATTGGGGGTGGGTAGAGTACTACTCCAAAGCTGATTTTGGGGAAAGGCACACTGCTTTATGTGGAAAGTGTATTTATTTGGCAGTAGCTTGAAGCTGTGTTTACATAGTAATCATGTTTTTACTTGAGTTAGATGTTTATTTAGAGTTGATTTGGGTTATGGGGCTGATGAAGATTATAGGCATTTCTGCCTTCCTAAGCCATCCCTTTGTTGCCAGTGTGTGATTTTGCTTTTTAACCTGGATCATAGATTGGCTTTGCAATATTCCTGGAGATGGAATTAATTAATTGGCTCTCTCCCAGCCATCTCAAATTACTTGTTTAACTTTTTTGGTTTACAGATATTTATTTGCACCTGTGTGTATTTTGTGTCCTAGTTTTGCAAATCTGCAAATTACCAACTTTGTCAGCAAATGGACAACTTTCTTCTGAAGCTATCCCCTTTGCCAGAGAGTAAACACGCTTTTCTCTCTCCATTTGCCCAATTTGACTTTAATCCCAGGAAATGTAGATAAAACCTGTGTGGGCTTTCTGGTATCTCTCAATTAACTCTTGGTAACTGCAAGCAATCCCTTGTGGCCCAGGTTTATCCTTGAATTCTGATAACAAGATCAAATGAGAAGAGGAATGCCATGAGGAAGTGACTAAAAATTACAAGGGTGTGTGTGCATGTGTAGTTTTGGACGTATATATGTTCCTTTTAATTATACTTAGAAGTCAATATGAATTATATTGTCAGTTGCTTGAGTGACTCATGGCCTTTTCTCAATTCATCAATATAGTGCATAAGTTACTATTGCTCTTGTTACAAATTATTACAAATTTAGTGGCTTAAAATAACATATTTATTATCTAACAGTTCTGAAGGTCTGAAATCCAAAATAGGTCTCATTAGGCTAAAAGCAAGATGCTAGCAAGACTGTGTTCCTTTTGGAGGCTCCAAAGGGCAAATTCATTTTCTTGCCTTTTCTATCTTCTAGAGGCTTCCCATAGTCCTTGGCTCATGACCCTCTTTCTCCACCTTCAAAACCAGCAATGTTGGGCTGAATCCTTCTAATGTTGCTGTCTCTCTTGTTCTCTTCTATCGTCCTCTTCTCCTTTTAAGGACTCTTGTGATTACATTGGGTTTGCCTAGATAATCTAGGATAATGCCACTATTTTAAAGTCAGCTGATTAGCAACCTTAATTGCTTCTGCAACTTTAATTATCACTTTCCTTCTAACCCTCCATACTGACATGTTTCAGAAATTATAGCACAGACATCAGCCATCTTTTGGAGGTGGAGGGTACTATTGTATCTACCACACGTGAAATGTCAAAACAATCTCTAAACATTTCAGTGTTAGTACCCCTGCTTCCACATTCTTTAACCTAAATGTATATCAATGTTTTTGTATGTGTGAAGAGCCTATGAATGTGTGATATGTTTTCATAAATACTCTCATTGAAATTCTTTCCTGCTGTTGTAAGTGCCATAGTAATGTGACTTCTCATCAAAGGCAACCCTTTTCAGTGTTTGATTTGAGTGTCACTGAAAATGCTCCTTGTCCTTTTTTATATTTCTCCCTTGTAGGCCTGCCACAAGTACATAGAATTTCTAGCATTACTTCTTTGGGTTAGAAAACTGTGTCTTCAGTTGACCCTTTCAAAATTCAACTATGAAACTTGGTAGCATATAAACCTACTGCCACAGTTAAAACCTTGGTATTTATTAATGTGTCAGAAAAATTAGATGGCTACCTGATAGGATGCAGGGCAGGTAAATTTGGAGCTTGGGAAGTTGGAAAGACATAGATGTGCAAGGCTATTGCATTACAGAATGATGTTTATGGTTGGTACGGCCTTGGGGAGAACTATTGATTCATAAATTCAACAAATAGTGCTTACTCTGTGTAGTAACTGTGCAACATATTGGAGTTTTAAAAGTCAACAAAGTATCTAGTTGCTTCCCTCTCAGACATTAATTTATGGGCACTCATTGGGATACAATGAAAATACATTTATTTTTCCTGGGCTTAAGCCCTTGTTCCTTCATTAAGTATGAGGTTTTTCCACAGTTGCATAGAACTTTGCATGCAGTAGTTGTAGGCTTACCACATATCGTCATGGACTGCTGACTTGTGTAGCACGAGTGACACAGTATAAGTGCACCTCGACTTTTATCAGGAACATCTTACATTAGTGTTGTGTAAGCTGTACACATTATTATTATTCTGTTGCTGCTATTTTATTCTGCACACTACTTTTATTGATATGTAGATAATCCTTTGTCATAGGAGGTTGTGTGGTTGTGCTATGCATTACAGGACGGTCTCTGTCTACTAGATGCCAGTACACCCTCTAGTTGTGAGATTCAAAAATGTCTCCAGAAGTAGCCAAATGTCCTCTGGGAGGCAAAATCAATCCTAGTTGAGAAACAGTAATGTGTAGCATACAAATAGAAATATGCATAAATCTCAAGTGTGCAGCTTGACTAATTTTTATGAATACACGTCACATTCAATTCAAGAAAAAGGACATTACTAGCATCTAAGATCCTCTCCTTTTAACTCCTGTTATTTTCCAACCAAGGATAACCACTGTTCAGACTTCTAATACCATAGTTTTGCCTGTTTTTAGACTTGAAGTGAATGTAAATATGTGGTACAGACTCTTTTGTGTCTGTGAGGGTCATTCCTTGTGCTGTATGTTGTAATGGGTTTGTTCATTTTCATTCCTTCATACTATTCTACCATAGTCATACCACTATATATTTATCCCTTCTTCTCTTGAGAAACATTTGAATTGTTTTCAAATTTTAGCTATTATGAATAATGCTGCTATGAAGATTTATGTACATGTTTTTTGGTTCAAATCTGTTGCATATCAAAATGAAGTTGCTGAGATTTGAGTCCGTGTATTTCCAGCTTTAGTAGACACTGTCAAGGTTTTCCAAAGTTGTTCTAACAATTTTATTTCCAGGAGCAGTATTTGGGTCCACTGATCCATCATTGCCACATTGCCAATTACTTGGTGTTGTCTATTTTTGTTGTTTTCAAAAATTTGGCCATTCGGGTACATATGTAGTCTTACGGCATTGTGGGTTTTGTTTGCATTTCTCAGATGATAATTGAGATTCAGCATGTTTTCATACAATTATTAGCCATTTTCATGTTTTCCTTGTGAAAGGGTATTTTTTTTTGTCTATTTTTGTGATTGGGTAGAAAAATGATACCATCAGCTCATGTGATTATCAATCTCTTTGGCATTTTTATCTCTAAGCTTAAAATAATTTTAAAAATACACTGATTTTGTTCATCTCTCTCTTGTGAGCTTCAGCAGTACAACTCCATTCACCAGTCAGAGCTCTCCTGGATGAACTGATCGAATGGAAGCCACAAACTAGCCAAACTAAGGACATGCCTGTAGGCCTGACAGTCCTGCCAAGGAAGGTCTTGGCTGAGACAAAGTTGTAATCCTTCCTCCTCTCTCTCTTCCTTTTAGCTACAAAATCAACAGATAAATAAACATTTCTAGAATTTTCTGTCCTGGTACCATAGCTTAATACATGTTGGCCATTGGCATAAATGTTTTCCAAGATGTTTATTTATCAGATTACTTTATGAACTAATTTGCTGCTTGAAATGACTACCTAGTGAAGTAAGAATTTAATTTTAGGGAGTCTCACAGATAATAGATAAAAGGCATAGTCTTCTGTTCTTTTCCTTCATGCCATTGGTAAGAGCTGTAAGACCAGTATTTTCCTTCCTCATTGGTTTTTGGCCACCTTTGCTGGTGCAACATCACATGCAATATAAAGCCTAAATCACCTTTCTTACTCTCAGGCTTCCTCACGAAACCAAAGCCTACTTGTGCAATGTTTCATTTTTACTTTCATGCACCACATCCTCCTCCTGCCCTTATTACATAACTGTTGAGAGCCCTATGTACTCGTTCCACCTCAGGCTATGTCATCACCTCAAGCCTTGGATGCTGTCCATGTTTGGATGGGCAACCTCCAAGGTGCATTTCATCTGCCCATGCTGTGCTTAGTGCCGCCAAATGTAGGGCCCCTGCCAGTGATGCATACTTAGGCTAATGGCCTATGGGCTTCTGGGAAACAAAAGGGCAGGTAATGGAGGGCAGCCATCAGAAATTGGCAGGAAACAAGGCTCTTTTTGAGCAAAACCTTTAAGAAGAACATGAATCAAATAGAATCTCAGAGGCTCTGGAAATATGATTGTGTTCTCATTTATATCTCTCAAGTAGAAAGAAATTGAAATAGATGGCTGGGATCCCAAATTTCCAAGTCCTTGACCTCCACTGTTGAAGGAACAGGAGGAAGAGATAATAGCAGGGACACACAGGGCAAATGCGCTCTGTTGCCCTTTATAAAACTTTAGTTTCAAACCTTATGTTCTGAAACAATAACAAATAGGCCAATTTTTCCTTCTATAGAGCAGTGCTTTTTGAATTTAAAGTTGGTGATTATGACTTCCTTGAGTTGTCTAATGAACATTTGAAAGTTGAATTGGGAATAAATTCGGAGATTCTTTGACCAATCAGTGAAATGTATGAGGCATGTATTAATAGTAAATTCCTCACATTATGTGCTTAGGGGTAGAAAAAATAATAACAGCCAACACGTGTATAGTGCTTACTTTGTGCCAAGCACTGTTCTAAAGGCTTAATCCTCAAAACAACCCTTTGCTGTATGTACTCTTATGATCCCATTATACAGATGAGAAAGATAAGGCTTAGAGGGGGTAAGTAGCAAAACCCAAGGTTACATGCTGAAGGAGTCACAGAGCTAGGATTCATATCCAGGCACTCTGGCTCCCTAGTCTATGTTCTCAGCCCAATAAACAATAAACTAATGCTGCCTACCTAAAAAGAAGTAATAGATTTCTTCTTTGAGAATATTGCAAATGAGATAATATTAACTATACATAATACATGTAGCTATGTCCTAAGAGAGATAATGGTCTGGGCTAAAATGGATAAAGAAGATGAAATACGAAGGAGCCAAGCCTCAGAAATTATGCAGAATTTCAATAGGTGCAGAGGAAGGTGAAGGTTTAGGATGTTTGTGGACCTTTAGCATCCCTACCCCCAGTAATTGCCAGTAGGAATCATCAAGCTTGTTGACTACCAAAAGCTTCTCTACATGTTTACAAAAGCTCCTCACTGAGAATAGCTGAGCTATAGGTACAGTGGTTGGAACAGTGGTACTCATGTGCATCAGGATTACCTGGAGCTCTTGTTAAAATTCAGACTGCTGGCCCTCACTTCCAGATTTTCTGATTTAGTAGGTCTAGGATGACGTCCAAGAATTTATATTTCTGACAGATTTCTAGGTGATGCTGTTGGGAACAGGCCCCCAAATCTGGCCATAAACTGGCTCCAAAACTGGCCATAAACAAAATCTCTGCCACATTGTGACATGCTCGTGATGGCCTTGATGCCCACGCTGGAAGGTTGTGGGTTTACTGAGGGCAAGGAACACCTGGCCCCACCAAGGGCGGAAAACCTCTTAAGGCATTCTTAAACCACAAACAATAGGATGAGTGATCTGTGCCTTAAGGACATGTTCATGTTGTAGATAACTAGCCGGACCCATCCCTTTATTTCGACTCATCCCTTTATTTCCCATAAGGAATACTTTTAGTAAACCTTATGACTGGCTTGCTGTCAGTAAATATGTGGGTAAATCTCTGTTCAAGGCTCTCAGCTCTGAAGGCTCTGAGACCCCTGATTTGCCACTCCACACTCCATGTTTCTGTGTGTGTGTCTTTAATTCCTCTAGCACTGCTGGGTTAAGGTCTCCATGACCAGCTTGTCTCAGCATGATGGCTGATGCTGTGGGACCTCAGCAAGGTCTAAGAAAAAGAAAGATGTGGGCTGACAGCAGTAGAAGAAAAAAAATGATTCTTAGACTCATTGTCTAATATTAGCATGATTATCTAATAGCAATAGCCAACTTCAGTGATAACTTATTCCAAGCCAGTGCTGTGCAAAGCACTTGATATATACATTATATTTTTTAATCCTTAAAACAGATTTTAAATGCTATTATTATTTCCATTTTGCAGATGAGAAAAGTTAGGATTAAAAATACATTATGAACTTTTCCAGGTCATGTATGTGTAAAATTAAACCCACATCCAACCAACTCTGGGGTGCAGCCACTAATCAGTACTGCTGTTCCATAGCTCTGGGAGGTGTTTTGATGTGATGTGTTCAGAAGTCCATAATCTTTGAAAGTATCTAATCAGCCATGCAACAAGACAAAAGTAATAATTAGGGTAAATTATTCTGGTAGCACTGTGCGGAACTTAAAGACTCAGAGGCTAGCTATGGATCTATTATAACAATACAGGCATGATCAAAATTTCAGCAACATAGCTTTTCTTCCTATCCAATTTTCAAAGTGAATAACATGTCAAATGCTGCTATCAGGAATTTCATTAAGAATGCATTTCATTTTGTTTGCATACCTGATATTTAAAAACACAGATTTTGGAATCTTCAATCTGTTGCTTATAGTTCATTCATTTATTCAAAAACTTTACTAAAATCTACTAAAATAACATTTTTTGGGGAAAAACTTTGATTTACTATCAGTTTATTTTGAGGTGACATACCAAACCCAAGTTAAACTTTTCTTATGGGCTGCTTTTTAAACCTCACCTTTGTCTTCAGTGCCCTAAAATTTTATGATTATATTTTTAGATATAGATTTATTATTGTTTATACTGATTGAGTCTGAGTGGGCATCTTTCTGGAAAATTCTTCATTATAATCCCTTCAAATATTGTTTCTTCCTCATTCTCATTGTTATTTCCTTCTGGAATTCTGATTAGAGTATGTTGGACCTTCTCATTCTGCCCTCTAATTTTATTAATCTTTCTTTCATATTTTCAATATGTATCTTTCAGAAACATTCTGGATAATTTCTTTGATCTGATCATCCTTTCTTCAAGTCTCTCTTCACCTCTTTCTAATCTGCTATTTAATTCATTTAATGTTTAATTTCACTTACTTTGTTGTCACTTTAATTTTCAAGTTATTTCTCTTCAGATCCTTTTTACAGTCTTGTTTCGTGCTTATATTTTTAAACCTCTCTCCTTCAAGCATATCAGACATTCTTAGTTTATGTTTAGCATCTGATAATTCCAATACTTAAGAGTTTTTTGTTTATCTGATTCTGCAATGTTATTTCTGCTGGTTCTTATTCATGGTTCTTTGTTTGCCTGTGTATTTGCAATTATTGGCTATTAGCTCATATCCCTTGGATTGTTACCTGATAGAATTCTTTTAGGTCATGTTGAAATTGAATTTTTTTTCTGGGAAGATTTTAAATGACTTCATATCACCTGGGCATAGGCACTAAAATCCAGGACCACGTTATATTAAAATTTCCATTGGAATTTTTTTTTTTGACTACACAGGAAGTTCGAACTTGGGGCAAGATTATAGTTCCAAATTCCTTAAAGAGATTTTCTTTCTCCTCCACCCAGTGCAAACGTGAAAAGAGAAGTCTCCTTCCTGTCCACTTCTGCGAGGAAATTATATCCCCAGAGGGCCTCAGCCTTACATGGGAGACTACCATTAGACTTTCTACTTTGCATGTGCTGTAGGTTTTGTCTACTTTCTTATGTGCCATACATAGTCTTCTATATGTTCAAGTTTGCCAGGGTTCAGTGGATTCCCTCAGGGTTAAAGCTGGGTTCTGCACTTGCTTGCCTCTCATCTTCCAATATCACTTTGTTTTGGCTCTGACATATCAATGCTTTTTTGCCAGATTAGTGATGTACTTAAAACATTCTAAATATACGAATACAGATCAGGCTCACACCTATAACCCCAGCACTTTGGGAGGCCGAAGCAGGTGGATGGCTTGAGCCTAGGAGTCCGAGACCAGCCTGGGCAACATGGCAAAACCCTGTCTCTAGCAAAAATTAGCTGGCCGAGGTGGCACCCACCTGTAGTCCCAGCTACTGGGAGGCTGAGGTGGGAGGATCCCTTGAACCTGGGAGGTGGAGGCTGCAGTGAGCTGAGATCGCACCACTGCACTCCAGCCTGGGTGACAGAGTGAGACGCTGTCTAAAACACACACACACGTGCGCACACACACACACTCATACATAATGTTTTAGCTATTTTCATCAGAAAGTTTGTTCAGAGTATCAAATTAGTCTAATATATTGCAAAGAATGCAAGTCCCAGTAAACTGAAAATGTGTTACAAATTATATTAAAATGACAAAGAGAAAAGCAGAGATTTGTATTTAAAGATACTATTAAATGGCAAGTGAAATCCCTGAGGACAGGAACAACACATTTTTTACTTGTTTCTTTAAAGCTTCATACTATGCCTAAGACCTAAGAGCCCCATAAATAATAAGTGAATAAAATAATGCAAGCATTGAGATAGCTTTGGAAGCTTCAAGTGGATAGATCATTAGAACTCATTATTAAATGTGTTTCGATATATGCTTGACTGATTCCTAAAAATACCTGAATATTTATACATATTTTAACATCCCTAATCCAAAAATTTGAAGTCTGAAATGCTCCAAACTCTGAGACTTTTTGAGGGCTGACATGACGCTGCAAGTGGAAAATTCCAGACCTGACTTCATGTGATAGGTCACAGTCAGAATACAGGTGTACAATACACAGTGTACACAGTTTCCTCAGCATCCCCAAAGGAAAAAAGACCCTCTCAGCCGTCTTCAGCTGTGATATATTTTTCTATGCCCTCCCTGATTCCTCTACACAAGTACACTACAAAGAATAATAAAATGGCACATGTGCAGGCTGGATGCACCAATGGCAGGTTCCCTAAGTTGCCTCACATGGGTCCAAGACCTATGTTCGTTACTCACTGTGTTTTTTGCTTACTCTCTGTTCTGTAGTAGAAGGATACTGTTTAAAATGTTGAAATAAGCCTGTAGATACCCCTATGGTTAACAGTGATGAGAAAATGAGGAAGGATTTATGTTTACCTGTAGCACAGAAAGTCAAGCTGTTGGAGAAAGTGGACAGTAATATAAATGTGAAACACAGAAGAGTGTAGTGTCGGAATGACAACCGTATAACAGAATGATAAACTGTTGAGGTTTTATGTTGCAAGTGATTAGCAGAAGTTAATGAAAAATAGAAAAACACTGCATAAAGCTAAAAAATGAAGATTTTGATTGTGTATTAAAAGAGTGACTCCATCAGTGTCACGATGAACACATACCACTTAAGAGTATACTGATCATAAAACAAGCAAGATCTATTAGAACGAACTGAACATTGAAGGGAACTATATTCAACAGGCTGATTGCAGAAATTTTTAAAAAGACATAGAATTAAATTTTAAAGATTTGTGGTGAAAAAACGTCTGCTGATTATGAAACAGTGGAGAAATTCATTGATGAGTTTGCCAAGATCATCCCTAATGAAATTCTGCAGACAGATTAAGTCTATAATACTAATGAAGCATCACTATTTTGGTGTTATTGCCCCAGAAAGATACTGACTATAGTTGAAGAAACAGCTCCTATAGAAATTAAGGATGCCAAAGACAGAATAACTGAGCTGGGATGTGTTAATGCAGCAGGCACATATACTTGTAAACTTACTGTGATAGGTAATTGCGTCCTTGCTGTTTTCAAGGTATGATTTTTTTTTACCAGTCCATTATTATGCTAACTAAAAGGCATGGATCACCAGGGACATCTTTTCTAATTGGTTTCACAAACAATTTGTACCAGTGGGATGTGCTTACTGCAGGGAAGGACAGGGTAACAACTGCAAGATTTTGTTATACTTTGAAAATTGTCCTGCTCATCCTCCAGCTGGAATTATCATAAAAAAAATGTTTATGCCATGTACTTTCCCCCAAATGTGACTTCATTAATTTAGCCGTGTGACTAGGGTATCCTTAGATCAATGAAGTGTAAATATAAAAACACTTTCTTGAATAGCATGCCAGCAACTGTGAACAGAGGCGTTGGTGTGGAAGGTTTTCAAAAGGAGTTTAACATGAAAGATGGTGTATATTCTGTTACCAATGCTTGGAACACAGGGACTAAAGACACAGTGTGCATGCCTGGCACAACCCTGGCCTGCGACTATGCTCAGTGATGATGATGAACAAGATTGTGACTTCGAAGGATTACATCTGTCAAGTGAGGAAAAAAGTCTGCCCTCCTTACATATGCAAAAAATATACTTTCAGAGTCCATCAGTAAGCTGGAATAAGTGGATATCAGAGAAATTATTAACATTGATAATGATGCTCAATTGTTTACTCATTGACAGATGGTGAAATAGTTGAAATGGTTCTGAATCAAGGTGATTCTGATAGTAGAGACGATGAAGATGTTGTTAATGCTGCAGAAAAAATGCCTATAGATGACATGGTGAAAATGTGTGATGGGCTTATTGAAAAACTAGAACAGCATACATTTATAACAGAACAAGAAATCATGTCAGTTTATAAAGTCAAAAGGAATCCCTAAGACAAAAACCATTAATAAGACATGACTCCAGAGGAAACATTTTAAAAGTATCCAGGGAATTACTTCTCATTCTTAGAAGACTCATTTCCTAGTTGCTCAACTGCTTCTGATGTTTCTTTTTCATCTACAAAAATAAAATCCAGTTTACGGTAACCTTTTAATCCACATACAGTATCGCAGGTGGTGATGGAAAGCCTGGTGTTGTTTGTTGTTGGACAGCTAACACAGGTATTCTGGCGATGTTACCATGCTACTTACTTATCCTCAACATATTATTTTTTCACTATATTAAAAATATGCCATATTTTTTACTGTTAAGTACTTAAGCGTAAATAGTGTAAAAAATGTTTGCTGTTGGTAGCATGTACATTCAGTCAGAATGATGGTGATGCCATACAATCACAGGTTGTCCACATGGATGAGTGGATGAGAGAGTGACACCTTTGCTTTCTGATGCTTCAGTGCACACAAACTGCGTTTCATGCACAAGATTATTTAAAATGTTATACAAAGTTACCTTCAGTTTCAGTGTATAAAGTATATATAAAACATAAATAAATTTCCTATTTAGGCTTGGGTCCTATCCCCAATATATCTCATTATATATATGCAAATATTCCAAAATATAAAAAAATCCAAAATCTAAAACACTTCTGGTCCCAAGCATTTTGGAAAAGAAATACTCAACATATAAATATATACATATTTATGTATATACATATATATATGTTGAGTATTATATATTTATATGTCGAGTATTTATATACTCGACATATAAATATATACAGATGTGTATATATATACTCAAGTATATATAAATACTCAACATATAAATATATAAATATATAATATATACTCAACATATAAATATATACATATATAATATATACAGAGTATATATACTCAACATATAAATATATGTGTGTATATATACATATATACAAAGTATATATACTCAACATATATATGTATATACATATTTTTATATATACTAAACATACAAATATACATATATACATACATATACGTATATTTGTATGTTGAGTATATATACAAATACTCACCATATAAATATATACATATATGTATATACATATATTTATATGTTGAGTATAAATACTCAACATATAAATATATACATATATGTATAATAAATATATACATATATACATATATATGTACATGTACATGTATATATGTACATACGTATATATACATGTATATATACGTACGTACGTATATATACATGTATATACGTACGTACGTATATATGTATATATGTATATGTACATATATACATATATAATAAATATATAATGTATGTATTATACAAAGTATATATACTCAAGTATATATAAATACTAAACATAAATATATAAATACATGTAATATAAATACTCAACATATAATTATATACATATATAATATATACAAAGTATATATACTCAACATATAAATATGTGTATATGTATACATATATACAAAGTATATATACTCAACATATAAATATATAAATATATGTATAATATATACAAAGTATATATACGCAACATATAAATATATGTATATACATATTTTTATATATACTCAACATACAAATATACATATATACATACATATACGTATATTTGTATGTTGAGTATATATACAAATACTCACCATATAAATATATACATATATGTATAATATATACAAAGTATATATACTCAAGTATATATACAAGTATATATACAAAGTGTATATTATATATACTTTGTATATACTCAAGTATATATACTTTGTATATATTATACATATATGTATGTATTTATATGTTGAGTATATATACTCAACATATAAATACTCAACATATAAATATATACATATATGTATAATAAATATATAAATATATACATATATGTATAATAAATATATACATATATACATATATGTACATGTATACGTATATATGTACATATACGTATATGTACATATGTACATATATACATATGTACAAATGTATATATGTGTATATGTATAAATGTATATATGTGTATATGTACATACGTATATATGTATATGTACATATACATATATAATATATAATATATGTATAATATATACAAAGTATATATACTCAAGTATATATACTCAACATATAAATGTATAAATACATGTAATATAAATACTCAACATATAAATATATACATATATGTATAATATATACAAAGTATATATACTCAACATATAAATATATGTATATATAAATATATGTATATACATATATATGTTGAGTGTATATGTATATATTATATATGTGTGTATGTGTACAAATATAAATAAAACAGTCATTTACTAAGTAGTTCTAACATTATAACTTAGTCACAGTTATTGCTAAGCCCAGCACATTTCTGATTATCAGGCAGCCCCTATTAACAGACATGAGCTTAATTTAGCAACCTTATTTAGAGCTAACCCATTTTAGATTCTGAATTTCAACCTTGTCTAATATGGTGAATCACTTACTTGCATAAATTTTATCCATGGAACTTCCCCTTGAGTCTACTTCTGTGAACTGAGGGGAGGGTATGGGTTGAACATAAAATCACTGAATGCAGGAGAACTGAGGAAAGGATGGTCCCTACCAGTGGCATTCCCCTTACAACTGAGAAGCTCTTCAAAACTTCATAGAAAAGGGTGATACGGAAACCAAAAGAATATCAAAATTTTCTCAAACTCTGAGGTATATTGCTAATTCTGACTGCCTGGCAATCTAGTGGGTAGCTAACTATACTAAAAAGAAAAAATCGAGGGAGGAGCCAAGATGGCGGAATAGGAACAGCTCCGGTCTACAGCTCCCAGCATGAGCGATGCAGAAGACGGGTGATTTCTGCATTTCCATCTGAGGTACTGGGTTCATCTCACTAGAGAGTGCCAGACAGTGGGCGCAGGTCAGTGGGTGCGTGCACCGTGCGCGAGCCGAAGCAGGGTGAGGCATTGCCTCACTCCGGAAGCACAAGGGGTCAGGGAGTTCCCTTTCCTAGTCAAAGAAAGGGGTGACGGATGGCACCTGGAAAATCGGGTCGCTCTCACCCGAATACTGCGCTTTTCCGACGGGCTTAAAAAACGGCGCACCACAAGATTATATCCTGCACCTAGCTCGGAGGGTCCTATGCCCACGGAGTCTCGCTGACTGCTAGCACAGCAGTCTGAGATCAAACTGCAAGGCGGCAGCGAGGCTGGGGGAGGGGCGCCCACCATTGCCCAGGCGTGCTTAGGTAAACAAAGCAGCCGGGAAGCTCGAACTGGGTGGAGCCCACCACAGCTCAAGGAGGCCTGCGTGCCTCTGTAGGCTCCACCTCTGGGGTAAGGGCACAGACAAACAAAAAGACAGCAGTAACCTCTGCAGACTTAAATGTCCCTGTCTGACAGCTTTGAAGAGAGCAGTGGTTCTCCCAGCACGCAGCTGGAGATCTGAGAACGGGCAGACTGCCTCCTCAAATGGGTCCCTGACCCCTGACCCCCGAGCAGCCTAACTGGGAGGCACCCCCCAGCAGGGGCACACTGACACCTCACACGGCAGGGTACTTCAACAGACCTGCAGCTGAGGGTCCTGTCTGTTAGAAGGAAAAATAACAAACAGAAAGGACATCCACACCAAAAACCCATCTGTACATCACCATCATCAAAGACCAAAAGTAGATAAAACCACAAAGATGGGGAAAAAACAGAACAGAAAAACTGGAAACTCTAAAAAGCAGAGCGCCTCTCCTCCTCCAAAGGAACGCAGTTCCTCACCAGCAACGGAAAAAAGCTGGACGGAGAATGACTTTGACAAGCTGAGAGAAGAAGGCTTTAGATGATCAAATTACTCTGAGCTATGGGAGGACATTCAAACCAAAGGCAAAGGAGTTGAAAACTTTGAAAAAAATTTAGAAGAATGTATAAATAGAATAACCAATACAGAGAAGTGCTTAAAGGAGCTGATGGAGCTGAAAACCAAGGCTCGAGAACTACGTGAAGAATGCAGAAGCCTCAGGAGCCGATGCAATCAACTGGAAGAAAGGGTATCAGCAATGGAAGATGAAATGAATGAAATGAAGCGAGAAGGGAAGTTTAGAGAAAAAAGAATAAAAAGAAACGAGCAAAGCCTCCAAGAAATATGGGACTATGTGAAAAGACCAAATCTACGTCTGACTGGTGTACCTGAAAGTTATGGGGAGAATGGAACCAAGTTGGAAAACACTCTGCAGGATATTATCCAGGAGAACTTCCCCAATCTAGCAAGGCAGGCCAACATTCAGATTCAGGAAATATGGAGAACGCCACAAAGATACTCCTTGAGAAGAGCAACTCCAAGACACATAATTATCAGATTCACCAAAGTTGAAATGAAGGAAAAAATGTTAAGGGCAGCCAGAGAGAAAGGTCGGGTTACCCACAAAGGGAAGCCCATCAGACTAACAGTGGATCTCTTGGCAGAAACCCTACAAGCCAGAAGAGAGTGGGAGCCAATATTCAACATTCTTAAAGAAAAGAATTTTCAACCCAGAATTTCATATCCAGCCAAACTAAGCTTCATAAGTGAAGGAGAAATTAAATACTTTACAGACAAGCAAATGCTGAGAGATTTTGTCACCACCAGGCCTGCCCTAAAAGAGCTCCTGAAGGAAGCGCTAAACATGGAAAGGAACAACCGGTACCAGCCGCTGCAAAATCATGCCAAAATGTAAAGACCATCGAGACTAGGAAGAAACTGCATCAACTAACGAGCAAAATAACCAGCTAACATCATAATGACAGGATCAAATTCACACACAACAATATTAACTTTAAATGTAAATGGACTAAATGCTCCAATTAAAAGACACAGACTGGCAAGTTGGATAAAGAGTCAAGACCCATCAGTGTGCTGTATTCAGGAAACCCATCTCACGTGCAGAGACACACATAGGCTCAAAATAAAAGGATGGAGGAAGATCTACCAAGCAAATGGAAAACAAAAAAAGGCAGGGGTTGCAATCCTAGTCTCTCATAAAACAGACTTTAAACCAACAAAGATCAAAAGAGACAAAGAAGGCCATTATATAATGGTAAAGGGATCAATTCAACAAGAAGAGCTAACTATCCTAAATATATATGCACCCAATACAGGAGCACCCAGATTCATAAAGCAAGTCCTGAGTGACCTACAAAGAGACTTAGACTCCCACACATTAATAATGGGAGACTTTAACACCCCACTGTCAACATTAGACAGATCAACGAGACAGAAAGTCAACAAGGATACCCAGGAATTGAACTCAGCTCTGCACCAAGCAGACCTAATAGACATCTACAGAACTCTCCACCCCAAATCAACAGAATATACATTTTTTTCAGCACCACACCACACCTATTCCAAAATTGACCACATACTTGGAAGTAACGCTCTCCTCAGCAAATGTAAAAGAACAGAAATTATAACAAACTATCTCTCAGACCACAGTGCAATCAAACTAGAACTCAGGATTAAGAATCTCACTCAAAACTGCTCAACTACATGGAAACTGAACAACCTGCTCCTGAACGACTACTGGGTACATAATGAAATGAAGGCAGAAATAAAGATGTTCTTTGAAACCAACGAGAACAAAGACACAACATACCAGAATCTCTGGGATGCATTCAAAGCAGTGTGTAGAGGGAAATTTATAGCACTAAATGCCCACAAGAGAAAGCAGGAAAGATCCAAAATTGACACCCTAACATCACAATTAAAAGAACTAGAAAAGCAAGAGCAAACACATTCAAAAGCTAGCAGAGGGCAAGAAATAAATAAAATCAGAGCAGAACTGAAGGAAATAGAGACACAAAAAACCCTTCAAAAAATTAATGAATCCAGGAGCTGGTTTTTTGAAATGATCAACAAAATTGATAGACCGCTAGCAAGACTAATAAAGAAAAAAAGAAGAATCAAATAGACGCAATAAAAAATGATAAAGGGGATATGACCACTGATCCCACAGAAATACAAACTACCATCAGAGAATACTACAAACACCTCTACGCAAATAAACTAGAAAATCTAGAAGAAATGGATAAATTCCTCGACACATACACCCACCCAAGACTAAACCAGGAAGAAGTTGAATCTCTGAATAGACCAATAACAGGATCTGAAATTGTGGCAATAATCAATAGTTTACCAACCAAAAAGAGTCCAGGACCAGATGGATTCATAGCCGAATTCTACCAGAGATACAAGGAGGAACTGGTACCATTCCTTCTGAAACTATTCCAATCAATAGAAAAAGAGGGAATCCTCCCTAACTCATTTTATGAGGCCAGCATCATTCTGATACCAAAGCCAGGCAGAGACACAACCAAAAAAGAGAATTTTAGACGAATATCCTTGATGAACATTAATGCAAAAATCCTTAATAAAATACTGGCAAAATGAATCCAGCAGCACATTAAAAAGCTTATCCACCATGATCAAGTGGGCTTCATCCCTGGGATGCAAGGTTGGTTCAATATACGCAAATCAATAAATGTAATCCAGCATATAAAGAGCCAAAGACAAAAACCACATGATTATCTCAATAGATGCAGAAAAGGCCTTTGAAAAAATTCAACAACGCTTCATGCTAAAAACTCTCAATAAATTAGGTATTGATGGGACGTATTTCAAAATAATAAGAGCTATCTATGACAAACCCACAGCCAATATCATACTGAATGGGCAAAAACTGGAAACATTCCCTTTGAAAACTGGCACAAGACAGGGATGCCCTCTCTCACCACTCCTATTCAACATAGTGTTGGAAGTTCTGGCCAGGGCAATTAGGCAGGAGAAGGAAATAAAGGGTATTCAATTAGGAAAAGAGGAAGTCAAATTGTCCCTGTTTGCAGACGACATGATTGTATATCTAGAAAACCCCATTGTCTCAGCCCAAAATCTCCTTAAGCTGATAAGCAACTTCAGCAAAGTCTCAGGATACAAAATCAATGTACAAAAATCACAAGCATTCTTATACACCAACAACAGACAAACAGAGAGCCAAATCATGAGTGAACTCCCATTCACAATTGCTTCTCCTAAGAGAATAAAATACCTAGGAATCCAACTTACAAGGGATGTGAAGGACCTCTTCAAGGAGAACTACAATCCACTGCTCAAGGAAATAAAAGAGGATACAAACAAATGGAAGAACATTCCATGCTCATGGGTAGGAAGAATCAATATCGTGAAAATGGCCATACTGCCCAAGGTAATTTATAGATTCAATGCCATCCCCATCAAGCTACCAATGACTTGCTTCACAGAATTGGAAAAAACTACTTTAAAGTTCATATGGAACCAAAAAAGAGCCCGCATCACCAAGTCAATCCTAAGCCAAAAGAACAAAGCTGGAGGCATCACTCTACCTGACTTCAAACTATACTACAAGGCTACAGTAACCAAAACAGCATGGTACTGGTACCAAAACAGAGATATAGATCAATGGAACAGAACAGAGCCCTCAGAAATAATGCCACATATCTACAACTATCTGATCTTTGACAAACCTGAGAAAAACAAGCAATGGGGAAAGGATTCCCTATTTAATAAATGGTGCTGGGAAAACTGGCTGGCCATATGTAGAAAGCTGAAACTGGATCCCTTCCTTACACCTTATACAAAAATCAATTCAAGATGGATTAAAGACTTAAACATTAGACCTAAAACCATAAAAACCCTAGAAGAAAACCTAGGCATTACCATTCAGGACATAGGCATGGGCAAGGACTTCATGTCTAAAACACCAAAAGCAATGGCAACAAAAGACAAAATTGACAAATGGGATCTAATTAAACTAAAGAGCTTCTGCACAGCAAAAGAAACTACCATCAGAGTGAACAGGCAACCTACAAAATGGGTGAAAATTTTCACAACCTACTCATCTGACAAAGGGCTAATATCCAGAATCTACAATGAACTCAAACAAGTTTACAAGAATAAAACAAACAACCCCATCAAAAAGTGGGCGAAGGACATGAACAGACACTTCTCAAAAGAAGACATTTATGCAGCCAAAAAACACATGAAAAAATGTTCATCATCACTGGCCATCAGAGAAATGCAAATCAAAACCACAATGAGATACCATCTCACACCAGTTAGAATGGCAATCATTAAAAAGTCAGGAAACAACAGGTGCTGGAGAGGATGTGGAGAAATAGGAACACTTTTACACTGTTGGTGGGACTGTAAACTAGTTCAACCATTGTGGAAGTCAGTGTGGCGATTCCTCAGGGATCTAGAACTAGAAATACCATTTGACCCAGCCATCCCATTACTGGGTATATACCCAAAGGACTATAAATCATGCTGCTATAAAGACACATGCACACGTATGTTTATTACGGCATTATTCACAATAGCAAAGACTTGGAACCAACCCAAATGTCCAACAATGATAGACTGGATTAAGAAAATGTGGCACATATACACCATGGAATGCTATGCAGCCATAAAAAAGGATGAGTTCATGTCCTTTGTAGGGACATGGATGAAATTGGAAATCATCATTCTCAGTAAACTATCGCAAGAACAAAAAACCAAACACTGCATATTCTCACTCATAGGTGGGAATTGAACAATGAGATCACATGGACACAGGAAGGGGAACATCACACTCTGGGGACTGTTGTCGGGTTGGGGGAGGGGGGAGGGATAGCATTGGGAGATATACCTAATGCTATATGACGAGTTAGTGGGTGCAGCACACCAGCATGGCACATGTATACATATGTAACTAACCTGCACAATGTGCACATGTACCCTAAAACTTAAAGTATAAAAAAAAAAAGGATCAAAAAAAAAAAAAGAAAAAATCAAAAAAACATTGCTTTGAGATTAGGAACTGCTTTGTCTCTTTTAAAAGCGTTTAGAATAATGTTTAGACACTGGAATTAAACAAAACTAGTTTCCAATCCTGGCTTTGTCACTTATTATATTTTTGTCTCCATTTAAGTCTCTATTTTATCATCTGGGAAATGTGAATAACACCTACTCAAAATATTGTATTAAAATTAATAAAATATAATACACATAAAATCATTAGCACAGTGACTCATATATGTAAATGCATAATAAATTTAGCAATAGTAATTGCTGTTATGTTTGTCCTTCTCTATGAAGCCTAGTGCAGTGTGCTTGTTGTACATTAGGATACTTAATAAATGTCTGCAAATTAACTAATAAAGCCAGGCATCTTTACTTGTTTCAGTGACTGCTCACAATTCCTCCCTGCCTTGGCCTTCACCACTGGAAGAAACAAGAATCAGGATGATTCTTTGTTCACTGAAAAGAAAGCCATGTAGAGACGTATTCACTTCAACTGCTAATGGACTTGTTAAGTAGTTATTCAAAGAAGGAGGCAAGAGCTGCTTTCTTGCCCCATCGAGGGATAGAAAAAATTTCCAGCACCTGATTCCAGCTTCGCCCTGGAACTAGCAGCCTCCTTTCTGTCTGCTTTGCCTTGGCAAAACTTGTGTACTTCTACTGAATCAACATGCTGACATGCAGCTCTGCCGCCACTGCAGCCACCACCCACATACCCACATACGCTGTCTTAAGAAGCACTCTTTATTCTTGCCTATCTTCAAAAAGAGGTTAGAGATAAAGACCAATCTTCTGGAGGGCCTGCTTTGTGACCTCAGTGAGGGTCTTTCCAACTATTTCATTTGTTTGCTTGAGAAACTCCCACCTTGCCTCTAACAATTCAGCTCGTTATCAGAAAGAAATATGGAGTCTTGAGTGAAAATCTCAGTAGACTGCCTGATTCAAGAAGGATGTACAAAACAGGCACACACTATCAAATAGAAAGCAGGGGAATATTTCTATGACTACATTAAAGAAGGAAAGAGGGTTTGTAGTCAGAACACAAAACGGTAAATGAAATTACAGTATTTCTCTCAAAACTCTCCATATCCTCCTCCCTCTTATTTTTTACTTGATTTGTGACATTAAGCAAATTAATTAGACATTCTAGACTTCAAGGCTGTCCTCTGCAGTTTTAAAGTGAGAGTGAGATATTTTTACAGAGGTATTTTTGTTTTCCTGCAATACCGTGTACGTTGCTTATTGTATGAATTTTTGCTTCACACAATTTTAGAGGCTTCTACAAAACCTTAATATCCAGGTAGTGAGTATAAAGTGAGGTGCTTAATCGGAGGGGATCTTTAATAGTATTACACAGAGTATAATGTGGAATCCATGATTCTGACGAACAGGTTAAACTGTTTTTATCTTGAACCCCAATAATGATCTGATGCAAAAATCCTCAATATCCGTGTTGTGGTAAATGGTAGAATTTCTTTCTTTTGTTTTTTATTTTGTTTAAGGCTGAATAGTATTCTGGTATGTGTGTGTGTGTGTGTGTGTGTGTGTGTGTGTGTGTGTGATATGTATACACCCATACACACTGTATTTTCTTTATCCATACACCCATTTAAAGGTCTTACATTTAAGTCTTTAATCCATTTGGAGTTGATTTTTGTATATGGTATGATATTAGGGACTAATTTCATTATTTTCCTCATGGATACCCAGTTTTCTTGACATCATTTATTGAAGGCACTGTCCTTTCTCCATTGTGTGTTCTTGTCAGCTTTGTTAAAGAGCAATTGATTGTAAATGAATGGATTTATTCTGGGCTCTCTATTCTATTCCATTGGTCTATATGTCTGCTTTTATTCTAGTATCATGCTGTTTTGATTACTATAGCTCTGTAGTATATTTTGAAATTAGGAGAACAATGCCTCTAGTTTTGTTCTTTTTGCTCAAGATCGCTCAAGATGACTATTTGGAGTCATTTGTGATTCCAGATGAATTTTATGAATTTTAGGATTTTTTTTTTTGAGACAGATTCTTGCTCTGTATCCTAGGCTGGAGTGCAGTGGCATAATCTTGGCTCACTGCAACCTCCACCTCCTGGGTCCTCGTTCAAGCAATTCTCCTGCCTCAGCCTTGTGAGTAGCTGGGATTAAAAGCACGCACCACCATGCTCAGCTAATTTTTGTATTTTTAGTAGAGATGGGGTTTCACCATGTTGGCCAGGCTGGTCTTGAACTCCTGACCTTGTGATCCGCCCTCCTCAGCCTCCCGTGGTGCTGGGATTACAAGTGTGAGCCACCGTACCCGGCCAGGATTTTATTTTCTATGAAAAAAAAATTCAGGATTTCATTTTCTATAAAAAATGTCATTGGAATTTGAAAATGTTTAATAGAAATGACAAGGGAAGGCATCCTTTTCTTATTCCTGATCTTAGAGGAAAAGCTTTCAACTTTTCACCATTTGAGTATGATTTTAGCTTGGGCTTGTCATACATGGCCTTTATTGTGTTGAGGTACATTCCTTATATACCTAATCCGTTAAGAGTTTTTATGATGAAATGATGTTGAATTTTGTCCAATCTTTTTTCTACGTCTATTGAGATGATCATATGGATTTGTCCCTTATTCCATTAATGTGCTATATCACATTTATTAATTTGTGTATGTTGAACTATCCTTGCATCCAAGGGAAAAATCCTACTTAATCATGGTAAATTTTTTTTTAATATGCTGTTGAATCTTGTTTCCCAGTACTTTGGTGAGGATTTTTGCATCTAAGTTCATCAAGGATATTGGCCTGTAATTTTCTTTTCTTGTAGTGTCCTTGACTGGCATTAGTATAAGGATAAAGTTGGCCTTAAAAAATGAGTTTGGAAGTGTTTCCTTGTCAATTTTTTGGAAGAATTTAGGAAAGATTGGAATTACTTTTTCTTTAAATGTTTGATAGAATTTACTAGGTTATAGGCTTTTCTTTCATGGAACACTTTAGATTACTAATTCAATCTTCTTACTCATTACTGTTCTGTTCAGATTTTCTGTTTCTTCATGATTCAGTCTATGTGGATAGTATGTATCTAGGAATTTATCTATTTCTTCTAGGTTTTCCAATTTGTTTGCATATAATTGTTCATAGTAGTCCTTTATGATCTTTTGCATTTCTGTGGTATTAGTATATTGTTTTCTCTTTCATTTATAATTTTATATATCTGAATTGCCTGTCTTAGACTAGCTAAAGATATATCGATATTATTTATGTTAAAAAATTTAACTTTTAGTTTCTTTGAATTTTCCTATTGTTTTTCTGTTTGATCTATTTCTGTTCTGATCTTTGTTATTAATACTTATCTTCTACTGACTTTGGGCTTAGTTGGTGTTTCTTTTTCTACTTCTTTGAAGTATAAACTTAGGTTGTTTATTGAAGATTTTTTCTCATGTAAGCATTTATCACTATAAAATTCCCTATAAACTGCTTTTGCTGCATCGTATCAGTTTTGATATATTGTATTTTCATTCTCATTTGTCATCTTTCTCATCAAGATGATGATATCAATCTCATTAAGTTTTTTTATTCCTTATTTGATATTTTTATTGACTGACCCCTTAGTTGTTCAGGAGTGTGTTGCTTTGTTTTCATGTATTTGTGAATTTTCTGTGTGTGTTTGAGAAGAATGTGTATCCTGCTGCAGTTAGGTGAAATGTTTTGTATATGTCTATTGGATTTATAGGGTTGTTCAACACTGTATCTTTATCAGTTTTCTATCTGGATGATCTATTCAGTGTTGCAGGTGAGGCATTGAAGTCTCCTGCTATCATTGAATGCTGTTTGTCTATTCATTTCTGTAGTGTTTGCTTTACATATTTAAGTGCTTTGATATTGAGTAGGTATTTATTTATTTATAGTTACATCATCTTGATAAACTGATCCTTAATCATTATATAATAACCTTTTTAGTCTTGTTTTACAGTTTTTTGACTTAAAGTCTATTTTATTTAATGCAATTACTGCCATCCTTGCTCTCTTTTGGTTACCATTTGCATGGAATATCTTTTTCCTTCTGTTCACTTTCAGCTTATGTGTGTCCTTACAGCTAAAGTGATCTCTTTTAGGCAGCATATAGTTGGATCTTGCTTTTTAATCCATTCATATACTGTATATATTTTGATAGGAGAATTCAATTCATTCATATTTAAAGTAAGTATTGATAGGTAAAAATTTACTACTGCCATTTCGTTAATTTTCTGACTGTTTTGTAGTTTCTTCATTTTATTCTTTCTCCCTAGGTGTATTCCTTCATGATTTGATAATTTTTATGCTTTAATGGTATGCTTTATTCTCTTCTCGTTATCTTTTATGTATTTACTGCTGGTTTTCTCTTTGTGGTTACCAAGGGGCTTACATAAAACATCTTATAGTTATAACAGTTTATTTTAAGCTAATAACAAATTTAACTGTACACAAAAATGCTACACTTTAACATCTTCTCCCACGTTTTATGTTGGATGTCACAATTTCCATTTATATATATTATGTATCAATTAAAATTATTGTAGTTATAGTTTTTTTAATTTTATTATTATTATACTTTAAGTTTTAGGGTACATGTGCACAACGTGCAGGTTTGTTACATATGTATACATGTGCCATGTTGGTGTGCTGCACCCATTAACTTGTCATTTAGCATTACTATGCAGCCATAAAAAATGATGAGTTCATGTCCTTTGTAGGGACATAGATGAAACTGGAAACCATCATTCTCAGCAAACTATCGCAAGGACAAAAAACCAAACACCGCGTGTTCTCACTCATAGGTGGGAATTGAACAATGAGAACACATGGACACAGGAAGTTACAGTTATTTTTAATATATTTGTCTTTTAATTTTATACTAGAGTTAAAAGTGATTTATGCACCACCATTACAGTGTTAAAGTATTCAGGATTTGACTATATTTTTACCTTTATAATGAGCTTTATATTTCATATATTTTCATGTTGTTAAGAGTGCTTTTATTTCAACTTGAAGAATTCCCTTTAACATTTCTTGTAAAGCAAGCCTAGTGGTGATGAACTCTTGTAGCTTTTTGTTGTTGTTCTGGGAAAGTCCTAATCTCTCCTCCAATTCTGAAGGACAGCGTTTTCAGGTATAGTATTCTTGGTTAAAATGTTTTTTTCTTTTTGCATGTTGAATATATCATTTCTATTGTTTCCTGGCCAGCAAGGTTTCTTAGAAATCTACTGATAATCTTATGTTCTCTCATATGTGATGAACTGCTTATCTCTTGGTGCTTTCAAAATTCTCTGTCTTTGGCTTTTGAAAATTTGATCATAATGTGTGTTGTTAAAGATCTCTTTGTATTTAATCTATTTATATTCCTACCTTTATAATGGGTTATATACTTCATATATTTTCATGTTGTTAGAGTCCTTTTCTTTCAACTTGAAGAACTCCCATTATGATTTCTTATAAAGAAGTTCTTCGGACTTCATGGATCTGGGTGTTCATTTCTCTCTCCAGATTTTAGAAGTTTTAGTCATTATTTTTTTACAAAAGGCTTCTGCCCTCTTTTCTTTCTCTGTTCCATCTGGAACTTCCATAATGCATATATTGGTTTGCTTGATGTTGTCCCATAAGTCCCACAGGCTTTTTTTTTTTTTTTTTTTTTTTTTACTGTTTTTCATTCTGTTTTCTTTTGGTTCCTCCAACCGATTAATTTCAAATGTCCTGCCTTTTGCTCAAAGATTATTTTTTTCTGCTTAATTGAGTCTGTTATTGAGACTCTTTATGAAATTTTAAAATTCAGTTATTGTGCTCTTTAGCTTCAGAATTTCTTTTTTTATGGGTTTTTATCTCTTTATTAAATTTTTAATTTGTTCATATATTGTTTTTTAAGATTTGTTTAGTTGACTGTGTTATTTTGTAGCTCACTAAGCTTCTTTAAGAGGATTATTTTTATTGTTATCAGGAAGTGCATAGATCTTCATTTCTTTAGGGTCAGTGTTGGGTGAATGTATGTTTAGCATTGTTATATCCTCTTGCTGAATTGATCCCTTTATCAGTATATTATGACCTTCTTTGTTTCTTTGTATGGTTTTTGGCTTAAAGTCTGCTGTATCTGATATAAGTATAGCTACCACTGCTTGATTTTGGTTTCTATTTGCGTGGAACATCTTTTTCCATCCCTTTACTTTCAGTCTATATGTGGCCTTACAGATGAGATGAGTATCCCGGTGGGTCATATTTTTTTAATCCATTCTGCAAGCCTGTGTCTTTTGAGCGGAAAATTTAATCCATTTTTATTTAAGGTTATTATTGATATGTGAGGGCTTATTCCTGTCATTTTGTTGATTGATATCTGATTGTTTTGTATATACTTTGTTCCTTTCTCTCCTCTTGTCTATCACTGTGGTTTGGTGGTTTTCTGTAGTGTTATCATTTTCTCTTCCTTGTTTATATATTTGCTCTATTAATGGGTTTTATGTTGTGTGTTTTTATGATGGTGGATATTTTTCTTTCACTTCCAGACATAGGATTCTCTTAGGCATTTCTCGTAGGTCTAGTGGTGATGAATTCCCTTAACATTTGCTTGTCTGAGAAAGTCTTTTTTTCTCCGTTATTTATGAAGGATAATTTTGCTGAGATTAGTATC
Organism: Homo sapiens; assembly: GCF_000001405.40. Taxonomy (NCBI): domain Eukaryota; kingdom Metazoa; phylum Chordata; class Mammalia; order Primates; family Hominidae; genus Homo; species Homo sapiens. The sequence continues at coordinate 95,619,651 of NC_000011.10, read as the reverse complement.
CTTGACTGACAATTTTTTTCCTTTTAGTACTTTGACTATATTATCCCATTCTCTCCTGTCATGTAAGGATTCTGCTAGAAATTTACTGTTAGCCTGATGGGGATTCATTTACAGGTGACTAGATACTTTTCTCTTGCTGTAGTTCAGAATTCTATTTGTCTTTGACTTTTGACATTTTGACTACAATGTGCTGTTGAGAAGACCTTTTTGAACAGTATATTTTTGAAGATCTCTGGGCTTCCTCAATCTGGATGTCTACATCTTTTGCTAGGCTTGGGAAGTTTTAATCTATTATCTTGTTAAATAGGTTTTCTAACCCTTTAGTTTTCTCTTTGCCTTCTGGGACCCCCAAAATTTGAATACTTGGTCACTTTATGGTGTCTCATATGTCATGCAGGCTTTGGTCATCCTTTTTTATTCATTATTTAAAATTGTTTTCTGGCTGGGTCATTTTAAGAGACCTGTTTTCAACTTCTGAGATTCTTTCTTCTATTTGGTTTTTCAATATTTTCTTGGACCTCTCAGAGCTTCTTCAAGATTAATATTTTGAATTATTTTTCTAGGAATTTGTAAATTTTTCCGGATTGAAATCTCTTGCTGAGAATTATTGTGATCTTTTGGTGGTGTCATATTTTCTTGCTTTTTCATGTTTCTCTTGTCCTTATATTGATATTTGTGCACCTTATGTAACAATTGCTCTTTTCAGTTTTTGGATTAACTTTCATAGAAGAAGGATTTTTCCTGAAGATATGTTAAAGTTGTTGGTTGGCAAAGGTACTTTAGCTTTGATTCTGAGTGCATGCAATAGTGTAGTCTCTGTATGATTTCTTCAGCTGTGAATAGCATCAGAGGAATCTGTGATTTCCTCAGTGGCTTGGCTGAGGTTGTTAGTAGAAGCTGTCGTGAGGCATTGATGGGGATAGGTATGCCAAGTGGGCCAGTTCTCAAGCCCCAGTGTATCAGTGGCAGGCGGAGTGTGCTTGACCTAGGGCCACTCAGTGGCATATACAGGCACTGGTGTTACTGGATCCAGGTGGGCCAATTCTTGGGCCTCCAAAAAGCTTGTTTGTGTACTGGCAGTTGTAGCAGTGTGCCAGTTGTGTGGGTGGGTCCTGAGGTCCCTGGACGTCATACCCCGCATGGGTGATGGGAATAGCAGTGGTAGGATAACCCTTAGGCTCCCAGGTGGCACTTGCTAATGTTAGCAGTGGCAGTGATGGGCTGGGCAAGGCAGTCTCCAGGTTCGTAGGTGGCACATGTGAATGGGTGTATGTGGCAGTGTTGGCAGCAGAGTGAGTGGGCCCATCTCCAGTTCCTGGGAATTAGTAACTTTTATAGTTCGTTTTCAAATGCACTTATGATTTCTTAGTTAAATCTCTATTTCATTTATTTATTTGTTTACTTATTTTAGTTTAGTGCTTGCTCTAGGGTTCACAAATTGTATATTTGCATTACTACAGTCTACCTTTAAATAACATATCCATTATGTTATAATGGTCTGAGAACCTTACAACAGTGTACTTTTGTTTTCTCTCTCTCATTTTTTATGCTGTTTTTGTCATACATTTTACTCTACATGTGTTATAAACTCAACAATATATTATTATCCTTCATATTTACACAGTCAATTTTCTTTTTTAGAAATTAAAAAATTGAAAAAATCTTATATGTTTACTCACATATGTATCATTTCCAGTGCTTTTTGTTCTTTTATGCAGATAAAAATTAGCATTTGGTATCATTTCTTCTTGCTTGAAGAACTTGTTTTAATGTTTTTTGCAGTACATGTCTGTTGGTGGTGAATTATCTTAGATTTTGGTTATCTAATAAATTCTTTATTTTATCTTAATTTTTGAAAGATATTTTTTCTTGGAATAGATTTCTAAGTTGATAGTTTATTTCTTTCAATACCTTAAAAGTATTGTTCATTTGTCTACTGACTTGCATAAGTAGCTAATGAAAAGTTTGCATTCATTCTTCTCTTTGTTCCTGTCTATGTAACTGTTTTTTGAAGGGAAGTTCTGAAGTTCTGAGTGCTTTTAAGACTTTTAAAAAATCACTAGTTTTCAGTATGTTGATTATGATGTGCTTTGGTATGGTTTTGTTTATTTTTACTCTGGGGTTCTTGGATCTATGCATTTATAATTTTTATCAAATTTGGAATAGCTTTGAGTACAATTAATTCAAATCTGTTTTCTAATCATATGTATGTTAACTGCTTGATATTGTTTCACAGGTTGCTAATATTTATTTTGGATAGCTTTTTGCTATGTGCCAAGTTTGCCGATCATTTCTTTGTTAGTGTCTAATTTTGTGTTAATGCCTCCCAATATATTTTTCATTGTAGCCTTCTCTAGAAGTTTTACTTGGATCATTTTTTATTATCCTCCATTTATCTCTTCATTACTTTCAAGTTTTCCTCTATTTTCTTGAACATGTAGAGTTTATTTATAATATCTGTTTTTATGTCCTTGTCTGCTAACTTTATCACCTCTGTCTTTTTTGTGTCTGTTTTTATTGGATGATATTTCTCCTGGTTATGTGTCAGACATTTCTACTTTTTTACATTTCCAGTATATTTTTATTGCATGCTAGACATTACAAATTTTACATTGTTCGGTGTGATTTTTTTCTCATATTTTTAAATAGGCTGAGACTTTATTTTGACAACCAGTTAAGGTATTGAAATCAATTTTATTATTTTGAGACTTGATTTAAGCTTTTAAAATTGCCACTTTAGAGCAGCCTGTAATCTGGGGATAATTTTGCTCTTATACTAAGGTGATGTCCTGAGGATTCTACTTAATGATCAAGGTATTATAATATCTTTCCATTCTGGCTAGTAAGAACACAAACTATTCTCAGCTTTTTATGAGGAGTTTTCGACTTCTTGCTTTCTGGTGATTCCCCAGTCTTTGTGGCTTCATTCTCAGGTCTGCAGCTAAGTACTCAATTAAAGATTCAAGGATACCTTTATGCAGATCTCCAGGGCTCTTTGATTCCTCTTTTCAACTAAGTGAGTCTCCTAGGCTCTGGATTCTTCCCTTTGAACCACAGTCTGCAAAGTGAACATCTGGGAATCTGTAGGGCTTACCTCATTTGTTTTGCTGCCTATTGTCCAATGTCTAAAAGTCATTGTTTCAAATATTTGTCCATGTGGTTCACTGCCTATGGCTTATGAATATCTGTTTTGCATTTCCTACATTTGGCCCTGTTCAAAGTTATTTTATCCTCAGTGTCCCAAATGGAACTCTATTATTCACTCAGTCATGGTTTAGACATCATTGACATGCCATGTGCTGGAAAGTTTGTGAGGCACTAGGGAAACAGAGTGAGTGAGACAGAGTCACTATCTTGGAGAGCTACCTGAGTGTGTGGGAAACAAACTTTTAAAATTATAATTGGGCTATACGGCTACAATGTCTGCTATTATGAGAGAATTAATGATGTGTCGTGGGAAACCAGAGGAGGAAATAATTAATTATAACTGGGTTGGGCTAGGATCAGGGAAGAGTGGTTAAAGATGATTTCACGTAGGAGGTGACTTAACTGTGGTACAACTCAATAGTCTATGTCTCACAAAAAACTAATAAGCAATGAAACAACTTTTTGGCATAAGGGTTATAACTGTTGGAATTCCTAGTAAAGTTAACAAACTTGAGCACTTAAAACTTATAATAATATAAGTATAATATATATTATAATAATATAATATAAAACTTAAAATAATATAAAACTTATAATAATATAATTTTTTCTCCCATACTTAAAATGGGAGAACAAAATAGATGAGAAGTGAAGTACCATGGCAAATTTTAAAACCACAGTTCAATAGCACTAAATAATTTTTGTTTGCTTATTCCCTTGAATGATCATTCCATTTAATATTCATGACAGTTGTAGGAGATAGTGTCTTTATTATCAGCTCTCTTTTGCAGATAAACTGAAGTATAGACAGGTTAAGTAAATTGCCATAAGCCCTGCAAATGCTATGTGGCAGAGTTTGGATTCAGGCTGAGGAGATTGTAGGGTACCAGAACTGTAGTCTTAACTGTTGTTAAAGCAAACTAAGTATGGGTCCTGAGGACTCCCTACTTCCATAGTTGAGTCCTTGTGGATGAACTGTAACCTAGTTTAATAGTTAGACAAAATTGAAAACCTGACTTAATAGTATGCACCTGTAACAATGGCTGAGTGTTGGCCAATCCCAGCAGCCAAACTTCAACCACTCACAGACTGCTGGATGTCCAAACTGCATTCAAATAAGGCAAATGCTGAACTGTGACCAATCTCACCGTTTCTATACCTCACTTCCGATTCCTGTATGTCACTTTACCTTTTTTGTCTATAAATTTGTTCTGACCACAAGGCACCCCTGGAGTCTCTGTGGATCTGTTGTGATTCTGGGGGCTGCCCGATTCACGAATCGTTTATTGCTCAATTAAACTCCTTTAAATTTAATTCAATTGAAGTTTTTCTTTTGTCAGTTGGTGTCAGAAGCGGGATCCGAAGTGGAACTTCTAGCAGCCCCCCAGGACCACTGCATGACCCACTTGTGTCCATTGATCTCTCAGAGCAGTTGGGGATCCTGGGTAAGCTCCCTCTTGGATTTCTGAGCTCCACGGATTTGTGTTTTCATCTCTCCAAGTTTCTTTGAGCAAATTTCTAATCCAAACTGGGTTTGGAGTAGTTACAGAAACTGGATTGGGTCCAGGAACAGATTTGATCTGGGAATTAACTGGCTTAGATCCAATCAGAGGCCTCTTACATCTGACTGGGTCAAAAAGGACTTGGTAGTAAGCAGTAATATTGCAGGGGTTACAAAATTTGGCTTTTGAAAATTCACAGGGATTTTTGTGTTATACCCCTTTGTTTCATTTTTCTTGCATGCTTAGGTAGGAAAAAATCATTGGCTAAGTTAATCAAGAGAACCTGAGTGTGAAGCCAATATTTTAGGTAAAACTGTGCTCCTTAATTTCTGGAAGACTGAATTCCTTCTGGCTTATATTTTAGGCCTGGGAGGCAGCGAAATCTTACAGAAATGGCAAAATCTTACTAAAGATAAATTACAGTGGAAGTGAACAACAATGCATTGAAGTACATTTAAAAAATGAGGGCTCTCAGTAAAGTCCGTTTTGGCTAAGAATGGATTTGGCACTACAGCATGTCAACTCAACTGCTATTCTCTTTGGGAGAATCTGCCTTGCATTCTTTGCCAATGGCTGTGGGTGTCAGGATGAGACATGTACAGGTTTGTGGAATATGGGGAACTTTTCCCTCCCTAAAAGGGGAAACTTGAGAGATGATGGGACTGCTGGAAAAGATCCCTTTGCTACTGAGAAGCAGCCACCTGAACTTTTCACTGTCACTGCAATGGGTGACTCTTTCTCTGGCCTCCCTGATCATTTCGCCTTCCCCACTCTGCCACAGGCAATGCTTTTCTCACTCTCCTTTCCCTTTCTTATCTTTTCTATTACTCAGGGAGACCATATTGCCCAGAGATCACAGGTTAAAACTCCTGGTCAGAGGTTGGATTAACAATGATGGGGCCCAAGCAGGGGCAAGTTTGAGCCTTGCCAGTTTGACATTGGGTGCTAATCAGAGTAGCTAATGACTATATTTTGTCGCACATATTTTACTCTGGCCAGAACAATTTTCCTTTATGATGTGGCTTGGCCCCAGTAAGATGGTGTAGCAAGCTGAGTCACTAGGGCCGCTCAGGAAAAGGGAACCCAGAAGCCTGGTGTGCCAGCAAAAGGGTAAGAATTTCTTACTAGTCAGGTTTCTGGCTTCTCTCTCTCTGTGCAAATGTTTGAATGAATGGTAAAAATCACTGTTTATCTCTATCTTATTTTATGTCCTCAGGAGCTTGACCTTGTAACCATGAGGCAGTACTTTCTTTTGGTCTCTACCTTCCAGAGAACAGGAATTTTAGGTTTTATGTCATAGTTAGCTCTAAAAATCATCTTGAGTAGTTAAAGCCCTTTTCAAGATCAAAATTAACTACTACAGATTTCTTCTGGGAAATATAGTAGATATTACTCTGTCCTGTAGTTAAGGTTTTCACTCTTCACGCTGATGGTCAGGGTTTGATTCCCTGCTTAGGAAGTAGGTCCTTTTTGGTTTAATATCTGCATGACTTTGTCTAGTCTCTTCTCCTCCATGTACTATCTTAAGTTTTCCTTTCTCTGAGCACCTGGGAGGTTACCTTTGGTAAAGTTCAACAGCCAGAAATATTGGCTGTTTGGCCTGGCTAAAATTGGGTAATAAAAAATTTTTAAAGGATGTTATTAAAGAGTGCTATGGTTAAAAGTCAGCTTAATTAAAAGCAGATATTCAAGCTCTAACAGCCTGGTCTCCTTGGGAAAAACAGGAGGCACCAGAAACCCCTTTCCTGGCCTTTTTTTCCAAGGGCTCCAACCTAAAGCCAATAATCAATTAAGAAACTTAAAAATTGACAAATGAAAAATCTTACAACTACTGTAGTAATATTCTTCTGTCTGTCTGTGTAATTATATATGTGTTGTGTGTAATGTTTATATAAAAATTCTATGTGTGAACCTATTGGCTAAAGTTAAATGGCATTATTCAGTTTTTTCCCATAAATTGGACATTGGAAGAAAAGGACAACAGAGTTTGCTTACAACATTGTCCTGCTTTGAAAAAAAAATTGTAAAGGGTTATAAAAGGTTTATAAAAATCTTACCATATGGTCAAACTAACTAAACTGAATAGATTTATAAAATGTTATTAAAAAACAAACTAGCTTTACAACTACAAATACACCAATGGAAATATAAAATTTTGTTTTCTCTTTTAAAAAGGATTTTTATGTAGTATTAAAAGATAACGAAACGTTTTCATTTACCTTTTAAGTAAACTACAAAAGAAAAAGGGGGAAAGGGAAAGAAAGGAGACAGAGTCAGTTGGCCTCATGCTATCTCCATTGGGTCTTGTTTGGAAAGCTGAGTCTCCTCTCTATCAGAATAATGTTTTTTCCTTTAAAAAATTTTTGAGCTATCGTTTTGGCTAAATGAATGACTTATAGTAACCTAAGATTCTATTTTGTAATATCCAATGTTTAAAATTTTGTTATTTAACAAACCTTTCAAAATCAAACTCTAGATTATCATGCTAAATTGGTCAATACTAAAATTGTTTAAATATGCAGTTTGAATGAACTCCATGGTCTAAGTCAAATTACCTCTGATAACCCACCTAAATTGAAGAAACAACTGGTATTCAAGAGGACATAAGCCTAGTGTTAAGCATGCACTCATGAAGAACCAGGACAGCCACCTTGTCCTTCCTGATTCCTTAAAGCTTTTGTTATTAAAGGTTCTGCATTCCATGACTTGTCATGGAAAAGATAAAATAACCCAAATTGAGTATATTGATGTGGTGACATAAATTGTGGAAATAGTTTAAAACCAATGTTTGGTTCCATAGTCCTGGGAAGACAATCAAAGCTTCAGGTACATTTGGCTACCTGATGGACCATTTAACATTTATAAAGGGATTTCATTCAATTGTCATTTTCAATGCATGTTTTCTGTTTGTATAAAAGCTTTCCCATGCAAGAGGGCTGATGTTACAACAGTAGATTATTGTGCAACAGTGTATTTTCACCTAGTAAAAAAATCTTTTCATGGTTCACTAAGGACAATCCCTTCATGATCTAGAGCCTGAAGGTAGGATCTTCTGAGAACATCAGAAAAAGACTATCTCTACCATCCACACTACAGCAAAACTTTGGAGCCTTGAACCTTGGGTTCATAATCTCACAATGGAGAAGGGTCCCTCCACACTCCTAGAACTGTACATACATTGGAACCCTTAAGGTAAAACTAACCAGGAAAGTTTCTCCCCAGAAGAAGATGGCATCCTTGATGTAAACTGCTTTTCCCAAGATCACTAATCAAGACTTCTACTATTGAGAGACTTATCTTTGAATATATTTTCCTTGTTTATGTCTCTGAACAATAGAAATGAAAAGGGGGTCTATTATGTGCATTTATTTATAGGGTGTATTTTTATTTGTGAGGGATTTTGCAGCCAGCCTTACACATGAATTACCATATACTTTAATAGATAAAAGATGAAGGCCCAATGTAGGTGAGAAACTTTGGGGGTACATATGTTGCCTCATAATCAGTCAAAACACCTCTTAACCCACATCATGGATTAGAGAGAACCTTGCCAGGAGACCTTCACTCTTCTAGAAGGACATCATTTGTTAGGTCCTTTTTTCATGGTTTAGAATAAAATAGGCAATAATTAGAAATGTCACCCTCACAATAAGCTCTAGTAGAATTTACACATCAATACATCAATACACAGACAACAGACTTTAAATTCTCTTGTGAAAGATATGCTAAATAATAGAATTGGCTAAACATAAAAGTACTTGCACAGCTACTGACAGTTGTGGCCTATGGAGAAGTACATCAAATGTAAATTATACAATTTCAGTTGCGGAGGATTAATGAAAAGACCACTTAGTCAAGCGAGTAGACTCTTCATCTAGCTCATTCTTTAATCTATTTAATTTTATGTGGTTTGGTTTATGGGGACCCTTGGTAAGGAGCATACTCCGAACTCTTGCATTATCCTCCCAATAGTTATAATAATAGTCTCTCTGGGGCACTGTACTCTCTCAAAGGTTTTAAATGTTTGCAAGCAGCCATCTCTAGAATGTCAAATGGTTTCTTTTCAACTGGAATGACAAAAGCTGAAAGAAATGTGTGACCATGAGGACACCATAACCTATGAATCACATGCTTAGACCAGAAACCCAAAATGATGGTAACTGAGAGTGGCGCTAAGGCCCTAAGTTTTGGTCACACTCTCACCTACGTGAGAACTTGGCCAAGGCCAAAAGGGTTTTTTTTTTTTTTTGGACAGAGTTTCACTCTTGTTGCCCAGGCGGGAGTGCAATGGCACAACCTCCGCTCACCACAACCTCTGCCTCCAGGCTCAAGCAAATCTCTTACCTCAGCCTCCTGAGTATCTGGGATTACAGGCATCCACCACCATGACTGGCTAAATTTGTATTTTTGATAGAGACAGGGTTTCTCCATGTTGGTCAGGCTGGTCTCGAACTCCCGACCTCAGGTGATCCACCCTCCTCGGCCTCCCAAAGTGTTGGGATTACAGGCTTGAGCTACCGTGCCAGGTCGGGGATTTTTTTTTGTAAACAAAATTATGGGAGACCATTATTTTGGACTGAGCTCATACACTAGACCCCAACAAACCAAACCAAACTAAAATGGAGTCACTCATGCTAAATGTGACATAATCAAACTAAGGCTTTAAGAAAACACATAGATTCTAGAACAGACCAGGTTTTGTTTTTCTCCTGTAAACAGGATGTTCCAGCATAAGGAGGTACCCTCTACTCAGTCCTTATTCCCTTCTTTCAAAACCCACTGTTCTACTGTTTCCCAGTGGATTTCAAAACCATTTAAGTACATTTACGATAGTGATAGTAACATCAATGGCCAAGATTTTGGTCAATCTCTCAAAACCGAGAAAATGACAAAAGGAGGGAATTGTTAAAGCAAACTAAATATGGTCTGAGAAGGACCCCATACTTCCATATTTGAGTCTTTGTGGATGAACTGTAACCTAACTTAATAGTCAGATAAAATTGAAAACCTAACTTAATAGTATGCACCTGTAACAATGACTGAGTGTTGGCCAATCCCAGTGGCCATACTTCAACCACTGATAGACTGCTGAATGTTCAAACTGTGTTCAAATAGGGCAAATGCCGAGTTGTAACCTATCTTACTGTTTCTGTCCCTCACTTCCGATTCCTGTATGTCATTTTACCTTTTTTGTCTATAAATTTGTTCTGACCACAAGGCACCCCTGGAATCTCTGTGAATCTGCTGTGATTCTGAGGGCTGCCGAATTCATGAATTGTTCATTGCTCAATTAAACTATTTTAAATTTAATTTGGCTGAAGTTTTTCTTTTATCACTGTTGCATTAGCTATCTTTGCTCTCCAAGTTCGATAATGGTTCATATCTTCTTTCTCAAACATCTGGTAAAAATCTTTTAAAATAACTCGAAACAAACACATTTTAAATAACTAGCTACATAAATAAAAACTTAAATACATGTAAAATAATTAGCCATATAAATACAAAACTCAATGGAAAGACTCAGTAACACATAGAACCATAATCTATTATTCATTTATGCTTCATGGAGTGGATTTCCTTTTAGAATTATCCTTGGGAAAACTGTTACATATGTGGTGCATGAGTAATCAAAGATATTCAAATAGGATAAATATGATACACTATTTTCTATTTTTCCATCTATCAAACTGATAAAGATCTGGACAGTATTAATAACTAATGTTAAAAGTGTGTGAGAAGAGATACTCTTACATATTCATCATCACATTGAAAATTGATAACATTTGGAGGCTAATTTGGAAATATATAATAAAAGTCTTAAAATGTTATTTCTTTTGACACTATAATTTATCACCAAGGAATATATTCTAAAGAAATGATTATAAATGCACACAAAGAATTATAAATTAGAAAGTTCATAATAGTGTTATTTAAAAGTGAGCAGTCATAAATTAAACAATATTAAAACGATAGAATTGGTTAATTATTATATAATACTTCTACTTGATTAATATTATGTAGTAAAAAACATTTATATGCCAATACAATAAATAGGGCATAATTTCAATTTCATACAGACCTACACACACAAGTGACTCTCAAGGCTTGTGCTTATCACATGTACTTATTTGTTCTCTTTTGTTCTAAAACTACAACCATGAATGTGAATTCTTTTTACAACCAGAATCACACACAAAAAATAAAAATAAATAAATCCAGCATCTAAGAACAGATTTGAAAATTTTTGAGCTTAGATAAGTATATTCAAGAAAAAGCAAGGAGGGTATTACACAATATTCTGCTACATTTATCAGTCTTAGGATGTCATGGTTAATTCAGAAATATCAGAATTATTAGAAATTTTCTTTGGTAACTTGCCCAACTTCTTTATATTTCTGTAAATGTATCTATGTAGATGGTTAAGCATCTTGATTTAAAAGATAAACGGTTTCATCAATCACATAGAAGTTTCATTCACATAATTTCAAACATTCAGGTATTTGGAAATCTATTGATATTAAATGATGAGGTTTTCTTCTGATGATTCCTTTTGTCCTCCCTGACCATCCTGATTGGGAAATCCCCATTTCAGGCATTTGTGGAAAGAGGGCTGTGGCAGAACTCCAGAGAACAAGGGAGTCAATTCTTAGCTTTTGAATTCAAAATAGAGTTTTGTTGAGGAGGTTGAAAGAAAGGGCTTATGTGTATGCCACAAACAATAGTTTGGGGAAGAATGCTGTGCAATCTGAGAGCCAGTTTTCCTGCCTTTGACTTGCAGTAAGATTCCCTAGGCTGAGAGAGAAGGTGTAGGAAAGGAAGCGATACCATTAGGTATGAGGAAAGATGGGAGTGACAATAGTAAAACTCAGGTTAGAATGAATATTGGAAAGTAGAGGAGACCAGGGCTTCCCAAGGGGATATGTAGCAGCCCCTCGGAGACTGTAGCGAGACTAGACAGGGTGGAGGGGTAAAAGGGCCAGGAGGAACTGGTACATGCACCCACGCAGCCCACAGCACCAGAATGGCAGGAGACATCATCTGAAGGGGGCAGGGGTGGACCCAGGTCTTGGGGAACCTGAAGCTTATAGAATTTGAGGTATGCATTTTAGGAAAAAAGATAAAAGTATAAATAATACATTTAGAAATGGGTGCGAATATTTATTGACGTTGAAAATAGATCACAACAAATTATTAACTTTAAAAAGCTGACAAATACCATTAACATCACAAAATCTTGAAAAGCAGCATAATGTTTTTGTTAATAAACTGACATGTCCTTTATAATAATTTATTTTTACGGTTCTTGACTTCATGTACATTCATTGCCTTTTCCTATGACACATCTTTTAATGTTATTTCTATATCTTTCTATACAAAGATATATATCTCTATACAAAGATAATTTAGTCTCTCCTGTACACACTTATTAAAATTAAAAAAAACATTTAAATTTGTTTTAAACCTTGGGGTTTGTTCAGTCAATTGAGGAACTTAGAATTTTATTTTTGGTTTACATTAGCAATTTTTTTAAATTTAGAATTCAATTCTAATTAAAATTAGAATGCTACTTTGGCTAAGGAGATCCCAAAGAAACCTGAAAAATCAGTTCTGGCCTGACTGGAAGGGAGGTTGGACACATCTCATTATGCCCCCTTTCTTTGGAGTCTGGGCACAGCAAACAGCATTAACATAAAAGTAGAGATCATAAGACTGACAAAACAGACTCTTTGTAGCAATAAGATACCAAATTCCAACCTGACTCCGGTATGGCATCACATGACAGATAGCAGACCCAGAAAAAAAATCAAGATATTTTACCCCAAAATATATTTCTTTGACATGTTTTGAAATGGCCCTGCAAAGCGATGTCTTGTAGTGGAAATTTGCATTCTGCAGAGAATCTCCTTCGCTTTCTAGGTCTTTTCCTGATCTAGGCAGGATTTCACTAAGAGTCTGACACCCGTTAAAGTCCAAAAAGAGTCATTTATCATTTATCATCTATTATCTCTGAAGCCTCCTGCTTAGAGGCTGTATCTGCCTAGTGAGAAATTTGGCTTCTACAATCCCCCTTATTTTAACTCCAGCATTTCTTTTTGCTGACTTCAACTCTTTAGGCAAAGAGTTTTAACCAATTGCCAATTAGAATACCACTGAATACACCTATGATCTGTAAAGCCCCCTGCTTTGAGATGTTGCATTTCCAGGCTGAACCAATGTATGTATACTTTATATGTATTGATTTATTTTTGCCTGTAACTTCTATGATATGGGTTGGCTCTGTGTTCTCACCAAAATCTCATCTCGTGGCTGCCATAATTCCCATGTGTTATGGGAGGGACTCCGTGGGAGATGATTGAATTGTGGGGGCAAGTCTTTCCCCTGCTGTTCTCCTGATAGTGAATGGGTCTCATGAGATCTGATGGTTTTAAAAACAGGAGTTTCTCTGCACAAGCTCTCTCTTTGCCTACTGCCATCACATAAGATGTGACTTGCTCCTCCTTGGCTTCCACCATGATTGTGAGGCCTCCCCAGCCATGTGGAACTGTAAGTCCAATAAACTTCTTTCTTTTGTAAATTACCCAGTCTCAGGTATGTCTTTATTGGCAGTGTGAAGACGGACTAATACATTCTGTCTCCCTAAAATATATAAAACCAAGCTGTAACCTGACCACCTTGGGCACAAGTTCTCAGGACCTCTTGAGACAGTACTCTGAGCTGTCATCGTTCATATTTGGCTCAGAATAAATATTTTACAGAGTCTGGCTTTTTTCATCAACACTAATGTGATGTCACATACACATATACTTGCTATTACAATACTGCTATAGATCTGTGTTCTACAAGGAATTCTGATAATAAGAATTCTGATTAGTTTTATTTTCTCAAGTTCCATCGAAATGAAAAAATGTAAGGTGTATTTATCTTTTTATATGCTGCATTATTGTCTATATTCCTGACAGGAGAGAGTTTCCATTTTGACCAGGTATTGATGAGAATCAGACCTTCTGCTTATGATTTTTCATATCTGATTAATGGAAGAATTTTCCACAGACTAGATTCTGTTCCACATATTTCCAACTATTTCTCCTTCACTCTACACATATTTTTAATGCCAGGCACTGCAGGATATATTTTATGTTGCACCTTTGCATCATGATAGATGAGTTGGCACAGCAGGTTCTAAGAGGGTTGTTAGAAGACAACTTGGGACAGCCAGAAATAACTGTACATAAAAGTGACTGTGAATTACATAAACACGGAAGTAAATATATGACTAACTCAACTTCCTCTATTCTGGATATTAAAAATGCTGTTGACTACTCTAATGCGTCTTAATAATAGGGAAAGTGTAGGAGAGCACACGGGATTGATAAGAGGCAGTGGTTTTAGTCAATTTTGACTAGACTATTTTAGCTTTGCAAATTTTACAAAACAAATGCTATCTGAACACTTTGCTAGAGCTCCTCTCAGCATCTTGAATGGGACCTATGCAAGTGTGTGGAACATGAGGGCTGAGATTTGCTAGCTTCATAGTAAACCTGTCTCTGACTGGTAGATGGATGAGCCAAGATTCTGGTACATCATGAAAAGACTATACAGGGACCACACACACTTCCTCTGAGTTACTATGCAAACCTCTATGAACATAGATACCACAGCAGAGAAAAAAAGTTCTCTGATAACATAGGTGGGAATGTGTAATTCCCTGGGGTTAATTGGCAAAGTTACTTTATAAGAAAGACCTTAAAATATGATAATTTTACAAAGTAGAGAAGAGAAAAACTAGCTTAGTGAACCAGTCATTGTCTAAGTAGATTTCACCATTGTATCTAAATATTTTGGAAGCTTAGAAATAAAGTCTTCAACTCCTTTGCAAATATTGGTTTTAGTGAATAAAGGATAACATTTATACTGTATTTTATTCTGAAAGAAAAATCCTCTTTGCCACATTCATGTGTAGAAGTATTGCTTGGACATATATGAGATTATGTCATTGGACAACCTCTAGGGCTGCCAATGCCTCTGCAAAAGCATGCCTGGAGAAATGTGTGATGTTTTCTCCACATTAAATTGATCCTTTTAGGGTTAATTAAGAATTTAAGGACCAGCCATTTCCTTTAAGCCTAAAGGGATTTATGTATCCTTCAGAATTTCAAGACAGACTATGCCCACCAAAGGAACACTATAAAGGAAATTTTCCCAACAGTCCTGGCTTTGGGAGCAAAGCTTCTATATTTTAAGATTATTTTTAAACCCAAAATATAACTGTTATCAGTGAGCTATTTTTTCTGGATGACATATAAAAGTAGAGGCAAGTGGGGTGCCCCTCAGAGAAATAGCAACTCAAAGTAAGGAGAAACGTACTCCAAAGTAGAGGCATGCAAGAAAAAAATGACAGATAAAATCAAAACATGGGAGTTAAAACATCTGAGAGATAATAAGGAAAAAATATGGTGGTGTGAGAAACATGGGCAACATGTTAGACTTCTCATTGATTGTTATAATTTAGCAGTAATTGTGACTTGCTTCAGTGTGTGCAACGAGCTGAGTGTTTTCAGAGAACATTACCAATATTCAAAAAGAATTAGCTATTATTTTTCAGTGCCTCCTTTGGGTGAAGAAACTAATACACATTAGTTCTAAATCTCCTGCTAATCTTGAAAGTGAGAATCATTTTCTTTATTTACTAATCTAGGAAAGAGACTAAAAAAAGTAAGCAATAAGTAAGTCATGAGGGCTCATCTTAAGCATATGTCACTTGTGCTGTATGGATTTTATGAAATTACTGACACTTTCATATTTCACTTCTCAACAAACGCCACATTCTCTATTTCATTGGTCCTTCAATTATCCATAGTTTTAGGACGATTACTTGAGCCCAGGAGCTTGAGGTTGCAATCTGCAGTGAGCTGTGATCCATGCCACTGCACTTTAGCCTGGGCAATGGAGTGAGACCATGTGTCAGAAAAAAAAAATGTCAAAATTGGTAAGTTAATACATAGCAGAATCAAAATGTAGAAGTTTTAGAAGAAAGGGATGACAAGTTTACATTAAAAACATTTTTAGATGAAAAACATAAAAACTTAAAAAAGAAAAAAAAACTGTAATTTTTATCACAAAGTGATACTCTCCTGATGTGTAAATTTCTCTTTCCCTTAAGGAAAGCTAAAAATCCTCATAAAGAATCAAATTTATGAATAAATAGTTCAAAAATAACTATAAATGATTTCTAAGCATATGAAAGTATGCTAAACTTTTCAGATAGTAGGAGAAATATAAATTAAACCCAAGATAACACTTTGACAATTGACCATTATCAAAAAATGTGATAACAATCTGTAGACAAGATTGTAGAGAAAAAATTGTTCTAATATTTCTAATGGAATTGTAATTGATATAACCTCAGTGGATGACAATTTGACAGCAATTATTAAATATAAAATGCACATGATATTTGACACAAATTCTATTTTCAAAAATATATCCTACTGATATATTTGAATATATGTGCAGTAATATATACATAAGAATATTGATTGCAATGTGTTTTTGTGAGAGCAAAAGATGGAAACGAACTAGTCATAGAGTTTGTTTAACTAGTCGAACTAGACTAAATGTTTAGTTCATTTCCAAACTTTTGCTCTAGATTTTGTACATCTGCATTTATTTTCTATTAGAAATATACAGTTTTTTTTTTTAAAAGAAGAATTTGGTGGAAGTAAAAATGCAGCCATTTAAGCATATTGCTTAGAAATGTGAGGGTCAATACCAGGTTTAAAAAAAGCTGGAAAAGGTGAAAGTGATTGCCTCTTGAAGGTGAAGAGGGCTAGAGCTCTTTTTTATTATGTTTATTGTGTTTATTATGAATTATTTTATTATTATGCTATCTTTTATTATGTCTTTGAGTATTTTTAAAATTTTGCTCTTATGTGCAGATATTAGTTTGATAAAAATACCAATTAATTTGAAGGAATTCCCAAGGTCAAAATGTTTTACCATCCTTACTTTATTCCTTCCTTCCTAGCCCCACATCATACTTCTCTGTAATGTATATGCTTATTCCCCCCACCCATCCCTCCAAAAAAGACAACTGGGTTTTGTGATTTGATTTTATCAGTCCCTCTTTATTCTGTATAAATGTAATTTATTTGTTCAGAATATGAATGCTTCTATCAGTGTTTACAAAATCAATGTGGAACACCCTCAAGCTTAAACTCACCTTTTAGAAGCTGCATTGTCATCAGGATAGTGTTATTCTTAGCAAAGACCCATCTTTCCCTAAAAAAGACCTCAGAGATTATCTGATTATCTGAACATACCTTGTATCTTATTACCAAAGCTTCTTCTCCAGATACAAAAATGTTGTTCTTGTAAGAATATTATTTCCAAAATAAGGTTTATCTTGTAAAGAAGACCTCCTTTGCTCCACTCAATATTCATTGAGAAGGTAATGTGAGGACCTCATCCTCAAATCTCCTTAAAGAAGGGAAATATTTGTGGTTATTGTTGACTAAAGACTGTAGGAGAATTCACATTGTTCAGAAGCTGTTTTGATCCTTAAAAATGTAGTGGATATCCATAATAATGATACGCTGAAAATAATACTTTATTATTTGTTTTTACTCTACAAACATTTGATAAGTTATGTGCTGACTGTTGATATGGTCTGAATGTTTGTGTCCCACCAAAATTTATACGTTGAAATCCTAACCCTCATGATAGTAGTATTAGGAGGTGGGAGCTTTGGGAGGTTGTTAGGTCATGGAGGCAAAGCCCTCATGAACGGCGTGAGTGTCTTTATGAAAGAGCCAGAATGAGACCCTTCACTATCTCCACCATGTGAGGACACAGCAAGAAATAGGCAGTCAAATCTGGAAGACAACCCTCATCAGAACTCAACCTCATTGGCACCCTGATTTCAGACTTCTAGCATCCAGAACTGTGAGAAATAAATTCCTGTTGTTTCTAAGCCACATAGTTGATGGTATTTTGTTAAAGCAGCCCAAATGGACCAAGACAGGTGCCCTCTCTGTGCCAGGTAAACTGGGATATAATTTGAATAAAGGATATAATCTCTTAATAAATCAATCAATATTTAGAGACTATGTCTGCTAAGAGGAATAAAAAAACAAGGAAGGAAGAAAAAAAGAAAGGAAAGAAGGAAGGAAAACATATGAATTTATTGCCTACTATGTACAGGGAGCTCATGTGCTTTTCTACATTATCTCCCGAATGCTCTCACAATAAGCCTGGAAAGTCTATTATAAAGTTTAATATATAAACAGATATGCTAGAGGAACATACCACACACACACACACACACACACACACACACACAAGCACACACCACACACACATATACATACACTCTTCCAAGTTAATTGAAAAAAGTATACAAAAGCAAATATATCTATATATATGTCTACACAACACCACACACATTCACATATACACACATACATATATTTTACAAGTTAATGGAAAGAGCATATGTGTATATATGTAAATATATATTAACTTGAAAGAGTGTGTGTGTGTGTGTGTGTGTGTATTAAAATATAGTATTTAGTGTACAATGAATAGGGCAGACAGAAATTCAGGAGAAAGCTCATTAATTAGAGAATAGAAAGAGATAACATACTAATGTTTTTGAGTAGCAGGAACTTCACGTATTTTATCTTATTCTACTTTCTAAGTAACTCTGCGAGGGAGGTATTATTATTCTCATTTAGAAAAGTTGAAACACAGGTAGTTAATGATCACCTAGGAATTTAAATTCATACCTGTGTGATTCTAAAACACTTTTTCATCCTACTTCAGCAAATGTCAAGACTTAAGGGTGCCCTTAAGGATGGTTGAATGTAAGTACTATTTAATATTTTCAGATCGTATTTAGCATCACTTAGGAAGTTTAATATATAAAAGGAAAATTGGGATTTCCTTTCATCATCCATTCATTCAACAAGTATTTATTGAATTCCTACTTTAGGCCAGGCACAGAGTAGATAGGATTCACCTCTTCACCAGACATAGTCCTTGCGTTAGGCACTTACAGTGCTGGGGATTGGGGAGAGAGAACATAGACCGTGGAAGTACAATGCAGTAAGTACTGTGATGGGAGAGTACTGTGTGCAGAGGTGTACATGGATGGATCTGTATCCAGGCATCAGAATTCCTGAAGACTTCCAGGACAGCTTGCTGGGACAGGAGAAATGAGCACATGCTGGCCAGATGAGTGGAGGCCAGGAGCAGAGGTTGTGTTGGTGAAGGTGGTGGGGATGGTGGGGTGGGTGGGAGATGGAAATGTTCTAGGCAGGGGGATCTAGTTGTATGAAGATGACTGATGTCATAGGAGACTCAGATGGCCTGACACATTGTCTAATACTTGTTGGAACATGGGTGGGTAGGCAGAGAGGCAGTTATTGGATAGGAGAATAATTGGGGAACATAATCCAGTAATTACTGTAGGAGCATGAGATGAGAGTTATTGACCCAGAAATTCCCTGTAAAAGGGCTTTCTCTGTCCTTTCAGTTCCCAGAGACAGATTGTGCTGATGTCCAAGGGAAAATGTGTGCTTTTATCCTCATATCTAAGTAGGTCAGTATTTGCTAACACTCAAGGAGTCTGCATTATTTCCCATTCAGCTAGAACATTGTGCTAATGAGGAGCAGGTCATAGATTTAATCCCCTTATGGGCCTCTTAGCTTCACTGCATTCTGTAGCCACAGACAGCCCCCTAACCCTGGGCTGCACTTTCTCAATTGCCAGTTTCTGATGAGAGAAACCTAGGGAAACTTTTTGGACAGATTAAAGAAAGCTCATCACCACTCAGTCCCTCGCAGGGGTGTGACTTCCAGTGAATGTTCCACTGACAGTGGGTAATCAATGTAATTGTGGTTTTCTAAGAAAGCTTGAAACATTTAGTGTTACTGCCACTAAACCTCTAACCTCAGCTCCTGTGGAAAATTTGCAGCCAAGTGGCTACAATCGACTAATATTCTCTTCTTATTCCTCTTCAGAGGAAACTAAAAAATATCTATTAAGCATCTAGTGAATTGGTGGGGGTGCTGTTGGGGGTCCTACTAGTTGCTGTAGCAAGAGAGCCAGAGACACCCTCTCTTGTGCATTGACGTTTAAGTTTAAATACCATATATTTATTCAGGAATAATTTTACAGCACAATCTATAAACCCTGTCCTGTGCTAGGCATCTGGAAGAAAATCTGCACTAATTAACATTTATTGAGTATGGCCTGAGTGCCAAGCACACAGCTAAGCACTTTACAAGGATTATTTCATTTAATGCTCAAAATAGCATGTCAAGACTCAAGCTGGTGAAGCCCCCTCACCCCCAATTCCAACCCATCGCCTAGGATAGGTTAGAAAGTACAATATGTGTCACCATAGGAAAGGCACTATTGTCAGAAGTTCTCCCAGGTGAAATCTCCAGGCAAGGACGTCCATATAATTACAATAACTATAACCAACTTACTATAGGATAGGCATTTTCTGAGCACTTCGTATCATTCAAACTCTAAATTTAGTCCTTCACCAAATCTTAAGAAGTAGGTTCTATTAATATTGATAATTTATTTGTGAGGAATTTCATTCAGGACTGAAGCCCAGGTCTGAACTTCGCTATACTGAGCCTGTTTTACTGTGTAGATTTGCTGTTCATGTATTTTCTTTGGATGTCTATGCAAATCTTTTTCCTTTTTTCAGATCAGGTAGTTTGTGTACTAATTACTGTATTGTAGAGAGTTTTTATTTACTTTTCTTTTTATTTACTTTTCTTTTATTATTGCAGTGGCTAGGATCACCAAGACAATATTGAATAGAAATTGTGAAAGCATAGACCTTTGCCTTATTCTCAAGTATAGGTGGAAAGTATTCAGTTGTCATTATATATGATGTTAACTATAAGTAATTTGTAGATATCTTTGTCAGTTTGAGGAAATTTCTTGATATTCTGTTCACTAAGTTTTTTTATTATTATGATTTGATATTACATTTTT
Source organism: Homo sapiens (assembly GCF_000001405.40). Classification (NCBI taxonomy): domain Eukaryota; kingdom Metazoa; phylum Chordata; class Mammalia; order Primates; family Hominidae; genus Homo; species Homo sapiens. The sequence continues at coordinate 95,598,987 of NC_000011.10, read as the reverse complement.
GTCAATTGCTTTTTTAACAACTATTGAAAAGATTGCATGAGTTTTGTCTTACATTCTGTTACTATAGTGAATTATATTGAATAAATTCTCTTTGAGTATTAAGCTAGTGCTTTATTAAAATAAACTTGGTCATGATATATTGACTTTCTTATAAATTGTTGGATTTGATTTTCTATTATTTTGTTAATAATTTTTTGCTTATATTCATGAGGAATTTTGATTTTAAATTTCCTTTTTTGGGGTAATGTATTTGTCAGTTTTTAATGTTAGAATTATACTGGCCTCATAAAATAATTTGAATGATGTTTTCTTATCCTTTATTTCCTGAAAAAGTTTCAGTAGTATTGGTGTTATTTATTTCTTATATTTTAATATAATTAATTTACTAATGAAACTGTCTGGAACCAGAAATTTTATTTTGGAATATTTTTGATGAATTCAATTTCTTTAATAGATATATCACTATTCAGATTTTTTCTTTTAGTTGTCAGTTTAGATAAATTATGTTTTCAAAGAAATTTACCTGTTTTGTCTAAATTGTCATCTTTTTGGCCTAATACTGTTTACAGTATTCTCTTATTATTCTTCTAATATCTGTCAGATTGGTAATGATGATTCCATTTTCCTTCCTTCCTTCCTTTCTCTCTGTCTCTTTCTTTCTTTCTCTTCTTTCTTGTCTACCTAGGTGTTTGAGAGTTTTATTGATTTTTTTAAAGAATAGCTTTTGACTTTGTTAATTTTCTATAGTGTTTGTTTTCTGTTCTTATCTTTAATATTTATTTTCTTCTATTTATTTTCTCTCCTTTTCCTAACTTCCTAAGGCAAAAATTTTGTTTATTGATTTTAGATATTTTATTCTAGTTAAGCGCTCAAAGCTGTAAATTTACTTTTGTGCTGTATTTGAACTGCTTACTTCACCAGCACTGTGTCTGAGGAAGCCTGTTAAATCAGAAGACGAAAAAAAAGATGCAGTCTTATGACATAGCACCCAAAAGGTCCAGATTTTAACTGAAAAAATCACTTACTATACCAAGAACCAGGAAAACTACACCTTGAATAAAAAAAGACAATCAACAGATGCAAACACCAAGAAGACACAGATGTGGAATTATTTGACAAGGATTTTAAAACAACTATCATAAAATTCTTGAAAGACCAGTTACAAACATGCATAAAATAAAGAAAAAGAAGTAAAAGCAATTATATAAAAGACATAAAGAAGAATCAAGTAGAAATTTTAGAACTAAAAAATTTTAAAACTGAAAAAAAAAAAAAACCCTCAGTGAATGGGTTTAACAGTAGAATTAAAAGGGCAGAAAGATGAATCAGTGAATTTTTGGATAGAACAATGGCATTAATTACTCAATCTGAACAATAGGAAAAATAAATTACACAAAAACAAATAGAGCCCCAGGGACATAAAGGCTATAACTGAATATCTAACATGGATATCCTTGAAGTCTCAGAAGAAGAGAGAAAGAATGTAAGGCTGAAAAAAATGTCAAAGACATAATGACCGAAATTTCCTCAAATTTAGGAAAAATATATTCCTAATCCTACAGATTCAAGAAGCTGAGTGAAATCCAAACAAGATAAACCCAAAGGTATCCATGCCAAGACACATCATAGTCAAACTTCTGAAAACTAAATACAAAGAAAACATCTTGAAAGCAACCAGAGAAAAATGAGACATTGCCTACAGGGGAAAAACAATTAAAATGCCAGAGAATTTCTCTTCAGAAATCATGAAGTTGAAAAGAAAGTGATACAACTTTTTTTAAGTGCCAAAAGAAAAATTTTAAAACAGAATTCTATATCTAGGGAAAACATCCTTCAGAAATGAAGAAGAAATCAAGGCATTCTCAGATGAAGGAAAACAAATAGAATTTATCACAAGCAGACATACCCTAAAAGAATGGCTAAAGAAAGTTATATACACAGAATAGAAATGATAAAAGAAGGAATCCTGAAACATCAAGAAAGAAGAAAGAATGACATGACATGATGGTTTGTGTATCTCTTCACAGAGCCATCTCTATGGCTGGAAAGCTCACTTTGTTTTCCCTGGGTATCCAGTGTACATTAGTGAGTTCTATGGTGGAGGTCAGTTTCTTTTTTTATTGTATTTTTTGTTCTTTGAGCTACAAGTCAACAGAGCTACCCTAGGCAGCCATCTTGAAAATTCATTCAGGGTTCAATTTTTTTGTTTAATACCAACTCTATACAAGTGTATTGCTACAGACTCTGTAGTAGGGATACAGAGTTACACAACATAAATAACTGCCTGTAAAGAATTCACAGTCTTGTGGGAAAAACAAAATATAACTTAAACATAACATAGTAATAGGCGTAAGCCACAATGTAGGGGAGAGTCAAGAAGAGTGCCTTACCCAACTGGGAAAGCAATAAAAGGCAACACTCTGAAGTGGTCCCAGGGAGGGTAAGTTCTAAAAGACTGAGTACAAGCTCAACTGGATTCCGAAAGATAAATAGAAGCTCATCAGGGGTGGAAGTAATGGCAGGGAGGGAGGTTCTGTGCAGAGGGAGGGGAAGCATTTGTGAAGCCCTGGAGGTATGGGGAGTATGGTGCCTTCTGTATCTGTCATTTGTTTTGACTGGAGTTCAGGGGAGATAAGGCGGGACTGGCAGGCATGGTTCAGACAATGAAGAGGCTATTAGGCCTCTTGGTCATAAGGAAGTCTGAATCTGAGAATGTGGGTGAAGAGGTATTAATTTATATCCACACTAGAAAAACAACTCAAAGTACAAGGCTGGTTGCTGACAAATCAGTTGCCTAAGATATGTGTCTGATCCCACATGGGGGATGTTGCAGAAATACCAGTGACTGACTGGGCCTGAGCTCTCAGACAGAGAGGAAATCTGCTGAGTGGAAGCCTTTAGAGTCTGACTATGGGATAAACAGAGGTCTGCCCTCTGGGCAAACAGTGGATTATTTCTGGTAACTCAGCCGGAGGTGGATGGGGTTGGCTCCCAAGGCAGAAATAGCACTGCTTGGGCTTGTGCAGGCTCTTGAGTTCTCAGGCAGACCTGAGGAAGCTGACAAATCCAAAGAGGCATGAACATGGTGGAAAGAGCATTGGCAAGGGCCAAGGAAATGTTTAAAGCCAAGCAAGAGAGTAAGGAGAGGCATATTCTATGTTAATACCAACCTTAGTACAGGGGCCTAGTACTTGATATTCCCTTCTCAGCTCCGTAATTACAGCTAGCAGGAGCCAGGCTTCAAGCTAAGCACTTTTCGTGCATATTTAATAACAATAACAGACACGCCCTGTCTCACATACTGTTCCAGATAACATTCCATATTGTTACTCATTTAATTCTTATGTCTTCCTTACAAGAGAGTTAAAAATACTATTTTCATGGTACAGATGAAAAAGCAGTCTCAAAAGTAAGCTCTACCTAATATTACACAGGTAGGAACTAACCGCTGGATCTGGGATTTGAACCCAGGTAGTGAAACTTCACAAGCCTATGGTCCTTCTCATTATAACTCCATAAACATAATTTTCCCCGATTTATAGATGGAAAAAGTAAGGCTCAGAGTTGTTAAGTAAGTGGTGAAAATGCAATGGACCTCTGTCTCTAACTACAGTGCTAATTGCCTCAGCTACTGTATTCCACAGCTCACGATGGTGACGTGTTCAGAACTAGTTTCTGCCTCTACGGGACTCTTTCCTGATTAGAACAATGCATAGACCTGAATTGTGTGAGGAAACTGGGCTGTGTGGGGAGACCTACCAGACCCTTTAAGGACTAGATACATGTACCCTCCAGGGGCCAAGCGTAAGTGTTTGTGCCACACAGAGGATGCCAGCCACATGGTCAGTATGAGTGAAATAATTCATCCATCAGGCAGGGACCACCACCAGGGGCTCCATTTTCCTTGCTCTCACAAGCAGCCTCAAACACCATACACCTTAAGCCGTGAAAAGAGAACTAGGAAAGGTGTCCTGGAACCAGATATTGACTACCCTTTCCCCCAATCTCTAAGGAGACAGAGTAGGAAAAAACAGGAATAAGCAGGCTTGCTTTCCACTCCAATTCCTCAAGCCCAGCTCATGGAGGAGATGTGAGGAAGAGACAATGAGTGAATTGGTTATGCTTTTCAACTGGACTAGATAAGTCTTTTTGTTTTTTTAAAAAAATCAACCTAGGAAGCTTTGGAATCACTCAAGGAATCATTAAGGTAAGAGAAAGAGAGAATCCACAGAATTAACATTGTTAAGCAGGCTTCCTGAGACCTTTCTTGTTCATCATGGATGGACAGTGCAGTAACCAAGCCAAGAGCCCCAAGTGTGTTAAACAGAGAAAATGGTCGCATTTCCTTCTACCAATGGGAATCAAGATCTTATAGGGCGAGGGCAGAGGTGGTTAGCCAAGGCCTTGTCCTTCTTCCTGAAAGACATAGCCCTTGGGCAGAGATAGAGTCAGCCGAGCATCTCTCTGCCTCAGTGGATAAAATGGAAACTATCATAGACACTTGGGAAGACCATGAGACTACGAAAGGGAAGCTCCAGGCTTTTCTACTGAGATGTTGATTGGAAACTTAATTCTTCTGAAAGTTTGACTCCCACCAGACCTCAGATGTGGCCCCTAAGGACAGAAAACTGGGCATGTTAAGTCAGGCCAATGGTTGCAGCTGTGTTGAGACTCTTAAAATGACACCAAAAGAGAGTGTGTGAGATGGCAGGGCATCCTCTATGTTGCTCCCCATACCATGGACACACTTCCATGTTGCTCTTCAGGGTCTAGAATTAATCTGTCATCTAAGAATGGGTACTTCTATGCTACCTTTATATTATTTTTTATTTTTATTTTGTATTCTATCTCAGGGAGAGCAACCTTTATATGATTTTAGGTAGTCATTATCGTAAAATATCCAAGATGATCAATTCATGCATTCATACATTCATTGTCCAACAGTCATTTATGGAGTACCTCTTATATGCCAGGTACCCAAAATTAAATTCTTAGGTTCTTATATTTCCAGGCCCCTCAGGATATGTCTCAGAAAACAAAAGCATTTATTCAAGCTACAGAAAGGTGGCTGTGAGAAGAATGAGAAACAAAGTCGCACATTTTAGGACAACCAAAGGCTTTCTGCAGAAAAGAATATGAAAAAAGATGTGACTTTCACTTTATGTTTCCATTTTTCTGGATACTTAAATCACAGAAACTTGTCAACTTTCAGTATGGAGACTGCAATGTGAAGCAGGTAGTATAATCTACTATTTTCTATCCTGGTTGGGAATTAGTACACCTGAAATGGGCTTTGTACATGTTCAGGGAGATCCAAGTGTTTATTGGAGATTACTTGAATGTTGCAGCAGTAGTGATTTTTAGTTTCTATCTGGATAAGAAACGTATCATTTTTATGTTGTTTCAGAACAAGATAGAAGTGGATTTTATAATTTACATACTTACCTTCATATCCATTAGACAGTTTTGTCATGTTCCACCACTTAAAATATTTTTTCATCTGAAATGTTTCGGGAATGGCATGGAAATTCCTATCCTATGCCTTTGGATGAGGAGAAAGGGTGTGGGGTGGAGAAGCAATTATAGTTTTAAAGAAAGACTGGCTCAGCCTCACACTCTCATAGCCTATTTAGTGACGTGATTTGGATTGCATTTTGCTTTTAGCTGCAGTCTTGTGTAGGTAAAGAAATCACTGCATGAGCTCACCCTTGGCGCCCAGCCCTGGGCTATCATGCCAGTAAAGTCAGCACACCAAATGTCTATACCTTTAGTCTAATCTCAAAATGAACTTGACTCAGAAAAAAATTTTCCATATTATTTTTATTCTTAACCTTTCAAGTCTGTTGGTTTCTTCTGAGGCATTTCTTTTGTCAGGTAGGAGAAGACAAAGGAGGAGAGAAAAAGGTGAACAAGGGAGGAAATAATCTTCCCTAGCATGCTCAGGCTAAACTGCCTTTCTTACATGGGGTAGGAGGCAGAAAGAACCCATGCGCCCTTGTCAATGGCATTGTATGGATGTGCGTGGACCTTTCCAAGCATGTTTTAAAAATTATAGCCGTAAGAGAACACAGTAAGTATTTGCCATGGCTTGAGCAAAAGACATACCAGAGCTCTTTTAATGATGCTCCCTGGGCTTCAGGACCCTCTGCAAAACCTCTGGCCTGTTTTACTTACTTGAAAACAAGCAAGTGATTTGGTGATTTATCCTGCAAAACAGCCGTACAACCCTCACCCTTGTTCTCCCTTAAGTGAATGTGCCAGACAGCATGTTTGCCTTGCCCACGGCCTCCCCACGGGACAGCAGCTCCAGTTCTTTATTCAAGCATCTTAAGTGAAACTTGAGCACTCAGCAGAGCTCCACAGAGCCGCACAAGAAGAATCTGGATGGGATCCTAACCCTGGCCCCTCCCCTCATCTCCCACTGTAACCCTTCCCCCACAGCCCTGACACTCTGCTGAGTTGGTAGCTGCAAGGAGAGCTCTGAACCTTCCTATCCACAGTTCTGGCTTGGAGGCAAATTGCAGATACCAGTGACACCTCTCCTAAGGGAAGGACTTGGTATTGGGCAGCTGGATGAGGCACCATGACATGTCCTTTAAAAACTCAGGATGGTGAGAGATCACTTTTGACTGGGGAGGTGGGATCTGAGAAGGGCATTAAAAGTGAAGGACAATGGCTGGAGAAGACAAGGGCAGAGACACTTGGAGAGGGATGGAGACTCAGGTCAGGAAAATTCTTCAGTGATAATCCAAATGGCTAGGGCACCCTCATTAGGACTCTCACCAAAGCATGTATCTTCAGGATTGTAACCTTTTGCTTACTTTTTAGACAGCTAGACAAGAGGGTGGCCTCAGCAGGCATCAACTATGTCAATGGATTCAACTCCATATGGCCATACCCAGCACAGGCATGTCATGGAACAAGCACTTATGTGCTTGTTGACCTGAGCTGAAATGACAACTGCATAAGCCAAGCTCAGCAGGTGCAGGAGAGAATAAAAAGGCAGGGGAAAGGTGGGAAGAAAGCTGGAAGGGAAGTGCGTGTTTTCTCTTCCTGTGGGTCATATAGCTGAAACTCTTTTGGATAGTCAACAAGACTTCTGAGAGCCTTTGCATAGGCACCACTTTCAATGCAAGAGGTAAGATGGCAACTGTGACCTCCACAACCCCTTCCTCCCTCTTAGCCCCTCCTTAGCTCCTAAGAGAATGGAAGCCATCAAACCTCTCTCATCTACTCACCACTAACTGGCAACCTTGCCTGCATTCAAGCCCACATATTCTGCCTGTTTTTCTGTTGGATGCAGAAACAGGTCCTGCTGCTACCAGGAGCCAGGCTCTCTCCATATGAACTGGCTCCTGTCCTCTTTCATCTTCTCCAGGACTTTGCTCCTGTAGCTGTCCTGAAGTTATTCCCTCTCTCTCCTGCAGAGACAGTTTCTCCTTCTCTACAGAATCATTCTCAATTACAGACAACTCGCTTCAGTAGCTCCCATTTTAGCTATTGACCCATTTCTCTGCCTCTGCTTACATCAAAGCTCTCCAAAACAGTGTATTATATAATATGGTATATCTGTCTCTAACTCCTTCCCTCCCATATTCCCTTTAGCTGACACCAGTCACATTTATATCGCAAACTCTGTTAGAAATGCTCTGATCAAGGTCATCAGTGATTTCCATCTTGCCAAAACCAACCGTTTGATCACATCTCCCACTTTGCCCAGTTTGTTTCACCAATTCTGTTCATTCTTGCTATTCTTCAAAGCACCAAGCTCTTTCCCCCTATGTACTTGCTCCTTCCTTTTCTGGAACGTGCTTCCTTCAGACCTTCTCCATATTTTCTTCCTCACTTCATTCAAATCCCTGTGCAGAGGAGCCACCCTGGCATGCTTGCTGCTGATGAAGCTATCCCTCATCCTCCTCCACATCCTCCCCTGCTCCCTTATGCTGCTCTGTCTTCCTTCTTACCACTTATTATTGCTGAAATTATGTATTTATTTGCAAACTAGTTAATGTATGATTTTCCAGTAAAATATAAACTCTGACAACTTAGAGACTTTGCTAGTCTTGTCCCTTCCATATGTCCAGCACCCAGGACAGAACTGATACACAGCCAGCTCTCAATAGACAGTTGTTGAATGATGACTGAATGAAGGCCTGCCCTGACCCTAAGGAGCTCATAGTCTAATTGGGGACAATGGTGAGAATGAGAATGAGGGTGATGAGAAGACATAATACTAAGTGTCATATATACACACATATAATCATTAACTCCTTGCAATACCTATATGAAGTTATGAAGTAGTGGGTGTTATGTCTACTTTATAGATGCAGAGACTGAGGATTTAGAAGAATTACATAACTTGCATCGGGTTCTACAGCAGTCAGCAGGAAACACAGCAGCTTAAACACAGGTTCTTCTGACTCCCGAGGCATACTCTTCAACCTCGAGGTCTTTGGCCTCGCAGTCTGACAGCATGTTAAAAGGTCACCCCATCTGTTCAGGTTGTCTCAATGTGGATACGGCAGTTCCGCCTACTTGTGAACGGTGAACAACCATTTATGCTTACTTAGTAGAAAAGAGTGCTGACTTTACTCATTTTGCTATAAAAGCAGACTCTATGCCAGAAGCCAAAATACACAGGATTGGTAAATATTTTGTACTTGGTTGCAAGCAAGTTCCCAAATCCAATTAATGTTGGCTCAGTGTGACACGGTTGTTCACTAGTTTTAGGAAATATGTAGGTAGGTTCAATTCCAATCCGAAGGCATTTCTTGGTCATATTTCAGCTGAGTATTTTAAGAGATTGAAGCCTTTTGATCTCTTTGGGCTTGTTTCTGAGTTCAGCACAGTTTGTTCCCCGACATGGTTTATAGTCAGGTTTGGTGCAAGGCCCAGGCTACCGGGTTTCATGGTCTGGTTTTCCTGTAGGCCCATAACCTGCCCCAGGGAGTGTGGAGAAGCCTAAGAAAAGCTCTATCTCAAGACTGTGCATGTGGGAAGTGATTTTAACTTGAGGCAAGCTGGGAATAATGGTCTCCATTCTGGCCAGCCACATATGTAATTTTAAAGTTTCTAGTAACCACATTAAACAAATAAAAAGAAACAAGTGAAATTAATTTTAATAGTATATTTTATTTAACTCAAATACATTCCAAATATTATTTCAACATGTAATCTACGTAAAGAATTATTAAATCTGGTCTGTAGTTTACATATACAGCATAGCTCACATTAGATCAGGTATATTTCACGTGCTCAACAGTACTTGCGGCTAGTGACTACTCTATTGGACAGTTTCTCTCCAGAGAGTAAAATGGATTTTGATCTTTGTTGTTTTTGGTGATGATAATAATAATGATATTGCTATTGTTATTTTCTCTGAATATACCAGACAAATATACATGATATACATTATATATTTGTCTGGTATATTCAGAGAAAATATGTTTTAAAATAATAAAAATATACAAATATATAATGTATATTTGTCTGACATATTCAGAGAAAATAATGATATTGTGATAATAATGATATTGTAATTATTATTTTCTCTAAATATACCAGCATCTTTGATTGGGAAGAAAACTTAGAGTTTGTATAGTCTAATTATTCATATGATGCTAGAATTTTTTTTATATTATCACCTAAGATGCTAAGATCTTATTGAATCTTAGTATAGGTAGACCTATATCCTATAGGTTAGTATTGAATCTTGGTATAGTTATCATCATCCCCATCTTACAGATGAAGCAACTGAAGTTCAGATAATTTAGTAAGCTATCCATTATCTGCTTACACAGTAATAGAGAGCTCACCCTTTATAAATAACTTATTCCATCTCTGGCCGGATTTCATGATTATAAAGTGATCCTTTTAACTGAGCTGAAATTTTTTCATTAGTATTTCTCCTGTGGTTCTCTGTGACACTTCAGAGCCACAGAGAGTAAATGTGCTTCTTTTCATATGACTGTTGCTTTTCTATTTGAAGACAGATATCCTGTCTTGTTATGTTCATCTCCTCCAAATAAGCTGCCCTTTTACTTCCATCATTACTCCTGAGACTGTCAAGTCTTCTCTACATCCTGACGGTGAACGGGTTCCAGATCCTCAATAGCCCTCTTAAAGTGTGATACCCACAGCTGAATACAATATCTGGGTGGTGCCACTACCTCAAAATAGAGTGAGACCGGGAACTCTTACTCCTATATATTACCCTTCTACCACACCATTGTCACAACCCACTGTTCTTTTATAATGAGCTTCCTGGCCACAAAACGCCTAAAATATGGCCCCCATGCCACGTCTTCCTTGTGTTTTTATGTGTGCAGTTGTATCTGGCCACAAAGCAATGCTGTAAAATGGGCATGGCCCATGCATCATCTAACTCTGGGCATTTGGAAGCAGGAAAAATAAGGAAAATGACTCAGGATGACAAGAAACTTAAAAAGATGTTGCTTATTTTTTTTTTTTAGAATCTGAAATACCAAGATATCTTCGGATACATTATTCAATGTATTCATAGGCTCTTTCCACTACCCATTATTAGCAAATTTTGACAAATGAACATTTTGCATCTTTATATGTCATCAAGTAAAATTTTGAGTATATTATAACTTAATACAAAGTCTTATAACATTTGGGCCTTAGTAAGTAGTACAGTTTGGGTACATGTGTTCTAGTACAGTTTGGATAAATGTGTTCAATCACTTTAAAACTACTTAATTTCCATTAAATTTACGTATTTATTTATCCATTGTTATTTCTAGGCCTTAGAATATATTTTTTCAATTCTCCTGGGACTGTCTTCTGCCCATCTTTGCCTAGAAAAGTTCTGCCCATACTCTGTCTTTTGTTTTAGATATCACCACTTCTTTCGGATTAGTTCTCATTCTTATGTATTCCTACAGTGCTGCATTGCCACCATCATAGCAATTGCCACACTCTTGTAATTTTCTTTGTATCTGCCTATGTCTCCTACTAGACTGTAAATTGTGTTAGGACAGGGATTGATACTATTACACCCTAAGTGTCCAGCACAGTGCAAAGTAGCTTCTCAGTAAATACTTTTTAATTAAATGAGTAAATCTTCAGGACCACATGCTGAGGTAGTTATCATCATCCCCATCTTGCAGATGAAGCAACTGAAGTTCAGATAATTTAGTAAGCTAGCAAAGCAGTGGCTCAAGGCCCAGGATTCTGAATCTGTATCTAATGCTGTCATTATAAAACCAGTTACACACACCTTCCATATACTTACCAATGTCTGAAGTTTCTTAACAAATGATAGAGCCTTTAGGATCTTACTGGAGATAAGACTTAAATGCAAATACCAGAAAAAGAGAAAGCATAATAGATTGACTTCTGGTAACACTAGGGCATTAAATACTAATGCCAGACATTCTTCTAGAAGTAGGTCCTGACTTGAAGAGAAAGTGAGCCTTCTGTTCTTGCCATGCAAATCTATACAAATCATTTTTTGTCAGTGTCTCAGTTTCCCATAGTAAATTCTTGCTGATTGTTTGATTTACTTGGTTTCCAAGAAGTTAGACAAGAATAGTCCCCTAAACTTTGTTCTTTTTCATATGAACCACCATAATCAGAAATGATTGATTTATTTTACATAGTATTATTTTTCTGCTTATAAAAATTAGACAAGCTTATTGTTGACTATTTGAAAAAATAATTTTAAAATCAAGTAGAAAAAAACTTCCTACCACATATTCCTTTTTCTTTCCTTTTGCAAACAATTGCATATTTTCTATAATTTGGGATTAGCCACTACATGTTCTTATGTTGAGAATTTTCCTATATTGTTAAATATTCAATACTACATGATTTTAAATGATTGCATAAATTCACTGTAGGTATGTTCCACACATATATCTAATCAATTCCATATTGTAGATATTTAGGATTGTTTCCAGTTTTGGAGTCTATAAATAATATGGCAGTACTTATCCTTGGGCATTAATCTTTGCACACATGACTGATTAAGAGAGATTTCTTTTTTCTCATCTAATTGGTTGTATGCGATTCGGGGCCTTATTAGGATAAGAACTCCCCATAACTGGGCCTCACCTTAAAGTACTTACACAATTTTGACCCTCAGCAGCAATCAGATTGAATCAAGGATTAGAATTCCTGATCCTGAGTATGTAGATTAGATTTGGCTCCTTGAGACTCTTATTGCTCTCCCCATTTTCCCATGGTATCGGGAGAGCTGAGCTCCAGGGTGGGGCTGGAGGACTCTCTGTTTTCAAGCTGGGCTCATCTCTGCCAGCAGCACTGCCCCTGGGCCCCAACGTCAAAATAAGAAAGAAAAGTTAGTATTGAGAATGAGGAAGGCTGAGGTCATCACTGTCCCAAAGGCAGTGGCAGGAGAGAGAGACAGAGAGAGAGAGAGAGAGAGAGAGAGCGCAAGTGAGCAAAGAAGCAAGATGCATATATACATTCTTCTGAGTCTTTTTTCTTTTAAACCCAGAGAAGGAAAAAAGCAACTGCCTAAGTTAATACTGCCCTGGGGGCAGCCTGAATGGGCATGACTTGAACCAAGTGGCTTGTCACCCTGCTGCCTTTATGACCCTTGCAGGGTCCAAGAAAATGCATACATGAACTCACTGGGTTGAACAACACACTCAGTGTCTTGAGAACAAATGGACTTTTCTTTGGTGTTAGTTACAAACATCTTTTCTTTCCACTTATTCAGTTACCCAAGAAGCAAAAGCTAATCTCCTGTGAAAGTTCAGGAGAAAGGCATGTGATGTGGCTCCAAGCTGCCTTAGCCATGTGCCCAGGAAAGACCGCTGCTGGGCTTGGAGGGGCTCTGCTTCTGTGCCTGCCTACCCTGTTCTGTGTCTAGAGGAGTAAACCAATTAATAAACTACACTAATTTACAGTCTTTTTATTTCAGATAGGTTCATTCATTTATCTACTTTCTATCTATCTATCTATATATCTATCTATCTATCATCTATCTATCTACCTATCATCTCTATCATAGTCTATCATCTATCTATCTATCTATAGTCATGCGTTCCTTAAAAACAGGGACACGTTCTGAGAAATGCATTGTTAGGTGATTTCATCATTGTGTGAACATCTTAGAGGGTGCTTACACAAACCTAGATAGTACAGCCTACTACACAGCTAGGCTACATGGTATAACTTATTGCTCCTAGGCTACAAACCTGTATAGTATGTTACTGTGCTGAGTACTACAGGCGATTGTAACACCGTGGTAAGTATTTGTGTATCTAAACATATCTAAATATAGAAAGGTTCAATTACAATACAGTATAAAATATTCAAAAATGGTACACTTACACAGGGTAGTTATCATGAATGGAGTTTGCATGACTGGAAGTTGCCCTGGGTGAGTCAGTGAATAAGTAGTGAGTGAATGTGAATATCTAGGACATTACTGTATACTACTGCAGACTTTATAAACACTGTCCACTTAGGCTATACTAAAATTTATTTTTAAATTTTCTCTTTTAACTTTTATTTTAGGTTCAGGGCTACACGTGCAGATTTGTTTTATAGGTAAACTTGTGTCATGGTTTTTTTCTTTTCTTCAGATTATTTAGTCACCGAGGTACTAAGCCTAGTGCCCAATAGTTATTTTATTTTCTCTGCTCCTCTTCCTCCTCCCATCCTCCTCCCTCAGGTAGGCCCCAGTGTTCCCTCTTTGTGTCTGTATGTTCTCATCATTTAACTCTCACTTATAAGTGAGGACATGTGCTTTGTGGTTTACTCTTCCTGCATTAGTTTGCTAAGGATAATGACCTCCAACTCCAACCACGCTCCTGCAAAGGACTTGATCTTGTTATCTTTTATGGCTGCATTGTATTCCATGTACAATATGTACCATATTCCATGTAAAATATGTACCATATTTTAAATTTTCTTTTTCAATAATAAATTAACCTTAGATTACTGTGACTTTTTTGCTTTATAAACTTTAAATTTTTTAAAAAAAATTTTGACTCCTTGGTAATAACACTTAAAGCATAAATATGATGTAGTTGTACAAAAATATTTTCTTTTTATATCCTTTTTCTGTAAGCTTCTTTGTATTAAAATTTTTTTAACTTCTAAAAGATGTTGTTAGAAAACTAAGACACAAACACGCACATTAGCATAGGCCCACACAGGATCAGGGTTAAAAATAACATCACTGTCTTCCACTTTCACATCTTTTTCCATTGGGTTGTCTCTAGGGGCGCTAACATACATGAAGCTGTCATCTCCCATGATAACAATGCCTTCTTCTAGAATATCTCCTGAAGTACTTGCCTGAGGCTGTTTTACAATTAACTTTTTAAATTTTTTTGTAAGTAGAAGAAGGGTACTCTAAAATAATAATTAAAATTACAGTATAGCAAATACATAAACCAGTAACAACATAGTTGTTTATTATCCTTATCAAGTGTTGTATGCTATACATAACTGTATGTGTTCTACTTTTATATGACTAGCAACACAGTAAGTTTGTTTACATGAGCATCACCACAAACACATGAGTAATGCCTTCTGCTACGATCTTACTAAAGCTACAGTGTCGCTAGGTGCTAGGAATGTTGCAACTCCATTATAATCTTATGGGGCCACCATCATTTATGCAGTCAGTCTTTGGCCAAAATGTTGTTCTGATTCTCAAGATTGTACACACACACAAATACAAACACACAGACACACACACACACGCAAGAAGAAGGTATGTGGTGATTCATGTTCCTAGTATGACTAAGATAGATCAGAAACTTTAATACTGCCAAGAACTTCTTAAAATGAAATAAAAAATTTTCAAAGAACCGTACTTTCTCTTTAATAAGGCATTATTCTTTTCCTTTTTTTTTTCTTTTGAAGACAGAGTCTTGCTCTGTCACCCAGGCAGGAGTGCATTTGCGCCTAGCTTACTGCATCCTTGAACTCCTGGGCTCAGGCAATCTTCCTGTCTCAGCCTTTCTGGTAGCTAGGACTACAGGTGTACACCATCATACCCAGTAAATATTTATTTTTATTTTTATTTGTGTAGAGATGGGGTCTCACTATGTTGCCCAGTCTGGTCTTAAACTCCTGGCCTCAGGAAATTCTTCCATCTTGGCCTCCCAAAGTGTTGGAATTATAGGCGTGAGCCACTGAGCCCAACCTGCATTATTTCTAATTCGGTAATTTATCTCCTTGAGAAAAGCATTTGGAACAGTAACTCCTAGAGTAGACTTGGTCTTTAAGCTTCAAATTCTATATCACCTGTTAGTTGTGTGTTCTTTGCAGCCTAGGAAAGGCAAGAAATGAGCAACCTTATTTTAAAAACCATTTCTCCTGGATAAACACCATACATGCATTTAGGTACACACAGGGACTATTAAACAGTTTCAAAGCATCTATGGGCCTTGCTCCATCATTCAATCTCTCTTTCTTGTATCTTCTTGCTCTGAATCCCATCTGATTCTAAGAAATTTACAAATATGCTCTACTATCTCCCATTCGATGTTGACATTTCCTTGAATCCCCAAATTATATTCTAATCTCCACCCCACCTTACTTATTCCATGTTCCAGAATGTAGCTACCCATCAACTCATTGTAATCCGGCTTGCACACTCAGTATGAAGCTTGAAGGCTACTTTTTTCCCCCACACACCACACTCAATAAATCCCCTAGCCCAGCCTGTTTTACTCCTAACACTTTCTTGAATCCGTAGCTCCTCCTTGTCATCCCCTGTGCTACAGTCCTAGTTCGGATTCTCATCATCTCTTGCCTGGACAATTATAAGAGTTTCTAATGTGTCTCCTGATAACGCAGCTTGACAGTGTTGGGACAGTTAGAATCATAGTCTTGTGTATTTTGTCAACAGTCATAAAACCCCACTATATTCCTGGTGTCCTGGTCAAGGTAATAGTAACCCTGTTTACCATGTGATTATAAAGTAATGAGGCAGGTTCTTTAAAACAGTCACGTTAATTCATATTTAATTCATCCACAAAATATTTATTAAGCACCTATCATATGCCACACATTGATTTAGAGCTGGAAATATAGTGGTGAATAAGACAGATGGTCCTGTGATTATGGGATTTCATGAAGCTGCATGAGAGGCATGGGCAGAAGCAAGGACTCTGTAATCAGATGATGCTGTGTTCAAATCTTGCCTCCATACCTTATGAAGTTCTCAAGATCATTCATTCATTCATTTATTCATCCAGTCATTAATGGATGCTAAATACCTACCGATTGTCTATTATGTGTCAGGTGGTGTATCAGTTCCTAAAGAGATAGGCAAGTCCTGCCCTCAAAGAGATTATTTTCTTGTGGGAAAGAAAGGCTAACAATAAATACATCATACATCATAAGCAAGGTCATTTCATATAGTGTAGTAGCTATGAAGAAAGTAAAATAAGGTAATAGGATGGAGTGTGATTTACTCTGACTCTTGTTTGGAAAGATCTGTCTTATACTGAGTAGCCTGGGAAGACCTTTCCGGAAAGGTGACATCTGAGCCAAGTTGTGAAAATGGCCAGGGAAAGCAAAGAGCTGAAGGAAAGAGCAGAGGAAATAAAACAAGTGCCAAAAAAGTGAGATAGCCATTGGGTAAGGAAAAATGAGCAAGTGTAGCTGGAATGGAGTGAATGAGAGTGAATGTTGCATAGGTGATGTTGGAGAGGCCAGATCATTTTGGGTTTTGTGGACAATGTGGATGCTCAGATTTTATTCCAAGTTATTTAATCTCTCCAAGACTTAGTTTTCTCAACCAAATAAAGAAATCTCATAAGGTCGTTGTGAGAATTACAAATTATAATCCTTTCACGCATTAATCAGTTAATTCAATAAATCTTTTTCAAATGGCTACCATATGCCAATTTTAGGCATTGAGAATAATGTGGTGAGGAAGTAATGGCTTATTCTCAAGGATGTCATAGTTGTTATGGGAGATGGGCCCATAGGAAAAATATTATAACATAGTGTGACAAACACAACAGTAGATGTGTGTGTGTTTTTCCAATTCTATTCATCCTAATATCCACAACTGGGTTAGGGACATCAACACCTCTTATCTTGAGTTACTTCTAGAGCCTTCTAACTAGTCTCTTCATTTCCAATCCTGTTCTTCTCCAAAACATTCCCCACACTGCACCAGAGTGATCTTTCTAAAATTCAAATGGTAATTCATTCACTCAAAAATATTTACTATGTGTCTGCAGTGTGATGGGTTTCCTTCTGGGTTCTTGTGAAATATCAGTAAACCAATAACACTTGTTTGACTAAAATCTTTTAATATTCCACATTGCCCTCAAGATGTAATATAAACTACTTAGTTTGGTGTAAACAATCTTCAGGCCTCTTGAAGCTCCCAGGATAATAGTACAAATAGAGCCAAAATGCCATATGTAAGGTTATAAATCAAGCTATCAAACTGTTCTTAAAATATGCTCTACCTGAATGCCTTGACAAATATAAATGTATAAGGGCTTAGAAGGCCTGGTTCAAATTTAGAATTCTTGAGCTCCTCAGAGTTCCAGGCCAGAACACTGTAGTACTGGGAGACCTGCAGCTCTTGCCTTATCTCTTATCTCTTTACCTAACACTGCAGAGGGCCTTGTACACCAGCACGAGGACACCCCAGCTGTCATGTCCAACTTCTATCTACTGTCCTCCAAAATAGCTACCTCTTGGTGACTTCCTAGGTTTGTGCAGTCACTGGGCAAGGGAATTTCAGGGTCTCGGTTATTTCAGCGTCCTAGTCTAGAAAGGGACATCATTTCTAGGTGGCCAAGTCTTCTTGACTCTAGTATAGGACTCCTCATATCAAGGAGAGAGCCATGGATGAATGAGTATCTAGGAGGGCTCTTTCAAGTGTACAGTCCAGCAAAAGAAACTACCATCAGAGTGAACAGGCAACCTTCAGAATGGGAGAAAATTTTTACAATCTATCCATCTGACAAAGGGCTGATATCCAGAATCTACAAAGAACTTAAACAAATTTACAAGAAAAAATCAACCAACCCCATCAAAAAGTGGGCAAAGGATATGAACAGACACTTCTCAAAAGAAGACATTTATGCAGCCAACAGACACATGAAAAAATGCTCCTCATCACTGGCCATCAGAGAAATGCAAATCAAAACCACAAAGAGATACCATCTCACACCAGTTAGAATGATGATCATTAAAAAGTCAGGAAACAACAGGTGCTGGAGAGGATATGGAGAAATGGGAACACTTTTACACTGTTGGTGGGACTGTAAACTAGTTCAACCATTGTGGAAGACAGTGTGGCGATTCCTCAAGAATCTAGAACTAGAAATACCATTTGACCCAGCCATCCCATTACTGGGCATATACCCAAAGGACTATAAATCATGCTGCTATAAAGACACATGCACACATATGTTTATTGCAGCACTATTCACAATAGCAAAGACTTGGAACCAACCCAAATGTCCACCAATGATAAGACTGGATTAAGAAAATGTGGCACATATACACCATGGAATACTATGCAGCCATAAAAAATGATGAGTTCATGTCCTTTGTAGGGACATGGATGAAGCTGGAAACCATCATTCTGAGCAAACTATCGCAAGGACAGAAAACCAAACACTGCATCTTCTCACTCATAGGTGGGAATTGAACAATGAGAACACTTGGACACAGGGTGGGGAACATCACACACCAGGGCCTGTCATGTGATGGGGACACACACGGGGAGTGGGGGAGAGTATTCGGAGATATACCTAATGTAAATGACGAGTTAAGGAGTGCAGCACACCAACATGACACATGTATACATACGTAACAAACCTGCACGTTGTGCACATGCACCATAGAACTTAAAGTATAATAATAATAATAAAAGAGTACAAGCAATAAATAAATGAATAAATAAATAAATAAATATTTTCTGACAGAAAAAAAATAAAGTGTGCAGCCCAGAGTAAAGTCCTCTCTTGCCCATATGTAAGAGCAAATCTGGTAACTCTTTTCCATAAGGCTGCTGCTTACACCTCCACTGCAGTCTCATATACTACAACTCCACAAGGCCTTTTCAATCCTTCATGGTCTATGCTTTACTTCTGCCTTCATCTTTGCCTTGAACGTCCTTCCCCATCCACCCTATCTCTTCGCCCAATTCCTGTTCTTTTCAAGTCTGTGTTTAGAAATCCCTTTCTCCGGAAGGCCATCCCTATAGACTGCTCTGGTAGTTTTAAGTACGTCTTCATATTCTTTGACACTCCTGCCATTGAGAGTAACAGTAGGAGTGACACCATGTGACTTGTGAGGTTAGATTATGAAAGACCATGCATCTTCTGCTATGTTTCCTGGAATGCCTTCTCTGGAAACTCTAAGCTGCCATGTAAGAAATCTGGTCACTTTTTTCACAGCAACCTGGAAGAAACTGGAGAGTATTATTCTAGGTGAAATAACTCAGGAATGGAAAACCAAACATTTTATATTCTCATTCATATGTGGGAGCTAAGCTATGAGGATACAAATGATACATTGGACTTTGGGGACTCAGGGGAAAGGGTGGGGAGTGGCGAGGGATAAAAGACTACACATTGGTTACAGTGTACACTGTTTGGGTGATGGGTGCACCTGAATCTCAGAAATCACCACTAAAGAACTTATTCATGTAACCAAATACCACCTGTTCCCCAAAATCTATTGAAATTAAAAAATTAAAAAATTAAAAAAAATTTCTTTCGTATTTTCTTATAAGAACTAAAAAAAAAAGAGAGAGAGAAAAGAAAAAAAGAAATTTGGCCACTCTGAAGCTTCCATGATGGAGAGGTCATGTGTAGGCACTTGGGACAACAGTCCCAACTAAGCCTAGCATTCCAGCAATCTCTGCCAATGTAACAACAAGCAAGTGAAGCCATCTGAATCCTAAAGGTCACCCAAATGAGCACCACCAGATGACCTTGTCTCATGCCTTATAGATCCTCAGAGTTAAACAAAAAGGTCTCTAAGAATCTTAAGGTTGTGTCTCGTGGGCCCTCTTCATTAAACTATTGTGGTTCTAAGACTCTTTTTTTTGATACAGATTCTTGCTCTGTTACCCAGGCTGGAGTGCAGTGGTGCCATCTTGGCTCACTGAAACCTCCACCTCCCGGGTTCAAAGTGATTCTTCTGCCTCACCTTCCCTAATAGCTGGGATTACAAGTGCCTGCCACCATGTCTGGTTAATTTTTGTATTTTTGGTAGAGACAGGGTTTTGCCAAGTTGGCCAGGCTTGTCTCAAACTCCTGATCTCAAGTGATCCACCCGCCTTGATCTCCCAAAGTGCTGGAATTAAAGGCATGAGCCACCGCACCCAGCTGTGTTTCTGAGACTCTTAAGGGCATTGTCTCACAGTAGCCCAACAAGAAACCCAAAGTTGAGAAGCACTTATGAATTAAGATATTTGTGACTGTGGCTGTTTGTTTAATTAAATAAATTTTATAAATTGATACATAAGAAACTACTATGGCTTGACTGTGTTTCCCCCAAATTCATATGTTGAAACTTAATGGCCAGTGTGATAGTATTAAGAGGCAGTGCTTTTAAGGGGTGATTAAATCATGAGGGTGAAGCCTTCATGGATGGGATTAAAACACTTATAGAAGAGCTTGAGGGAGTGGGTTAGTTCTCTTCTGCTCTTCCATCAAGTGAGGGCACAGCATTCATCCCTTTTTGTCCTTCTGTCCCTCACCATGTGAGGATGCAGTGACAAGACGCCATCTTGAAGTGAAGAGTGTCACCCTCACCAGACATCAAACCTGCTGCAACTTGATCTTATACTTTTCAACCTCCAGGATTGTTGTAAGAAATAAATTTTTATTGTTTACAAATTACAAAGTCTCAGATATTTTATTATGGAAGACAAACTGACTGACAGAAACCCACCAACTTTTTGAAGGAATTAAAACTGTAGACTGAAAGATTCAAAAGCAGTACAAAAAAGAGGAAGATGTGAATCTCTACACTTCCATGATCAAGAAACACACAGAGAAAATTACTCAGCTGAAAACATAGGCTAGAATAACTCAGAGGGTGGACCCAAGAGCCCAGAGAATGAACCAGTGAGTCAGAGAGCATGAGTAAGTCTTAGTTAAGGAACAGACATGTTCCTGATTGAATTTCAGAATTGCCATGAAGCAGGGGCTGACATATGCCTTGTATCATGCCTTGCCTCTTTTTAATATCTTGGGTATTTGTGGTGTTTGTAAGAATGATAGAAAAAGTGTACCTTTGGTTTATAAGTATTCAGATTGAGAAGACCCATATCGAAGGAACTGGACCTATGGAGACTTATTTGCTTCTGGATTTAATTTGGATGATGAGATTCTGAACCTCAGACCTAAATCTGATGGTCTTCTGAAGGAGGTTGGAGGTGAATATATTTACATGTATGAGACATTAAAAAAATTTGTGATGGTAGAGATGACTGTGGCAGTTTAAAAACATAGCTACAAATTCTTTAACACTCCTTCTACTGAGAGGTAGGGTCTAAGTCCCCTCTTGTTGAACCTGGGAAGACTTGTGACCAGTAGAATTCAATTATCCCCAGCAAGGAAACAGACAAGTTACTGAAGCCATCTGGGATCTTACAGATGAATCTGTCCCCTAGCTGCATATTGCCCAGTGATCTTTATTAACACCATGTGAAAGAAAAGAATTACCTAGCTGACCCCTGCCAAAATTCTTGACCCATGAACCAACAGATATAAATAAATGGCTGTTGTTTCAAGCCACTGCATTCTGGAGGTAGTTTGTTACACAGCAATATGTAACTGGAACACCGTCAAGACTGGCTTTAAATGCGCTGTCTCTGTGCTTCTATGAAACCCTGTCTTTTTAACCACACTGTAGTGAAATTACCTATTCACTGGTCTTTATCATCTTCCTAGTGAAAATTCCCTGAGGGTGAGGATGGTATCAAGAACAGTGGCTTTCATAGTAAGCACTCGATATGCTGGGGTTTTTTTCCTTCTCCCACCCAATGACTTGCTCTAATTAGCTGCATAGCCAAGGCCATAGTAAATGGAGATTCTTAAACATGTTTAGCTTTGTTTTTCTGTTCTTGCTAGGCTGAGTTTGGTTCCTCTGACTTCCACAGTTCCTGTAGGTCTGCTCTGTCTGTGAATATTTATGTGAGGGGCACCCACTAAAATAAGAAACAGGTCCAGGGTTGTTAATTCCTCTAGAAACACACATGGATCTGAAACCAAAGTGGATAATTACCGTGCAGAAACATGTTTGGAGTTTTGCCTCTCCCAGAACCTTTGAAAAATAGAACATAATGTGTAGCCAAACCCCAAACACCCCCGGGTTTGCACATCTCTAGTAATCCCATCCAGACACACTTACTTTCACATAATGGATTTCTGGTTCCAAGATTTTTCCAGTTTGAAAAACAACTCCTAGGAAGAATCGCTCTTCTGTGAGCAGTAGCCTATCTGATACTCCCACAGCTGCATGGTCACCCCAGAAATTTTAGGCCTGACCCTCAACCTTCCTGTCTGAAAAATACTCTGTTTAAATGTATGATGAGTCTACCTTTTCAGAAATCCTGGGATCAACCAGGCTTGGATCCAGCTCTGTCACTTACCAGCCATGTGACTTTCAGCACGTTTCTTAATCTCTCTTAGTCTGTTTTCATATAAGGAGAGAATAATGGTGTCCTCTTACAGGATTCTTGCAAGCATTAGATGAGCTAATGCATGTAGAACACTCAGCCATGTACTGGCACATATAGTCTCTCAATAAACTAATGAATGCTAGCTAGTTGTTGATATAACTGACACAACCTTCCCTGCTCTGCTCGCTCAATAGGGAATTATCAAACTAGATGGAGCTGAAATCTCCTGAAAATTGCCTGACTTGGTTCAAAGACGTGGGATTGGTCACAATGACCCTGGAAACCTATTAGGTTGCTTTTTAGAGGAAAAGTGCCAAACCAGCACTTGGTATTAAGTGTAAGGAGAGTGATAATATAGAGGAAAAAAAAAAATCCCAGTTTATTTTTCTGTAGTTCATGACCTGCCCCCATTTTCCTGTGATCTCTTCTTTTACCCGGTCAAATACAAACTTCTGTAGTGACAATGACCATATTTTCTGAACTGCAAATAAAGATCCATGGTCTCACAAATACAACTGTTCCTAAGGGGGAAACATGACTCAATATTTTAAATTGTGACTGCTCTAGAAAAATGTGGGACATATGGTGACCATACCCATGGTTCTCAAAGCCAGATGCTGACTGGCTCCAAGAGAAGAAAACCAAAACAATCAGAAATCCCTTCTATTTGCCAAAACAAATCTTGTGTCTCTCCCGGTGTTATTCCTGTAGCTATCTTTGTTTGAATTGGGCCTGTTCACCAGTTCCATTTCTGCTACCATCTCAGGGGAGGAGGGAAAGAAAATAGCTTCACGTTCACTCATGTTAGCATGGAATTCTTTTTTTGGGTGAATTTTAGGAGAAAAGGAAATTTGAAAACCTTTTTTATTTTGTGTTGTTTTTTCTTTCTTTTTTTATTTAGAGAGTCTTCAACTATACTTTTCCTTCTGGTCCTTCAATAATGAATAACAGTAATAATAATGTTGCTATTATTATTAAATGCATTCTATGTAATGGGCATTCATCATGCATTTGCTTCCAAATACACTTAATCTTCACAATGGACTTGCAAGGTAGATGCCATTGTTCTCAGTTTACAGGTTAAGAGCCTAATATGTTGAGTGGCTAAGAAACTTATCCAGGTTCACATAATTAATAAGTGATAAACTAGGAATTTGAACCCAGAAATTTCTGGCTCGTACATTCTCTATATTCTGTGTTGTTGCCTCTCATAGATTGCTTTGCAGAAATCAGACTTAGATTCAGTCAACATATATTGAACATCCTCCAGGTGCTGTGCTAAAATATTTAATAAATTATTTAATATAATCCATGATCTGGGTAACATTACTATCATTTTTGATAGTGAAATATCATACAAACAAATTAAGAAATTTTTCTAGGTCATCTAATTTGTAGTTAGTGGAGCCAGGAATCAAGTCCATTTTTTAAATTGCAGGTTTAAAACTTTTTCTAAATCCCAGTAGAGCATCAGATAGCAGAAGTGCAAAATAGGCTGTGTTTAGAAACTTGAGAATCAGGAGGATACTGAGTGAGAAAAGGAGCATTGCAGTGTGATCAAATATCTGCACAGAGTCCTACCCCTTAGTGTGAACGAGTTTATCATTGGTAAGTGGAGGGAACAGAGCCGGTGAGTGCAGAAAAGAATAGAAAGGGGCAGGAAATTGGAGAAAGGAACACCAGAAGTCAGCTCAGTATCACATTAAGCCTTAGCACTGTGTAGGGCCCTCCTTTGTCATTTTTAATTATCTCCATTTTAGTAAAGAGTATTAACTAGAAAATATAGCAAGTGGCTGTTTTGATTTTTGGAGAAAGTAGAATCAAAGTAGAACCAAAAGGCAGAAAAAATTGGTATCAGAAGGGTAAATGTCAGAGGGCAAAATCATTTTGATTTTGGTCTGAGAAACAGAGTACCTATTTTTAAGTGATCCTGCTCTAAATGAGAGAAAGAGTAAAATCTGAAAAGTTAAAAATCTTAATTTCCAGTTAAGATGTGGAGCTATTTCACAATAGCTCCTTCCAATTTACCTCCTCCAACATCTTGGCTGCTCAGATACATTCGACTTGGTGTGGACAGATTGTGGGGTAACAGTACACTCCGTTTGTTAATTTTAACCTTGTGGTCCTTAATTCTTATTTTCTAAACAAATTTTCACCAACCCCCACTTACAGGAATAATATATGCTCAACAGAGTAAATGTGGAGTATACAAAAAAGTTAGGAGATCAAAATTAAAATCTCCCACAATCCCGCTATCCTGACATTGCTAACATCTTGACATATTTCTAATTTGCTTTCTTATCTTCCTTTCTATAATAGAGATAATAAAAGTATACCATTTTTACTCGAAGTATATCATAAGCATTTTCCCATGTCATTAGTGTTTGAGAACACAGATTTTAATCAATGTCTAAACTTGCATCTACATCATATGATGTATTTAAGTAATCCTCTGTTGTTCACTATTTAGATTGATTTCAAATTTTCACCATTATAAATGTGATATTATCTTTGTACATAATCATTCCATAGTCCAGGCCTCTTCTAGCACACCCTTTGCTCAGAATTTCTTACCTTCTTTTTTTTTCTAACAGATATGATTAATGATATTCACATATGTAACTTTTCCTAGAGTTACGTCTTAGACTTACGTAGGGTTATATCCAGTTTCTTGTGTTTTAATAAAATATAATACCTTTACATTTTTCTTCCCTTCAAAAAGATGATAGAAGAGTGAAGATGAGTAAAAGTGCTATGAGATGTCTTTGTATCCACTGTATTTTATAAAACAATTTATAAATTTCAGTTCTTTATTATTAGTGATAATGAGTTTTAAACATATAATTGATCATGCCACTTAATTGGCAAGCCATTGTTTAGCTGGCCTTGGCAAGCACCCTTGTGCTCTGAGTGGCTTTGGCATACATTTCTCATTGAAGACCATTTCTAGCTATGATTTTTGCTTTTAGGAATAAATAGACTGGTAGTAGAAAATTGTAAACTGTAGACAGAATTAGGTTTTCATTTTGAGAAGGGGGTAACGTAAACATTGGGAAGGGCCAAATAAGTGCAAATGAGTATTTCTTAAGTGTGCACCTCTTATCCCACCCCTTTCCAGAGATTCCAATACAGTTTTCCTGGAAGTGCCCTTTCCCTAAGCCCTCTGGCTCTGAATTACTGTTTTGGAAGGTATTACCAAGCCATTTTTTTCTTTCACTGACATTTAGGATTAAAATTCGAGTTAATTCAGCTGCCTGCTTCTTCAGCTTTGAGTGAATGATGCCAAGATAGATTTTTTCTTAGGTTAGGTGATGTGTGACCATTTAGAGAAAGGAAGAGTAGATGAGTTGAAGCACATAGGTGTAACTTGATATAGTCTCCTCCAGGGAAAATGTCCTGCTTGAAGCATTTATAGAATGGAATCTTTTCAAGGTTGAGAAGGGCACTGTCATCTATGTGTGGTATTGGCAAATCTACCTGATGGGTCCAAATGTTGCATCGTAGGAAAATCTAATCATAGATAAAATACATTTTCCTACTGGAAGAATTTTAATGTTGTATTAGTTGGCTCTTTTGGCTGCAATGACAGTACTAAAACTTGAATTAATATTTAAAGGGAATTAATTTTGTTCATTAAATCAAAGAGATTATTTAACAACCAAATTATGGGAAGAACAAGGATGTCAGTAGTCACTAGACAAGACAACAACTAGAACCAGAGATATATGATATCAGATCTCTCTCTCTTTTTCTCTCTCACTCTTGCCTGGGCTTCTCACAGGGATTTCATTCTTTTTTGTTCATATCACTGAAAACATGGGGTGCGGTGGGCATGATATTTCCGAGTTTTATATCTCACAGTATCTACCTCTCAGGAGGACTGGCAGACTTTTCTACCTTCCTAAGTACAAAACTACAGGGAAAAGACTCATTGGCGAGTTGGAGTCAGGTGTTCAGACAAGGACCAATGAATTTCGGAAAAAGAAATGTCATAAGAAAGATGTTGGAGAAATGGGGAAGGAAAAATTATTCCAGAAGTGTTTACTCCATCGGGCTGCACAGAAGTCTTATTATATTTTAGGTGATTTATTGAAGATTGGAGAAAAAAGAGCACAAAATAAGAGTATTGTATCTATACATATGTGAGTAACTTACCTTTCTTGGTGGTCAAGAATCTCTTACTCCCAACTCTTAACTAAAGTTTGCAAAGAGAGGCCAGAGGTCATTTTTTCTGTCCTAGGAAAGCAGGATCTGGGTGTATTTCGCAGGGTGTCAGCTTCCCCTGGCCAGTTCTGACTGCAAAACAACAGAACTGTTTATTCTTTCCCACACCCTGGCATACAGCAGACTGCTACCTTTCACTGCAGCAATTGGAAATTACACACTAATAGAAAACATATATGTGAGCATTCAAAGCAGGATTTTAATCAAATGATCACAGCAGCACTGCTTGGTATTCATTTGAATAATTTACTGGAGTTGTCTGTGGACTGTGTGCATATTCAGGGTTTTCTATGAATGTCAGGTTTTTACTGAATTCCCAGCTTGCCACACAATTTTGTTTACCACAGAATCCAGACAGGTTTCTGCCGAACTTTGGGTTGAAGGGTAGATGTGATACTCATCCCTTCACAGTTAACCCACTGGAGCATGTGGTTGTTAAAGAAGAATAAATTCTAAAACAAATTCATATTTTCTCACATATGACAAGGTTCAGACACCATGTAACTGAATAGAAATCACCTTGGAAAATATTGCATGCACTGATAGGAGTTCCCCAGAAAAGCTGCAATGTAAAAGGCAATAGGCATTGAAACAGGCAAGCAGGAGACAAATCTCACCATTTCTTCCTAGGCTTCAGTATGAGAAGTAGTGGTTGACATGCACAGTCGCAGTCTTTCTTCAAGGAGCATCTGGCCCACGTTTCTGCCATGGAGAACAGGTGTGACCTAAGTGCAGAGCCCTGAGCAGCTGACTTCTGCTTGGAATTCTAAACTAATGGTATTCATTTGTTTTTACTATTACCTTTGGCAGAGATGAGAAGTCCAAAGGCTATAGATGTGAGGCAAATGACAAAAATCTGATGTAGACAGGATGAAGGAAAACCCCATCTACAGCAGAGAGCTTCTACTCATCTCCAGTAGGTTATTTGCTTCGGGGTATTTAGCTCCAAGCAGCTCTATTCTTTCTTGTAAAAGAACCTATAAATTCAACTTTTACAAACACTGATTAAATATTCCACCCATCACCCCCACCCCACATATGCATGCACGGATGGTTTGGGGTTCCTTTTCCCTGTAGGACTCAAATGTCCAGTTGTCTCTGCCTCTGTTTGGAACTATGGGCTTTGTATTCCATTTGGCATTGTATGCTTCTATTCTTTCTTTGGTTGACAGAGAAGTTACTTTGTTTTTGAGCAAGGCTGTGTCTTTTTAACTTTCATGCCATATTTTGTTTTTCTTTGCTGTGTTTGAACAGGGAAGGGAACTCACAACACCATTTTGACAAGAAGCCCTGGTTCATACTCTTTCAACTAAATAATATACCCTTAGTTGAGATGCCTTTCTCTGGTATAATTTTGTCCATTTTCTCTATCTCATCTGCAAGAAATGAATCTGTTAAATTCCCTGCTGAAATTCGCATAGCATATGTCTACAGCAGTCCTCTCCTCTCTTAGTCTCTAGCAGCACCAGGAAGGAAAAAAATTAGGTTAGTTTGGCATATTTTTTCTTAGGGGGTTTATGCTGTTTTCAAGCAATCAGCACTTTCTTTGCTTAGGCTATCAACACATCTATTTAATAATTCATTTTAGAATTTTGCCAGAAATTAATAGCAATCTCATTGGCCTACCTCTCCTGAGATCCTTCTATTACTTTTTAAAGTTAAGATAGCATATGCCTGTAAATTTTTGAAATCTTTCCTATTCTCATAATTATTAAAACTATAGCTTGTATCAATGGAACAAAATTGAAGGAAAAGCTAAAATGTATAGGAACATCATCCAGATCGAAATGATCTTGACAAGTTAAAACAGTGAACTCAATTACATGAAATTTTATACGTTTTAAAAAGTATATCTTCTAAATATATATTAAATGTATAAATTATATATTTATAGAGTATATTATATAATATACTCCTAGATTTAAGCAAAAAAACAAATGAAAAAATTATGAAAAGAAATAAAAAACATTGCTCGATGGCCAATCGAGCAGGTTTTACAGGCATCCCCCCAGGTGGGGGAAAAAGGTTTTAGGAAGGAAAGCCACAGATGTATAATGTAACTGAGGGTAAGTGTGGTCATTTTACACGTGGGTGCTGTAGATGGCTAAACAGTTAGGATGTGGGGTGCTGGGTACAAGAGGCAATGTCCCTGTGCTAGCAGTGAAAATGATTTTTGCTTTCTCTTTCCTGCACCCCAGGACCAGACACATGACCCAGTCTAACCAGCATACTCCACCTGATACAGGGAGAGGTTCGGTGATGGACATGTAACTCTGAGCCCAGCAAAGTTCTCCCTGTGATATTATGTTGCTAAAAGAGGACCTTTCTGTCCATGCCGAGAAATCCAAGGTATCTGAGGGTCATATAATCATGCTATTAACAGGACTGAAAATCTGAATTCTCTACCTCAAATAAATGTTAGTAGGAACCAGGCAAAGAGGTGGGAAAAATAGCAGAAGATAAGATTGGGACCCAGGAAGATCCAGAGAAATACACAAAGACCACCTGATGTGTATTTTACTCAAATTACTTGTGCCTTATCTTGTCTGGTATATTGTTTTGAGTCCCTCTGAGGCAGGGACAAAATGGAAGCGGTTCTTTGAGAGCTAGAAGGATGATAAAGAGCAAGGTCTATTTCTAAGACACAGAAACCCTAAGAACAGGGTAATTATTGTTGGGAATAAAGTTTTTGATGTTGCAAAAAAAAAAAAAAAAGAAGAATTAAAATGGGAACAAATGATCTCTCAGCAAGGCAAGCTTTACTTTCTGCAGAAAGGGTGCTACTCAACAGCTCTCCAGTCACGAGAGCACACCAAACAAAGGAGACAAAGTTATTTATAACCTGATGAGTCTACCCTATTCTGTGTCCAGTTTCCATTGGCTGGAATAGGACCTCACATTTTACACTTTATCTGGTTGGCTATTAGTTTAAAACTTTTTTTAACTGGGTAAGGGGAACAGAACAAAGAAAGAAAAGGAAGTTGCCCAGGGATAGTTAAAGAAGCATCTCCAAATAAGGAATGGCATGCGCTATGGGCTGGGGCTTGTCTAGTTCTGTCCAGGCATGCCAGAGCAAGCTAGGACAGCTGATTTGGAATATATATATATATATATACTAATAGTGGATAGCAATCTTATAGTAGGAAATTATAACTTTTTATAATCTTTGAAGAACTTTCCCATTTCTCACAATCTTTAAAGACCATGGCTCAATCAATAAGATCTTTGGCACTGTTTATTAGCAAATTGGCCACTTATTGATTGAATTTTTAAGGAAGTTGTACTACCAGAAAAACCCCAAGCCTGTAACTTCTCAATCCAAAGAGCCCATAATGCTCCAAGTCTGCACCCTTAGCAAGTGAACTGTTAGATTTGCTAAAGGTGGGTGGTTCCACACAGAGAAATCATACAACACTCTTCTTGGACATGGCCACAGATGACAAGGAAGAAGCAGAACTGGGAATGCTGGGTTGGCCGTCTCAGTCCACTGCAGGTGGGGATTCCTCACTAATTCTGTCCATGCATGTGAGATATGATGTAGATCTCTGCATGTTGCCTTAACTTCTCTCTTTTTCCAACTGGGAGTTTGAATTAGTCATATTGTATTTCCCCTTTATATTGAACACACTTTTCCTGTGGAGGAATGCTTTAATAAATCATCACTTAGTAATGGGTTAAAGTCCATAGGAGTCACATCTGGTTCTGCACTAAAAGAATGCTTGTCATTTGGAGATCCTCAATTTACAGCTAGATGCAGGAAACATGGGCAGCTAAGTATCTCCTTTGGTAGAAGAGGCATGTCCTTTCTTTCCTGTCATAGATGGGAGGAATTGGCATCATGTGAGGGGAGTGCATATATGGGGCAATTGAAACATTTTTTACTATCCAGGGTCCCTTTTTTTGAGTAAATAGTCTTATTTCATAGTAATTCTGTTCGGTCCTATAGTTCAAGGGGAGCTGATTCCTTTCTCCCTACCTACTCAGTCCCTAGGAATGAGTGTTCGACCAAGAACTGGTGGGTCAGAATCCCCCATGCTCATAGCTACAGTGATTGGTTGACAGATGTATGTGTGACACACATCAGGTCAGGTAGTCTTCCCAGGGTCATTGAAACTGCTGGATTCAGCTGTGCATAAACATCTCTGGTGGACTTCTCAATTACTCCATTCTTAAAAATCAAGAGAATTTGAGTCTAAGAGCTGTGACTTGTTACTGAAAGTTTCATGACTAATACTCAGCTTCTTATAATGAAACTATTTCCTAACATTCAGAGCTTACCAGGAATGAAGTGGTCTATTTTGAGTTCCCTTTCCCTGGAGGTGATCCAGTAACTGGATGGCTGTATCTCTATATGAAATGCGTTTGTTTGCTACTTAAAGGGAGACATCTCTAAATTTCATCCAGTACTATACCCAGCTCTAGGTCCATTGCTCTAGGTGTATTGCCCTAGGAAAGAGTAATTCTTTCCGTCAAGTCTGACATGACTCTACATGGTGCCGAGGGATATATTCCCACGGGTTCCTGAATGAGAAAGAATGGATGGAGGTGGTTTTAAGTAAACCATCAATAATACGTGCCATACCACTAAGCAGAGATTTTTTTCTTTCTTTTTTAATTTTAAGATCCAGGGTACATGTGCAGGTTGTGTAGGTTTGTTACACAGGTAAACATGTGCCATGGTGATTTGCTGCACCTATCAACCCATCACCTAGGTATTAAGGTGACATGCATTAGCTATTTTTCCTAATGCTCTCCCCCCACCCCGGAGAATTTCATAGAGAGTATTTGATTCATTCTTTAAGGTTCCATTCAGACCTTATATGTTCTCATTCTATAAAATAAAAATTAAACAAAATCAGCCAGGTGCAGTGTCTCACACCTGTAATCTCGGCACTTTAGGAGGCCAAGGCAGGAGGATTGCTTGAGTCCAGGAGTTTGAGACCAGCCTGTGCAAATAGTGAGAATCTGTTTACACACATACACACACAAAATAAAATAAAAAATCCAGGCATGGTGATGCGTGCCTGTAGTCCCAGTTGCTCAGGAGGCTGAGGTGAGCAGATTGCTTGAGCCCAGGAAGTCAAGGCTGTAGTGAGCTATGATTGTGCCTCTGCATCCCAGCCTAGATGACAGAGCGAGACCCAGTCTCAAAAATTAAATAAAGTAAAATAAAATCAAAATGAAAATTAAACAAAATCAACTTAAAAGTTCTTTTTCCTAGTCTATTTTGTTTAAATGATATCTTCTTGCCTATTCCATCCTAGAGTTAGTACGTAGTTGCTCTAACCCCTTTTTCCACCGGGCATTAATCTATCTTCATTTCATAAATAGTAAGTGGGTACTGGGAATTCTCAAGCTTTATATAAATTGATACAGTTTGAGTTTACCTGGTTTTAGTGGAGATTACTGCCATGGAGTACAGATTTTTGTTATGAGGCATCTATATAAAGACATTTTAATTCCTGGAGCAACTTAGATTGCAAAAGGTTGAACATTTCCTTCTGTTACTCTTTTAAAAATTAATAATCCTAGTGCCTGTGGTTTGTGAAGTTTTATGAGAAGCCACGAAGAGAAGCTGTAGTATGAAAGGATGCTTATTAAAACCTACATACATTATGTATGAATTTGCACTTTTTTTGACCTCCTCTGCTGGAACTGTCCCAATCCAGATTACACCAGGCTGAGCTGCAAAACTCAGAGAAAACTACAAACCTTTTTAATTGGGGCATTAGGAAGTTTCAAAACACCAGTTCAAGAAAGCCTCTCAAGGCTTTAAGTTTCTCAAAATATATAAGCCAAGTTCTTGTGCAAATGCCATGTTCCACCCTGAGAAAGATAGCTGCAGTAACATTGAGCATGTCAGGCTGGCAGCCTCTCAAAAACAAGGATAGAAAGCCTGATTTTGTAGTCTTTATGAAATCAGCAAAATTAGGAAAATAATAAATGCATGGAATAGGGTTCTTCTTTGAGTTTATAAACTATAGATTCTCCATTTATCAGGCTTAGTGGACATAAATGAATAGTTGGTTAGTATAAAGGGAAGATAAAAGTAACATGGAAAGAACAGATGCTTTTTTTCAGGCACATTTAAAATTCTCAGAACCAGCTGGTTTGGAATTCTGGAAGAAGCCTTAATCTTTTAATCTGGTGAAAGGCATCTTTGCAGCTTGAAAGGTACAGAGACAAAAGGGGCTGCTTGTCTTCTCTAATAGCTGAAAGCTCCCATTTGGTGAGAAGGGGATGGTTTAAATCAGGCACGCAAAAATAAATTACTGAAACACCCACCTCTTCTCCTACTCAACTGCCTGAGCCAGGAGTTCAGGCTGGCAGGCACCCTCAGAGAACAACTCAGAGAAGATGTAACTATGGTGGGGCATTGATAGTGGTGGTAGAGGAAGGTCAGTCAGGGGTCAAGGCATTTTGCACATAAACACGTCCCCACCCCTGGGCAATAGGAAACTTTTCTTAGAGACCTAAGTACATATGAGTCAAAGATAAGCATCAAATCTCTGAAAACACAATTTTGAAAAATGCATTTTGGATTTTCTGTAGATCCCAAAGCATATTTGACCCAATTCCTAACATCATTTTCCACTCTGTAATCATTATCTGTCTGAACTTTTATATATAGCTTACATTCTGTTCTAGGTATTAGCTTGGCAAAAAGACTCTTGGAGAAATTAATTCCATCTTTTTTTTTTTTCAGTAAGAATTACTGAAAATACTAGGCACTGCACAGAGTGGTCAGGACAGAAATTAATCAACCCAGTTCTGCCCTGAAGGAATTAAAAGTTCAGTGGAAAAACATAAGCACAAAATTAATTAAGGATTCCGGTTAAAAATCCCTGATGGATACCACTGGTTTATCTCCTCTCCTTCCTCAAATCCTGCTAAAATTACATAATAATAAAGGAATAGAAACAGGTATTAATCCACAGGGGAAAAAGGAATAGAAGAAGAGACAACAGTAAATGAACAAATTCTCAAACTAAAGAAAGTAGATAGAAGAGAAGTAGCAGATTTAGAGGAATGGAAGATATTACCACCCAAAGGCCTGCTGAAGCTGAAAGGAAGGGAGAGATTTTCCCATACATTGTTACGGATACATATTGGGAATTGGCAGTGGGGACATCAGACATGACTACTGATTGCACTTTATTATTATTATTATTATCGAGACAGAGTCTTGCTCTGTTGCCAGGCTAGAGTGCAGTGGCGCAATCTTGGCTCACTCCACCTCCCTGGTTCAAGCGATTCTCCTGCCTCAGCTTCCCGAGTGGTGTGTGCCACCACGCCCAGCTAATTTTTGTATTTTTAGTAGAGATGGGGTTTCACTATGTTGGCCAGGATGGTCTCGATGTCTTGACCTCGTGATCTGCCCTCCTTGGCTTCCCAAATACAGGTGTGAGCCACCACGCCCAGCCACTGACTGCACTTTAAATGTATGACCACCAACCACTACTTTGCACTTTTTATAATGGTACTATTAGCCTTGGATGATGGCTAATCACATACCAAATGAATTTCACCCATTCTAGGAACAATGGAGCAGTGAGTGGAAGGAAGCTGGTGAGAAAGCACTTTCATTGGTTTGTATGGCAGAAGACACCCAGCTTCATTTGTGCCTAAACTGAAAGTGAGCTGATTTGGCTTTCATCTTCCAAGGGTCCCAAGGTTGCAGCAAGCCTCAAAAAAAAAAAAAAAAAAAA
Source organism: Homo sapiens (assembly GCF_000001405.40). Lineage (NCBI taxonomy): Eukaryota > Metazoa > Chordata > Mammalia > Primates > Hominidae > Homo > Homo sapiens. Next base: position 95,564,430 of record NC_000011.10, on the reverse strand, counting down.
GTAACTATGGAGAAACACGCTCTCTTGTTAGCATAAAATAATTAGCTAAGTACAAAGGGGAAGCAAACCAAATGGTGGAGGAGTTCCTGTTGTTTACCTCCTTTCCAATTCTGGATGATAGTTTCCAAAAGCAACAGGAAGGCAGTTTTGCCCCCAAGAATTTTCAAACCACATAAACCATTCCAAATTCCCTTTGATATGCCCCAGCTACCCAGCATTTTCGAAGAATGCAGCTCAGCTTCCTTTGCTTCTAGAAGTTATGAAGCACAGTAGCTTTAAATGGAAAGGTACATTCTCACCCCATGAGCCTGTGGAAGGCTCTGAAAAAGTAAGATAAAGGACTCATAGTTTTGCTTTGACTTTTCTTTTGTGACCCCAACTGTAAAATGTGAGAATGTTGAGTTGTGCAACTAGGGCAGGTCAGTGGGTGGTGTTTCCATTCCTGCTTTTTTTTTTCTTTTTGGACAATTCAGTAAGAAACAGATTAAATATTCATGGCTCTGTCCCTAGTCCTTTTTTGCAGACGCCAAAAGCTCTCAGGCTGTCCACAGAGACAAATGCAATTTTGCCAAATGTCTGTGGTAAGTTTTCCAAAGACGTGGAGGTGATGTGAACACCAAATCCAAATGAACATTAAAATATTTATTTTTATTAATTAAGATATTTTTCTGATTACATATTCATTGCCAGCAATTTGGGAAATTTAGACAAATATAAAGAAGGTAGAATTGATGGTAGCATGATGATTAATAAAATGTATGTGATGAGGTAAGAGAGAAGATTGAGTGAATTCTCAGGCTTCTAACTAGAACAAACTGGTGGATAGTGAAACCATTGAGATAGTGAGTACTCCAAGAGGAACATATTGGGATGAAAGATAAATTATTTAGGATATTTGGGTTTGTGGTATAAAAAGAATATCCAAATGATTAGATCTAGTAAGGAGTGGGAGAGATTGGTTAGAGCTTAGAAGAGATGAACTTCAGACACAGATTTGGAAACACTCTGAAAGCATATGGTAATGAAAACCATGGGAGTGGATGTGATATCCCAGAGCTAACGTGAAGGGTAGGAAGTAAGGCAGAGATGAGCAAGTGAAAAGGAATTCACAAAGAAGACTAAATGGAACATCCAGAGAACTAAGGTGAAAACTCAATGGGAAATGAGAAAACTAAGCCAGTCAATGTAGACAATATTTCCAAGAAACTTAGGAGCAAAGAGGAGCAGCAGGGTGGCCGGGTGCATATATGAAACTGACTCAAGAGATAGGATCTGAAATTCTCTATTCAGTCCCCTTTCATAATACAGACTAACTGAAACACTATAGATAATTCTATAGCATCAGGCTTAGCTTCTACTTCACACCCACTTGGAATAAACACAATTTTGTTTAAATCCAACACTCTACCTCCTACACACCAGCACTCATGCAGCTCCACATTGCTAGAGAAAAACACAAAATCGTAGTGATCAGCTTTACTTTAGTCTCATGAATATTAACCTCAAGCAGGTTTTAGTCCTGTCCCCACCCCATTGTATGCCCTGCTTGATTTACCCTCCCTTTCTCCTACATGACTACGCCATAGCTTCTTGTCCCTCAAAAAACCACCAACTTCTCCTACTCCATCCTCACTCTTAGCTGGAGACCTGGCTTCATATTTCACTGTGGAAAGAGAAGCAATTAGAAAAGAATTTCAATGAGCTCCAGACCACATCTCCCTATGGGTGTATAGACTCTGTTGGTTACTCTAGACGAATTGTCTAGGATTCTGTCCAACTCCTCCCTTTCAGCTCAAGATCCCATTCCATCTAACCCAGCTCCACCGCAAAGCTCCGCAGACTTTCTCCCATAATCAAGCATCTGAAAAGGTAATAACACCTGTCATCATTGGGTGTCTCCTGGACCAGCAACTGTTCTGAAGCCTGGTGCCCACACTGCATCTCCTGTCAATGATTTCCAATATAAACCCTGAATATGACCCAGGCTTATTTCTCCAGCTCCATCTTGTTTCACTCTCATCTGTGTGTTTTATGCTCCAGTGATGTAAGACTAATTATAATCTCCACCCAAGCTATCTGGTTTCTTTCCTGTGTGTCTTTGCTTCTGCAGTGTCCTTTACCTGGAATAATATTATTTATGCTCCACTCCCTGAGCCCACTTTCCCAAGCTTTCCTTCTTTGTCTGGGTAATTCCTCCCGAACATTAATACTGAGAGCTCATTCATTCATGCGTTCATTCAACTATCCTGCAAATGCTTGCCAAACATATTACGAATAAGGCATCATTCTAGGTATTTGTGAAATAGTAGCGAGTAAGATAAATATAGTTTCAACTTCTCCAATAAGACTTCCAGACCCTCCAGACTAGGTTCAGTTTTCTTTCTTTGAGGTCTCTGAATATCCTCTCTGTATATTTACCCCTCATCTATCTTATGTGATATAATTATCTGTTTATGTTCTGGTCTTTCTCATTCAGTAGATTTTGAGCACTTTGAGGCTGAGAACAGCACATTATTCATCTTTGTTGGAAAAAAATGAACATATAAAAATGCACATTTTTAACCATCGACAGTACAGAGCTTTTAATTTCTCTGTTATTGCAGTTGCCACATTTCCTGAATTTTCTATGGCAATTCTTATATTTTATTTATTTATTTATTTATTTCTGAGATGGCGTTTTGCTCTTGTTGTCCAGGCTTGAATGCAGTGGTGCCATCTTGGCTCACTGCAACCTCCACCTCCCTGGTTCAAGTGATTCTATTGCCTCAGCCTCCCGAGTAGCTGGGATTACAGGCATGCACTACCACGCCCAGCTAATTTTGTAGTTTCAGTACATTCGGGGTTTCACCGTGTTGGTCAGACTGGTCTCGAACTCCTGACCTCAAATGATCCACCCACCTCGGCCTCCTAAATTGCTGGGATTACAGGCATGAGCCACCCACCCAGCCTCATGGCAATTCTGATTTAAACTATTCTTTTCTCTTTCATTATCAGAATATGGAACTTATCAAGTAAACTGAGTTTCATTTGTGAACACACGGAGTTGTCTTATATATCACAATTTTTCATGAGGGGCTTCTTTGAGTACTGCCATCTCTTCCTAAGTCTATTAGTTCTTCTGGGGTATATTTTATACTACTAAGTTTTGTAAATTCTCTGACCTTCAGTTTCTTAACCTGTAAAAATGGGGATGATAACACCTCAAAGTTCTGCAGTAAGTATTAAATTAGATAATGTATGTAAAGCAGTTAATTAGCATCCTACCTAGTACACAGCTATTGGTAAATAAATGTTAGTTACTTCCCCCTTACTCAGCAGCTAAATTATTCATCCAAAACTTATGAAACCAAACAGTAAGTTATTTGTGTATATGTAATCTGGCTGGTACAGTGAAAGCTATGGATGCAGAAGAGCACATTAAGATCCTTACACTCTTGGTGCAAAGCCTTAGCATAAACAGAGGGCAAATCAATTCTAAGTTGTGTGGAATGCTGAACAGTCTCAGGTAGAATTTAGAGAGGAGAAATTATTAATAGAGAATCAGTGAAATTTGGCTAGACTAGGAAAAATTTATACTAGAACACAAAAGAAAGCCATAGAAAAGTATTCTAAGAGAAGAATTGTGTATTAGCCCATCTTCTGTTACTTAAAACAACATACCTGGAACTGAGTAATTTACAAGAAATGAGATTTAGTTATTACAGTTATGGAGGCTGGGAAGTTCAAGGTTGACAGTGTGCATCTGGTGAGGGCCTTCTTGCTGGTGGGGGACTCTACAGAGTCCCACAGTGGTGCAGGGCATCACATGGCAAGTGGGTTGAGGGTGCTCACATGCTATCTCTAGTCCCTCTTCCTCCTATGAAGGCATCAGTTCTCTTCTCCTGATAACCCATTAATCCATTAATCTATGAATGGATTAATTCACTTATGAGGGCAGAGCCCTTATGATCCAAACACCACTTAAAGGCACACCTCTCAATATTGCCAGGGATGCAACATGAATCTCCAACAGCAAGTTTCAACATAAGTTTTGGAAGGGATATTCAAACCCTGGTCAATGGGTTTCATTTCACGTGCCTCCTGAAGTGTTTGGCTGTGATGAGAAGGATGGTGAGCCCCAGCTCAGGTCCTGGGAGAAGGAATGCCCTGATGGATTGTCAGTGCCTGTTGTGACTATGGAGTGGGCTTCTGCAGGAGCAAGGCAGCAGGCTATTTGCTAAGGCTGCCCCCGAGTATCACAGAATGGTGAAGGAAAGCTATTTTTAGCTGTCCTCCTCAGAGGCTTTCCCTTCTGTTTTGATTTTTGGTTCCCTCATACTCTGGCTTATAAATCACCTCACTCTCCGACAGGCTGGTTGGGCAGGACTTGCTGCATTCTGGGAGCTTGGCAAGCTCACTGTCACAATTCTTGCAAGTTACAAAAGGTGAGAGTTCTGGCCAGTGAAGAGGTAAGGCTTGGGAGGGTGTCAGTGGCCGTATAAAGTAGCGTTATAAAGTGTCTGACTATTCCTGTTTTAAATATGCCACATTGTAAAAAGTAATGGCAAAATTATTAATCCCAAGAAGGCTTGCCTGTGGTCTTTTGTGTGGAATAAGCTGGCTTACCTAACAGTGGCTATTGACTTTCATGCTGACAAGCCTGGAACCTGGAATATTCTGCCATCTTTTAAAGCCTTCCCTAATGGTCTTTGAAATTATGATATCTGATTAGGCAGCTTTTGTGAGGAAGATCGAGTCACTTCAAATGCGGCTAGAAGGGAACTCAAAGGGTTACTTAGCACTGAGCCATAGCAGTAAGAAAAGAATCTAAATTAATCTTGTTAAAAAGTTCTAGAAAATTTTAAATTTTGATATCTCTCTAAAAGACATTTATGCTCCATGAGGAATACAGAGTTGGGCCTCTGAGAAAACTGAGCAGAAAATCAGGTCACAGAACTTGCTATAGGACTTTATGAAGGGTCCATATTAATTCTCACATGTATGCATGTCTATGTGTAGGGTCTATGACACATCAGCTGCAAGGAAGGAGCTGCATTTTTCTTGTCCCCTCACAGATGGCATCATAAAACAATTTATTCAATATACTATTAGAACCTATCAAGGTGGCCTAATGTTCCCCAAGCAAACCTACAAAAAGTAATCGTCACTCAAAGAAGAAGAAAGAGGAAGAGGAGGAAGAGGAAAGAAAAAAAAGAAGAAAGTTAAATTGCTATGGGAGCAGACAGAAAAGAATGTCTGATGCTCTGCTGGGAGATAACGTTTCCAGATGTGAAAGTACAAACTTACCAGGTGGATATCGGAGTGGATGGTGTGGGTCTGAATTCCAGAAAGAGGAGCAGCTGGTGCAAAGGCCTGGATGTGTGATGGAGCCCAGTGTGTTTCGCAAGGCTGGAACAAGGGGAATAGCAGGGAAGTTGTGAGAGACAGAACCAGAGAAGATATTCTTAGGCTCAGGCCTACCATAGAAAATAGGAAATCCAGAAGCCATTCCTGCTCTGTTATACATGTAGCTGACTCTCTTTTTCCTATTCTTCTTGCTCTTTCTCTACTCTTCATACCAACAGTGCCTTCAACACTGTTGAATTATCACGACATTGTTATGACAGCTGCCCAGTAACCATTGTTCTTTAGTAGCAGTGACCTAATTTCCCCTGGAGAACCATCCATTTCTCACTCTCTTACCATGGAGTTTGGATGTAGCTGGGCTCATCTCCTAACTCTTAAGTTGGGTCCTGAACCTAATGTTGGGAATCTTTCTGCCTCTTTAGAGGAAGAAGTACTCCATAAATCACACCACCCTCCTGTCTTTGGGGTAGGTGGACTGAAAGATGTTAAGCCTGGAGGTGCTCTTAATTATATTTGCTGCCATTTGAAGAACTGGCCTGAGAATAAAGCAATGTTGAGGACAATAGAGCCAAGAGATGGAGAAAGACAAATGACATTTGTTTTTTGAGTACCTGGATCTAGCTATGGATGAAGCCACTTCAGCTCCTTGTTTTTCTGTAACATGAAACAATCCTGTTTACAATTAGATACATGTTACCTGCAAACACAGTGGCCTCTAAGGCCCTAGCTCCCTATCACCTCAGTGACTTACAGTGCCTTGGAGCATTTGATAACTTGATTCAACTCAAGAACCTCAGTCTTAGAAATCGTTAAGTGCTCCGAGGAGAACAGTTACTCAAATGGGACATGTTTGGCCTTTATGGCTCCAAGTGCCCTCAACTATTCTGACTCCCTACCCTGCATCTGTTCTTTAATAAATGCTTGCCGGGGACATTCATATGGAAGAACTGTCCAACTCTGAGGCTAAGAACTCCAGCTGTAAGTGATAAGGTTCCTTCTGAGGATGCATCAAGAGCATGCCAGCTCTAGGGGTCTTGCTACTTCCACCATGCCCTCTGGTCACCTTAGTTCTAGGCAGCTACTCTTTAGTTTACTCATCCTAATTTCCTCATCCTGGTTAAAAACATCATTATTCTTGCTGGAATATCAACTACTGGCTGACAGCAGTTATCACTCAAGCCTGCCTAACCACTTAAGCTAGAAAGATTAAGAGGAGTTGGAATCCAACAGACTTTAGTTCAAATCTGGGTTAACCAAATAATTCATTATTTGACTTTGGGCAACTTCTTAGCCTCTATGAGCTTTAGTTTCCTTATCTATAGAATGGGGCTTATAATCAGTACCCAATGCAAGTAATTGTTGTTTGGACTAAATACAATCTAAACAACAATAATCATGGTACACCAAGCCTGTCACTCCAGTTTATCATAATGTGACTTCTACTTGATTTTCCCATCTTTCTCCATGATTCCTTCCCCATTCTTATGGAAACTTCCTCATTCTTATGAAACTGCATCAGTTCCAACCTCACAGATGCAGTCACCAATCTGAATGTGCATGCACAGCTCCATCACTGTGACTTTGACTCTATAGTTCCTTTCACCTGAAATGTCCTATTATCCTTCTTCAAGACTCAGCTCAATTTTACCTCTTCTATGAATCGTTCTTTTACCAGGTCAGCTCCTAACTCTTTGATCTCCTGGAGAACTTATGGCTGAAAGCTATCCATTTATCATCCCGTTTTGAACATTTGCTTTCTTTAATATTTTGTATCCCCAACTAGATTGCACCCTCCCTGACCCAGTGTCTTACACATAGATGGCACTCAACAAATATTTGCTAAATGCTTTATTTTCCTTTTATGTCATTGGGTAACACTGAAATTCTAATAACTAAATGTAAAAAGACAACCTACCTCCCCAGCACCATAACCACCACAAAAGGCTGTACAGCTTAAGTTAAGGCCTGTCTTCTGCTTTTGAATTTGCAATTGGAAACATATGGTGATTTGGAACATAGCCATTTTTTTTCTTTTTTTTTTCTGTCTAAAGAAACCTTTAAAGCCTCACTAAATATGTCAAGAAACAGCAATGAAAATGTCAAGAAATTGTAATATTGCTTATTGCAAAACACACACACACACACACACACCCCACTGCTGATGTGTTTATGAAGTTCCAAGTTGAAAAAACAAGGGCTAATTTTAGATTCTGGTTTTTTCCTTCAAGTCATAATAAGAAAAAATACAAACATCAACTGAAACCCCAGTGCACAAAACCTCTTAGTCATACCCAGTAGGCACTTTCAAAAACCAATTTTCTAGAGAAAGGATTGTAATTCGTAGCTCATTGAATCACGAATCCTGCTGCCCTGATGAATAGAAGGGATTGAAAGAACCACCACTGGAGTCCTGTGGCCCAGTCTTGAATGCAGATGTCAAAAATGGGAGCCACGACTTGGATGTTGTTTTCTCACACATTTTCCAGCTCGTTGAAACCCTGCAGTGCTTAAGATGACTTTGAAGACCCCAACTCAGGAGAAAATGAGCAACCCAGTTCTCAGTGACAGGAATGCCAATCTTTTGACATCCTGATAATCATCACAGCAATCAGTGGGGAATCAGGTATTGAAACTTAGACTTCACTGGGGAAATTCCCATCCAGTGCAGAGGAGTCTTTATTAAGAAAGCTCTGACTTTCTAAACACTCTGGTATCAGTAGCTCAATTCTCATTGCGGAAGACAGAGTGGGGAGGCAGAGTGATTGTTTCTGGATAATCCTGCTTTCTCCAGGGGGAATTCCTGACTTCTGGGCTACTGGTGTCCCAGAAGCAATGCCATCCTCTCCAGAACCATCTCAGAAGAATGACATCATCATGCCCTTACTCTTTGTTCTCTCATTTCCCTGCTTTCTTATAAACATCAGTAAATATATTAAAGCCAAGGCCAACAGAACCTTCAAAAAGATGTCTGTGTGTCATAGAATCATGGATCCCTTATGTCTTTACTGGAACTTGCTTTTTTTTTTTTTTTTTACTGTAATCACTGGGGCTTCAGTGATAAGATACCTTCATCACTAGCCAAAACATTATTCAAGAACCAGTCGAAATCTCGGATTCTTTATGAGCCCTTCCTCGGCAACTTTGGTCTTCTGGGAACCTTCTCTCCTCTCAGCCTTAGAAAACGTATTGATTAAACCTTCATTTGTTATTCACTGTGAACTTCTTTATTTTTTTGTGTGGGCAAGACTTTTCTTCTCAAATCGGTAGTGTCTTGTCTTATTTTATCATAAAGTTTAACAGAACCCTGAAGCCAGATGATCTGCGTTCCAGTGTGGCTTTGACACTTTCTAGGTGTGCAACACTGAGCAAGTTACCTAACTTCTCTGTACTTCACTTTCTTTATCTGTAAAATGAGGCTAGTAATGATATCTATCTCATAGAAAGGTAATGAATATTAAAGCAGTTAATCGATGTGAACTGTGTGGAACAGGCCTAGGAGACAGTAAGCACTAAATAATGCTATATATTAACTCCCTCAATACCTCTCACAGCAGTCCATACCATAGCTGATTCATTCATTTAACAAATGTGTATTGAGTGGCTACTATATTTCAGGGACCATTTTACAAGTTAGTAATGCAGGGGTGAACAAAGTTGATGAAGCTATTTCTCATGGAATCTACTCTCCAGAGAGACATATAATAAATAAATAAATAAATAACATGGTAAAACATAATTTAATACAACATAATAGGATATGGTTTCAGATAATGTTGTGAGCACTGGAGCAGCAGCATAGGGGATAAAGTGCGATGGGGGACTAGTCTACGAGAGGGTGGGGACACATTTTAAGTATTCACTAAGCATTTAATTGCCAAATCTGGAGAAAGAGGCTCACTGGCAACCCATCGGAAAGCTTGAAGCTGTGCATGACATGTTCCTTTCTGAATGTCCAATTAGAAAGAAGACTGTGAAGAAGGAAGTAAAATGGTAAAGTAAGCTAAATGTGTCCTGGGCAGCACATCTCCTGACTTGACATTATGTGTCCCTTCCTCTAATTCTACTTCTAAAATCATGTTTGCTAATTATAGCTGCCCAGAGATGTTCGGTGAAATTTAATCAATGATTTAATCTTCAGAACTTTCCTTTCATTTCCTAATCAAAGTTGACCAGTAATCCTAAATCCCCTTTCCTGAGGCCTCTGATTCTCTGCATTTCAGGATTAGACCGATTTATTTCCTAAACTATTCCAGGAATGTTTTCTAGTGGTGCTTGTGTGTAAAGGGGGAAAAAGCCTGGTTGCTCTCAGGCTATATTTCTGCTTTAGTGATGGCTATCTAATAATATGGTCCCAACTCAAGTAATTTGTATAATAACATCAATTTTTAAAAGCAAGACTGAGAAAAGATATCTTAGGGGCAGGTGAAACCTTGTGATACCTGAAAACAAAATCTCACAATATAGGCTGCATTCTTGTTCTAGAAAGTATAATTTTGTGGTTAATTATGATTCTGGAATCATACAGATCTGCGTACAAATTGTGGCCCCCGCCAATTACTTGCTATGTGATTTCCAAAAAGTAACCGTTTCTCAGTTTCCTCATCTGTAGACTGGGCAGACTAATGCTACTTCTTTTCTGGTTTTTAATAAGAATTAAATGAGTTCATGCAAGTAGCACATTTGGTACAGTATCTGATGTATTTCAAATACACAATCATATCTTCTAAAAATCTGTTTGTACAAATACAAAGTCTCTTTGTTTGACCAAAAGAGAGATTAATTTACACAGCTGCTCTTCAGAATGGAGTTTTTCATAGCAAATGTGAATATGGTTCCTTTCTTGACCTAACCCTAGGCAGGAAACAGTTTCCTTAGGTTGGGCACATTGTAATTGTGGTAAAACTGTGTAACCTTATTCATAACATGTCGTGTTTTGTTTGATGGTTTACAAATATTCTAAAGAGCTTGACCCATCAAAGAAGCTAGAGGTTGCCAGTTAGAGGAAACAGTCTGTAACTGAGAAACTTTCGAGTGAATAGCTTAAAAGAAAGAAAATACAAATAATTTCTTCACACCTCCATTAAAGGAGAGGCTCAACTCATCCGGGAAAGATGGCAGCAGGGTTCAAGGTGCCTTTGGAGAGAAATTGGGAAGAGTTTATGTACTGGGTAACGTGGTGTGAATGGGGTGGGGTGGAGATAAAAGATTTCCTGGAGTGTATCGGGGAATGGGCTACACCTGGAACTGGGAAAAAAGGCTTGTAACTTTACTGATGAGAGAAACATAGTTGCCGTTCTCTACATAAAAAGAAACCAGTGTTTGCAGCAGTTGAGTGAAGATGCAGACATTTAAATGATACTGAGATGTTTGTATTTTCTTTGACGGAGCCACCTCTTGTACCAATCTAGCAGCACCATTCTCAGGGGAGAGAATACAACATGAACGGGACCTCTGGAGCATAACTCCACTGTGTTTTTGTGAATGGAGTCCCCAGGAGTTGTGAAAGGCAAAAGCCTTGTCTTTAAGCTATTGCTCAAATTACATTATTTTTATTGCTTATAAGAATACATCACTGAGAGTGTTGTCTTATTAGTAAAATAGTGTTTGCCAGCCTATGAAAGCAATTAGTGATTCTCAAAGTGTGGTCTCTGGGCCACCTGCTTCCGAAATCATCTGGGGTGTTTTCTTCTCTTTTCTTTTCTTTCTTTTCTTTTCTTTTTTTTTTTTTTTTTTGAGATGGAGTCTTGCTCTGTTGCCCAGGCTGGAGTGCAGCAGAGTGATCTCAGCTCACTGCAACCTCTGCCTCCCGGGTTCAAGCAATTCTTCTGCCTCAGCCTCTTGAGTAGCTGGGACTACAGGCGCGCCCCCCATGCCTGGCTAATTTTTGTATTTTTAGTAGAGAAGGAGTTTCACCATGTTAGCCAGGATGATCTCGATCTCCTGACCTCGTGATCCACCTGCCTCGGCCTCCCAAAGTGCTGGGATTACAGGCATGAGCCACCGCGCCCGGCCTTGGGGTGTTTTCTAAAATGCAGATTCCTGGGTCCCACTTGAATCTTCTGACTCTATGGGGAATGGGGTCCAACAATCTGTTTTCCAAAGCATACCAGCTTATTCTAAAACACATTACAGTTTGAGGTCCAAAGAAATAGAAATTGTCAGAGACATAAGAGTGAATTTAAGAAAAAGAGCAGAGCAAATAATATGAGTAAGGCAGGTTGATTTAATTACTTCCTTTTATCAGAACTTTAGAAGTATATTCATCATAGATTTTCTCAGGTCGACTCCTGTAACTAGTTTGGTCATTCCTGAGTTTAGAGAAAGTATTCCTTTTAGATACACTCTTTTGTGTCCTAGAGAACCTGAAGTAACCTAGCTTAGTATGGATGGAAGAGAGTCATTTTAATGAGAAGACTCAATTTTAAAGACATGGATTTAGATTGAAAAGAGCTTAGCTACAGTCTGAAACAGCAAAGAGAAAATGCTTTCTATGTCCTAAAGGGAAAACAAACAAGCTAAAATAAACAAAATCAACAGCAACCAAAAACAAAGTAAGAACAAAACCTCTCTTTTTAAAAGCAGCTGCTGGAAGTTTGTACCCTTTGACCCAAATCTCCCCATTTTCCCTATCATCCAGCCCTTTCAGTTTTCTTTTTGTTGTTGTTGTTGCTTTTTTGAGATGGAGTCTAGTTCTGTCACCCAGGCTGGAGTGCAGTGATGTGATCTTGACTGACTACAACCTCCGCCTCCCAGGTTCAATTGATTCTCCTGCCTCAGCCTCCTTAGTAGCTGGAATTACAGGCGCCTGCCACCACGCCCCGCTAATTTTTGTATTTTTAGTAGAGACAGGGTTTCACTGTGTTGGCCAGTCTGGTCTCGAACTCCTGACCTTGTGATCTGCTGGCCTCGGCCTCCAGCCCTTTCAGTTTTAAGATGAATAAGTACTGGAGACCTAATATATAGTATAGTAACTACAGTTTAGAAATAATATTTTGTATATTTGAAATTTGCTGAAAGAATAGATCTTAGGTGTGTGTTCTTAACACACACACCAACATGCACACACACTAACTATGTGAGGTGACGGACGTTAATTAGCTTAACTGTGATGCATACATCGAAACGTTGTACTTCTTAAGTATGTACAATTTTTATTTGTCAATCTCAATAAAGTTGCGGGGGATGATACTTCTGAAAATGAAAGGTAAGAAGAATTCCATCTATATTCTTAAAGAAAAACAAAAGTTTAAAAAAAAATAAAAGTAGCTGCTAAATGTCATATTTTAGGATGTCCCCAGACTGCTATGTGTCTCTGTAATGTTGGTTCAAAGCAGGGAGCAGAAATTCTTCATTCCTTCTGTGCCTGGTGAGAGAGGATTAAGTTCAGTCCTTTCTGGGATTTGGGTCTCTGATGGACATAGTGGTGCATCACCTAGATTCCACCATAGAGATGACTGACTGACCCTCCCAGCTGCTGGGAATGCTACTGGCTGGGATACCCAGCATCCCTTATGGGGATTACCTCTGCTCGAGAGGGCTGTTTGGCCCAAAGTTGTGCCCCTTTCCAGAGCAGCTCACATTTAATGACTGCTCCAAGTAGAAATATAAAATCTTGGCTTCCTTATCCTTCAGGACAACCCTGAAGGGTCAGTCCAGCTTCAAAACTCCCTTTAGGGTTGGCTGCGGTCTCCAACGAAACTGAATCACAGCTCAACTTCTCCCCCCACACAATTCTTTCTTCTCTTCCCTTCTGCAGGTGTTGATCCCAATAGCACTCCTTAATAAACCTCCCACATATTTACCCTAGTCTTTTCTGGCTGCTATAAAAACATACCTTAAACTAGGTGGCGTATAAACAACAAGAACTTAATTCTCATAGTTCTGGGAGCCGGGAAGTCCAAAATCAAGGCACTGGCAGATTTGGTTTCTGGTGAGGGCTGCTCTCTGGTTCAAAGATGGTGCCTTCAGGTTGTGTCCCTCCCTGGTGGGAGAGGCCAGGCAGCAATCTGGGCCTCTTTTGTAAGACTTTCTAATCCCATTCATGAGTGCTCCACCCTGATGGCCTAATCACCTCCCAAAGTCCCCATTTCCTAAACATAATCACATGGGTAATTAGGCTTCAACATTTGAATTTTTGGTGGACACAAACATTTAGACCATAGTGATGCCCAACTCTATCTCAGAATCTGTTTCCTAGAGAATCCACCCATGTCTCCTCTTCTGTAGAGTCAGATTAGGGCAAGCATCAGGAGGAGGAAAGGACTCATTTATATCATTTTTTCCATCCCAGGCTCTGATCCTGGAGGTACATAAGCATGTTCCTGTTAGTCCATGAAAGGTTCTATCCTGTTATGGGAGTCTGACTGAAACTTCATTCTTTCCTTCAAATTATCTGAATGATTTCATCTGTCACTAGAATTTTACCCCTAAAGGACTTGTCCCAGAAATATCACATTGCTACTCTAATCACCATGTTAGACCTTTGAAATTAAAGATGATAGGGTTTTTTTTTCTGTCAGAGAATCAAAAACAGAGTTCCAGTTGATTAGTTGATTCATTCATTCATTTATTCATACATCCATTCAACAAATGTGTTTCGGGTGCCTATCATGTCTCAAGCGCTGATCCAGGCTGCTTTGGAACTAAAAACTTGGCCTGTTGAAGTCTACTTTCTAGACAGAAAAATAGAGAAGAGACAGAAAATAAATGCAAATAAATAAGTAAGTTGATTTCAGTTAGTGGTAAGGGTTATAGAGATAATAAAAGAGGATAATGTAATATAAAATTATTCTGGACAAGTGTATCAATAAAATCTTGGGCAAAGAAGCAATCTTTGAATAAATTTCTAGATGGGAAGATCTGGGCAGAGGCAATAGAAAGTGCAAAGCCTATGAAATGGGGAAAATCTTGGGAAAAACCCCTGTATGTCTAGAATATGGCAAAAATGGGGGCAGAAGATGAATTCAGCAAGTAGGGCAGAAGTGAGATTTTTGCAGAGCACTGTAAACCACGGTGAGAACTATAGATATTATTTGAAAGGCATTAGGTTCTTAAGCAGAGGAGTGACTTGATCCAATTTACATTTCAAAAAGATAACTAGCAGAAGATGAGGAAGATGTATCCTAAGGGAGCAAGAGAAAGAATCAGAGTAACCATTGAGAAGGTAGTTCTAGTAGACTGATAAGAACGGATAGTGCTTGTATCATGGTGAGATCTGCAAAGGCAAAGAGAAGGGCTTGGACTCAGAGTGATTTCAGAGATACAGAAGACAGGACATGCTTGTGGTTTGGATATGGTGTATGAGGGAGAAAAAATGAAAAAGGATCATGACTCCTAGATTTTTCAGCCTAAGTAATTGGGTAGGTTCTGCTGCCATTTTATGAGACGAGAAGACGGAATTTGAGTCTCTCTATAAATGATTAATGTGTTTTGCCTTGAGCAGCCACTGTCTTTTCCTGACAGAAAGACTGACAAAGACACTGCTGGATTTTTCATCCTTCTAACAGCCTCACCTGCCACCCCTGGGTTATTGTATATACCACAGAAAGCCAATCTGTACTCCTGCCAGAATTTCTCCTGAAACTTGTTATGCTTCAGTGTTTCAGGACACTGTATTATAAATGAGTAGCTAAAGGCAAATTGTAATTAGGGACAAAGGTAGTGGGGCATGCAAAGTTGGCACCACAATGAGCTCAGCATCCCTGTACAGGTGCCAGTTCTGTAGAACACTGGCATTGCTGTTCTACTGCCAAGATGGAACCACCTCCCACCACTCATCCCAGTGGGTAAAGGGAGAGGTGGACCAATCAAATATGACACTTTCAAGATCCCAAACCGGGTAATACTTATTCGATTATGGACCCATCTTTCATCAGGTACCAAAGAAGAAACAGATGATTAATCAGTTCAACCAGGTTCAAGTGTTTTTTTCTAAGGACAGTAGCAGAAAGTAGGGCTTTAGTTGAGAGTTCATTAGTGAGACTAATAGCGACTTTGAGAGTGCTCTATATTTATTTAACATCAAGGCCTTTTATCAAATGGGATTTGCTATCTTAACTGTGGAAAGTTTATTAGAAGTTTTTGTGACCACTTTTTTTTGTTCAGAAAAGTACTTTTTCTCTAGGTTGTTATTGAGAATCTCTTCTCTATTATCCCCTCACATTTTGTGCTGCCCTGGGTTTGATTAAATTTTCTCTTTTTCTATTGCTGTTCATGCCGGTGCATAAGTCTTGGAAATATACATTTCACAGACTCACTTCACTGCTGGCTTTATTATTCCCTTTTTTCCATTTTTCTCATCATTTTGATTTCATATATATATATATACACACACACATATATATCTTTGGAAACTTCCTTGAACAAAGGAGAGTTTATATCCTGCATATATTTATATTTATATGTGCATTCATATATCTCCTGGCAAGAATTCACTTTCTCTTTGGGCCCCAGAGAAAAGGTCTTGGGGCAAGGGAATCTTTCCAACACAAAACCACAATTCTCAAGCTGGGATATGCATTAGTGTTTGAGGGAAAAGATGAAGTCTTAGGGAAACAAAGCATATTTTCTGAAATATCAATTTTAATTGGTGATCTTTTGGATATTTTTCCTATTAAAAAAGAAACACTATATTAAAATGAAAGACCTTCAAGAATTTTAAGGATGAAATATGTGTGAAAAATAATCATTTATTCCACATACTTCCAAGCTACATCTTAACTAGATTCTTTTATTCACAATAAAGTAGAAGCTTCATGATTTCAAGAGCTACAGACCACCCTGCTTTTTACCAAAGGTAGGATTTATTTGCAAATTGAAATGGTTTGGATGGCTGAGCAGACATAGTTCCTTGGTCTTTGAAGGAGCTCAGAAGGGTTTGCCACAACCTGCAGACAAGGCCATGGGTGTGGCAAGGCAGTGGTTTTAAAAGGTAGGGGGGTTATGTCTCTGTTTGAACTTGCTAGAAGGCAGAAGATTTAAGGATGTCACCTTAAATGACATCCAATAATAACTTATCATAACTCTAAAAGAAGCACAAAGAAGAAAAAAATCCACTAAAATAAAAAAGATTTTAACAAATAACCATTTGCAGAAATTACTTGTTCTTGTTCTCTTTAAGTAGCTATCTTTAAGGGAGAGATTGTCTTTGTCTGGGTTTCTCTAAAATCTGCCTCTGAGACAAGCATTTGGGTGCCAGTATTTTATTTGGAAGGAGGTCCTGGGAAACATGTAAGACAGTTGGAAAGTTAAGCAGTGGAGACAGAAATGTTAATAAAGTATGTGTTAATAATCAAGTCACCATTAGGGCAAGTGAGACAAACCTATCAGGGTTCATCTGAGAGACTATGTGTTAGCTGGGTCCTGCAAGAAACAGGCTCCAAGACAGCATCAGATGTGCAAGAGATTTGGTAGAACAAATGCCTCTGAGGCGGAAAAGAAATGTAGCGGGTGGAGGTGGGGAGAGCGATCAGACCACAATGGAGGTGTCCCCTGTGAAAGACAAGGAGAAGTAAAGAGGATCACACAGGATGACTCTCAGACTACAGTGCAGTTCTAAGAAAAGTTCAGTCCAGCCAATAAGAAGCATGGGGCCAAAGCCATCTGCCAGAGGAGATCCACATCTCTCAGAAACGGGCTTTGCTTCAGTGTTCTAGCTGCTTTTAGTCATTGGCTAGGAGCTAATGTGTGTGAACTGTGACTTCAGCATGAATGCAGCCTTTTCCCTCAGGGGCATTTCCCACAACAAGTCTCTTACAAATGTAATCCCATGTTATCGTCTACTTCCTAAATAATCTAAATGAACACAGTGGTACTGAAAGCTGTCCAAGAAGACAGACAGTAAAATGAGGCCTCAGGACTGGCATACTCATACTCACTGGACAAAGAGGATGCCATCCTGAATGGTAACTGGGGCCTGGGTAGTCCCAGGCACAAAGTGGCAGCTCATTTACTAACAATGTCACCAATGGTGACATGGAAAAATGTCCTAGTGGAAGAGGTCACCACTGTGGGTGCAACCATTCAGGTATTTGAAAGATCTGGGGAAAAATGCCTGCAATGACAGTGGAGTTGGCTGGAGACTGCTAAATTATACTGATACCTCAAAGAGCATGAAAAACAGAAGGTTATTGACAAGTAGTAAAAGGCTAAATGTGAGAACCAGAAAGCCTTTTTGGTAGCTTACAAAGAATCACTCATCTTTAGCAGTAGAAAGCACACACAGCTGAACAGACTGAAGTTCTGATAGAGTTACAGGGATCAAAGGACATATGAATGCTAAGTTAAGGAAGATCTGTTGTTTTAAAGTTACGATCCTGGTTAGGAGAACTTTGGGACACTGAAACATGGGATAGGGACATCTGAATGAAGGTTTTGAGGGCATGGGTTCTGCAGACCTCTGCATATCCTCAGAGCCTGCAGAGGTGGTTCATTCATACCTAGCAAGAGCTAGCATTTCAATGCAGTGGAAGACACTGCAGAGGCCTCTTTTCGGCAAGGCAGCAAATGCCCTCCTCAGGAGCTTCCCCAGTCTCTTATGCTGGCTGTCAGGCAGATAACTAGGGTTAAAAGCCACCATAACCCAATAGGGAGTATGCTGAGCCTGAAACAGATGGACAGAAACTCTCTACCTAGGAATTTTCATGAATTAGCTAGCACGTGCCAGCAGAAGCAAATGCAGTATCATTGAGATTGAATTTTGAGAGTACTTGATCAAGAGAGCTGTAAAACTGCATAAACAAGAATTCATTCATATGGGGGCACTTTCTTTGGACATAGGCTTTAACATCCCAGAAAGAACCCCAGAGAATGGGATAAACTTGCTGCTAGGGTGGCTCTTAGAAGCTCAGAAAAAGTGATAGCTAATGTTGAATGAAGCAGAAGTGCCTAAGTTGCCCTGAAAGAGCACAGAGGAAGAAACAAAGAGGTTGAGGAAAGTGAGAATCCTGACATGGATATATTCTGTAAGACCAGAAGATGCACTAGAAGAGTATGCTTCACAGGAGGGTCCAGAGGACATACCTTGCATGAAGGCTGCCAGGCATGCACAGGTGAGAGGCCACCAGCATGAGTGAGAAGTTCAGTGGTGGCTATCCTCTGCAGGCTGATGGTAGTAGAGGTAATCACCGAGTTTTTAATAGCTATGGGAATGATATAGTCCCCAGATAACAAATATCCGGTACAGCACTCAACCACCAGAAGGCAGGAGCCCACAATTACCATAATGACAGGCAAGGAGGTTGACACAGAAGGAATCGTGGAAATGGTTAAAAGAGCTTAGCATCCGTGTGAGCAAGATAGACGAATAGCCAACAAAGATGCTGCTAAACATCTACGACCAAAAAGAAAAAGAAAGAAAGAACAAATTAACGGAAGAGCAGGACACTGACTGAGGGTGGTCACCCAGTAAAATGTCATGATCCTGGACCTGAGCCAATTTTCAGATCAGAAGCTCGTTTGCTGAAGAGGAGGTCAGCTTTCTAGGAGACAGGGCCCTAGGATGCCACGGCAGATATAAATTATGATGATTCTTTGAGTTTCCTCCCAAAGGGATTTATAGCTATTATTAGATGACTGTACACTGTGAAAATAGAGGTACCCAGATTTTTTTTAGGACTAATGGACAGAGGGTCTGAGTCAACATAGTTAGCTGAAGACCTAAAGCACATTATGGCCCCTGTGTTAGAAAGGGAGCTTAGGGGAGCCAGGTAATATGGAGTCCTGGCGAAAATGTGGCTCCCAGTGGACTCAATAGGTTCAGGAACCCACCTAGTGGCCGTTTCTCCAGTCCTAGAGTGTATAATTAAAACTGATATACTGGGCAGTTGGAATAACCCTGACATTGGGTCATTTGCTTGTAGGGTAAGAGCTATTACAGTGAGGAAGTATAAGTAGATACCTATGAAACTGCCCATGACCCTGGCCTAGCTAGTAAATCAAAAGCAATGTTACATCCTCTGTGGCATGGCAGAGGTTAGGGCCACCGTTAAAAAGCTGCAGGATGCAGGAGTGGTGGTAATCATCAGGTGTCCATTTAATATGCTAGTCTGGCTCCTGCAGAAACCAGATGGATCATGGAGAATGAATGACTTCACTGGCATAACCCATTCACTGAAGGCATAGCCTAGTAGTAGCCCCAGTTGCAGGTGCTGTGCCAGACATGTGTTGTAGCTAGAAAAGATTAATAAGCCTTTAAATCCCTGGTATGTAGCCATCGATTTGACATATGTGCTGTTTTCTATTCCAATTAGAAAAGAGGATCAGAAAGACTTTGCATTCATGTAGAACAGACAGCAATATTCATAAGATCTGTTGGATCATATGGCTGAAGTTGCAGGGTTTTGCCTCAGGGATATGTTAGGTCTCCTGTCTTGTGTCATGATATATTCATAAGAGATATGTATAATCTGAATATCCCATAGATAACCACTAATATACAATGTGGATGACCTCATGCTATTCACACAAGACAAGCAAAAGTGACTCATTTGCTTGAAGCCTTCTAAGACACATGAGCTGCAGAGAATGAGTAATGAACTTTATGAAGATTCAGAAAAACTGTCACTTCATTGAAGTTTTTAGGGGTGCAGGGCTAAGGGACATGACCTCCAAAGTAAAAGGCAAATCAATGCATCATCTGTCTTCTACCACAAAGAAGGGAATACAGCAGCTATCAGACCTCTTTGGAATCTGGAGTATTCCACAAACTAGCAATACTACTCCAGTTCACTTAATGAAGCTGCCAGCTTTAGGTCTAGAACAGAAAGGGGCTGTGCAGCAAGCCAAAATTGCTGAGCAAGCAGCCCTACCATTTTGGCCATACGATAGAGCAGTCTCTGTGGTGCTGGAGGTTCCCGTGATGGGAAAAGACCCAGCATGCAGCTTATGGCAGCTTCGGGGAGAGAATCACAACCTTTCCATCTACAGCAAAGGATGATGCCTTTTGAGAAACAGCATCTGTTCTATTGCCCTGGTAAAGACAGAATACTTAAGTATGGAGCATCAAGTGACCGTAGCAGTGGAACTGTCCATTATGAGGTGAATTCTGTTGGACCTCCCTAAGTCACAAAGTCAGACAAACACAGCATTTATTTATTGGAAGATGGAAGTGGTATGTTCAGGATAAAGCCTGAGCAGGATCTGTGGGCTTGAGTATCTATCTGTCTCAGCAGGTAGCCCAGACTCCCATGTCACTGCCTCAGTTGTACCAGCTCACATATATTGGGTCAAGAATGCCCCATAAAACCAGCTGACAGAGGAGGGATAAGGCCGAGCTTAGTTCACGGCAGGTTGGTACATGAGTACAAGCAGCTGCATTATAGCCACATTCAAGGGTGGTCTTGAAAGACGGTGGAGAAGGGGACAATCTTCTCAATGGGTGAAGCTGTGAGCAATGCATCTGGCCATCCACTCTGTGTGGAAGGAGAAGTGGCCTGAGGTGAAAACGCATGCAGGTTCTTAGTTCATGGTCAATGGCTTTGATGTCTGGTCAGGGGCCTGGAATGAAAAGGGCTGAAAACTAAGGACAAAGAGGTCTGGGGTACAGACTGTGGGTGGATGTATGCAGTGGGCATGAAGTGTAAAGATTTTGCTTTATATGTAAACATCTGCCAGAAAGCATCCTCCATGGAAGACATGCAGAATACCCAGTAGACAAAATGACTCAGCTAATTGACATAAGCCAGCCTTTGCTATCAGTCCCTCCAGAACTGACACTTTGTACACATGAATGGAGTGGCCAGTGGCACAAAGTTACATGTGGGCCCAACAAGTGACACTCACTTACCAAACCACTAGCTCCTTCTGCCTCTGCATATCCAACCTGCAAGCAACAGTGAGCAAGGCTGAGTCTCTGATATATCCCTACTGCTCCAAGAGACCATCTCAGTGTAAGACAACTATATTGGAGCCTTCTATTCTGAAAAGGCCAGTGCTTTGCCCTCACAGGGACAGATACATATTCCAGGTATGGATTTGCCTTTCCAGCCCACAGAACCTCAGATAGCACCACTAGCCAGGGCTTATGGAATATCTGACCCACAGACATAATCTCCGCACAGCAGAACAGCCATCTGGGAGACTCTGTCATTGCAAAGCAGATGCAGGGGTGGAGATATGAGGGCTGTATTTTCATAGCAGCCACAAGAACATAAGTTAGAATTGTCCCACTGAGGGGAGAGAAAGCTGGGTTATTAAGCACAAACACCAGTTCCTCGCTGGCTCAGTGTTGCTCCTCAGGTACCAGCTCTTAGCCTGTCCTGCCCTACTCAAACTGAGCATGATTTCATGGCTGTTTGAATGCCATCAAGCAAAGAGACATAGGAAGATATCCACAGGCCTGGGAACTGTCTGCCTGTGACCTCCAGAGTAGGTTGAGGGGGTATGAACAAGGCAGCAAAGGTATTTTCTACATGTTCACAAAATCTGGGAGTCATTTGTGTTGCATGGTGGCAAAAGTCAACCATACCCCAAACTGGATGTGAGGGGGAAGCATATTTTTATTTTACCTGTAACTAATCTATACTTTTCCTGACCCTACTCATGGTGAGTGGGAAACATTATTAGCTAAATGTATAATCTGGCTTGAGCCTAGTCTGATTCAATAATTTTAATAATTTAAAGCAGGACTTTCAGGTAGTATTAAGTCTTTCTGTGGTATACATAGCCTCTCCATTACCTGCCCAAGCATGCTTACGATAGTGGAAAACAGTTGACATCTCATGCCTCAAGGCCTCTTCTCCTCTGGTCTCTGAGGTGATATCCCTTGTCCACCTATACTCTGATGGCATTTGAGTCTGGAGTCTGAGGTTGGGGTAACTTCTAGATTGCTGCATTGCTAGTCATAACTCTGAGGCTATCTTGACCTCTCCATTGCTCCTGCAGGTGCCGTAGATCTATCTGGTGATTCTCTGTGACTATCACTCAAACTTCTACCATAGCAAACCCTTCAATGAAGGCTCTCAGCTATTGTCTTGCCAAGGCTCCTCCAACGAAAGCCACGGATGGCCCAGAAACATTGACCCCAAATCCTTCTCTCTGCCTCCCCATTCTGTACCACCCAGTTTACTTTGATGGGGCTATAGACCAGGCTGGTGATGGACTGCTCTGTCCTCAGTATTGCTCAGTCCAAAGCACTGCCCCTCCTTCATCTTCCGTCCACAGGATGTATATGGATGCCGTTGGATCCTTATCTTGTCTCTTCCTTCCTATCATCACTCTAGGATGAAAGGGTGATTTTTCCCCAAAGTTGTATTTTTCTTCCTCCTACTTCTAACTCTGGTCAAGCCTTAGGTGGAAATCAGGCTGAGAAAACTATGCACTGATGCCTCCAGGCTTGGGCTTTGAGAGGCTAAAGTTCAAGCTAAAGGAATTTTGGAAGTCTTCTCTCAATAGCCTGCTTGCAAGTCTTCCTGGTCTTGCAGCAAAATCCTATTTTTTAATGTCAGAAATGGAATTTTAATTCAATGTTTGTCTTTTTATGGCTACTCCAGCAAGTCCTAACCTTCTCCCAAGTAGATGAATGTTGGAGAGTGGACCAAGGCAAGAGATAAAATAACATTGCTAATATTAAAATTATTACTCCTATTATAATTACTCAAGAACAATGGCAACAGTCTATTAACCTTAATTTTTCTTGTGAGAAAGAGAGAAAAATACATCATTACTCAATGATGTTGGAGGGTCCCAGAATTTTCCCAATGGTCTTTCATAAGAGACTGACTTCAAAGGAATTTAGGGTTTGGAGCTAGCTGCTTTGAGCTACAGTCCCAGAACCCCTACAGATACATGGTTGGTTTCCCTTTCAAGTCAGAGAAAAGAGAGATAGAGAAGATGCTGTATTACAGATTCAAACCTAGTCCATCTTTCTCTAGGATCCCCATTGGACACATCTTTACATTCATGCTGGCTGCCATGGTAACTCCTGGCTACACGTTTCTCTATTCTAACCAGCCTGATGGATACTATGCAGGCAATTTATTATTATTTTTTTTTAATTTCAACTTTTATTTTAGATACAAGGGGTACATGTGCAGTTTTGTTACATGGGTATACTGCACCCAGATAGTGGGCATAGTACCCAACAGGCAGTTTTTCAACTCACATCCCTCTCCCCAATTCCCTTCTCTAGCAGTCCTCAGTATTTATTTTTCCCATGTTTATGTCATGTTTTCTCAATGTTCAGCTCTCACTTATAAGTGAGAATATGTGGTGTTTGATTTTCTGCTCCTGCATTAATTCCCTTAGAATTATGGCCTCCAGCTCCATCCACGTTGCTGCAAAGGACATGATTTCATTCCTTTTTATGGCTATGTAGTATTCCTTGGTGTATATGCAACATATTTTCTTTATCCAATCCACTGTTGATGGACACCTAGGCTGATTCCATGTCTTTGCTATTGTGAATAGTACGGCGATGAACATATGGGTGCATGTGTCTTTTTGGTAGAATGATCTATTTTCCTTTGGGTATATATCCAGTAACGGGGTTGCTGTGTCAAATGGTATCTCTATTTTAAGTTCTTTGAGAAATCTCCAAACTGCTTACAGTGGCTCATGCCTGTAATCCCAGCACATTGGGAGGACAAGGCAGGAGAATTGCTTGGGGCCAGGAGTTCAAGTGTAGGTAACTTATGTTTCCGACAGAGGTAGCCCCGATTTGATAGATCCTAAAGCTTATACAATTTGCAGGGTCCTCTTTAAGAAAAGAAATAGACAATTACAAGTACAAAATTAGGTATAGTTGTGTGTATCTATTTAGAATAAGAAAAAATTACAACAAATAGCAAGTTAAAAAAAAAGCCTGACAAATACCCTAAGTATCACAACATTTCAAAAGCATACTAGTTTTATTAATTATATTCTGAATACACCCTCCATCATAATTTTTTCTATATTGTTCCCTGCATACTCTGTAACTGACTCTTCGTGACATAACAGTTGGGTAATATTATTCTTTATAGAAAGAACAGAAAAATAGTTCAGCCTTTCCTATAGCAGAGTTTGTTTAGGAGAGCTTGGGGGAGGGGGAACATACAGGTGGGAGGACTCAGGGTCATATGGTTAGAAAACGTGTTTGTTGGCATGGAAGTATGTGGGGGACTAGAAGAGATACAAGAAAGACACTGTAAATAAATACATTTATCCAACTCAATGCAAATTAAAAGTATCCCCAACTCAGCTTCTACAAAATGCCTGTGGCCACTCCAACACACCTGACTGAAGAGGATGGGTGATGGAGGGAATGTCAGAGTAGAAAGGGAAAAGATTCTTAATCTGTTGGAACTATGATATCTTACTTTTGCAAATTTTGGAAAAATCATGGCCATGGGAACATATTTCAGGGTCTTGGAAAGGACCTGTGTAAGTGAAAGGCTTTGGCTTTGAGCTTCCTCATCTTCCTTCAAACCCACTGCTCTCTGAAAATATATTTGATGTATCCAATCTGTGCTCAGTTTCCTGATTCCTAATTCAGGACTCACTTCAGGAATTACTCCTTTAGGACGTCTTTCCTGATCCTCCAAGCCTGGATGGGTTTTGTCATGGAGGCTTTGAGCGGGACCCTTTCCATGGTCACAATGTACTGAAATTGACCCTTATCACACCTAAATTTTACTCCATCCCTACTCCTCCAGGGATCAAAATCTTTGAGGGCAGGGGCCACATTTTATTCATTATTGTATTCTCATCATTTAACACACAGTCTGGCATACTGGAGATGCTAAAAAGGATCTGATAAGTTTATAAAAGGAACAATGATTTGGGAGAAAAGGCATCTACTCCAGTGATTCCTAAGGAAGAACTCACTTCTTGACAAAGGGTCACCCAATAGGAACAAATATTCTTAAAATACAAAAATCCCTTCTCTATGATGGTTCTCCATTTCCTTCTTTCCAGACCTCCTTCTGTAACTATGTCTGATAGGGATCAAACTATTCCTATAAAGTGACCAGTATATAAAACTTGTGACTGTCCTAGCAGGAGTCTTTTAAATCTTTAAAAATTTTAACCATGTAACCTCTTCCTGTCTACTACTATGAATCACAGAGAGAAACAAATTTTAGTGTTGGAATGAAAAATTTGAATTCTATCCTTAAATAATCTACATTAGATCCTAACCTGTTACTTTCACCTTTTAATTCCTAATTCTTAGAAGATCATCTTCACCTGTCATTGTGCTAACATATTTTTGAGACTATAAATATAATTAGGGAGATGGGATAGCATATTAATGGTGCAAATCTCTGTAATCAGAGATTTGGATTAAAAATAAAAGCATGGCTTCATTTTATATTATCTGGGAGCAGAAACTGGGAGGCTGTGGAGTAGAAGACCAGAGTCAGCCCTTATCACTAATGATACTTCTCACCACATGTTGCAGCAGGCAAAAATTAGTATCCTCTATGCTGACAACACTCCAAGTCATTCTCAAATGTCTCTGGACTGATTTTGAAAGGGTCCTTTTGTTCTTAATATATTTCACAGCTTATGGGAGGACGTCCATAGCCAATTTTGACTTTTAATGACAAACAAAAGCACAGAAGGAAGAAGGTTTTGTAAACAAAGCACAAAAGGGGGAAATTTTAAAGTGTAGCGATTTGGAGTCAGAGGACCTGAGTTTGGATCTTGATTGTGTCACTGAAGGCCAATTTCTGAGCTCAAATTTCCTCATCTATAAAATTTTGATAATAAAAGTACCTCATGAGGTTGTGAAAAATTGTCAGATAATGAAGGTAAAGGGTGATTTGTAAAGTATAAAGGGCAAAAAAATGTTGGCTCTGATTTATGATGTAATATTTTGTGCTATGTATTACATATCCAGAAAAGCTATGTAAAGGTTTCTTTGAAAGTTCTTATTATTTAGAAAATGGAATCGTTTTGTGAAAGGAAAGAAGTCTGATAAGTCCTGAACTGATTAAGACCAAGTATATCCAGGGAGGTTGCCTCCAATTAATTTTAAAAAAAGTCTTTAAGAGATGAAAGTCATTGAGTTTATATGAAAAACTCACAAAAAGCCCTTAAAGTAAAAATGGGCAAACATTTTTAGAAGTCTGTCAGAAACAAATTGAGGGATAAATGAGATCTATTTAACTTCATCAGAAATCTGTGCGAAGTGAATGGATTATTTAAATAAACAAGAGTTACATGTTTCTCCTTGGCCATCAACATGTTATTTGTTGTTGATACAATAACATAGTAAACTTAAAGTGGTTTATTTGTCTAAAGGAAACAGCTTATCTTTTATTTGGAACATAGATGCAAGCTGAGTCCTGATCTGTGTTATTTCAGTGTCTGGTTGATTTGTACTTGAGGTTTCCGGAGCAAAAGCTTTGTTACTAAATACCTGGCGGGATCTCATAGCCATGGCTAGTGATCAAAATCTCCTGTTTGGTATTGAGAAGATTAATTCAGAATTGCCTTTTCTCTCATGATACATAATTCAGTTCAAGAAATAATTATTGAGACCTACTATATGCCAGGCATTATTCCAGGTTCTGAGAGTATAAAGATGAATGAAGAATATGCTGCTAATTTTGCTATTAATTTTGTTCTTGTACTGTAATTTTCTTCTGCCCCTGTGGCCCTCCCCTCTTTTATTCAACCTTGCCGTCTTCCTTCACTACTTCATGAAGGGAAGACAAGAGCTGGAAAACAGGGAGAGAAAAGTTAACCCCTGAATTTTAGAAAAGAAGATCTCAGAGGAATGTAAAGGGACATGGAATCAATAGCAGGAAAGCCTACACTGGAAGCTCCATCCATCCTTCACCTGCTAGATTGGTTGTTTTTTCTATTAATGTTTTGTGAAAACTACAAAAATATATAGAGCGTTTCTGGTTGGCTGGCTGATTGATGCCACCTGTGTCCTAAGACTGTGCTCTATCTGTACTGACTTACCGGACTTACTGGTATGCATAACTTTTTCAACATGACAGGACACAGATAAATTTCTGAGTTGGAAGCAAGGTCTCTCTAGGGAAATGGTGGTGATCTAGAAAATATAGAAAAACTACTGTCTCCTCCATATCTAGTGTCTCTTTTATTCTTGCATTCATCATAGCCCAGCTATAGAGCTAGAGACTGCATTTTATCAACTGCCGTATAGCCAGGTAAATCCATGTGTCAGGAGGTGAGTAGTTGTGCCAGTTGGGGGCTTTGATATAGACTTAGAACATTGGACAAGTATTTCTTCATCCATCATTCCCTTTACCACAGGCTGTAACACTGACTTGGCAAGACCCAGACTGAGGATGGCAGAGCAATAGAAAGGAGGAAACCTGGGTTCTTGGAGCAGAGCATCTCCTCCAATTGCACAACTCAGTGCTGGACTTGCCTTCTCTTTTACTTAAGTCATTGTAATTTCTGGCCTTATTTTTGTTTATGGAGTAAAATAGCTTTTACCCAAAAAACAGAAAGAAAAGCCTACTTCACCAATATATGGGTAGGAATGAATGGAAGCAGCTTGAGGTCTCTCCTTAGAAGTACTGATAGTTTATTAAGGGAAAGATGCATGGGAACAGAAGAGGGAGCCATCTGTCATGGCTGAAAAGTGAGAAGACAGGTAATATGACAGATCCAGAGGGCAAAGGGTCAGGGTAGGGCTGGTTAACTGAGACGCAGTGTCTATGTCTCTTGTACAGTTCTGGGCAAACATTGACAAATTCATGCTGCTTGGACTTTCTTTTTATTACTGGGCCTTTCATTAGCACTCTTTCTTCAGGCAAGACAGTGTAATTGATTAGATATGAATGCAATTTATGCATGCCCCATTGCCACACAAGATTATATGATTACTCATGGATGTTCTCAAACAATTTTAGCCACAGAGTTGAGCTCATTGTTTTTCATTCTCAGAAGGTAATCGAATTTCCATGTTCTTGCAATGGAAAAACTAGCTTTGTAAAGTGTTGGTGGTTTTATCATCCAAAACTAAATCTCAGGGCTGAATATTGTCGTTGACAGAGCATGAGAACATGCTCAGTCATAAGAAAATGGAGTATTTCTTGTGTGAAAAATGTGGCACACTCTTAATCCCCCTTTTCACCCTCTCCACTACCCCAGCATTGAATAGCTATGATGATACATTTAGCTGGTGGTTAAATCTTTGTGCATGATGATGTTCTGGGGTTTGATCCGGTCAGACTCAGAGGCAGCCCACTGGCCTGTGAGAAATTTTTATTTTTTTACTACAAGCAACTTCAAGTGCTTAGCAGTGAAGGGAAGGCACTGAATGCCCCATTCTCTATTCAAGTTTTTAAAAATAAACTCAAATTAAACCTAAAGGGAATTATAAGTGTTCAAAGTTTCACTCTCAATCCTTACTTACTGGATTTTGAGCCAGGGTACAAACACAAGCTCCCTTACTTGCCTCTATTTTCTGTACTAACTTTAAAAACAAACAGGCTGGGTGTGGTGGCTCAAGCCTGTAATCCTGGCACTTTGGGAGGCCGAGGCGGGCAGATCACAAGGTCAGGAGTACAAGACCAGCCTGGCCAACATAGGGAAACCCCATCTGTACTAAAAATACAAACAATTAGCCAGGTGTGGTGGCGGGTGCCTGTAGTCCCAGCTAGTCGGGAGGCTGAGGCAGGAGAATCGCTTGAACCCAAGAGGCAGAGGTTGCAGTGAGCCGAGATTGCACCACAGCACTCCAGCCTAGGCAACAGAGCGAGACTCCCTCTCAAAAAAACAAAACCAAAAACAAAACAAACAAACAAACAAACAAACTTTTTTACTTTGAAATAATTATAGTTTCACAGTAAGTTGCAAAGATAGTACAGAGAGGTCCCTTGTCTCCTTCACCCATTTCCTTCCACTGGCTGTATTTTACATAATGATACTACAGTATCAAAGCCAGAAAGTTGACAGTGGTATGGTGTGTGTGTGCAGTTATATGCCATTTTATCACATGTGTAGATTCATGTGACCACCACTCAGATCAAGATACACATAACATCACCACAAAATCCTCTTGGGCTACCCTTTTATAGTTCCCACCACTCACCTCTTCCCACCTTCCTTAAACCTTGACAACTACTAATCTGTTCTCCATCTCTTTAATTTTGTCATTTGAAGAATGTTATATAAATGGAATCATAAGCCATTTACATTTAATGTACTTATTGCTATGTTAGGACTTAAGATAGCTATTTTATTTCTTTTTATCTCTTTTGTTCTTTCAGTTTTTTACTTCTCTATTCTTTCTCCTGCCTTCCTATGGATTACTTCAACAGGTTTTAGAATTTCATTTTGATTTATCTGTAGCATTTTTTATGTATCTTTTGATACAGATTTTTGGTGGTTGCTGTAAGCGTGATATCATACACATGTAACTTATCAAAGTCAACTGATGTCAACACTTTACCAGTTTGAATAAAGCATAGAACTCTTATCTGCTTTTAACTACCTTTTACCCTCCCCTGTTTACAATGTAATTGCCTTAAATATTTTTCTACCTATACTGAGAACCACATCAAAAATTGTTATAATTTTTGCTTTAATCATCAAGCACAATTTAGAAAACTCGAGAGAGGGAAGACTGTTGAATGTATTAAGATTTTTAGATCTTTTTGTTTTTTCTTCTTCCTTCCAGATGTTTGAAGGTTCTTTTAAAAAGTCCTTTCCTTTCTGTTTCAAGAACTTTCTTTAGCCATTCTTTTGAAATAGGTCTGTAGTGACAAATCCTTTTAGTTTTCATTTCTTTGGGAAAGTTTCATTTTCTTTTCATTTAGAAGCATATTTTCACTAGATATAAAATTCTGTGCTGATAATTCTTTTATCTCAGCACTTGAAAAATGTTCTAATTCCTTCTGTCTCCCATAGTTTCTGATGAGAAATCCATTGTCATTGGAATTACTTTTCTCCTGTAGATAACATGTCTTTTCTCTGTCAGTGCTTTCAATACTCTCCCCTTGACTTTGGTTTTCAGAAGTTTGAGTGTGATGTGTCTTGATAGATTTCTTTGAATTCATCCTGTTTGGAATTTGCTCACCTTCTTGAGTCTGTAAGTTCAAGTCTTTCCCCAAATTTTGGAAATATTCAGCCATTATTTCTTTGAATATTTTTTTATCCCTACCATCTTCCTCCTTTTCCTGTGTCCAGTGACAAATGTTAGATCTTCTGTTATAGACCCACAGGTCTCCAAGGGTCTGTTTATTTTTCCCTCCTTATTTTCTCTCTGTTGTTCAGATTGGGTAATTTCTACTGTCCTACCTTCAAGCTCATTCTTTCCTTTGTCCTCTCCATTATTCTGTTGAACCTATCCATTGAGTTTTTATCTTACTTATAACATTTTTTAGTTCTAACATTTCAATTTGGCTCTACTTTATACCTTCTATTTCTTTACTGAGACTTTCAATTTTTTCCAATTGTTGCAAGCATGTTCATAATTGCTCACTGAAGCATTTTTCCGATGGCTGCTTTAGATTGCCTTTCAGATAAGTCCAACAACTGTGTCATCTCAGTGTTGGTGTATGTTGGCTTATTTTTCTCATTCAAATTAAGATTTTCTTGGTGTTTTGTATAATGTGTGATTTTTAAATTGAAATCTGGACATTTTTAGTATTTTGTCACGAACTTCTGTATCTTAATTAAATCTTTTTCTTCAGCAGGCCTCTTCTGACATTGCTCTGGGAGGGAAAGTGGTGGGGTGAGCATGGGGGGCGCTTCCTCATCATTGTCACATGGGAGTGAAATTCTTCCTCTTACACTATCTTCCTCTTACACTATTCTTCCTCTTACACTATCCTAGATGGGAGAGGTAGAAATGCCTTGTTAGTGCCAGATGTGGTCTCCATGTGGCCTCCACTAAAACTGTGTTGGGGATTTGGGGGAAGGTGTCTCATTATCATGGGATGGAAATGAAAGTCTCAGCTCCCTACTCTGTCTTCTCTGATACTACAGGGTGGGAGGCGGTTTAAGAGTGCCATATTACAGACAAGCAAGGGTGGAAATCCTGGCTTCCCAACTCTGCCTTTGCTGATGAGGGTGAGGCTGTGTGCTTTCTCTACGGTGTTTGACTAGGAGAGGATGGATTTTGTCTAAAAGTTTTCTGTCTAGCTAGGCTGTTCCTTTAGCTAGAAACGGCATGCTTTTCTTGGGGCTTTTGTTGTTGCTCACATTGGCATTTCCAGGCTGCTAGCTTCTTGGTTTCATGTCCAGGATATATGAGACAAAAAGAAAACCCAAGAAACTCGCCATGTTAGATCTCCAGTTTCAGGTCCCTAGCCAGTCTGCTATCTTTGCCCCACCTTTGAGCCTTCGCATGTTTATTTTATACATAATGTCCGGAGTTTTTGCTTGTATTTAACAGGAGGAATATAGAGAAGTATATATATCCACTCACTTGGTTTTATCCTTAGTATTTTCAGAGCTAATAATAACAATAACGACTGCTATGTTTTTAGTGCTGTTTACATGGCCAGTATCATGCTAATTTATTTACTTATGACAGTAATCTTATGAGGAAGGTACAATAATTACTAATGCCATTTGATACACGAAGAAACTGAAACTCAGAAATAATCCATGTAAACATTTAGAACAGTGCCTAGCACATATACTAATAAAGGCTAGGGAATATTATTGTTAATTATATTTTTAGCATTGTTAACTTGTCTGAAGGACCTAACTAATAACAACAGAGTTAGAATTCCACCCCAGTACAGTCTAAACTTGTAAACTGTAGGCAGTAATTTCTCTCAATTTGACTGAAACCACTGGGATTACTCAATTTCTACCGCATCTCGCATTATATCTTTACGCATCTCACTTATGTTACCACCACTGTTTTCTTTTCGGTTTTTTGTTTTGTTTTTGTTTGTTTGTTTGTTTGAGATGGAGCCTCACTCTGTCGCTCACGCTGGAGTGCAATGGCGCATTCTTGGCTCACTGCAACCTCTGCCTCCCAGGTTCAAGTGATTCTCCTGCCTCAGCCTTCCCAGTAGCTGGGATTACAGGCATGCACCACCACGCCTGGCTAATTTTTGTATTTTTAGTAGAGACAGGGTTTCACCATGTTGGCCAGACTGGTCTGGAACTCCTGACCTCAGGTGATCTGCCCGCCTTGACCTCCCAAAGTGCTGGGATTACAGGCATGAGCTAGCACACCCAGTTCTTTTCTTTATCTATAGTTTTCAAATTTCCTTCAATTTATAACCTGATAATAAAATAACTAATGTTTATGTAATATATATGGGAATGACAAAATGCTCTTACATTAATTACATTTAATATTTATTTCAAACTTCATTACAACTTCAGAGGCAGGTATTCTTAATTATAACACTATTTTAAAACTGAAATTCAGGGACAAGCCAAAAACCACATGGTTAGGAAGGGGTTGAGATATAACTCAAGCCCAGTGCTATTTCCACCATCCTGTGGTGCATCCGTAACCCACATCTCACTTTCATATCTTCCCTATAGCTCTCTGGGCTCATAACTTTCCTCTCTTTGGATCTCCTGGCAGAATATAAAGGACTTGAGGGAGAGAAGTTGGGGGGAGTTGGGGGAAGGTCCAGCAGATAAAATGGTGCCTCTAGAATTACAGATCCTTTCTAAGGGCTGTTGATCCATTAAAGATGTGTTGGAAATTCTGCCATATAATAGCACATTGCCTTAGTCCATCTGTGTTGCTATAAAAGAATACTTAAGAATGGGTAATTTATAAAGAAAAAAAAAGTTTGTTTGGCTTCTGGTTCTGCAGGCTGTACAAGCATGACACCAACATCTGGCTTTGATGAGAGTTTGAGGCTGCTTCCACTCATGGTGAAAGGGAAAATGGAGCCAGTATGTGGAAAGATCGCATTGCAAAAGAGGAAGCAAGAGAGAGGAGGAGGTGCCAGGCTCTTTTTAACAACTAGCTCCTGGGAGAACTAATAGAGTGATAATTCAGTCCTCTTTCCCCCTGGTGGGGAGTATTAATCTGTTCATGAGGTATGTATTCCCACGACCCAAACGCCTCCTCTTAAGCCTCATCTCCAACACTGGGGATCAAATTTTAACATGCGGTTTAGAGGGTCAAATATCCAAACTATAGCACACACCTTTCTCCTTTTGCTTGTGTCTTCCATGGAGTCATGTTTTGAGGTCTATTGAAGAATGGAGTGGTTGGGAGCATGGAGAAAGATAGGTGGCTTAGAAACAAATTAGACATGTAGGGGGTTGTTGCAACAGATTTCATTCAAGAGAGAGACTACAAAGGCAGAGACAGTTGAGATAAAGAACAGGGGAATAGAAGGATATTTAGAAGACATATTTGACCCAACAAACAGTGCTGTGTGTGTGTGTGTGTGTGTGTGTGTGTGTGTGTGTGTGTGTTTGTGTGTATTTGAAAGAGAAAGTTAGAAGAGGGGTCATTAATAACAGTGATGCTGCCAGGTTTCTGATTTGAAAAACCGGATAGGTCATTTTGTTTACAATCAAGGTTAAGGAAAAAAAAGTTTCAGGGAGGATGGAGTAGTGCATGGTAGAATGCTAAAGAGCAAACAAAAAAAAAAAGATTGTATCAGTGTAATTGGATTTGAAAATTAGAAGGTAATTAATGGCTTTGGAAAAATAGCTGTCACAGATAGAGAGAGAGGTGAGCGGAATAGTGGAGTGGGATGGCTAAGCTGATAAATTATTTGGAAATGAGAAGTAGAGAGACCATTTATGCAGTGACACTGTGGAAAAGTCATGGAATATGAAGAACCAATTCCAAAACCTGGTACTGCTTACTTGCTTGCTATGCGGCCTTTGGCAAATCACTTTACCCACTTGAGTCTGTTTCCTAGAAGATGAGCAACAGTTTGCTCTATTCCTTTTCCTGTGATTTATTTCCTCATTGTGTGTCAGTGGGTAAAACCATGGCTAAAATTGATGCTTTTTTTTTTGCTTTTTGAAATTGATTTCCCTGGCCCCCCACCACCACTCAAGCAACGGCATCTTCCAGTCTAAATCATCTGATATTTATTTGAGAATTGGTACAATGATGGCTAAATGTTGTAAAAATATATAAAACTACCATGGTTATACATGGAGAGACTGCACATCAGTAAAACCTTATTTCTAATCATCCCATGATTGACAGATTAAACTTGTCATTGAAAAAGTTAATGCACATAATTAGTAGATGTATATAAAACTGTAATGTATTTTCTTCTTTGGCACCTGTTAAAATGTTTTTAAAAAGCATTTGTGATTCCTTTAAAAGATATTAAATGAATAGAATGTCTTTCATCTTGCATTTTCTAAAATATTAAACTTTATTGAGTACTAACAATGTGAATATTATAAAATTATTTATTTTATATAAATAAAATGTACAGAAATACGGGATCAGCTCCCATTTAATTTCAGGTCAAGATACTAAGTAGGGACTATATTTGATATTTCTTCTATATCCCTTTTCAATTTAATTCAATAATAAAAATTACCAAAATTTATTTTTAATATTCACAAAAACCTTGGGAATAGACTTAATTGTCTCCATTTTACCAGGCAAGAAACCAAGCTTTAAAAAACAGCAAAACAAATTTAAATGTCCACTGCATGGAAGCACATGCATGCAGGTCAAATCAATATTGTAAAAATGACCATACTACCAAAAGCAATCTACAAATTCAATGCAATTCCCATCAAAATACCACCATCATTCTTCCAGAGCTAGAAAAACAATCCTAAAATTTATATGGAACCAAAAAAGAGCCCACATAGCCAAAGCAAGACTAAGCAAAAACAACGAATCTGGAGGCATCACATTACCTGACGTCAAACCATACTATAAGATCATAGTCACCCAAACAACATGGTACTGGTATAAAAATAGGCACATAGACCAATGGAACAGAATAAAGAACCCAGAAATAAAGCCAAATACTTACAGCCAACTAATCTTTGACAAAGCAAACAAAACCATGAAGTGGGGAAAGGACACCCTATTCAACAAATGGTGCTGGGATAATTGGCTAGTCACATATAGGAGAATGAAACTGGATCCTCATCTCTAACCTTATAAAAAAACAACTCAAGTTGGATCAAGGATTTAAATCTAAGACCTGAAACTATTTAATTCTATAACATCAGAAAACCTCTTCTAGACATTGGCTTAGGCAAAGGCTTCATGATTAAGACCCCCAAAGCAAATGCAACAGAAACAAAGATAAATAGGTGGAACTTAATTAAACTAAAGAGCTTCTGCCCAGCAAAAGGAACAGTAAGCAGAGTAAACAGACAACCCACAGAGTGGGAGAAAATCTTCACGATCTATACATCTGATGAAGGACTAATATCCAGAATGTACCAGGAACTCAAACAAATTAGCAAGAAAAAAAAACAATCCCATCAAAAAGTGGGCTAAGGACAGAAACAGACAATTCTGAAAAGAAGATATACAGGGGCCAACAAATATGAAAAAATGGTCACCATCACTAATGATCAGGGAAATGCAAATCAAAACCACAATGCAATACCACCTCGCTCCTGTAAGAATGGCTATAATCAAATAATTAAAAAAAAAAAGATTTTGGTGGGGATGCAGTGAAAAGGGAACACTTCTACACTGCTGGTGGGAATGTAAACTAGTAAAACCACTATGGAAAACAGTGTGGAGATTCCTTAAAGAACTAGAAGTAGAACTACCATTGGATCCAGCAATCCCACTACTGGGTATCTCGCAGAGGAAAATAAGTCATTATACGAAAAAGATGTTTGCATATGCATGTTTATAGCAGCACAATTCACAATTGCAAAAATATGGAACCCGCCCAAATGCCCATCAATCAATGAGTTA
The DNA here is from genome assembly GCF_000001405.40 of Homo sapiens. Lineage (NCBI taxonomy): Eukaryota > Metazoa > Chordata > Mammalia > Primates > Hominidae > Homo > Homo sapiens. The sequence continues at coordinate 95,528,318 of NC_000011.10, read as the reverse complement.
GTAAAGAAATATATATATGATGGAATACTACTAAGACATAAAAGGAACAAATTAATGGCATTTGCAGCTGGATGGAACTGAAGACTATTATTCTAAGTGAAGTAACTCAGGAATGGAAAACCAAACATCTTATATTCTCACTCATAAGTGTGAACTAAGCTATGACGATGCAAAGGCATAAGAATGATACAGTGGACTTTGGGGACTCAAGGGAAGGGGTGTGAGGGAGGTGAGGGATAAAAGACTACAAATTGGGTTCAATGTATACCGCTCAGGTGATGGGTGCACTAAAATATCACTGATCACCACTAAAGAACTTAGTCATGTAACCAAATACCACTTGTTCCTCAAAAACCTATAGAAATAAAAAAATTTAAAAAATTAAAAAATTAAATGTCCATTGCACAGCTAAGTAGAGTGGGTGCTGATTAAATATGTGATCACCGCTATCCTATAATAGCATCTTTACTATTTTAAGATTACTATGTAAGTGAGTGTGCTGTCATTGTAGGCATGCAAACTAGCATAGACCGATAGCCATATCATAGAAGATTCCTGGAATGCCCTACATCTCTGTCATATTTTTTTCCATTTGTTCACTTATTTATCCATGTATTTATTCCCCAAAGAGAATAAACTAGTCACTATATTAGTCGATATTTCTGTTATTCTCCACATACTATGACTACATATGTATAGTCTAACAGTATTTGTAGGGATCTGGTGTCTTGTTGCCAAAACACAACTGCAAACAATAACAGGAGAACCTAACAGAGTGAGGTGGCAGTGGGATCTGGGTGTGAGATGTCCTATGACCCTTCTAATAACTTGAGTAGTAGAACAAAATTCTTGTCACTAATCAAGTCTTAGTCCATCAGGTCTTCAGAAAGCTAGTTGAAGACCTAGACTTGATTCCTAAGAGTTGAGCATATTGAATAAAGAATAGGGCTAGGCGCAGTGGCTCAGGCCTGTAATCCTAGCACTTGGGGAGGCTGAGGCAGGTGGATCATAAGGTCAGGAGGTTGAGACCATCCTGGCTAACACGGTGAAACCCTGTCTCTACTAAAAATACAAAAAAAAAAAAAAAAAAAAAATTAGCCGGACGTGGTGGTGAGTGCCTGTAGTCCCAGCTACTCGGGAGGCTGAGGCAGGAGGATGGCGTGAACCCAGGAGGTGGAGCTTGTAGTGAGCCAAGATTGCACCACTGCACTCCAGCCTGGGCAACAGAGCAAGACTCCAACAACAACAACAAAAAATGACCCCCAAGCTGGGCTTTGTTTCCTAGGCAAAATATCTGGTAAAGGCTAGTCCAAGAACATTTTGGAATCTTGCCATTTTCTGTGCTAATGTGGACCAAGTCATTCTTCAGTCCTTTGTAGAAGGGGTCAGTGGGAACTAGGGTAAAGCAAGAGAGGCACTAGCTTTGGGCACAAAATATAAAGGGGCACCTTAAATCAAAATCTAAATTAATACTCTATGACGAACATAAGTAAAGGTATGATCAGTACTACAGATGTTTCCTTTTGCCTTACATTCCAATGGCATGGCATGGCACTGCAGAGGGGTGAACATATGGTGGTACCCTGACATGCAGCTAGAAAGGAGAGGAAGCTGAGTCCCACCAGCAGAGACGCTGAGAAAACAAATTCAGATAATGAATGCTGGCTTCTAAAGGCTGACTAGAGCCAGATCTACCCACAGATGTCATCCTAGTAAGGAGGACTCTTCCCAAACCTTCACCCCTCTAGTGTTCACATCAGAAGCAACATTCAGACATACTGGAATGTCTACCTGGAACCTCCAAGTGCCAACGTACTCCCATTACATTCTTCTAACCTTCCCCAGAAGTGACCCAATGTCTTCGAGGTCTGAGTGCGCACTTGAGCATGTGTAGCCCTTTGATCCCGGGTTCCGTTTTCCTCTCGAAGCTAAAAAAAGTACAGAATTCTGAAAAAAGGATATTCTTTCAAGCTTTAACCCATTCCAGAAAACAGGGCTGGAGCTGGCTTGGAGACTATTTACCCAAGATAATAAATGGAAGGAAGAGATCTAGATTCTGTAACCAGTGCTCAGTGTTTTACACTAACAGGAGGGGAGGGGTGGGAGTGGGAAAAGCAGTTCCACAGAGATTCTGAAATTCCCAACTGTGCCAGAAATTTTTTTTTTAATTTCTCTTCTTTTTGTCCAACTTTTCTATTGAATTTGATGATGACAGGTAGCAAAGAACCCTGCTTCGTTAGTATTTGCCCTCCCCAATGTCAAGAAACCTTTTTAACCTCTTGATCTCTCAATCTGTCATTCTCACATCTCAACTCAAAAGCTGAACCCTTTATGAAGGCTGCCTTGATTAACCACAATTTGAATTATTTCCTCCTTTCTTGGTGCTCACATAGCACATTTCTTGGATATGCTAAATCATCTATTTATCTCTGCTTTGGATTATGGTTATGCTTGACTGCTTTTTAATGGCTGAACTTGGGCAATTTGCTTAATCTCTCCTGCCCCCATTTTCTTATTTGTAAATGGGAATAATGATTATTTTGCCAGGTTATTATAAAAGACCTTGACTCAAATTGCAAATTTACCAGTTTCCAATTCTGCTTTGGAGATATTATTTAATTTCTCTGCTATTTAATCCATTTTATTTATCTGTGAAATGAAAATAAAAGTTGCATCTACCACAGAGGTTCTTATGAAAACTGAGAAATAATCCACAAAAAGTAAAAAATAATAGCTGTTATCATTTTATTCTTGTAACTTTTGTTTTCTTGATCAGACTATAAAATCTTAAAGGGGAAAAAACCTTATTCACCTTCTTATCATAGATAATCTTAGCTGATGGCCAGTAAATTTGTAAGACACGAATATTTTCTGTACTTCTTCTATCTCAATTAGTTTATACTGTTTGTAAGGGCTTTATCATGTTCAGCTTTGTATTGGAGTTTATTAATGTATCTTATCTGTCCTTCTCCTTTGCAAAGTGCTTTCTGAAACATCACTCAAAAAATACCATGTAAGTAAATGGAATAATACCAACCACGTAAGTTAATGGAAAAATACCACGTAAGTAAATGGAATAATACCAAAAAAATCAAAGGTTCTTCATAGCATAGAGTCAGGATATCTCTCTTGATAACTGACTAAAATGTTGCATTTAAGATTGACAAATTCAATTCTCCTTCTTGAGAAGTGATCCTTTAAAAATTTGAAATCACCAAAGGAGCAAATTATGAGCAGAAGCCCTTTTCTTGCGTTACATGACATACGTCCTTATGTTGCACTGACTAGGCCATGTGCAAGCCACATCTTGTGACCACCATAGTCCCTGTCCTCTCCATCTAAAGAAACAAAGCAGGCAGTTAGAAACAGGTTTCTTTTTTGTTTCAAATGATGTCATTCAGGTCCAGCACCAGGGATCTGCTGTCTGTTCTCATTTTTTCTGTGCTGAGAAGCTCTCTTGGCTCTCTCTTGACATTGGCACAACAGAGGCTGAGAGCTGGGAGGGAGATTGAAAGGGCTGATATACCACCAGCTCTAAAAACACATGACAGCAGAAAGCCAGGCTATTACTAATGCTGATCAGCTCAGAGGCAATGCAATCAAAACCTTCAATTACACCTGGGTGATTTAATCAACTCCCTGTCAAACTCAGGCTGGAACTCCTCTGGTACTGTACAAATACAGTAATTACCATGCCAGCTTGCAATAAGATATCATTTCAGAGGATTAGAAAACACATTCTGTTGTCAATTACCAACAGCCAATTTATAGGCCCCGAAACAAACAATATTTTTTAATTGCTGCCTTTGTGTCATTATCACAAAATTACTTCTGTTATGAGGCATTAAATCATCTCAGCGATGTTGATAGTGGGGGCGGGGGGAGATTAAAAAGTTTTCACTCTGTTCTTTCCTGACAAAATGGGAATAGAAGCATAAAACTTGTATCCCGCTGTGTTGAATTTTGTAATGAAAAACAATCAAAAAACCCCAGAGATTCTCAACTACGCAAACAATCATAAACAAATCTTGAAGCTACATGAGCAGATCAGAGAGCAGGAAGTCAGGAGTCAGATTTATTTTGACTTGTACTTTTTCTGTATCCCTGGCCTCATTTTTCCATATGCCTATCTTCCAAGCCTTATTTTTTTAGAGGTATTTATTCCTTTTGAAAGTGTGTTTCAGGTCTACTGCCATACCACCCTGAAAGCACCCGATCTCGTCTGATCTCCGGAGCTAAGTAGGGTTGGTCCTGGTTAGTACTTGGATGAAAGTGTGTTTCAGTTGATCCCAAATGTGGCAACTGTCACTGGAGATGTGCAGATTTGAATTCTTTCTACTTTACCCACCCCCTCCCAAGCCCATGTATTCAGACCAAAGAATTGGGCCTTGCCGGCGCCACTCAGCTCCTTCACAATGTTCCTAGGATTCATCTTTTCCTGATGCAAAGGGAACACCGGACCCACCCCTGCTGATTCCTTCAACCTACCCCATTCTAGCCCAAATATATCTTGCTTGAGTTAGTTTAAAATGGAGGCACTTTTATTTTACCAGACAGCAGAGTGTAGGAAAAATGTTTTTAGTGTTTATTATTGCTATTACTTACTACTAATAATAGCAACACTCGACAGCACATAAAATGTCCCAAACATTGTTCTAAATGCTTTATAAATATTATATTAACCCTATAAAGTACATATGGTTATGTTCCCACTTCACAAATGAGGAGTGATGCATTGAATGGTTGAAGTTTTTGGCTGCAGTGATATAGTGGAAAGGACATTGGATATGTCTCAGGAAGAACTGGACTTGAATCTCAACACTGCCACTTAGTAGTTGTGTCACAGTCAGCCAATTATATACCCACTCTTAGCTTTATTTTCCTTATCTTCGAAAAGGAGAAAATAGTAACGATAATGTTTATTAGGAATGCCATGCATTCTTTTACATGTTCTACATTATTTAATCATCACAATGACTCTGTTGGGTAAAAACTAAACAGTTATTTTATAGATGATGAAGCTGAGGCGTAAAGAAGTAGAGTAACTTGGTCAAAGTTACACAGCAAGGAAGTGTTAGAGTTCCTAAAGTCCCTCTCTTAACCATTACCCTACACTGCCTCTTCAGTGAGCCGTTTCCCTTCTAATATCGACTATCTCTTGGTAAGTCCTCTTTGTTAACATCCAGATCTAGATCCCTAATTTCCTACTATGCATCACCACTTGGACAGTGTCCCAGCCATCTCAAAGTCCACATGTCCTAACTTGAAGCTACTATTATCTAGGCCTGCTCAGTCTTCATTACTTTCTCTTTCCTGGAATGAATACCTCCCATCTCCATCTTCCTGGTTGTCCAAGCCAAAGACTTAAACATGCTCCTTGGCCAACACCTCTCAGTTGGATAATTGCTATGGTCGACGATTGGTACCTCTGATTCTAATCATGCCACTTTCAATTACACATAGATACCTCACCAGCCACTCTCTGCTCCTGGTCTATCAGTGAATTAGAAATTATCATCGAGATAAACTCTATCATCTAAAGTCCCTGCAGACCACTTTGCTTCCTTACAAGTAATGGCTTTATCTTTTCTTCAAGTTTCTACATTCTCCTTTCTGGTTTGGTCTCACAAACCAAGGTGGTATATTTGGTTCCCCCAGGATTGTATGCTTTTCCTCATGGTCTGCTTTCCTCCCTTAAATTTAGGAGGTATTCAAAGGAGAAAAACATTTCTGTGATCCACCTTGGCATATATTCTGACTTACTTAGACACTATCCAATTAGGGGTTGAAAGTGTTAAAAAAAAAAGTAGGAAATTTCAAAGATTTGCATCAGAATGAATGAACCATAGAATTTTAAACCTGGAAAACATCATATAGCTCAGCTGGTCAAACCCACTCATCCCTTGGAAGAGGAAAAGTGACACTAAGGTTAGGCTGGGATGAACGTGATAGGTGAAGTTGGTGGGATGTCAAAGTTCCTCAAAACCACACGAACACGTACATAGCAAGGAAGCTGAGTCCTAACTCCCTGCAGCTCACAGCCCAGGGCTCTGCTTTTGAGACACATCTTCTCTCAGTAAAGGCATAGATCTCGGTGCTCTCTGCCTGACTATTGTTTCCTGGTCCTTTCCAAGTGGAGAGTTATTTCCCAAATGGTATTCCTCAAGATATCCTATGGAAACAACAAAATTTATTCCGTGGTTAGGTATCATTGTTAAATTGCCTATGACATCCCCTTCTGAGAAAGACAAATTGAACATTGGCATGTTAAAAATTGCGCAATATAGAATGATGTTAATTTTTAAAAAATACCTAATTTCTCAAACTTACGGACCATAGATTCCCCACTCTGTTTTGGGATTTAGTATTAATCAAAATCTCATGAAATTAAAATGAAAGAGACGGTGATGATTTAGTCACTAGTCACATTTCAGGTGCACAGTAGCTACATGTGGTTGGTGACCACTCAATTGGACAATACAGACTTAGATAATTAAGCCAATTAAACTAATACTTAAATGATAAAACTCATAGCACTATTTTGCTACTACTTCCATATAGTGATTTTGCCTATTCGCAGTTCCTTCAATGCCAGGCCCCAAAGAAGGAATTATCATGGAAGATAATTCAGGCACTGTGCCATGCTGGAAATATTTTGAATAGAGCCTGTGGGTGAATCGTAAAACTGTAACAGGTAGATCCCCAACAAACACATGGATCTGGGACACCCCTCCCGGGATATTTATGTTTAAAAGGAGTGTCTTATCTTCTCACCCCCAGTTCCTAGAATCTGCCCTGGTTACTGGTTGTGCAAATAGCTGGCTCCATCCGTCATGTTAATGCCATACCAAGGAGTTGGCAAGAGCAAAACGTGCTACTTCTTGCCTCAGGATGATAGAACTTAGATTTGCCACCATGGCATCTGGCCAATTCTGTGAAGGATGCCCTTGAAAGTGCTCCTCCCCACAGAGAAGGAATGAAAGAGAACAAAAATAAATAGCACTAGGTGGACTCATAAAACTTGTCAAAATCTCTCAAGCATGGCATATTTGATGATTCATGGGGTTTGCAAAGCATTACCAGATTAAAACAAGGAATGTCATGCAGAGCCGTCATTCTATGGCTTCAGAACCCTGCATGGCAACAAAATCCTAATATTGGAAGTGTTGGTTAGGGGAACGGTGTGTACCTTCCTCACCACCCACACCATTCTAAGGCAGGACAATGCTCATCAGCAGAGCAGTGATAGTTACCAGTTTTCCTTTATTCTTTATCCAGAGACAAAGACTTTACACACTTCCTCTGGAAATTTGTTGAGAAATAATTTGCTCAAATTTCTCTCCCTGAAGATTGAGCCCATTTCCTCTCATGCAGTCATCAGCGGGAAGGGAGAAGCACAGATTCATCATCCCACTTATTCTAACCCTTCACAATTTCAGAGACAGTTGTGATAAAGCAATTTTCCTAGGGCTGTCTCTTTTCTGTAATTTTAATGTTAACCCCTTTATTCACACACAGTTAAAATACACTGCATTTCCACTCTCTGCACATTCTCACTCAATATGATACCTTCGCTTTTCTGATCTGTGACCGGCCATTGCACTTAATTAACCAACGGAAAACAATAGGGCCTTTTCGTACCCAGGCGTTGGACTGAGATGATTCTTGGAGAGACAGATTAATCAGCCCATGAATTCAGCCTAATCAGCTGCTAGAGAAAGACTTAACACTCTGATGATTCCATGGCTGCCACATGGAGAGTTTATTATTAATTTACAACTGCATGCCTGACTATGAAGTCAGTGGGTGAAGCCTCTTCTGTGATTGCAACGCTTACAGCCAAACCCCTCACCCACAACCATTTTTTACAATGTTATTTTAAAAAGATTTTCTATTTTCCTTTCCTTTTAACAAATATTTATTGCATGTCTACAATATGCCAGGCACCGTAGTAGGCGCTGGAGAGAAAATAATGAACAAAACAGAGTCTCTGCCATTGATTATAGCCTACTGAAGGACATAGAGAGTAACAAAAGATCACAAATCTATTATGTGTATATACTAAGGGATTAGACCTAGTAAGGACTAACGGTAGAGGTCACGAAAAGCTTTCTCAAAGAAATACTTAGCTGAGATCTGAAGGAGAAGAAGCTAATTAAGTAAAGGGGAACGGGTTCACTGAAAAATGAAACAAACTGTGCAAAGGCCCTGTGGTGGGGAGTGGCATGGTGTGATAATACAAGATCACTGAAGTCCACATGCAGCAAGGAAAGGGAGACATTGCAAGTCCTTTGAATCCGTCTAAGGATTTTGGTCTTAAACCCATGAGTAATGTGAAGCCATTGACATTTTTTAGGCAATAGGAGGCCAATGGAATGCTTTATACTAAAATAGAAATTGACCATGCCCTTTTTCAACTCCAAACTGTTAATGACTTATTATAGCCCACATAATGAACTTTCAACTTATTACTGCCATATTAAAATCCTCTGTATTCTGTCCCCAGACTTTTTCCCTGCCTCGTATTCCCTGGTACTTTCCTACTTGCCTTCATACACAGTGGACCCTAGGTCTTAGCCATATTGTTCACTGAACTTGCCACATACCTCTGGAACTCTGTGCCTTTGCTTACATTGTATCTTCAGCCCAAGATGAATGTACTGCATGCCCTTTGAAGGCAGGAATGATGTCCTATTCACACATGTCCTTGGTGCCTAGAACACCTTGGTGCCTAGACACATAATGGAATCTTAATAAATGTTGGTAGAATGGGTGAAATAATGAATGCCTTTACTGCTTCATTCACCTGTTGATATTCTGCCCATGTTTAAAAGGCCTAACTGCACATTTACCGCTTCTGTAAAATCTTACCTTATTCTCTAAGTTGGAATAAATTGGTTCTATCTTGCTGCTACCATAGGTCATTGTTTCTATTGGTTGTATCACTATTTTAACAATTATGTCCTGTATGAAAGAACAGATGCAGGGAAACACAAGCTGCATCCCCATCTCAAGAACACTCTGCAAACATGGATACTTTGAATGAGGGTCCTCAGGTAATTAGGGAGAAAGCAATGTGGCCAGAGACTTTGAAACTGTCAGCCATGTCTTTTGATACTAGTGAGGTTCTATCTCATCTTACTAGTCTTCTTAACCTTGACCTAAATTGTGTCTGGTGAGATTAAGACATGTCAGAGTATATTTGGCAGGTTGGATGGATGACTCTGCCAACAATCTATTTGCATGAAAGACTATGAGAGAACTTAGGCCAAGGGCAAAGTCAGACTGACAAATGGACTCTAAGGCACTAGAGGCAGAGAAGAGGGATAATTCTAAGAAGAAGGTGATATTTCTCATAGGATTTATCTCCTGGGCCAGTCCTCATGGCTCCTTTCTGAGTTCCGTGGGGTGCGGGTTATGAGGGAGTGTCAGGTATTCAGATACTCAGGAAGAGCTGTTTCATGGATGCTTTGCAAGGCACAGGGATATGGAAGCTTGCCATGTGGCAGCACCAAGAGCTACAGAGGTCTGTATGCCTGAGGTCACTCCTCTCTTAATTGTCCTGATGACCAACAAAAAGAGTCTAGCTCCAGGCACGCTGAGGTTGAGGGAGCTTTTGAAGTTGGAGTACAGGCAACAAAAGATATGGGAGGGCACCTAAATCTCTCTGATTATTACCTTGGGCCTGGTAGGGGCCTTAACGTCTCCCATGACCGATGTTTTGTTATAACGTTGATGAGAAAAAAAATCAATTCCTGGTTGGCGCCACTGTCTGTGTGGAGTTTACAGGTTCCCACATTCTCCCCATGTCTGCCTGAATTTTCTCTGAGTACTCCAGTTTCCTCCTACATCCCAAAGCTGTGCACATCAGGTTCACCTGGTGTGTCTGAATCGTCTCAGTGTGAATGAGTGTGAGTGTGTATGTGAATGTGCCCTGTGATGGAATGGCATCCTGTCTGAGTTGGTTCCCGTCTTGCACCCTGAGCTGCTGGATAGGCTCCAGTCACCTGCTACTCTGAACTGGAAAAATTGGGTAAATAATTGTCTCACTTGTTCTATCAATCTTTCTTAAATGTATATATAATTCACATTTATTTCAATGTTTAATATTAGAAGTATTTTGGTCTTTACTTAGAAGTCCAGTGATGTTTTTGTGACCAAAACTATGTCATAGGAATTAACTCTTCCTTTTATCAATTAGCTTATGATACAATGGGTTTTGTTACATGTTGTCTTTCTTAAAGTTACAGTTTCCAGGAGGCTGTGAATGACATGAAGTGAGACTTACTGTATCTGAAGAGTCCCTGAAGGAGCTTCCTGCAATTTTCCTTATAAGGGTCTGTTAGCTGTAGTTACCAGGTGGTATCAGCTCAGTCCTTTCTCTTTGGCCCCAGTTCCCTTCTGTCCCCCATTGGCTGTTTGCAAAGCAGGAGGAAAAAGGCTTTCCACACTCATAGCCCGTCTTGAGAATGCCAATGTCCACATCTGGACTACTTCCTTTACACTCTCCCAAACCTCCTGATCCTCCAGGTGCTGGAGTGTTTCTGGAGTTAATTGTACCTGGGGCCTGAGGTAGTGATATGGGGGTGGGGATGGAGCATACTACTCTTTGTCACAATGTGTCACTCAGGCCCAGCAACAGCTGTGCTTGAATTCAGCTGCATGATGAAATTTCTCTTGAACAGTTAAATCAGCTGCTTTTCTGACTGCTCTCCACATGAAGTTCAAAAACCCCCAAAGTGAGCCAGAGAAAATTCCTTTTTGAGAGGGCTGCTATGCTGAGCCTGTGAATAATTACTCCTTACTTAATTTTTTTCTAGACTATTTTAACAATAGAACTACGGATTTTTCTTTATTGCTACATGGCATAAGAATCGAAGGAAAAGGCTCTGTGAGATTTCTTTCCCTAGAAAGGAGGTTTTTGGTCAAGCCATTATTAGGGTCTAATGGCTGAGTTCAACACGTGCTTTTAAGCTGACCAGCATTATCCACCCTCGTTCATATATTGAAAACACACATACATGCATGTAAACACACACGCGCGCACACACACAAACACTATCTGGCTCTGTCTTGTACAGAGGAAGAATAGGCACAATTCTATCCCCTTCATACTCTGCTTTCTTTCTCTCCCCTGCCATCCCTGACTCAACCATAAATATAAAGTTCCTTTCTCCTTCTCAGGTATAAAAGAGTGGCTCTTTTTTGCATGTGTCTAAATAGAGACAAGTGGAAACTAGGGTAAGTATATGTTGGGTAATGCTGCTTTTACGTTCCTACTGATCCATACCAGATGCTCTGCACATACTTGTGTTTATGTGCATGTGTAAGGGGGAGGAGTGTCTATAGATGTTTGTCGAATTATGCATTATGGTTAGGAAATGGGTTAGGATGACTAAGAGTTGGGCAGATGTAGCTCAGTACAAAAGGCAATCTTTCATATCCTTCAGAGTGTTTTTGGAGTTATAAAAGATATACTCCATAGGCAAAATCCCAGAACATTACATGGCATAAAGCAGGTGGTCAATAAACATTATTTCTCCTTTTAAAGTTCCTCTTACTTCAAGGATCTTGGGGTTTCTTTTCCCTATTAAAAAAATAGCTCTTAAGAAAAAAGATCTGATATTAATTCACATCTTTGTATGAATATACGCTACCCAGGCTCCCCCACTCTTGGTTTGCATTTTAAGCTCTATAACAAATTGCAGACTAGAGGACTTTATCTGGTATTAAAGGAATAGTAGGAGTCAGAACAAAGCTGGAGAGGTTATTTTGGGAAAAGAAGGGCTCTTCCTCCATGTTTCTAAATTATGCCAATGTAAGTGTCTCCTTCTCCCCCCATGCATACAAAAAGGGATTCTTCTGATGTGTGATGAATATGAACATTTATGTATGCATTCCATGTGGGAACAAGACCTAGACACCGGTGGACAGCAGCATGCAGCTTAAAAGCACGTGGTATGCATCTTCCTTTTGAGGCTAATAAATAGCTTGGCCATAATCCTTCTCACTATGGAAAGAAATCTCACAGAGCCTTTTCTATCCATCTTGGTGCCAAGTAGAAAGAAGAACAATTCAGAGTTATTTTATTCAAATGGTTTGGAAAGCCAAAATAAGAATGTTTCATATTGCTTGCAGATTCAACATGTCAGTCCTTGAAAGAGTGAGCTTTCCATGAATTAATTAAAGATTGGAGTCACTTTTCAGTGAACTATCATACCTTTCCAAACATATTTGTAAAGGTTTCAAAACAATTATTATCTTAGCGGCTTTCTTTATTTAGTACTTTTCTTTGGGAAAGAACTGCTTTTATATAGGAAAATACCTTAGTAAATCACTGGGGTTGAGAGGTTGAAAGTGTGGTCCATGTGAACATAGACTAGCAGGAGACAATCAAAAGGAGAAGAAACAAAGAAAAAAGAAAGAAAGAGAGAACACACAATAAATCATCCATAGAAGTAGCTAAGATAGGAGAGGGGAAAGGGTAGGGTCTAGCAGCATGGTGGGAAGATAGTGTCCAAGTTGGAGGGTATCTAAAATACTTTCTAAAGGGCAGATATAGCTGATAAGGAAATTTCAGTTGCTTATGCTGCTTTATATTTATTTCTATGCCTTCACAAACCTTTAAAAAGGCCCATGTGAGTGGATTTGTTAAAAAATTGGAGAAAGAAGTTATGTTGAATACATGATTCAGAGTGAGGTCAGCTTAGGATTCATGAACTGAACTGAAATTGAGTGTAAATTGTTCAGCTCAAAGGTGATCATGAGTGTATAAGTCCCCTGGGGATTTGCAGAAATTGTGGAAAGGCACTGAACTTTTCACAGAGCGCAGAATGGGGGAATCAAGTCAGTCGTATCTAAATTACTCAAGTCATACCTTAAGTCATCATCTGAGTTATAAATCATTTGTGCAAAGTGAGGACCACATTGGTGTTCTCAGTTCCCTGACCCTTAATTTGCATTGCCAGACTGACTCTCAATGCTCTTCCAATAAATCTCAAGGAGGCTCTTGGAAGAGCAATTGTGATTTTTAAAAATAGTTCATCTTACAGATACTAGAAAGATGTGCCTTTGAATGAATTTCTCGGATTAAAATATATTTTCCAAGTCTCCTGAGGTTAGCAAATGGTACTCTTTCTTCCTGGCTCCTTTCAACTTTTACACAACACAAACAAATCAAGATCTGTCTTGTTCACTCCACAGATCCTTAAATGAAGATTTTGAAAAGAGTGGGGGAGGAAAGGCAGTGAAGAGGGAAGTCAAGACGGACTTATTCCTGCTTGATTTCAAGATGAAAAGACTGTTCATCCCTGAAAATTCCACGGGGAATCAGAGGGAGGGAGAGAAACAAGTCCTTGTTTGTACAGAACTGTTCACAAATGTTATATCATGGGGTCAGATTCACATACTGGGTAAACCTTGAAGAAAAAATTCCCAAGGGATTCCATAGGATGTGAAGCAGGCCAAAAACTTTGTTACTTGTCTTTTTGTCCCGTGAGACCTACACATCAACAGTTTTAAAACAGAAAAGTAGGATAGTTAGTACCTTTGAAGGGCCACTCCAGATGTCTAGGTCCAACTAAATTTGTCTACAAATTTCTATGGTTATTTATAGCTTCTTTTTTATAGCTTTAGGATCTTCAGTAAGGCTGAGACTTAAGGGAGCTGTTTCAGATCCAGGAGAAATCATAGAAATGTGTACGTGTTCCTACTAGTCTAATCCTATCCCCAAGGCCAAATAGGGTGGTGCAGTATGTGTGGCTTATTTTTCATAGCTCCAGGAAGGACAAGTGAAGATTCAGGATGAAACAGAACTAAGTCTGGCTAGGCTAGTGACAAACACTTAAATTACCTAAGTCATAGATTAACCAGTAAAAAATGATTTCTGCTCCCAGCTCATACCTACTGGGACCAGATGATAATGATGGTGATGACGATAATAATGATGATGATGTCAATATTTTTTGAGTATTTGCTATGTACCAAAAGTCTTTTGCACTACTCAAAAGACCTGACATACATTGTTTTATTAAATTCTCACAATAATCCTATATGGTAGCCTTTGCTATTCCTGTTGTAAAGATGAAGAAACAGAGGTTCAGTAAATTCAATTAACTTGTTCAAGGTGGTACAGCTAGTAGATAAGCCTGGAATGTGAATCCAAAAGGGTCTGACTTGACCATTGTCCTACAGTGCCTCTCTATTAGTAACTCAAATCAGACATCCTAGTTGAAGTGTAAAGTAAGGCTGGGGATAGAACTCTCAATAAAATGGTGACTTTACTGAGGGTGACTCTCAATAAAATGATGCATTACATAAGGGAATAGCCAGCATTTCTCCATTTCATGAAAGTTCCTTCTCACAGTGGAGCAAGGATTCTCTTCTCTCTTCCATCTTTTGCCTGTCATCAAAACTGGCTGTCAAGTAAGAATTTAATATACTCATTCAAAGTAGGCAAACTGTAATAAAAATGGTGAACTGGCTCATGACAAGATTTGGAATCTCCACAGGGAGCAAAATCTTGAGTCCAACAAATTAATCCACAGCAGCAGATTTTCAGATTTGCAGAGTTAAGTGAGTAAAAGAGACATGTTTTCAACTTGGAATATGGGGAGTAAGTGGGGATGTGGCTTTTTTCCTTCTCGAATCAACTCAGTAGGTGAACTCTTCATGCAACTGAAAAGTGCATTGTGAGTTGAAAACCTCTAAAATATATCAGTATACCCATTCTGAGCTTCCTGCAGACTGACTTAAAAAATTGCTCAACTTCTTTGCTAAGAATGCAAAGAATAATTTGGATATGCCTGAGTACTGTCCTGCCCCACAACCTCTTCAAAACAGCCTTTGAAATCTATTAGCATCAAAAAATGCCCTTCGGGGTACTAGGCCTGTTTATCTTGAAAAGTTCCTCTCAGACATCCTGGCAGGGGATGGGAAAATGGTTCAGCCACTCACAGTTCTTATGCCCTTCGAATTCTAGTATTTGTATTTGTCTGAGTCGATTCTCTTCTGGATGTCTTCCCTAACTAGGCTTAAAGACCCTTTCTCACAAACCTGCTATCTTTTTTTTTTTCCTTCTTCTAGTTTTTATAATGATTTGTTTGGTTTTAGGTCATCAGCCAGAGAAGGGATAAATGCCCTGTAAATTAAATATGCAGAGAAAGCTTTCTTTCCTCATCTCCTCAATGTCAAGAAAAATCTTCAATCTTAAAAAAAAAAGAAAGAAAGAAAAGAAAAGAGTTGCTATTTCTGTGGGATCAAAGAAAAATAATTATGATTTCGTAATGCCTTAAACAAAACTTTGGGTCCTATGTATTTGTTCAGAAATTAAAACTCAAAGATCATTGATTGCACAATGCCACTGTTTTGTAAATAGCTTTAATCCACTTTACAATTCTCCCAGTTCTAAATTTGTGCTCCTATCTTCCAAGGCCCATCATTTTCATGAGTCACCAGTCGTGAGCAGTGCAAGTTTTTCTGAGATCCAGCCAAACAACGCCTGGGCTCCTCAGTGTTTACACAGACAGCCCTGGCTAGTCTAGTAATCATTGTCTTGTTTCCTTATAGGAAAAGCTAGAAACGTACAGGGTAAACAGGGCAGCAACTAATATATACTGAGAATCTACTATGTGCTAAGCACACTGCTGTGCACTTTAAAATTCAATCTTTGTCACAGTCCTACCTGGTAAATATTATTTCTCACTTTTTTCACATGAAGAAACCAAGATTTAGAGAGATGAGGTAATTCACCTAAAGAAACAAAAGCTAAGGGTAAGGTTGAGGTCACTATTCCTATGCTTCGCTCATCCTAACCCATCACACTGCTTCCCTACACTGCGGAGCCTCAGCCAAAGATGGCTTTGGGAATAAATGAATCATTTGAAAGGTCTCTGCCTGGCCATGATCCTCATATTTCTGCAAGACCTAACCAGCTAATGATGCCCAGAGCATGTGTCAACTAAGCCCTGGCTCGGGATAACGTTTCTGGGCTTAGTTACAGTATGGAGTTCATTCTTGATTCATGAGCTGATGCTAAGCACTGTGTCCTCCAGGCTGGAGTTACCTCTGGAACCACAAGATCATTGCTCCTTCTTTCATCACTTGGACTCAGTGGTTACTAACTCCTTCTAAATGAAGCAATTAATTGAAGTCTATTAAAAGAAATTTCTAAAACCAGTGATTTCAAAATCCATTTACTGCACAAAATTTGGAGAGAGCATTTCCTTCCATTGCCTAACTGGAGCTCAAGTGGTAGAGACAAAATAATAGTAATATTAATAATAATCATAAAGAAGAAGAAAGAAATTACAATAACCAAAACCCATTGAGTGAGCTATTTTCTTTAGTCTACAACTTACAATAACCAAAAAGGAATCAGCAGCCCCAACATTCAAATCCCTAGAAGAGCGCCCTGTAAGAATCTATACAAAGCGCATGTGAGATCTTCAGCTGCTACTAGGAGTGGGGGTGAGATGATATAAAATGCTTCAATTTAAAAGACAATCGAGTTATTTCAGCCAGCACTCATACTTCGCAGGTGACAAGGGAGAGGAGCAAGAACTGATAACAGTTTAGTTCTTTCTGTGATCTAGGTATTATGCTGGGCAAGTTCATACATTTATGTTATCGTTAAATTCTCATAAAAATCATCAAAGGCAGCTATTATGATCTGCATTTTAGAGGACATGGATGATCACGAAATTTTTTTTTAAGTAACCTATTCCAGGATGAGTCCAATCACTTCAAGCTTTGTTGATATCATACATTTCTGAGTAAAAGAACCTTCCAGTCATTAACCTCATCTAGGTGTACAAGAGAAATAACTGGAGATCTATGTGATTCACATTCTGGATTGCTGAATATTCCTATGTGTCTATTGCCTCTTTTTTTCAGAGACCCTATTAAAAGGATATATTTTCAAAAAGCAAAACAGCCTCACACAACAAAATGAATAGGAGAGCGCCATGGGGGATTTTAATAAATGTGTAGAATTCAGAAGGTGGAAGGAATAATGTCAAGTGATGAAGGAGAGGGGAGAAAGACACCACCTTGAAAAGTGGGAACTTCAAGCTTGAATGTGAGCAGGTTACTGCAGCACAGGAAGTAGCTGACCTGCCTGGTAAAATCAAGAAGGGCTCTGGATTCAAAAAGGAGGTGGGAGAAAGGTAAGCTGAAGTCAAAGATGTATATATAGAAAGAGTTGGCCCTAGCCACACCTTTCTCTCACCTCTACATGCTATATAAATCCAGGTCCTTGCCCATAAGCAAAATAACTGGAGAGTTCTCTAATGGAATAGAATATACTGCTTGGGGAAGAACTAGGGTAGCCAATGTGGGTGTTAGTGACCCAGCATAAGGCCCTCCTCATTCATTCCCTGGGGCTCCCCATCATCAAGACAGGTCCTATAGCACTCAGCTTGGAGAAAACCTACCAGTGGACACACCTACAGGCATACACAGAGCTCCTGGGCAGTATGCTTATTGCTCATTTTGATGTCTGGAGAGACAACCAAAAATCACCAGACACTTGAGGAAAACCTACAATAAGAAAGAGAAATGCCAAGATAAGCACACCAGCTATTCCCTAGAGGAAAAAGAGAACTTGGGGAATAGAAGAGAACTTACAGAACATAATTAATTTAGTGTACTCAGAAGTACTGAAGAATCTGTGGCATGGATAAAACAAGAAGAGAATGTTTTATTTTTTAAAAAGTATAATTGAAGAACAAAAAGGATTGTTTTAGAAATTAAAAATACCCTGACAACATTGAATATTCAGAGTAGATGGAGTACAAAGCTGAGTTGAGGAAAGCTTCTAGAAAATAGAACAACGGGGAGTTAGGAAGAAAATATAAACAAAAAAATAAGAGGCATTAAAGATCAATCCTAGGAGATCTGACATGTTATTAACTACAATTTTAGAGATAACAGAGGGTGGGAAATGATCAAAAACAAAATAAAAAAGAATTTCCTGAAGATGATGGGAGGGTATCTTTAAATATAAAGAGGTTGCACAGTGCCCAGCATGATAAACAAAGTATTATTCACACAGTATTTTACAATTTCAGAACACCAAAGATTAAGAGAATAACTTACACCTTGTCAGAGACAGAGAGATGGAGGAAAACAGGAGCTAAGTCCTCATAGATCATAATGTGAAGCTATTAGCTAAAACTCGAAAGTCTACAACAATTGCGACAACAACATAAGCATATTATTTAGGATAACCAACAGAGGACCTAAAAACAGGGACCATTAAAAATTAGTTGTCTCTGAGGAGCAGGACTTAGGGACGTGAGTGGGCCGTATGGTGGGATTGTGAATTTTTATCGTCAGTGTGCAAGCATTACTTCGGATAAATATCTATGTCTATATCATCTATAGCTATATCCACACATATAAAATAAATAAAAAATATGTACATCAATACATATTAGAGTCAATACATAATATAACCTATATATTACATGAAATACCATATGTAGTTATTATATATATTACATATTATCTGTGTATGTGTCTTTAAAAGTAGTATTTGCAGGTTGTATGTTTATTACCCACTGAGAATAAACCCATCAAGCAATGTCTCTTACGTCAAACACTTAAACAAGGTTTAGTCTTGCCAATACCTATTGCACTACACACATAATTATTGATGAATTTAATACAGAGTTATAAAATTATATCCTAAAAAGGTCTTCCAGTGGGTGAGAAAATAAGCCTCCTACCAATACAACTTTCAAATAGTCAGTGGCTCCTAGCAGTTTAGGAGGCTGAGGCAGGTTAATTGCTTGAGCTCAGGAGTTCAGGACTAGCCTGGGCAACACTGTGAAACCCCATCTCTACTAATATACAAAAAATTAGCCGGGTGTGGCGGTGTGCACCTGTAGTCCCAGCTACTCAGGAGGTTGAGGCACATGAATTGCTTGAACCCAGGAGGCGGAGGTTGCAGTGAGCTGAGATCATACCACTGCACTCCCGCCTGGGTGACAGAGCGAGACTCCGTTTCCAAATATATATATATATATATACACATGATAGTAATGGCTTAGGCTGAGCTAATAGACTGTAAAAATAGTTGGTTGAAAAGTGAGAACATCAAGCTGAAAACGCTTGTGATTTTCTGATCTTAACTGGAATGTTTTTTAAAACCTTAATTTCAGCAAACCTGTTTGTGTATATAGGGAGTGAGCCATAGGCACTGTGGAACATTTGACTCTTCCTGCTGCTAAACATGCTGGGAGAAAGAAGCTTCTGGAAGGTGGTTGAATTATTTTAAGCCATGACAAATTCCTTTACAAGAGGAAGGAGAAATAGTTTTCTAGTTGGTCCCTTTGCAGCTTAAAGGATCGGTCTTACGTGGGAGATGCCACCAGGTAACGGATCAGAGTCCTTGCTTCATGGTAGAGACTGGAAAATTCTGATCTATGGGATCTAAAACATTTGGCCAAAACTAAAGACTATGATAAAGTGGAAAGAAGAGAGTTAAACAAATGCATGAGAGAGAAAAAAAAGCAGGAGTAAGAAAGATTAGATTCCTGCTCAGTATGTGAGAAATGCAGACATGCTATATAATCCCAGCGAGCACAGTATTCATTAGGCTCACCAGCAGCTGTTTGGGGCTTAAGTTGCCATTGGTGGTGTTTTTCTAAGCCTGCTACCTTTTCAATTGACTATGTGAAAAGCATTCCTCAGAGGTAGGGTATGGTGCAGACTATGCTAAATTACAGAGGGTAATTTCCCTGAAGGGAGATGAGCTGCAGAAAGACAAAACCAAGGACTCGCGAGAAAAAAGTATTAATGGAGAAATGAAGAGTGCAAGGAGATGGAGTAGGCAGCGTTGGCCAGTAATGTAATAATTCAAAGACCGCAAGTAAAAAACAGCCTCCTGGGATGGGCCAGTTCGTCATGCACTCAGTCAAGAAAGGAAAACAAGAAGCCAGATACTGTGGTGAAATTGTTTTTCTGAGAGAGGAGCTGCTATAAATACAGATGCTTTGGGATAGAAGGAACAAGAGGCAAGAGAGCAAGCCTGGATTCCGAATGAGATGCAGAT
Source organism: Homo sapiens (assembly GCF_000001405.40). Classification (NCBI taxonomy): domain Eukaryota; kingdom Metazoa; phylum Chordata; class Mammalia; order Primates; family Hominidae; genus Homo; species Homo sapiens. The sequence goes on along the minus strand of NC_000011.10, from coordinate 95,508,262 downwards.
TCCAGCTCCAAGTATTAGTCCCAGGTATTGAAGGGAAAAACACTAAGGTGATGGGAGCTTCTAATATAAATGCCTTCATGTTATAAGATGATTAATTCAAGCTTATGTGTCAGGCAGAATCATAGACTCGGTAATAACATTGCCTTTTTGGTCTGAAGATCTTTCCCTAGGGGTGGAGGATAAGAAGGCAATTAAGAGGAGAACGTTAGGAGGAGCCACCCCAGGCACAATTCTGAAGGTGGACAGACCTTATGATGGCTCCCTAATTCCTGCCCCCTGGTGTTCACACCATGTATAATCCTCTTCACTTATGTGTGGGTGGGGCACACTCCCACCTGTGACTTGCTTCTAGGCAATAGACTCTGAGAAAGGTGGTAGTGCCACTCCCAGGATTAATTTAGGCTATTTATATAAGACTCCATCTTAGCAGACTGGAGCACGAGATTCTCCTTGCTGGCTTGTTAAAGCAAGCAGTTGGCTTGTTGAAGGAACTACAGGTGATCTCCAGGAACTGTAGGGAAATTCTAGGACCTGAGGTCATACAGCCACAAGAAAATGTTCTGCCATCAACTTGATGAGCTTGGATGTGGAGTCCCCAGTTGACCTCCAGATGAGAACGCAGGCTGGTTGAACCCCTTTTCTGCAGCTTTGTGAGACCCTGAAGCAGAGGACTCGCCTAAGCCATGCCCAAACTCCTGATGCACAGAAACTGTGAGATACTAAATGTGTGCTGGTTTAAGTCACTAAATGTGTAGTACTTGGAAACAGGTGAAAAAGAATAAAATAGGGCATCATATAACCTGTAAACCACAAATAGGAAAGTGGTCATGATGCCAGGTGTCACTATTAAATTACATTAAGACTTCCCTGATGTTCACGGCCCAAGGCCCACCTAATGTTAAGCTCTTGTCACCTCTGAATGTTCCTACTTTCCTTGAGATAGAATCCATTTGTTGTACTACTGACCAAAGGATGACAAAACGTGTTCCCAGTCTGTCAATATGGAAAGTTGCCCTATGCAAAGTTGTGAAGTGGGAAAATTTGTTTTCCTACTCTTTTGATGGTTTCTGTCCCCGTGCAGAACCTTTCGCCCAAAGGACATAAATAGCCTCTTCCTACCCCTTACCTTCCCTGCCCTACCCTATGCTCTGTACCCTTTTGAATTACCTTCTTTAAATCTTGCCTGTTTCTGTATCCTATTCCTCAGATCTTGCCTGGTATCAATGAATCCGTGCTTAGAGTAACCACAAGACACCAGCTTAATGAATCATCTCACCCCAATAGCATCTGTACTTTTTCACAGATGTCTTCAAAACTTTAACCATCAAGGAACTCAAGAAATTGATGAGCAGATATATGGTCTAGGCAAGTCTTCCAGGGCTCCACAAACCACACCACACAGGGACAATAGGAAACAGAGCTTTCTACTCTCTTACAGAAATCTGCCTTGCATTTCCTTCCCACTGCAGGCCTCTTGCTGGTTGAAGCCCATGTTGAGTGGCCATTGTGTGTATTCCAGAAGCAGTAACAGCAGCATCTGTGTAGTGCCTGGCAGGTATCAGACTTTCCTCCATGTGGAAAGGGCATTGGACAACTTGTTTTATCACAATATATTTCTCACATCTGAGTTTTTTTCAGAGTTCACCATTAAAGTATATAATTTCTGAGCTGCAGTGAAATGTGCCTTCCTTATGGAAGCAATGGGAGAGAAGCTAGGCAGTAGTCCCCCCCTTACCCATGGGAGATACATTTCAAGACCCCCCAGTGGATGCTTGAAACAGATGGTAGTACCAAACCCTTATATATACTGTTTTTTCCTATACACACATACCTATGATCAAGTTCAACTTATAAATTAAGCATAGTACTCTTGTGCTTTTGGGCCGTGATTAAGTAAAATAAGGGTGACTTGAACACAAGCACTGCTATACTGCACAATCAGTCTGATAACCAAGATGGCTGCTAAGTGGCTAACGGGCAGGTAGTATACGTAGTGTGGATACACTGGACAAAGGGATGATTCATGTCCAGAGAGGATGAAGCAGCATGGAATGAGATTTCATCACACTACTTAAAATGGCATGCAATTTAAAACTTATGAATTATTTATTTCTGGAATTCTCCATTTCATATTTTTGGGCCGCAGTTGACTTCGGGTAATTGAAACCACAGAAAGTAAAACCACAGAAAGTGAAACCACAGATAAGGCGAGGGCTACTCTACATGGAGCCCAACCACAGACTAGCCGGGCTTCCAGGAGGAAGTGGAATCTCCATACCAGGGAAAGCCCCCTGCTTCCTTCTCCGGGGAAGACTCAGAGAAGTTTTTTGTCACACAAGGAGATTCAGAGAAGTTGTCCACGTAGACAATATTCTCTTGGTCTCCGAGCCCTGTGCAACCCACTCCATCTGCCTGAAATGATCTTCCCTTCGTCCCTTTGAATCCAGATTCAATTTGCATGTACACCTGGACCCCCACCTTGACTGGCTCCAGGCTGGTTAGGGTGCCTACAATGAACTACACTAATGATATTTAATACTCTGTCTTGGAAGGACCTGAATTGCCTTCCTCTTCTACCAAAACAGCAAGATTCTTGAAGATATGATCCGTGTCATATTGTTTTTTGTTTTGAGACAGGGTCTTGCTCTGTCACCCAGGCTGGAGTGCAGTGGCAACATCCTAGCTTACTGCAACCTAGAACTCCTGGGCTTGAGTGATCCTCCTTCCTCAGCCTCCCAAAGTGCTGGGATTGCAGGTGTGAACTACCATGCCCAGCTTATTGTTTTATCTGCAGAGCCTAGCATGGATCTGGCACTAAATAAGTGGTTTATAGGTGAGAGAATGAACAAATGGCCAGATAGGAAGTAAGGACCTGATCTCTTCAGACTCTGAAAATGAGGGGAAAAAAGGAAAAAGAGGATGATAATTCCACAACTTCTTTTCCAGAGCTGAAAATGAGGTGGTTTTATTAGGTGTTCTACATTGAGATCAACCCTCAACTCATCTATTCTATCCTGTCCCACATGATTATTGGGCAACGAAGCCATTTTATGACATTTTCCAAAAAGGAATGGGGGAACCACTCAGCTAAGGGCAGGAGGCCAGGGTTTTATTCACAGAAATGTGGATGAGAGAAAGTTTTATTAAATAGTAGTGTAAGTGGGTTTCACCTTCATGGAAGTTTCTGATTTTTTTTTTTACAGTTAAAGTATGTTATAAATATTTATCTATCCTATGCTTATACTTTGATGTTGGTAAGGCCTAATTTTCCCCTCCATTTGACTTCACGTAATATGTTATCATTTATGGCTATTAAATATGATGTTATGTGATTAATTCTGTGTGTCTTATGCTACATACCTTTGGCAAATATTAAAGTTGTATTAAAATATAAGTAACTAGTGAGTGTTCACTTATTTAAAAACAAAAAGAAATTTCCTTTCTCCCTCCTGGTTGCTTTGCCTTCACCATACTACTGGAATGAGTGTGTGGGAAAGGGCTACTTTCCCCACCCCAGGTGAGCAGGACCAGGAGGCAGGGGGTGGGTGCCCTTCCAAAAATGGCTCTCCACAGCACTTTCCTTCCTTCTCACCTGCATCCTCCTCACACCCCTCCTAAGGACCAGGGCCTCTGTCTTCACTAAAGTGCGTACCCTATCCTTTCTTCTCAAGAAGTTCCTCCTGTTTGGCAAATATTTTTCTTAATCACAGGGACAGACATGCCTCAAAGGGCAGCACACACCAGCCTTTACATGGAAGATAATCTCTATTCCGCCTGGACACCAGCTCACTTTTCCTAGATCTCCAAGCCTCCTATACCAGTTTAAAGTCTAGACTCTAGACTTTAAACTCACTGCCCCTGATCTCTGATCTTCTAGTTTCTTCTGAAGAATTCTGAAATTTAACTTGTGCTCAAACCATGCATCTAAACCATTCTGTTTAAGGTTCCCAGTGAGCTCCTTCTCACAGAAAGCAGTGGCCAACCTTTCCCCATTCTTTATTCTCCTCAATATCTGTCATGTTGGAGTCTGGATACCAGGGATCTGAGCCCCACATGCTCTCTGGGAAGACTGAGGTAGAGTTTTAAAGGTGCGGCTATATTAGGAATCTTCCTTTGGTCCAAGCTCCCACTGCTTCTAGATGAGGAGCCCTTCCTATCACTTCCAAGCACACTTCTACCTTAGTGCCTTTGCACCAGCTGTTTCTTCTGTCTGGAATGCCCTTCCTTTAGTTATCTGCATAGTTGACTGTCTCACCTCCTTCAAGTTTTTGCTGCCCCATTTTCCATGGCAATGCTCTCTACTTGCTGTTGCTCACATCCTGGGCTTCAGTTTCCTGCTCTAATCCAACTCATTGCTTTCCATCTTTCAGAAAGTGCTCACTGTTTCTGCTGTACTGAGAGTTCCCCTTCTATTTTCTTTTTTTTTTTTTTTTAGTCAGGGTCTTGCTCTGTTGCCCAGACTGGAGTGCAATGGTGCAATCTCAGCTCACTGCAACCTCCACCTCCTGGATTCAAGCGATTTTCCTGCCTCAGCCTCCCCAGTAGCTGGAATTACAGGTGTCCGCCACCACGCCAGGCTAATTTTTGTATTTTTAGTAGAGACAGGGTTTCACCATGTTGGCCAGGCTGGTCTTGAACTCCTGACATCAAATGATCCACCTGCCTTGGCCTCCCAAAGTGCTGGGATTATAGGCATGAGCCACCATGCCCAGCCCCCTTCTATTTTTGAGAGCAGTGATATACATTTTTATTAATTCAAAAGTACCTCTACTATAATTTCTACGGACTTAGTGTGAGAATGAGCTTGTCATCTTTAGAATTGAGAAAAACTTGAAGGAGAGGGTTAATTGTGTGGATATCTATAGGAAGAACAAACCAGACAGAAGAAACAGCTGGTGCAAATGCCCTGAGTTAGAACTGTGCTGGATAGGAATAGGCAGGGGCCTAAGGTTGGAACAGAGTCACCAAGGGAGGAAGATGACCTCAGAGAGGGAAGGCAGCTGCCAACTCTGAGGAGGGCTATAGCATGTGGAGTCTTGAGGCCAGTGTGTGTGTGTGTATGTGTGTGTGTGTGTGTGTGTGTGTGTGTGTACTTTGGCTTTTACTCTGAGGGAGACCAGAAGTTACCAGATGGTTTTGAGAAGAGAAGTAAGATGATCTAACTTAATATTTTAACATAATAACTCTGACTGCAATGTTAGGAATAGACTCAAACGAGAAGAATCAGGATGCTAGTTCAGAAATCCAGGTGTGAGATCTTGGTGGCTCAGACCACAATGGGAGCAATAGCCGAGGTGGGAAGTAGTTGGATTGTGGATTTACTTTGATGGTGAAAGCAATAGGATTTCCTGACTATTGGGGGAGGAGGGGGAGAGAAAGAAAGGAGTCCAGGATGATTCCAAGGTTTTTAGTCTGAAGACTGGGTCAAGGAATTACAGATAAATTGGAAGTCACTCTTGATTTTAAGGAAAACATTGGATAAAATATTGGCCTAGCATATGATGCAAGTGCTTTAAAAATTACGCACACGATATCCGTCCCTCACAACCCCAACACAGTACCAGACAGTCTATAAAGAAAGCTCCCATGGGTTTTTCTAGTTGTTTTGAAAAGAAAGTTACTATCGGTTACTTTAAAATGAATGAAAATCAATTAGGTTTGTTTGCAGGGATGAGGAAATTGCTTCGATGTGGTGATTATGCTAGGACCTGGCACCTTCTGTAACTCAAATAAGGAAGGTTCTTCCTAGGAAGGATTCCAGACCGGCTGGGTGCAGGTTCTATCTTTTTTCCCCAGACTCACTCTGTGCTGCAGGCAAGTTGCTTAATTGATGCCTCCATTTTCCTACCTGTAAATTGAGGGCAGGATGAATGATACTAAAGCTTTGAGGTCCTTTCAGGAAGGTGTTCTGTAATGTCAAGGTCTTATTAGAGACCTTAAGAAGAAGTTAGCTTCCTTCTCCTGATTTCTGGGAAGCCAGCTGCAAATGACTGGGATTTAATGAGTTAGCAAGACAGTGAGTTATTTAAAAAGCAATGAGATCAGTGCTTCCACATCAATAAATGTGTGTGATTGCCCCAGGAGAGATGTGCCTGCCTACATTCATCAGCCCATAAAGGTGACTATAGGGGCATGGGCTTGAGCTTAGGTCTCCTGATTTTTGACCCTGCTGTCAGAGCTGCGGAGACTGTCTCCTGGCTGCCTGACCCTGGGGCAGGTGGGATGAGCTGGAGTCCCTCCACCAGCACGGGTCCTCCTTCCAGGGCCCATAAATCTCCTGTGGGGTAGTGAGGTAATGCTTAGATCAGTGCACCAGTCTTCCTGAGATGACCCCAGGCAGTAGGGTTATTCTGTACATAGAGGGCAGACAGCTCACTCTGTTAAAAAGCACTCTGCCTGCTGACTGATGACTGGTGAGCAGGATGAATTCAATTCCTTGCCTCACACTTTCCACAGCTCCTCCAGCCAAGTTCTTCAAGTGTTGGAGGGAAAGGAGGGTCAACTGAACTAATTATTTTTTAAGAACTGTCTCCAGTCTCCCTGCTCAGTGAATTTCAAAACTCAAGGCCACAAGTTCTCTAAGTTCAAGTGTGACTCCAATCAGATTCCCGAAAGGTGGCTACTGCAAGAGAAAACAAGGCAAATAGGACCAATCAGCTCTGGGTCTGTCAGGAAATCCAACACTCCCATCAAAATGTGGATGGACCTGGCCAACATGGAGAAATCCCATCTCTACTAAAAATGCAAAAATTAGCCGAGCATGGTGGCATGCACCTGTAATCCCAGCTACTCGGGAGGCTGAGGCAGGAAAATCGCTTGAACCTGGGAGGCAGAGGTTTCAGTGAGCCGAGATTGCACTACTGCAGTCCAGCCTGGAGGACAGAGCGAGACTCCATCTCAAACAAACAAACAAACAAACAAACAAAAACACAAAAATATTGATGGAGTAGAGGAATCCTTTTAAGCAAAGTCTCATTGTTAGCAAAAGTTCCACACACGGTTCTTCAGCATGTTCACCCTCATTATGGCAGCAATATAAGTTTCTATTTTTCTAATACTTGTTGTATAAAGGTTAAAAAAAAGGTGTGGCTTAAGCTCTCCAGAAAATTACAGTGAGTGTCATGGAACGATTACGAACTGGATGTCCTGTGAGATAATTGTAACTTTGCCACTTAATTAATTAGTTATTCTGGGCAACTTATTTAACCACTCCAAGCCCTGGTTTCTTTATCTGCAAAATGTAAAACAATAGTGTGTGACCTGGTATCCACAGTTTTCCAGTAGACCCCCTACTGAAGGTCTTGACGCATAAGATCAGAACTAAATAGGCTTGCTAATTATCCTACTTATGTCTTTCCTTGTCTTGCATCTCTCTCTGCATTAAGAATGTAAGTTTCATGAGGGTATTAAATTATATAAGCAGTACACCATTAGCCTGAGGCTGTCTCTGTTCTTTGAGCTCCTACATAATGAACTGCAATCTAACTTGTACATAAACAAACCAAAAGCTAACTTAGGAGTATAAAAAACAGCCAAGCTTCATCCAGTCACAGGCAGCTAACTCAGCACATCATGCCCAAATAAGGCAGATGCTAGCTGCAAATAATCAGGTGATTTCTCTACTGTGTTTCTGTGTCTGGCCTATGAAAGCTCATCACTCATACTGCTGGGTGGAGCTTTCTGAACCTCTTCTGGTTCTGAGTGTTGCCCAATTCATCGATTGTTCTCCACAGAAATAAACTCTTCTAAATTTAATTTATCTGAAGTTTCTCTTTTAACAAGGGCAAGGACTTGGCTTGATTCACCTCCTTATCCTCAGCAACCAGAAGAGTAATACCCCCTCTTATTTTACTATTTTAAAATAACTTTAGTTAAATATTTTTCTCTTAATTAGAAAGAAAACCAACATATAGATGTTTATCAGTCATTTGTCTATCACTATAAATTACACAATAAAATAATTTGACACTCAGTAGATGTTAGCCAGTGGGGATATAGATATGTTGAGGGAGTGGAAGAAGGGAGAAACTTTTGAACATGGATCAATTAAAGAGGAAAGGTAAGACTTTAAGCATCAGTTTCTTAGATGACAAAAGAGAGGATGACTCAGAACACAGGATAGGGGCACTGAAAGAGATAGATGGAGCCCAAAGATTCACCTTCTCTCCTTTGCTATGTTACTGGAGGTCCTGATAAGGTTACATGGATGCCAACTAAATCATCCCATGTGCTTCCTTCAAAAGTGTGGCTCCTCCTTTGTCATTCTTAGGTGTGTGATAGCTATTTATTAAATTATTTGTGGTTGGAGGGAAAAGCTAACTGGAGCATCAGCACTTATAAGCCACATGCCCAAGATCAAATTGTATGTGGGGGAAAATCCATTTATTCATTCAACAAGCATTTTTAGAGCACCTACTCTGTTCTAAGCAATGTGCTCAACATAAGGCATGAGTAAATAAAGCCCAGTCCCAGCTTTTAAGGAACTCAGAGTCTGGAGAGGGGAAAATGATAGATAAAATGAGTCATTGCAATGGTAGTACACACTCCTCTTCAACACCTTGTTCTTGGGCAGATTTATCACATCCTGTAAACATCCTACTCAACATTCCAAAGCAAGGCAAGCTCTTTAACAAGGGCATCCAGGAAGGTAAGAAATCCAGATAGTTGTTCTTAATGGTTAAGGAATTAGGCATGACAGGGAGACTTGGCTTCAAATCCCAGCTCTGCTACTTGCCAGTCATGTGATCTTGGGGAAATTACCACTTCTTTCAGCCTATTTTGCCATCTGTAATAATATGTGTGTTCTTGTGAGGTGCAAATGAAATACTGCAGATAGAGAAATGAGGATAGGGACAGACTTACAGATAGGCCCCAGAAGTGTCTGGTGCTGCTGTCCTGTGTTCCTCAGCTCTGATGAGCTAACCAATATGGGAAACCTGCTGAAGCCTCTGAGACAGCCCAAGCCATCCGCATTTAGAAGGTATTTTGTAGTCAGGGAATTGAGGAAACAATGGGAGGAGGGCAGTGGGCAGAGCATGCTGATCTGGGATCTGAAGAATGCAGCACAGCTGGGGGCAGTGGGATCTCAGGCATCAGGAGTGCAGATTGACAAGCAGCTTCAGGAGGCAGGGAGAATACATCATGGGACAATGCGGACAACCTGGAGACCAGGGGCTCAGCTTCAATAGCAATCAACATGGGCTAGGTGCTGGCAATAGAAAGGTAAGGAAGACCCTGCCCAAGTTCACCAGCTCCTTGTTCACTGGGAATGATGAGCACATATACAGGTTTGTTTACATAGTATGTTAAGTGTAGTGATACAGTGTACACAAGTTTACTCAACTCATTTTTTAATGCCTGCAAAATGAGTAATGATAATACCACTTACCCTAGAGGGTTTTTGTGAGAACTAAATAAGAGTTATAATGCATACAAATATGTGTGCATAATACATATACACATACATACACACATATAAATGCAATTCATAAATTATGCAGTGCTGAAGAAACATTAGTTTATTTCATAATTAATCATTCATGTTTGTGTAGGCTGTGAGGAAAATCATGGGACTTATATTTCTCTTTATCCTAGAATAGTGCTGAGCCCAGCTTTAAACACATGTGGGTCCCCAATAAATATTTGTTAAAATAAATATAAAGTCCAGACTCTCAAGCCATTAAAATTCCCCCCTTTTTTCTGTTAATTCCAGTTTGTACAACCCTTTCTTCTTGAGAGCTATTCTTTGCAAAAAAATCTTCTGGTTTTCTATGTGCATGAATAGGTACCTTTCCTACTGGCTTTAGCAAAAGCAGAAAGTCCCTCCAAAGACAGAATTTGGCCTGGGGCAACTGCAGTGGGCCAAGTGCTCTGCTCCAAAGATCAACTGTGACTAGAAGATTACCTGGGGATTAATAAATGGCTGTGTGAAGTTGACAACCAGACCCAGCCAAAGAAATGCAGGGCACTGCACTTCTCACTCACATGGTATCCTGAAAAGAAAAACCATCTAAAATGGTAATATGTTTTCCCCTTGAATTGGTTATATAAGGAATCAGAACACATATATAAAAACAATCCATATGACTGGCTCAGGTTTCCGGAAATACATTGGAAGAATTTCTTTAAAATAAGCTCTGCTTTCTATACAGTCTGCATATAGGCATAAATAGCTTTACAATCAGTTTGTTTTGACTACAGAGTTAATAGTAATATAGAAAGAAAAAGTGCTCTCACTTAAAACTAGTGACTATAATTATATTACAGTCAGGTTCTGATTATCTGCTCCAAGATTTTTAAAGGTATTTATAATGAGATTATTTTGTGGATGCTGAGGCCCTATTTTCCATCTGTGGCTCTGTGGCTACTTTCATTAATTCTTTCAGTCAAAGCTTTTTTGACCCACTTAATTTGCCTCAAGCAATGGGAATTTCTCTGTAAGGATATATCTTCATGGGCCCTAAGAAAAGATGACAACTTAGTTTCAGGAAGAATAGGTACACTTGATTCAGCCTGGCTCATGGGAACAAGAACAGAGTAGCCATCCACACCCTAGAGATCTTTTGAGACTGACCTTTCCATCTCCAGGATATCTCTACTCTCTCGTTCTTCAACTTGATTATCATGGAGCCATCTGTAATCCATGGTATCACACCCAGTTTCAAACATCCTTGTTCTTCTGAGAGAATCTGATCAAGTGGACTTGTTTCGTATCACACACGACACTGGCTAGTTTATTGGTTGGCGGCCTTTGGGTCAGGTGCTCATCCCTGAAGACAGAGATATAGTGGTCAAAACATGGTAAGCAAACTCAGTTACATGGTCAAAGGTTGCCTTTTCAGGAAGGACTATATACAGGTTTCTCAGAAAGTTTCAGTGGGATTGAGCCCCACATGCCCCAAGAAGCAATACACTCATTTACTTGCACTGTAGTGATTTCTTTCCTTTCCCTCTTTTACTTTCCCCACTTCCTCACTTATGCTTTCTGAGGTCACCTCCAAAATAAACAGTCTAAAATTATGTCTTTGTCTCAGAATCTGCTTTTGGGGGAACTCAAACTAAAACAAAAAGACTCTAAATATGGGAGACAATCTGCCCTAAACTAGCTTGTCTTTGGCTTCACTGTAAGAGCTTCAAAAAAGTACAGAATCCTGGCCTCCACAACATGAGTCAGAACCTTTGGATCCCAGAGATCTCCATTCGTAAAAGCATTTAAGGGAATTCTGATAGTAAGCCAGCCTGAGAACTACAGTAATACATAGTAATAACATCCAAAAGTTTTAAAAAAATTTCTATTATTCTATATCAGGAAACTAGCCATCATTTATACATATCAAAGCCTAGAGATGCCTTTTGATAAAAAGTAAGTTTATGGTGGTGGTGGTTGGTTGGTATACCTGAATATTTTCCTTGCCTTCTTAGGAAGTCATTACCCAAAAATAAAAGACAAGGAATTAAAATAATGTTACTTAGAAAGCAAGTTATAAGAAAACCTTGGACATTCATCCTGTGTGAGGTTCTTCTGAAACCTTATATATCCTGCTTAAATTTCAAGATATAACTTGATTGTCATTTTCTATCATCTCTACCCTGTGTGCCAAAATGAAATTTCCCTTCCTTAATTCTCCCAGAGCACTCTGCTTGGATATTCATTTATAGCCTTTACACTGAATTTTGTGAGTTATTTGTTACAGTCAGTAAGACTAATCTGCTTGATTATGAACTATTTGAGGACACTCTTCCCACTATTTTAAAATTTATCTTGGAAACCTCAGTTCCTGGCATACAATGCAAACCCAGTAAATATTAAACTTGTGATTTTAAAAAATACAAATCCAGGCCAATCAATCCTCTGCTTAAACCCTTCCTTGGCTTCCTATTGCATTTGGGATAAAATATAAACTCTTTAACATGGCTTAAAAGTTCTACATGAGAAGGCTTCTGGCTTCTATGTAGCAAGTAGAAATTGGAGAGTCACGCCCACACTTACAAGAATAAAAAACTATGTAATCTACAGAACCATAAACGCTCTTGAACTCATCAAAGAACTGAACTCATCAAAGTCACAGGGCAGCCAACTATCCTGAAATCTATGAAAAGACAGGAGAAAAAACCATGGAGAGATGAGATGGGAGCTCTTGCTTAACACACAAGCTAGTGAGAAAATTTTGGTTAAGTTGAAAATGTTAACAAATTAAAAAAGGCCAAGTATGAGCTAACATTATTATTTTTATTTTTAACAACGACCTCTAGTCCAAATGAGCTAACATTAGATTACAGATCTCCTAGTAGCTGTAGACACAACTGGAATTTGCAGCCATTTGCAGTTTTTTCCTCACAGCTCTCACTGAGTGTTCATGTGAGAGATGAGGTCAAGGCAAAAGACTAGAGAAAGCTTCCCTTGTGAAGGTTTAGGGAAGGAAAACAGCAGACACTGCGAGAAAAGCACAAGACCGCTCCTGGATAGTTCTTCCCTGTCTCCCCCATGGCACAAAAAAACCCTTAAGCTTCTGGTGGAAGCAAAACAAACTCTGTCACCCTCGGGACACAGATGAAGACCCTTTGCAGCTGGAGTAAGAACACAGAAAAAAAATTTACCTCTCAAGTAAGCATAGGAAAATGTCCTGGGCCCAGAACAGGGCCTTAGAGATCCTTTGCCAATGAGGAGGGGTAGGATAACCAAGAAGCCCCCACCACTGAGACCCAGGAACACAGTGTCTGCCTAAGACTGAGGCTAAACCAAGACAAGAGAAAACACCTACATCCTAGCCCCTAAACAAGACTAGAAAGCACTAAAAAACAAATAACAGAAGCCTACTACTGGGTGTGAGGCCAGAGCATGGAGAAAAGCTTTCTCTTCAAGGCATAGGGTCACAGGGAAAATCTAAAGCTATACGTAGAACAGGAGCATTGAGAAACGTCCTCCAGAAACTAATCCCTGACCCTAAATACAAAATAATGCTAGATGAATTTGAAGCCTGTGATACACCAAGGTAAACACATCAGCAACAAAGCCAACTTAACTCCTGATTAGATTGATTCAAACCTCCACACTTAGTACTTAGCAAAAGATGAGTTATGCCTATTTCCAAGGATAAATAGGATTTTCCACACTCTCTACTGTCCTACATAAGATGTCAGGCTTGTACCCCAAACTATGATTCACACAAAGAAGCAAGAAAAAATATACTGTCAAGAGACAGAGTTACTAATAGAACTAGACTCAGATATGATTCAGAAATCCAAACTATCAGACAGGGTAACAAAAGTAAATATGACTAATATGATAAAAAACTGTAGTGTAAAATGTAGACAACAAGCATGAACAGATAGGTAATATCAACCAATAAATAGAAATTGAAAGAATAAATGAAATGGAAATGCTAAAAATGGTAAACTCGGTAACATATATGAAGAAAGCCTTTGATGGTCTCATCAGTTGCCTGGAAAAACTACGAAAAGAATCAGTGAACTTGAAGACAAATCACTAGAAATTACCCAAGTGAAATACAAATGGAAAAAATATTTTTAAAAAATAGAGTGTTCAGGAGCTGTGGTACAATAACAGTCTATGTAACTGGAATCCTAGAAGGAAAGGAAAAAAAGAAAAAGCAATATTTGAAGATATATTGATAATTTTCAAAAATTAATAAAAGATACCAAACCACAAATCCAAGAAGTTCAGAGAACACCAAGCAAGATACATTAAACACACACATACACACACATACACATACATGCATGCACACACACACACACACAGCTCTAGACATATCATATTAAAATTTCTAAAAACAAAGAAAAAGGATTGGCCTTGAAATCAGCCAGAAAATAAACATGAGTGCACGTGCACACACACGCATGCACACACGCGCACACACACACTAACATATTACATACAGAGGAATAAATTTAAAAATTGCAGATTTTTTGTCAGATCTATTCAAGCCAGAAGACAGTGGAATGGCATCTTTAAAGTGTATTTAAAAATTGACAGCCTGGACAATTTCATACACAGCAAAAATATCTTTAAAAACTGAAGGAACAGTAAAGATATTTTCCCAACAAAAATTGAGACATTTGTTGCAAGAAGACTTGCACTAAAAGAAATGCTAAAAGTTCTTAAGGCAGAAGAAATATGATACTAGACAGAAACTTTGGTCTACACAAAGAAAAAAAGTAATGTATGTGACATTAATAAAACTAAATATGAAATTATTTTAATTGCTCTGAAAAATTTCTTACTCTTCAAAGTAAAAATAATGGTAATATATTGTGTATTTATAGGACAGTTGGCCCTCTGTATCCATGGGTTCCATATCCATAGATTTAACCAATTGTGGATTTAAATATTTAAAAAATACAACAATAAAAATTAATGCAAATAGAAAACAATATACTATAACAACAATTTATATAGCATTTACATTGTATTAGGTATTATAAGTAACCTAGAGATGATTTAAACTATATGAGAGGATTTGAGTAGGTTATATGCAAATACTACATCTTTTTGTACAAAGGAACTTGAGTATCCATGGATTTTGATATCCATGCGAGGTCCGGAAACCAATCACCCATGGATACCAAATAACAACTGTATGTACAAACTTAAAATATATTATAGGATATCTAAAGTAGCACAAAGGATAAGAGGGAAAAATTAGAAGTATATGGCTGTAACATTCAAACATTATACTTGAAGTGGTAAAGTATTAGGTAGACTGTGATTAATTAAATTTGGATATAGTAAACCCTATGACAATCACTAAAAAGATTATTTAAAGGTATAAGACAATAGTGGAAATAAAATAAAATTATAACAATATTCAATTCAAAGGAAGACATTATAAGAGAAAAACTTTTTAAAAATAGAAATAGTCCATTTTGTTTCAAACATATTAATAATTGCATTAAATATAAATGGTCTAAACACACCAATTAAAAGAGATTGCAAAATTGGGTTAAAAAGCAAGACCCAAAACTATACAATGTCTGTAAGAAACTGCCTGTAAAGAATTATATGTTAAATATAAAAGATGAAAATATATACATATAAACCTATATGCATATACTATAAAAATCTCTAGTCAAAAAACGTTGAAGTGGACATATTAATATCAGACAAAGTAGACTTCAAAGAATTTTAGGAGAGATAAAGAAGATGATTACATGATTTTAAAGAGGCTCACTTCACCAAAAAGACATAATGATTCTATTTGTGCATATGCCTAACAAGGAGCTTCAAACGACATTAAGTAAAAACTAATAAAATGAGGAGAAATAGACAAATTCACAATTTTAGTTGGAGACTTTAAGATTGTTTTCACAATAATTGATAGAAAAACTAGGAAGGAAATTATTAATAGGAATACAGAAGACCTGAACAACACTATCAAATAAGTACCTGAAAAGATGCTCAACATAGGAAAATCTTGATTAGGAAAATGGAGATTAAAAATACAATGAGATAGCACTACACATCTATTTCAATGGCTACAGTTTTGTTTGTTTGTTTGTTTGTTTTTTGACATTAACTGGCTGGGCACGATGGCTCATGCCTGTAATTCCAGCACTTTAGGAGGCCAAGGCAGGCGGATCGCTTGAGCCCAGGAGTTCAAGACCAGCCTGGGCAACATAGCAAACTCCATCTCTACAAAAAATACAAAAATTTGCTGGGCATGGTGGCAGATGCCTGTAGTCCCAGCTACTCAGGAGACTGAGGTGGGAGGCTCACCTGAGTACAGGAGGTTGCAGTGAGCCGAGATTGCACCACTGCACTCCAGCCTGAGTGACAGGGTGAAACTTTGTCGTAAAAACAAACAAACAAACAAACAAACAAACAAATACACTTTTATCAGTTGCTGGTGTGAGTGCAAAATGTACGGCCACTTTGAAAAATCGTTGCCAAGTACATACATTTACCACATGGTCCAGAAATTTCATTCCTAGGTATTTACCCAAGTGAAATGAACATTTATGTTCACACACAAATCTTAATTTGAATGTTTATAGTGGTTTTACTCATAATTACTACAAACCAGAAATAATCCAAATGTCCTTCACCTGCTGCATGAATAAATAAACTGAGGTACATCCACACCACAGAATACTACTCAGCAATAAAAAGCAACAAGCTGCTCATACACACAACATGAATTTCAAAAGCATTAGGATGCCCACTCTCACCATTCTTATTCAACATAGTACTGGAAGTGCTACTCCAAATGATCAGGCAAGAGAAAGAAATCAATAGGAAAAGAAGAAATCAAACTAGCTCTCTTTGCTGATGATATGATTCTATACATAGAAAACTCTAGACTCCACCAAAAGCCTCCTGGAACTGATAAACAACTTCAGTAAAGTTGCAAGATACAAATTTACAAAATGTATAAAAATCAGTAGCATTTCTATACACCAATAACATTCTAGCTAAGAACCCATCAATAACACAATCTCATTTACAGCAGCCACACATATAAGAAAAGAAATACCCAGGAATATATCTAAGTAAAGGTGTATTCCAAGGAGATGTATAACCAAGAAGGTGAAAGATCTTTTCAAGGAGAAGTATAAAACATTGCTGAAAGAAATCAGAAACAGCAAAATAAATGGAAAAATATTCCATGCTCATGGGTTGGAAGAATCAATATTGTTAAAATGACCATGTTGTCCAAAGCAATTTACAGACTCAATGCTATCTCTATCAAAATACCAACATCATTTTTCACAGAATTAGAAGAAAACTATTCTAAAATTCATACAGAAGTAAAAAAGAGTCCAAATAGCCAAAGCAATTCAAGCAAAAAGAACAAGGCTGGAGGCATCACATTACCTGACTTCAAATTACACTATAAGGCTACAATAACCAGAATAGCATGGTAATGGTACAAAAACAGACACATAGACCAATGGAATAGAATAGAGAACCCAGAAATAAATTGCACACCTACAACCATTTGATCTTTGACAAAGTCGACAGAAATAAGCAAAGAGGAAAGGACTCTCTATTCAATAAATGGTGCTAGAATAGCTGGCTAGCCGTATGCAGAAGAATCACACTGGATTCCTACCTTTCACCATATAAAAAATTAACTCAAGCTGGATTACAGATTTAAATGTAAGACCTCAAACTATAAAAATCCTCAAAGAAAATTTAGAAAATATCCTCTTGACATCAGCTTTGGCAAAGAATTTATGGCTAAGTCCCCAAAAACAATTGCAACAAGAACAGAAATTGACAAGTGGGACCTAATTAAGTTAAAGAGCTTCTGCACAGCAACAGAAATTACCAACAGCATACACAGGCAGCCTACAGAATGGGAGAAAATATTTACAAACTGTGCATCCAACAAAGATCTGATAAGAAAATCTACAAGGAATCTAAACAAATCAACGAGCAAAAACCAAATAATCCAGCTTAAAAATGGGCAAAGGGCATGAACAGACACTTCTCAAAAGAAGATACACAAATGGCCAACAAACATAAGAATAAATGCCCAACATCTCTAATCATGAGAGAATTGCAAATCAAAACCACAATGAGATACCATCTCACATCAGTCAGAATGGCTAAATAACCAAAAAATGACAGATGCTGGCAAGGCTGCAGAGAAAAAGGAATGCTTATACATTGTTGGTATGAATGCAAATTAGTTCAGCCACCATGGATAGCAGTTTGGAGATTTCTCAAAGAACTTAGAACTACCATTTGACCCAGCAATCCCATTATTGGGTGTATATCTAAAGGAAAATAAATCATTCTACCAAAAAAGACAATGCATTTGTATGGTGCATTGCCATGCTATTCACAATAGCAAAGACATGGAATCAGCCTATTTGTCCATCAACAGTGGTTTGATAAAGAAAATGTGATATTTATACACCAAGCAGTACTACTCAGCCATGAAAAAGAATGAAGAAATCATGCCCTTTGCAGCAACGTAGATGCAACTGGTGGCCATTATCCTAAGCAAATTAACTTAGAAACAGAAAACCAAGTACCACATGTTCTCATTTATAAGTGGGAGCTAAATATTGAATACACATGGACAAAAATATGGGAGCAATAGTTGGGAGGGAAAGGAGCATGCATTGAAAAACTACCTACTTGGGGCTGGGTGTGGTGGCTCACACCTGTAATCCCAGCACTTTGGGAGGCCGAGGTGGTGAGATCACGTGGTCAGGAGTTCAAGACCAGCCTGGCCAACATGGCGAAACCCCGTCTCTACTAAAAATACAAAAAAAAAAAAATTAGCCAGGCATGGTGGCGCATGCCTGTAGTCAGAGCTACTCGAGAGGCTGAGGCAGGAGAATCTCTTGAACCCAGCAGGTGGAGGTTGCAGTAAGCTGAGATCACGCCACTACACTCCAGCTTGGGCAACAGAGTGTGACTTTGTCTCAAAAAAAAAAAATAAATAAAAACTACCTATTTGGTACTATGCTCACTACCAGGGAGATGGGACCATCCATACCTCAAACCTCAGCATCACACAATATAGCCATGTAACAAACCTGCACATGTACCCCCTGAATCCAAGAAACAAACAAAACAAAAAACAAACAAACAAAAAAATGCATTGTACCAAGTGAAAGAAGGGAAACTCAAAATGCTACATATTATATACCCCTTTTCTATAACATTTTTGTAAAGGCCAAATCATAGGGTCAGAAGACACGTAAGAGGAAGTGAAGGGGAGTTTTGTTAAGAAAGGGACACTGAAGGATTTTTTGAGGTTCTCATACTCTTCTATATCTTAATTGTAGTGGTGGTTACATGACTATACAGGCATATAGAAGCTCACAAAGCTATACACTAAAAATGTGACTCTGACTCTATGTAAATTATAATTTTTAAAAGCAAGAAAAAAAGTTACATGATCTGGCCCCAGTTTACCTCTTGTCTTGTGATTGTCCTCTCAGTCACTACAATCACTGGACTTCTTCACCTCCTAAAATGCCCCATGCTGTCACTGCCTCCTTCACACATACTGTTCTCTTTGTTTGAAAAGCTACACACTCTTCATCTGGTTCAATCTTACTCATTCTTAAGCTTCGAATACTGGGTTCAAGTCCAGGGTCTACCATTTACTGGTTGTATGACCTTGGGCTTATTAATTAACGTCTTTGTAGGTTTCCTCATCTGTAAAACGGAGATATTAATAGTACGTATGTTATAAGGTTTCCTTGAGGATTACAAGAGGAAATAAGTATGCCTAGCTCATAGTAACATTATATAAGTATAAGGTAGCATCATAGTTCATCAGGGAGGTCTACCCTAACTTCCTTTTTATACTATCTCCTGTTATTTTCCTTCATAAGCATCATAAAATCTGTATGAATGTATTTATCTGTGTGTTTGTTTAATATCCAGCTCCAGAGAAAGTAAAGTATTTGCTTTGTATACTATGTCCGTCTACTGTATGCTATTTTGGCATGTTTGGGCTGCTACAGCAAAAATACCACAGGTTGGTGGCTTATAAAAAAAAAGAAATATACTTCTCATAGTTCTGGAGTCTGGGAAGTCCAAGATCAAGGTACCAGCAGATTCAGTGTCTAGTGAGGGCTTGCTTCATGGTTCAGGGATGGCTGTCTTTTTGCTGTGCCCTTACATGGCAGAAGGGGACCAAGTGAGTTCTCTAGGGTCTCTTTTATAAGGGTTTTGGTCCTATTATCTAATCCTATGCAGAGCTCTTATGACCTAATTACCTCTCCAAAATCCCATCTCCAAATACAGTCACATTAGGGAATTATATTTTGACATACGTATTGGGGGTTTAGTGGGAGAGAGGGGGATAAAACATTCAGTCTATAGCATCTATCTATCTATATATACTCTATATATTCACACTATGTATGTCCCTTGCAGGGGTTCTACCCACAGACCCTGACCCAGCGATGGATGAGAGACATACACTGATGCAGATATTTTGCCTGTCTGGCTGAGGGTCTGGGCCACTCACAGACACCAAGGAGGGTGCTGTAAAGAGTCACAACTGCAGCCACAACTAGCTGGCCCTGCTGGCACTTATTCAGCACACACTAAAAAACAAAGGCTTTGAGTCTACACCACAAGAGGGTAATTAACCTGGTTGCCCTCCCCGACCCCCGACCCCCGAGACAGCCATCCTGCCCGCAAATGATCAAAGGTTAGTTTTAGGACCACATGTGTAAACAAGCTATTTAGATAAACTTCCTTACATTCCTTTGTACCTACTTTAAACTATTTACTTAAGGTAAAGATTAGGCTGCCTTCAGCCGATCTATTACTGGAGTTTAAGCAAACCCCTCCACCTTCCAAGAAGGTTTGTGTCTATTTCTTATAACTATCTTTAAAATTTTTCCCACCAGCCTGACTGAACTCCCACAGTCCCTGACACAAGGTAGGCATTTAATAAATACTAGCTAAATGAATGAATGAATGGGTAAAAGAATGGCATCCTAGAGGAGCATGTTTCTCATAACTTAATCTCTTGCTGGGATGCAAATGCCATTGTTATCCTGACTACATTCACAGAGTGAATGAATGATGAATACCGGTGCAACTTGTTGGCTCTTTTGAGTCAAAGCTCAGACTCAGCTGCTGTTGCCTCACTCCTCTGCTTCCCCCAAGCCATGCCTCACTGCTCTCCTAGTTTCACCTGTGACTGGGTAGAGAAGTCAGGCAACCTCTAACTTGCAGGCTCAGTCATCTTCAGTTCAACAAGTAGAGAGTGGGAAGCCACACACTGGCCTCAGAGGTTCAATTCTCTACTCCACCTTTACCAGAAAGCCATGCATTCTGAAAGTTCTTGAACAAGCCTCACTCAGCAAAGTCCATCCTTTGATACCCTCAGCACTCACGTGTTAGGGCAAGTTGTTTAAATACTGTATGAGGCTGTGCTCTGTGAAGGAGAAGACTTACTAAATAGAAGAGAAACTTGTCAGCCAGTGCCCCATTCGTCTCTGCTCTGGGATTGTTCCCTGAGAGAGAGGAACACGAGAAAGAAAAGTCAGTTCTTTCATTGGGTGGAAAAAAAAAAAAAAGATCACCAGACACCCAGATGGAAGAAGGACCAGAGTAGGTGGCTCAGAGGAGGCTGGCAGCTGCATGGACCATTGTGTGTCGGGACAAGGAGGCAGGGCTCTGGGCAGACACAAGTGAACAATAGACAAGAGCAACGCTAGGGGTTGGAGGGAGCAGTGGATGGGTGGGCAACGCCAGCGGTTGGGTTTTGGGGTGGGGGGCGGTGGGTGGGTGGCGGCAGTCTCCCAAAGCAGAAGGTCTTGAACGAATGCTATAAGTAGTGGTTCCGCTTCAAGGTAAGGCAGGCTACTCCTCCTCCCATAAAGGCTCTTGAGGAAACAGTGAACATTCCCAGGACTATACAATTTAGGGTACTAAGGGATTTTCTAGCTACTCATATAAATCCCCTTAAAAAACTCAGAAATATCTAGAGATGGGCACCTCTGAAATGAACTGGACTACCCATGTGAACATGTTGGGGGCAGGGGACCAGAGCTGTGGAAATGTAGGAAACATTATTGTAAATGTTAATACTTCTTCTCACCCACCAGCTGGCAAAGCTGGATGGATGTCAGTTATGCCCACTGATTGACTGAGCTGCGATCCTGTCATCGTGACCACTGCACCTCTCCATCTGGCATTTAGTCTCTGTGATTGGGATAGTTTGGGAAAGTGGCCAAAATGATCATATCCTGCTCTCCACAGTCTGCTTCAACAGCTGCATGTACACCCAGCCTATGCCCCAAAATATATGAATCTAGACAAAATAAGTTTTACTTTGGATTTGATTTAGAAGAGATAATATCAAAATGAGAACATTTTCCATGAATAAGTGAACATAATCAGGGTGCTCAATTATAAAATTCAACTGATGCTATTTAATAGAAGTCTGTTTAAAGTTATGGAAATTCTACATGGGATCATGTCTCATGATTATCATACAAAAATATAAAACCAAACTGCAGTTCACACTAATAAATGCTGGGTTAGGTAAAGACACTCCAAGGTCATGAAATTTAGCAATGTGTAAAATTTGAGAAGACTAAGATGAGACGGTGGACTTCTTTTTGTTTCTTGTAAAAAATAACTTTTATAGACCATGTCACCAAAGGAGCAATTAATAAGAAAGAACACATCATTAAACTCTGTCAGGTAATTTATATGCCACAGTGTTCATTGTTCATAACCCAGGCTCTTCTTAGTGAATCATAACATTGTCTTAATTATCACTACCATTCCCGGGTAATTGGTTTCCTTCCCTCTCATCCAGTAATGGGCTTTCAACCAAACTTTTGAACTCTTTTGCAAAGCATGTACCTTAGATTTCACATGGATTGTCATCTTAGGAGCAAATTAACTGAAGTTTTCCCTCACAATGTGGTCAGGTCATAGAGTCCCAAATGCCCGGAACAATGAAAAAAATGACTTCTACCACAATTACCACAAATTCTTCAGACACTTACCAATCCACAGCTTTTTGTTCTGGGTTTTGTAAAGAAGTAATTCAAAGTTAACATTTCTGGAATCCTTGGAGACACAGAGTCTCATGAATATGATCTATTCTGGAATTGCCTCCTTAGGCAAACAAGCTACAACCAGTTGATGCAAGTCTGACTTCATGCTGGGTTAACCTTACAGTGGGAAAAGGCATGACAGGCATGGAGTCATCCTCTGGCCTATTCTTTAAGAAAGATGCTGGTTGTTGCTATTCACACAACTACTGTGAATTATGTGCTTTATTTGGAAATGTAGACTTTTTCTTAAAAGAGTCTTTTTGGACAACTATGGTACAAGATAATTGGCTTGCCTGAATTGTGCACTTTTCAACCAGTTGTTTTAATATCATATACTGTCAGTCCAGTCAGAGAAAGAAATGAATAAATTTTGCATTAGCTAATCCTTCCTCAAAGCTGTGAGATTATCTCAATGAGTTAACTAATGCCTTTATACCAAATGGTTATATTTGAAAGGTATCTGGACAGAGAAGATGAAAACAACATAAAAAAGTGCTTCCGAGAGCTTAATGTATATACAAACTGCCTGGGGAACTTGTTAAAATGCAAATTCTGATTCAGTGGATGTGGGGTGAAGCCTGGGATGCTTCATTTCTGACAAGTTCCCAGGTGGTAATAATGCTGCCACACCAAGGCCCTAGACATGGGCCCAGTTATCCATTTAAACTAGAATTCCACATGACCTTGAGACAGGTGAGAAATGCTGGAGAGTGGTCTGGAGCACAGGTTCATAGCTGGAAATACCTGAGTTTCAATCCCAACTCAACTGCTCAACGACTGAAGTAACTTAAGACACTTAAACACTTAGAGCCTCATCTGTAACATGGGGCTCATTATACCTCCCACTCAGAGGGCTACTGTTGTACAAATGAAATGTATAAATAATTTAACATGTTGCTTTTCATAATTTTCAGATGCTAAAACGTTCATGCAGTCACAAAATACGTGAACTTTATGTTGATATATATGTGCTCCCATAAATATACTTTTAGAAATTATGAGTTAACACAATTTCTATGTATCATTCTATGAATATCTTCATGCCCAAAAGAGCTCAGTGCATTTGAAGCACAGCGTTTTTGGAGGCCTGTGTCTCACATACATAGCTGAACACATGAGCCCTCATTCTTGCTCCCAGATGCAGCTGTCCTACTATGTGCACCGAGGTCTCCTCTACTGCTTTTCAGAAGTACTCTGCTGGTGCCACTGCTGATCCTCCACATCTGTTGAATACCCATATTTTTGATGGACCTCCCACCCGATGCTCTGAGTTCTTACAGTGCCAGGACTGTATTGTTGGTTGGGTGGCAGGGGGCAGGGGGAGGTAGGGAAGACAGGGAGGGGGACATGGAATGGGTTGCTTGGAAGAGAAAGAGTGACTTTAGTCTTCTTGTGCCACAGTCTGCTGAAAGTGACCTCAAGCAGCATGCCCATCTCCAAATGAGTTACAGAATTTAGTGAAAACCAATTTCTGCTTTTTAATATGCCCTTTGTTGTAGGATTCAGATATTGACTAGGAAACAAAACAAAACAAAACTGTGATGTACATTTACTGTAACAAACTTCCCCTGGGACGATGAACTCCGTGCCTGCAGGTGTCTCAGTGTCGGACTGCTGTTGTCCAAGCCCCCAAGCACCGTGGACATGTTCAGTGGTGTCTGATCCCATCGGCACAGAGCTTGGCTTCTCAGGAGGCTCCTCAGAGTCGCGTAAATAGGGTTTCCGATGCCCGGCCTCACCAGCTTACAGACGTGTCTGAATCTCCTTTTCACTCAGGCCACACTTATATTCACTCTTCCCTCCTGAACATTCGTTAGTTAAAACAAAAAATGTGTGAGGTTCTCAGAATTTCTAATGAGGAAAATCAGGGGAAAGGAAATAGAGGAAAATGGCATGTATTAATAAGTGAAGGCACATTGCTCTTTACCTATAACTTTTATCTAAACAGCAATCTATTGAACGAGTTTGGTTTCATAGATGAAGAAATTGAAGTTTAGAGGCATCAAGTAACCTGACCAAAGTTACTGACTTAATAAGTGTCCAAGTTGTGATTTCAGCCCACATTTGGCCTCTAAAAACATGCTATTTCTACTACCCTACAAAGCATTATAAATTAAGAACAGAAGTGCTCACAGAAGGACAATCTACTAATGTGTTGAATGCTAATGAATATTAGTCAGTTGATGGACATTAGCTGTGTCACATTTTCCGGGAATATGACCCTCTTTTTGCAAGGAGTGCTTGCTATTTCTGGAGCATTTTAAAATTGCTTCATTGAGTTCTGGCCGCAGGATATGTTTTTTTTTTTATTTTTTTATTTTATTTTATTATTTTTTTTTTTATTGATCATTCTTGGGTGTTTCTCGCAGAGGGGGATTTGGCAGGGACACAGGACAATAGTGGCGGGAAGGTCAGCAGATAAACAAGTGAACAAAGGTCTCTGGTTTTCCTAGGCAGAGGACCCTGCGGCCTTCCGCAGTGTTTGTGTCCCTCGGTACTTGCGATTAGGGAGTGGTGATGACTCTTAACGAGCATGCTGCCTTCAAGCATCTGTTTAACAAAGCACATCTTGCACCGCCCTTAATCCATTTAACCCTGAGTGGACACAGCACATGTTTCAGAGAGCACAGGGTTGGGGGTAAGGTCACAGATCAACAGGATCCCAAGGCAGAAGAATTTTTCTTAGTACAGAACAAAATGAAAAGTCTCCCATGTCTACTTCTTTCTACACAGACATGGCAACTATCCGATTTCTCAGTCTTTTCCCCACCTTTCCCCCCCTCTCTATTCCACAAAACCGCCATTGTCATCCTGGCCTGTTCTCAATGAGCTGTTGGGTACACCTCCCAGACGGGGTGGCGGCCGGGCAGAGGGGCTCCTCACTTCCCAGTAGGGGCGGCCGGGCAGAGGCGCCCCTCACCTCCCGGACGGGGCGGCTGGCCGGGCGGGGGGCTGACCCCCTCACCTCCCTCCCGGATGGGGCAGCTGGCCGGGTGGGGGGCTGACCCCCCCACCTCCCTCCCGGACGGGGCAGCTGGCCTGGCGGGGGCTGACCCCCATCTCCCTCCCGGACGGGGTGGCTACCGGGCAGAGACGCTCCTCACTTCCCTGATGGGGTGGCTGCCGGGCGGAGGGGCTCCTCACTTCTCAGACAGGGCGGTTGCCAGGCGGAGGGTCTCCTCACTTCTCAGACGGGGCGGCTGGGCAGAGATGCTCCTCACCTCCCAGACAGGGTCGCGGCTGGGCAGAGGCGCTCCTCACATCCCAGACGGGGCGGGGGGGCAGAGGCGCTCCCCACATCTCAGACGATGGGCGGCCAGGCAAAGACGCTCCTCACTTCCTAGATGGGATGGTGGCCGGGAAGAGGCGCTCCTCACTTCCTAGATGGGATGGCGGCCGGGCAGAAACGCTCCTCACTTTCCAGACTGGGCAGCCAGGCAGAGGGGCTCCTCACGTCCCAGACGATGGGCGGCCAGGCAGAGACGCTCCTCACTTCCCAGACGGGGTGGCGGCAGGGCAGAGGCTGCAATCTCGGCACTTTGAGAGGCCAAGGCAGGCGGCTGGGATGTGGAGGTTGTAGCGAGCCGAGATCATGCCACTGCACTCCAGCCTGGGCACCATTGAGCACTGAGTGAACCAGACTCCGTCTGCAATCCCAGCACCTCGGGAGGCCGAGGCTGGCGGATCACTCGCGGTTAGGAGCTGGAGACCAGCCCGGCCAACACAGCGAAACCCCATCTCCACCAAAAAAGTACGAAAACCAGTCAGGCGTGGCGGTGCGCGGCTGCAATCGCAGGCACGCGGCGGGCTGAGGCAGGAGAATCAGGCAGGGAGGTTGCAGTGAGCCGAGATGGCAGCAGTACAGTCCAGCTTCGGCTAGGCATGAGAGGGAGACTGTGGAAAGAGAGGGAGAGGGAGACCGTGGGGAGAGGGAGACAAGAGGGAGAGGGGGAGGGGGAGGGGGAGGGAGAGGGAGAGGGAGAGGGAGAGGACAGCCACAGGATATGTTAATCACATTTTGCCACAACATTGCTAGCCACTAAATTCAAATGTTATAATATCCTATATGCATAATGCCACACAACTGGTTAGAACATGAAATAATGAAGACATTTAAACTAGTGTTTGCCCTTATGTGAGTGTTAAAAGGTTTAACCTGACTAAATTTTTTACAGAATTGATTTTTTAAAAAATAAATAGATTAAATCAACTGGCTGATTTAGCCTTTGAAATTCCAAGAACCCAAGCTCTTCTCAGTTTCTATGAAGCATGAGAAAGACTAAGATCTATGTCAGTGGCCGCCACTTATGAAAGAAACAGGATTTCTTAAAATTTTATTTTTTAAAAATCAAAATAATACAAGTACATGGTGTTTGAAGAAAATCAATGGAAGCTGGGAGAAAATGGGAAGATGTAGTTCAAAGGATATAAAGTAGCAGATATGCAGGATGAACAAGTTTAGAGATCTAATTTAAAGCATGAGGACTATAGTTAATAATATTGTATTGTATTCAGGATTTTTGCCAAATGAGTAGATTTTAGCTGTGTTTGCCATAAAAAATAGATAACTATGTGAGATGATGAATATGTTAATTTGCTTTACTACAGTAATCGTTTTACTATCTCATAACATTGTGTTGTATACCTCAAATATATACAGTAGAATTTATTTTTTAAAAGTTGGTTGGAGAAGATTATAATGAGAATTAGTATTCCCCCATCTTACTTTTTACAGTTAGAGCACATTTGGCTTTAAGTGTAAGACACACAGTTAAAACTGGCTTAAAATATTAAGAAATTTATTATTAAACATACCGAAGTCCACACGCAGGGCAGCCTCCAGGTATGTGTCTCAGGACTGTGACTCTAGTGTTCTGGAGCCCCTGAGTATGGAGCTTCCTCTTCTTCTAGTCACAAGATGGCTGCAACTGCCATCTGTTGAGAGCAGTGCGAGAAAGAGATGGTGTCCCCACTTATGGAACAGACACCCTTCCTTCAGCTTTATTAGGTTATCTTAGATCATGGCCCCCTCCCCACCATGACTAACAGTGGCCAATGAAATGTCAGGCATTGATTGACCAAATCAGTGATACTCTATCAAACTGAATGCCCCCCAACCTTTTGTTTTGAGATGGAGTCTCACTCTGTTGCCCAGACTAGAGTGCACTGGTGTAATCTTGGCTCATTGCAACCTCTGCCTCTGGCCAATGCTCCTTTTATAACAAGTTTTTCATAGTCTCCTCTGTCTTAGCCTGATAACATGTGATGGGCACCATAATCCATCTACACATTGCAATTTCAGGAAGAACTTACATTTACAAAGTTTCCCCAGACAAGCTCAGTTATGCCTAGACCTTTGGACAAAAGATGAATAAAATATGCTTCTTTCCAAACCCAGATCCACCATGAATAGATAAGCTTATGAACTGAATATCTTAACTATTTGTCTCAACTTTTACTTTGCTTTCTGTATTTTGAACAATACTGGGATGTCTGTGTTGTCATCCTTGTTCACTGTTGCTGCCTAAGCCTTAGGAGAAGGGATATCCTTTCTGAGGAATAATCTTGAGCTCCTAACCCTCTCTTCTTTTCTGTAAGACTTGTTAGTACTAACTGATTCTTACCCATTTAAATTCAGGCCATTGCGATGGTTCAAGAAATTGCTATTCAAGTGAGTGGAAGATCTCCAGGATCTCAGGCCCAAGAAAGGAAATACAATATAAAAAATGTAGAGAGAGGTCAACATTGTTTCCCATATAAAGTTACTTCTCAGAGGCGGTTCTTAGAGATTCCACAGCTTTGGATTTTCTAAAGTCAGCCTTTCCCTGGGCCATATTTCTCTATCTTGCTAAAACACACTTCTGTGTGTTAGGACAATTTCCATGAGATATACCACTTAATGCTCACTGGAACATTGTAGGATAGCTGTGACTATACTGTTTTATAGACAGAGAAGAGACTGAGTCCCAGAGAGTGTAGAAAACAGCGAGGGCCCTCGGCAAGTAAGTGCAGAGGTGCAATTTGAGCTGGGATCTGTATCTGTGTGGGTACAAAACCCAGCCTCTTCCTGCCACTTATTTTTTGTTTGTTCGTTTGTTTGTTTTTTGATACAGAGTCTTGCTCTGTCACCCAGGCTGGAGTGTAGTGGCATGATCTCAGCTCACTGCAACCTTCACCTCCCAGGTTCAAGCAATTCTCCTGCCTCAGCCTCCTGAGTAGCTAGGATTACAGGCGTCTGCCACCACGCCAGGCTAATTTTTGTATTTTTAGTAGAGATGCGGTTTTGCTGTTTGCCAGGCTAGTCTTGAACTCCTGACCTCAGGTGATCCACCTACCTCTGCCTCCCAAAGTGCTGGGATTACAGGCATGAGCCACTGTGCCTGGCCTAGTTTTTATTCTTACTTTAAACTGGAGAGTTCTTGAGTTCTCCTGCCCTCAGAAAAATATAGACTACTATAATCTCCAAGTCTCCAAGTCTCCAAACCTCCACCTTTATTGCTTACATTCCTTTTCCCACAGCCCTGACTCTGCCTGGACAATTTCAGCACTGGGAAATTCTCTGCTCTGGAGGCAGCCAGCTCACCTTCAGATGCAGTGATTGTTAGAAAGCTCTTTCAGATACTGTGCCAAAGTTTGCCTCCTTGGAGCTTGGCACACTGGTGCCAGTTCTCCTCTCTGAAGCCTCCTTAGAAAAGTCTGATTCCCATTTCACATAGAGGCTTACAAATATTTGAGCCAAAGTCTATTTGACTTTTTTCAGGTACAATGAATGTGTCTACTTCAGAGCAAGTAATCAACACTTAAGCTATTATCGTATTCCTTGGTGCTCAGGTCTCTCCACTTTCTTCCTTAACTTTACTAGCTTTGTCTCACATACTCCTTTGCAAATGGTTCCTATTTTCTAGCTTCCTGTGACCTACTTCATCCTTATCCTGGCCTCTGACTAATTATTTCTTGTATATGAAGGTATTATTTTTCTTCCCATTAGTGTTAAACTCTACAGTGGCTCTTGTCCATTTACACATTTCCATTTATCAACAGGAACATTTCATTGAATACACAAGAAGCAAGACCTGACAGTAGCAGAACAATATTCACAAAAACCAGTTTGATTCTCTCTTCCTGCCCTCAAGTTTATTCAGCAGAAATAACAGATAACCATGGACATTCTGTATCCAGGGAGTCTTTTCTAGATACTTCTCTATTTAAGCCTTACATGGTGCCCTGTAGCCTGGGTATTGCTTCCCAGTTTGTGGCAAACAATGAATTTCAGAGCATGGGAATACCTGGGCTTGTTAGCAGCCTCTATTCTGAGAATCTTGTCCAGCAGAGCAGTTCTGGCTGATTTCCCCCAGCAGCATGCACAGAAGACTCACTGGGCCAAGAGCTGAGGATACTGGAAGACAAGGCAGGCTCCTTTCATGTGTTGGCCCCTGCCCAGGGCATCAGGGCTACTGCCTGTGTGATATCACTAAAAATGGGGCAGGATAACCCCACCTGTCTCTAAATACATCACTCACTGGACTTGTCTCTTTATAACTCATTACTCAAATGAGATAATGACATAATGCATGCAATATCCATGACATAATTTATATAAAATGTTAGCAGTGTCTGACACATAGTGAGAAATCAATACATTTAACTCTTAGGAATATTATGTATAGTTGCTTATATGAGGTGAGGCATTGAAGCTACTTCAAACAAGGAGCAACATATTGTGCCATAAACACTACTGGCTCTTTAGATTCAATATTAAGCTTGGATAGGACCACTAGGAATAGGACATGGAGGAAAAGGGAGGTGGTCTGATTAGAAAGATGAAGGGAGTTGATAAGTGCTGGCAAGATCAGTAGGGCATTGTAATAAGGACCAGATAAGGACATCAGGGTCCTGTTGGAGAAATATCTAAAAGCAAAAGAAAAAGATGAAAACCACACAGGGCAATAGAAAGATTCCTGCTTAAAGAACCAAGAAACATAGTCCTCATCCAAGCTCAGGCCTTAGCTGTGTGGCTTTCACAAGTCACTCACTCTCTCTAGGTATTTATTCCATATATTTATTCAATATAAAGTGATAGGTTGGGATCAGATTACCCCTTAGGGTCCATCCAGGAGTGTCAAAGACAAAGGCTTCCTAACTTTCCTTAAACCAGCCTGTATATGTAATAAGTTTATAGTATAAAGAGAAACTTTGATAAGTTCTGCAAGTGTAAACATCATCAGAGCTGCATAAGGTGACTTGCAAATAAGTCAAGATAAATATCTATATTTTATAAACCCATGCACAGTGTCTGTTGTCCCAAGGCACCAGTCAATCATACCTGTATTCTGCATTATTTTGTAGTTCAAAACCAGGAAAGCTACCTTGCATGTAATCCTTTAAAATCCATGTGTTTCAACTGGTAGGAGAGGGGCATGTCAGAACTTTTGTGATTACTCAGAGTTTGAAAATGTTTATTTTTTCAACCATTGTATGGTTTGTTTTTATTCCCAGCATAGAATTTATTTTAAAATTTTGAATCATGTTAAGGAAGGACATGAAATTTTGTTTATCAAAATAAGAAGGTAAGTTACCAAAAGAAAGAAAAGAACTGGATGTTTAATATAAGAGTGTTTTTATTTTGTCTTTTATTATTTTCTAAGGAAATTAAAAACTTTCTATCAATCTCCCTGCTTTAGTAAAATAGTAAGCTTAAAGCTGAAAGTTTTGGATTGTTCATACACACAAAAACATGCAAAGAGGAATTTGGAAATTCTCCCAAGCTCAACCTAATAATTTATGAAGATAGATACACAGAGGGCAAAATGAAATATGATACAGAATTATGAGGACCCTAGCTAGATTCTTGAGCCATTACCAAAAAGTTGGGATGGAAAAAATGAGCAGCTGATGAAAAACTTGTATAAATGAGTACCCTCAGAATTCTTTTGAGCTTCAAAAATATATATACAGGTTGAGTATCCCTAATGTGAAAATCTGAAATCTGAAGTGCTCCAAAATTTGAAACTTTTTTATCACCCACATGACCTGACACGTGGAAAATAAGACCTGACCATATGTGATGGGTTGCGGTCAAAATGCAGGCATGCAGCACATCATTTATTTAGCATCTCTGAGGGAAAAAAGACTCTTCACGCCCCTATCTCTTCTGATGATGCCCAGATTCCCCCATGCAATCATGCCCACAAGGGATAATAAAATGGCATTGAGATAATCAGGCACACCAAGGGTAGGTTCCCCACAATGCCCCACATGGGGCTAAGACCAACATGCATTACTCACTGTGTTTTTGCCTATTCTCTGATATGTATTGTAAAATATTGTTGAAAATGTTAAAAAGGGCTGCAGATACCCCCAAGGGTAACAATAATTTAAAAAAGAGGAAGGATTTATATTTATCTATGGCACTGAAAGTTAAACTGGGGAGAAACTGGACGGTGATATAAGTGTGAAATGTCTTACAGAAGACTATGGTGTTGAAATGACCACCACATATGACCTGAAGAAACAGAAGGACAAAATGTTGAAGTTTACACAGAAAGTGATAAACAGAAGTTAATGAAAAATGGAAAAACACCACAAAACCTAAAAATGGAGATTTCAATTGTGTATTAAAAGAGTTGATCCATCAGTGCTGCAAGCAACACATGCCACTTAAGGGTGTGCTGATCATTAAACAAGCAAAGATCTGTCATGATGAACTGAAAATTGAAGGGAACTGTGAATATTCAACAGGCTGGTTGCAGATATTTTTTAGATATAGTATTACATTTTTAAAGATTTGTAATAATAAAGCACGTGCTGATCATGAAGCAGTGAATAAATTCATTAACAAATTTGCCAAGGTCATCACTGATGATGACCTTCGTCATTACTGATGAAAATCTTATGCCAGAACAAGCTTATGATGCTGATGAAGCATTACCGTTTTGGCATTATTGCCCTGGAACTACACTGAGTAGAACTGATGATACAGTTCCTACAGAGAATAAGGATGCCAAAGGCAGAATAACTGAGCTGGGATGTGCTAATGCAGCAGGCACACATAAGTGTAAACATACTGTGATAGGCAACAGCTTGCATCTTCACTGTTTTTAAGGAGTGAATTTCTTACCAGTCCATTATTATGCTAACAGAAAGGCATGGATCACCAGGAACATCTTTCTGATTGGTTTCACAAACATTTTGTACCAGCTGCTCAGGCTCACTGCAGGGAAACTGGACTAAATGACTATTGAAAGATTTTGTTATTCCCTGGCAACTTTCTGCTCATTCTTCAGCTGGAATTCTCATTAAAAATAATGTTTATGCCATATACTTTCCCCCAAATATGACTTCATTAATTTAGCCATGGGACCAGAGCATCCTTCTATCAATGAAAAGTAAATATAAAAACACTTTTTGAAAAGCATGCTAGCAGCAGTGAACAGAGGTATGAATATGGAAGGTTTTCAAAAGGAGTTTAGCATGAAGGATGTCATATATACTACTGCCAATGCTTGGTACACAGACTAAAGACACATGCCTGTCACAACCTCCAGCCTGTGACTGTGTTCAGTGATGATGAAGAAGATGGTGACTTTAAAAACTTTGTATGTCAAGTGAGAAAAAATAAAACCCAACCTCCTTACTTTTGCAAAAAACATACCTTCAGAGTCTATCAGCAAGCTGGAAGAAGTGGATATCAAAGAAATTATTCACACCAATAGTGAGGCTCCAGTTGTTCATTCATTGACTGATGGGTTCTGAATCAAGGTGATTGTAGTAATAGTAATGATGAAGATGATGTTGACACTGCAGAAAAAGTGTCTATAGACAACATGGTGAAAATGTGTGATGAGATTATTGAAGGACTAGAGCAGTGTGTATTCACAACAGAACAATAAATAACGTCAGTTTATAAAATCAAAGAGAGACTTCTAAGGCAAAAACTGTTGTTAATGAGGAAAATGACTCTGGAGAAAACAACTTCAAAAGCCATCTAGCAAAATACCTCCTCTTCCTTAGAGGGCCCACTTCCTGGTCCCTCAATTGCTTCTGATGCTTTTTCTTACCTTAGAAATAAAATTCAGTGTACATTAAACCTTTTAATCAAAACACATCATAGGTGGACCTGAAAGCCTGCTGTTATTTGCTGTTGCTGTTGTTGAACAGTGGATACAGGTATTGTGGTGATGCTACTGTGCTGCTGAGTTACCCTGAACACATTGAGTTTTCACTGCATTAATGGTATATCACTATATTAATGGTAAGTCATGTTGTTTACTGTTAAATACTTATGTGTGAATAATTGTAAGAAAGTGATTGCTTATTGGTAGCATATAAATTCAGAGTCAGGAATGATGCTGCTGCCAAACAACCACAGATCATCCATATGGATGGCTGAGATAGTGACGCCTTTGCTTTCTAATGGTTCAAGGTAACAAACTTTGTTTCATGCACAAAAATTATTTAAAATATTGTGTAAAATTACCTCTAGGCTATGTGTATAAGGTGTATCTGAAACATAAATAATTTGTGTTTAGACTTAGATCCCATCCCCAAGATATCTCATTATGTATATGCAAATATTCCAAAATTCTAAGAACATCTGAAGTTTGAAACACTTCGGGTCCTAAGCATTTTAGATAAGGGATATTAACCTGTAGTCCCTCATACACATACACTTCACCACACCCAACTTATGTGCAAATGAGCTTTGGCACTGAGTGCAATTTAAGAGAAGTGTTCAACCAATCTGATGAGGAGGACACTACTGTGCTTCCATTCGTAGGAGGTATGCTTTGAGTTGCTTTGCCATTCTGAGTGATGGATGGGTTTGCAATCAGCTATCCACATTCTTTGGCCCAAGAGCTAACACAATTGACTATGAGCACAAATGTATAGGCAGCAACCACAGGTTAGAACTATGATCTGTGATTATGCCTCACGGTAAGGCTCATGTATCCTCCTGGGACACATCTAATCAATATGTCAGTGAGCAATTCTTCTGCTCAGTTTTTTCTGAAATACCTCTTTGATCATTTCATTGCACTAGTCAAAACACTTCCATGGTCACAGGATAACTGGTCAATATACAGCAGTAAAATGTATTCTTATATGCTGCAGCAAAGAATAAAATAATGGAATTTACAAAACACTATTTACAGTAACATCAAAAAAGCATCAAATACTTGGGAGTAAATCTTTAAAAAGACATTCAAGACCTAAAAATTGTAAAATATTGCCTAGAGAAATTAAAGGGAACCTAAATATGTGGAGTAATATATCATGTTTGTGACTTAGAAGATTCAATATTGTTAAGATGCCAGTTCTCTCAAAATTGCTCTACAGACTCAATGAAATTCCAATAAAAATTTAGAGTTAAGGCTGGTCTGAAAATAGTGAGTTATCTCAATTGATTGTTCACAGTCAGTCACAGATTGAATTCCTTGCTCCCCCTTCTTACTAATACACTTGACTACTCTGAAAAATAAAAGAAGTATTAGAGTTGATTCCAAAGTTTATATAGAAGTGTGATATAAATACACTTGGTAAATGTTTGGATGCGAATAGCCAAAAGAATTTTGAAAATTGGTGACAAGTTTTGGGACTCACATTACCTGAATCCAAGATAAATTACAGTGCTATAAAAATCAAGCCAGTTTGGAAGTGGTGTAAAGCTAGATAAAATATATCAATAGGATAGAATTAAGAGTGTAGAGATAGATCCAAACATATACAGTCAATCAACTTTCAACAAAATATGCAAGTGATTCAATGGGGAAAGGTAAGTCTTTTTAACAAGTAATGTTGGAATGACTGGATAACCCCATGGAAGAAGAAAACAACAACAAACAATAAACCTCTACCCCTACCTTATACCACACACAGAAGTTAATTCTACGTGAATCACACATGTAAACATAAAGCTAAAACTATAAAACTTCCAGAAGAAAACCTAGGAGAACATCTCTGAACTTGGGGGTAGGTAAAGATTACACAGGATCCAAAAATCTATACTCTTACCAAAGTAATGTTGCAGTTCATCAAAATTAAAATTTCTGTTTACCCAAAGTCACCATTATAGAAATTAAGAGGCAAACTGCAAACTGGTTAATACTATTTGCTTTACATATATCTAATAAAGAATTTGAAACCAGAATATATAAGGAACTCCTACAGATAGAGACACAAAAAAACCTTCAAAAAATCAATGAATCCAGGAGCAGGTTTTTTGAAGAGATCAACAAAATTGATAGACCACTAGCAAGACTAATAAAGAAGAAAAGAGAGAAGAATCAAATAGACGCAATAAAAAATGATAAAGGGGTTATCCCACCAATCCCACAGAAATACAAACTACCATCAGAGAATACTATAAACACCTCTACGCAAATAAACTAGAAAATCTAGAAGAAATGGATAAATTCCTGGACACATACATCCTCCCAAGACTAAACAGGAAGAAGTTGAATCCCTGAATAGACCAATAACAGGCTCTGAAATTGAGGTGATAATTAATAGCCTACCAACCAAAAAAAGTCCAGGACCAGACAGATTCACAACTGAATTCTACCAGAGGTACAAGGAGGAGCTGGTACCATTCCTTCTGAAACTATTCCAATCAATAGAAAAAGAGGGACTCCTCCCTAACTCATTTTACGAGGCCAGCATCATCCTGATACCAAAGCCTGGACACAACAAAAAAAGAGAATTTTAGACCAATATCGCTGATGAACATCGATGCAAAAATCCTCAATAAAATACTGGCAAACCAAATCCAGCAGCATATCAAAAAGCTTATCCACCATGATCAAGTGGGCTTCATCCCGGGGATGCAAGGCTGGTTCAACATACACAAATCAATAAACGTAATTCATCACATAAACAGAACCAACAACAAAAACCACATGATTATCTCAATAGATGCAGAAAAGGCCTTTGACAAAATTCAACACCCCTTCATGATAAAAACTCTCAATAAATTAGGTATTGATGGGACGTATCTCAAAATAATAAGAGCTATTTATGACAAACTCACAGCCAATATCATACTGAATGGGCAAAAACTGGAAGCATTCCCTTTGAAAACTGACACAAGACAGGGATGCCCTGTCTCACCACTCCTATTCAACATAGTGTTGGAAGTTCTGGCCAGGGCAATCAGGCAGGAGAAAGAAATAAAGGGTATTCAATTAGGAAAATAGGAAGTTAAATTGTCCCTGTTTGCAGATGACATGATTGTATATTTAGAAAATCCCATTGTCTCAGCCCAAAATTTCCTTAAGCTAATAAGCAACTTCAGCAAAGTCTCAGGATACAAAATCAATGTGCAAAAGTCACAAGCATTCCTTTACACCAATAACAGACACACAGAGAGCCAAATCATGAGTGAACTCCCATTCACAATTGCTTCGAAGAGAATAAAATACCTAGGAATCCAACTTACAAGGGATGTGAAGGACCTCTTCAAGGAGAACTACAAACCACTGCTCAACGAAACAAAAGAGGACACAAACAAATGGAAGAACATTCTATGCTCCTGGATAGGAAGAATCAATATTGTGAAAATGGCCATACTGCCCAAGGTAATTTATAGATTCAATGCCATCCCCATCAAGCTACCAATGACTTTCTTCACAGAATTGGAAAAAACTACTTTAACGTTCATATGGAACCAAAAAACAGCCCGCATTGCCAAGACAATCCTAAGCCAAAAGAACAAAGCTGGAGGCATCACACTACCTGACTTCAAACTATACTACAAGGCTACAGTAACCAAAACAGCATGGTACTGGTACCAAAACAGAGATATAGAACAATGGAACAGAACAGAGCCCTCAGAAATAACACCACACATCTACAACCATCTGATCTTTGACAAACCTGACAAAAACAAGAAACGGGGAAAGGATTCCCTATTTAATGGTGCTGGGAAAACTGGCTAGCCATATGTAGAAAGCTGAAACTGGATCCATTCCTTAAACCTTATACAAAAATTAATTCAAGATGGATTAGAGACTTAAATGTTAGACCTAAAACCATAAAAACCCTAGAAGAAAATCTAGGCAATACCATTCAGGACATAGGCATGGGCAAGGACTTGATGTCTAAAACACCAAAAGCAATGGCAACAAAAGTCAAAATTGACAAATGGGATCTAATTAAACTAAAGAGCTTCTGCACAGCAAAAGAAACTACCATCAGAGTGAACAGGCAATCTACAGAATGGGAGAAAATTTTTGCAATCTACCCATCTGACAAAGGGCTAACGTCCAGAATCTACAAAGAACTCAAACAAATTTACAAGAAAAAAATCAAACAACCCCATCAAAAAGTGGGCAAAGGATATGAACAGACACTTCTCAAAAGAAGACATTTATGCAGCCAACAGACACATGAAAAAATGCTCATCATCACTGGCCATCAGAGAAATGCAAATCAAAACCACAATGACATACCATCTCACACCAGTTAGAATGGCAATCATTAAAAAGTCAGGAAACAACAGGTACTGGAGAGGATGTGGAGAATTAGGAACACTTTTACACTGTTGGTGGGACTGTAAACTAGTTCAACCATTGTGGAAGACAGTGTGGCGATTCCTCAAGGATCTAGAACTAGAAATACCATTTGACCCAGCCATCCCATTACTGGGTATATACCCAAAGGATTATAAATCATGCTGCTATAAAGACACATGTACATGCATGTTTATTGCAGCACTATTCACAATAGCAAAGACTTGGAACCAACCCAAATGTCCATCAATGATAGACTGGATTAAGAAAATGTGGCACATATATACCATGGAATACTATGCCACCATAAAAAATGATGAGTTCATGTCCTTTGCAGGGACATGGATGAAGCTGGAAACCATCATTCTGAGCAAACGACCGCAAGGACAGAA
Organism: Homo sapiens; assembly: GCF_000001405.40. Taxonomy (NCBI): domain Eukaryota; kingdom Metazoa; phylum Chordata; class Mammalia; order Primates; family Hominidae; genus Homo; species Homo sapiens. Next base: position 95,469,846 of record NC_000011.10, on the reverse strand, counting down.
AACCAAACACTGCATGTTCTCACTCATAGGTGGGAATTGAACAATGAGAACACTTGGACACAGGACAGGGAACATCACACACCGGGGCCTGTCGTGGGGTGGGGCGAGGGGGGAGGGATAGCATTAGGAGATATACCTAATGTAAATGACGAGTTAATGGGTGCAGCACACCAACATGGCACATGTATACATATGTAACAAACCTGCACATTGTGCACATGTACCTTAGAACTTAAAGTATAATAAAAAAAAGAAGAAAAAAAAGAACTCCTACAACTCAATTGGAAAAGACGAATAACCCAATAAAAATGACCACAAGACTTAGACACTTAACAACAACAACAAATTCTATGTGAATGACTAATAAGCCCATGAAAAGATACACATTGCCATTAATCATGAGGGTAATGAAAACTAAAAGCATGATGAGATACCACTTCACACCCACTAAAATGACTAAAATTAAAAAGACAGACAACACCAAATGTTAGCAAGGATGAGAAGCAATAAGAACTCCATATTGCTCTTGGGAGTGTAAAGGAGTTCAACCACTTCGGGAAAAATTGCAGTTTCTTACAAATTACACCTAATCTTTGACCAGTAATTCAATTTTTGAGTTATTTATCCAAGAGAAATAAAAGCATATGTTCACAGAAAGATTACACAGAATGTTTATGCCAGCTTTATAGTTAACAGCCCCAAACTAGAAACAACTAAATGTTCATCAACATCAGAAAGGATAAATAAATCATGGTACAGTCTTACAATGAAATACTAGTCAGCAATTACAAAAACAAACTACTGGCACATGCAAAACATAAATGACCCTCAAAAGAATCATGGTGAATGAAAAAAGGCTGACATAAAAGAATATTTACTGTATGCTTCCAGTTGCATGAAGTTCCAGAACTGACAAAGTTTATTTACGGTGATGGAAAACACAGCAGTTGTTCTCTGTTGGGAAGTGACGATTGACTGGAAGGGGTATGAGGTGATAGAAAAATGCTCTCTGTTTTGTTTAGAGCTGGTTACATGGGTATATACCTTTGTCAAAACTCAGAATTTTATACTTCAGGTCTGTGCTTTTGACTGTTCACAAATTTTTCCTCCAGTTAAAAGCATAGTCTTTGAAATCAGACAGACCTCAGTTCAAATCTTGAATTTGTCACTGACTAGCTGTGTGATCCTGGACAAATTCCTTAATCCCTCTAAGTATTAGTTTCCTCACCTGTAAAATGGAAATAATTTCAATTTCACAGGAAAGATACAAGTATAAAAATGGGAGTATGTTTTAAAGAGATGAGCACAGTGTACACATTCAATACATTCTATCTATAGCTATTTTTACACACGATAAAAATCAAACTTTTCAGCTTTGCATTTAAGAGCTTCATAAATATGGCCTCCATCCATCTTGCCACTCTTTCTCCCACTATTCTACTAACTTTATTGTATTTAGCTACTTTGTGTTAGTCTTAATTTTTTTGCCCAACCAAACTACAAGGTAGTAGAGGATAGAATGCATCTCCCCAATTCTTTCAGTGCTTCTCTTATTAATTCTAGAAAAACAATTTAAACTCTATGAATTTCAGAGTTCTCGCTTTTAAATTAGGGTCATAGTTCCAACCCCATAGAATTGTTCTGGGGATTAAATTTTATATATATATATATATATATATATATATATATATATATATATATATACACACACACACACACACACATATATATATACACATATATATATACACACATATATATACACATATATATATACACATATATATATACACACACACTATGATCTATATATAGAATTCTATATATGTATCTCATATACACACATATGATTTGATTATTTAAAGAATAAATCATCTGAGCATGACTCATTAGCTATTGACTTCATGCAGGTGTCTAAGAATCTAATTAGAAGTTTAATATATTAATTTACATGTCCCAGTATGTGAATGTTACATATATATATATATATTTCACATATCCAATAAAATGCAAACCACTTCGGAAAAGCTGAAAAATAATTTTATCAATAAAATAATGCAACTTTCTGTTTGAAAATATGAAGCAGACCTGTCTAGGTACTTCAACATTGTAGTAACTAGTATGCTAATGGAACACAAATAAAATATTCTTCTTTGTTTAACACAAATCGGAGTCACCCAAGAGATATATGTGCTTTATTGGGTGTGTGAAGTTTATATATAGTGATACATATATATATATATATATATATATATGTTTGTTTAAAACAAATAACAGTATTTTAGATTGTCCTGGAGGTGATAACCCTGGTAAAAAGAACACTGGTGGGAAGTTAAGAAACCTTTTTCAATGTTCTGGCCCTGCTACTAACTAGTAATAGTAACTTAAACAAGCCCCTCACTCTCCCTGGACATCAGTTTCTTTAGAGGTTGCATGAATTTGTCTCCCACCCTTAACATTTTCGTGATAGAACTTCCACTCCACTGATAATGAATAGGTGTTGAAGGATTGATATAAATTAGATCAAGTATTTTTATCACAGCAAAATTAAGTGAGAAATTATAACACATTACTAGAGAAAGACTATACATTTGGAAATTAAGTAATGTATAGGCCAAAGAAGAAATAAAGAAGTAAAAGTTTAAAATATTTAGAATGAAACAATAAGTAAAATATTGTTTTTAAGCATAATGAGATGTAAAGTGATTTGGGGAAAAAAATTTTAGCATTAAACTTATTCATTATAAAGCCAACTATTCAAAAATTAATGAGCTAAACATTGAAATTAAGGATTAAAAAAATAAAATCAATGAAGACAAAGAAAACAGAAGAAAGAAAATTATAAAGAGCAGAAATGAAGGGAGAATCTACAAAGCAAAAATTTAGTACTTGAAAAGACTAACAAAATCAACAAATCATCAGCAAGACTGATCCATAAAAAAGAGAGAAAGTACATAAAGGAGCCAAAGCATTTATCTGATAGAGATTAAAAAGATAAGAAGATATGAGGAACTTTTTGTGTCAAAAACTTGACAACTTAGATAAAATGGACAAATCCCTAGAAAAATATAATTTACCAAAACCTACCTAAGAGAAATGAAAAACCTGGCCAATAACCAAAAACCATGTTAAAAAAAATCTTCCCATGCAGATAAAGCAAGCTGAAAAAGTTCTACTAAACATTAAAGGAAAAAAATAATTATTAACATTTGCAAACTAGTTGAGAGCACAGAAAAGAGGAAATACTCCCCAACTCAGTTTATGAGGCTAGCATAATCTTGAAGGTTAACTGATGACAATATGAGAAAAATAAAATTATGGGTCAGTCTCATTCATGCAATTAGTTCCAAGAAATCCTAAGTAAAACACTGAAAATACTGGCAAACTAAATTTAGCCATGTTTAACAATGCTTAAAAAGATGATACATTAAGATCAATTCCGGTTTTTCCTATTTACTGGATAGGGTCGGCTAACTGCTGCACTAAATTTTAAAACGTATACTGACTCACATGATAAAAGTTTACTTTTTGCTCATGAAAAGTCCAAAATGAGTGAGCCGTGTAGAGAGACTGAGAGACCCAGGTATCTGTCATCTTCTGGCTTTACTACCTTCAGTAAGTAGCATCCAAGTCCTGTGCTCATGCACATCCGCTGTGGAAGAAGAACAAGGAGCTAGGACCGCACATAGGAGGTAATTAGCCCAAGCCTGGAAGTGGAGTACATCGCTCACAGTCCCCCGGCCTGAACTCAGTTGCATGTGCCACTTGACTGCAAGAGCAGCCAGGAAGTACAGCTTTGCTGTGCGCCCAGGAGGAAACGGAATGTATTGGGAAAACAGCTAGCCAGTATTTGCAGCATCCTAATAACAGGGTGTAATTTCTCACGTTAGCTTGTGAAAGGAGAGAATGCATCAATCATCTTAACAGATAGAGAAAACAATCATGTAAGATTTATCACACACTCTGAAAAAAATTTATCAAACTAGGAAGAAAACTGTCTTAACCTCATATAGAGTGACAGCAACAAAACTAATTGCAAACATAATACTTAGTGGTAAAACACTAAAGCTTTCCCTGTAAGATCAGGAGGACCAAGCCAAGATAAGAATTATTATTACTATTTACATTCAATGCTGTATTGGAGGTCATAGTTGATATGCAAATAACACAAAATTAAATAAATGTAAAACATGTAAAAGATTAGAAAGTAACAAAACTACCATTTTTTCACATTTGATGTAACTGGCTATATAAAAAACCCAAGGGAAACTACAGAAAAACATTACAATTAATAAGAAAATTTAGCAGGCTTTATAGATAAAAAACTAATATAAAAAATCAATTGTATTTTAATATACCTGGCTATACAGATCAAAATACATAACTGAAAATGCCATTTGTAAAATCTTCAAATATAAAAACATAACTAGGGATAAATCTAATGAATGATGTAAGAACTTTGTGGAAAAAATTATAAACTTTATTAAAAGCTAAATAATTAGATCAGGAATACTCACTGTGGCAAAGATGTCATTTCTCCTTAGTGTATCTGTATAGATTTAACGCAATTCCAATTATAATCCCAATTGGATTTTCATAAACCTTGAGAATGTGATTGTAAAATTTAAATGGAAATACAAAAGGCCAAGAAGTTCCAAAAAGTCCTATAGAAGAAGAATGTGGTATGGTGAGGGATTACCCTACTCTATAAAGGTATAAATTGTATAAATATATGAAATTTAAGACAGGGTGGTATTGACCAAGCAAGAGACAAACAGTTCAATGGAGAGGGCCCAGAAGCAGCCTTGAATGTATAGGTCCTCCTTACATATAACAGAAGGGTCACTGCAAATCAGTAAGGAAAGGAGAGACTAGTCAGTAAATGGTGCAGACAGTGAATTATACTTATGGAAAATAATGCAACTGAATTACTACCTAACCTAATCAGTTCTAAATTGATTAATGCATGAAGGTAAATGGCAAGTGCATTTAAAACTAAATTGATAAATGCATTAGGCAAAATATAAAGGCAAAACATAAAATTTTAGAGTGATATCTAAGGGAATACACCTTCAGTTTAGAGAAGGACTTCCTATGATACATACCAACTGTAAAAGAAGATTGATAAATTCAATTATGTTAAAGTTAAGAATTTTGTTCCTTAATGAAAAGAATGTCTTTTCCATTCATGAAAAGACAACACAAAGGGAATAAAAAGAAAATCCAGGAGCTGCAACATATCACCAGTGAAGTATTATTATTCACAAAATATATAAGGAATTGCTAAATTTCTTGCATCAGAATTAAACAAATTATGCAATGAAAATGGGAAAAACAAATGGTAAATAGGCATGCAAATATTTTCATCCTCCTCAGTAAAACCGCAATGAGATATCATTTTATTCCCACCAGTTTGGAAAATATTAAGAAGCCTGAGAATACACAATTGGCAAGATCAAGGAACAATGGCAACCCCTACACACTGTCGTAGGAGTTTAAATTGGCACTATCATCCTGGAACCTACCTGGCATTACCCAGTAAAGTTGAGCATGTCCTACTGAAGCCTGACAGTGTCAGTACCAGGACTAAGACCTTGAAAAACTCCTGCTCATATGCATCAGAAGACATGAAGAAGAATGTTCAATACCACGCTGTTTATAATAGAAAATATGGAAAACAACCCAAAGTTTTACCAACAGAAGGACAGTAACCAAACTGTGGTCATACAATGCAATGCTATGCAGAATCGAAAATCTCTGGAGTGAGATGACATGCAGCCATATACATAAATCTCACAAATGTAAAACTGGGCCAAACAAGCAGGTTGCAGAATAGCACATTCAGTATCAGTCCACTTATAACAAGTCAAATAATATTATCATATGTGGTTTTAAAAAAAGCTCTGGGAAAGACAAATACAATGTTCACCAGTTAGAGGTTAACTCTGGGGAGGGAGAGGAATTAATCAGGGAGGGCTTAATAACCTACTGCTAAATATTTCATTCTTACACTGTGGTGGTGTGTTCAGATGTTCATTTTTGTCTTTTTAAAAATACCTTACTTACATGCTGTTAATATTCTTTTGTATGTGTAAATATTTAATTTAAATATTTTTAAAATTCTCTACTTCTCTATGCTTATTAAGAGCTAGAGATGTAAAAGAGGTCACCTAGCTGCTGCCCTACAGTTTTATAGTAAAAAAGAATATTCCTCTCAGCATATCTCTCTGATAACTAAATTTCTTTTCCTTTCCCTTCTTGCTTTGACAAGGGATAAAATAAATATCCTTTAGGGAAAACAAAAAATCACTCTGAATATCACCTCTATATTTTGAGACATATTTGCTCTTTATTTAGATAACAAATCAGCAGTAACTTTTGGGCCTTTCTTTGATCTAAAAGAAAGTAGATTGCAAAAAGAAGAATCAAGTCCCAGCCATGAAAACCAAAGACCAGCTCTAACATGTCTCTTACTTTTGCAAGAGCTTTTACCCCATTAAGGCAACTATTATTATGCACATTTTACCAATGAGGTTTATGAGAAACTGGGAAGAGAAATGACTTGGACAGAATTAACAGATTTTTATGAGAGCATTAAGGCAACATTTGATTTTCTGATTGCCAGTCGTGCGTCCTGGGTATTTTTTTTTCGTTACCACATTTATTGGTACAAGAAGGATAAATTCTCCAATGGTAAAACAATTTGGGGCAGCTGACAGACCAATGAGAGATATTTTTGGATGAGGGATATTTGCCAAGAGCACCCATATGTAATCATTCTCATTATCTCCCTCCCTCCACCTCTTCCTTCTACACACCCCCTCCACCTGTTCTCTCTCTCTCTCTCACACACACACACACACACACACACACACACACACAAAGTATCTATCTGTTCATACATCATTTTGGCATAGAAAAATTAAACTTTAACTAGACATAGGAGGTTGTTTTAATTTCCAGAACTAAAAGATTGGCACAGCATGGCCCATGAAGGTCCTTGTGATTGGGCCCCTGCTTATGTCTGCCACAAGAAGGTCAGATCCACCTTATCTCAGCACATCTTTCCAACACGGTCTCATAATCTTTTACTCTAGCCTTCTCTCCCAGCTAATGCTTTTCTCCTGTCCCTCCCTGGAAAAGTAATTTGGTATAAGCCTCAGTTTCATCTTCTGAAAAATAAAAATATTACCTACTAATATCAAAATTTTGTTAAACATGTTAAAGGACATTGCGTGTCTCCAAAGGAGCAACTAGAGACCATAGACCAAAAAAAAAAAAGAAAAAAAAAAAACTGAAAAGAGACTTTGGGATGAGGTACAAGGGAAATATCAAGGGTGATGAAGATGTTCTATATGTTGAATATGGTGGTAGCTACACGGTCACATAAATTTTCAAATGCACACTTAAATACACACTTAAAATGGGTTCATTGGATTGCATATAAATTGCACCTAAATGAAGCTAAAAGAGACTAGAAGGGTGTACCTCTAATTATTGAAGTAATCCATCACCCTTTCTCCCCTGACTCCTAGCTTTCTAAAGGGAAGCAGGACTGGCATAGGAAAATCCAACCGTTAGCATTGTATCTCATTATCCCCCTTGGTCTACACAAAGAGGATGGGGGAAAAGGAAGAGAAAAAAGAGGGAGAGTCAAGTCTGTGGCCTTCTGTGCAATCAGTGGTTAGGAAGAGGGAAGGGTAGAGAGGTGTACTTCCCCCAAAGGTAAGGGAAACATTGATGTTGTAAGAGAATCACTCACAGATATGAGAGTACCTACAAAAAGAGGAAGCTGGTATCTTATCACCTTGCTAAATTCTTGCTGAAATGCAAAATCTGCAGTCCACCTGTTATTGCCACAAGAACTAAGCAGAGAACAATGAGGAAGGGTTTGCCATATATACCCTGAAGTGTTGAGATCTAAATAAACATAGAAACTGGTGCTACTTCTTTCTGGAGATTTCTGAAGGAGGTAGGCTTGCTAGGGAGCCTGCCTCAGCAAGGTAAGAAGGGACCCTGGTTTACTACACCAGGGAAGAAGATGGAGGAAGCCTTCAATCTATCCTGTTTGACCACTGGAGCATGGGAATGATGACCCCTATGGTTCTCCGGACCTACTAGAAGGGGTCCATGGCTTACAGGAGAACATAGGAGTCATATAGTGGCCAAATAAGGCAAAGCCCTACATGGAGAAAGGGTTGGGAATGTGGACATATGGGAGGGGCGGATAGGAAGCATGGGTCCCCTCTCTGAAGGGTCCTTGATCATGAAGAGTCAAGGTGAAGTGTTTACACTGGCCCATCCCACCCTCATATTGCTACTCTACAGCAGAGTCAGTAGGAGCAGACAGAACCAGAACAAACTACCACAGGGCCTAGGACACTTGGCCACCACCCTATGGCCAGTTACAGAAGATCACATCTCAATTTCCCTCATCATCTGCCCCCATTCCTACCAGAAGAACTAGCCCTTGAAAAGGAGGTGGTAGGGAAGCATCTTAGAGCTGGGCCATGCCCTGCCTGCCCCACCTTATCCCCAGGTAGCCTATGCTAGATGAAAAGGAGAAAGTGAGCTTCGAACTGAGTTTCAGGTTTGAAACTAGACAGACATTTCAATAACAAAGAGCAACCCAAAAATATACCTTGTGCCCAAAATATCATTGAGGAATTGGAAGAAATGGCCACCAAGCCCTGTTGAAACAGTGATTTTAAAATAATAATAAATTCATTTCATGTTTATAGCCTACTGAGATGAGATGAGATTATTACATAAGGAGAAGAGATAATGCTTGGCAAGTCCTTAACCAAGCACCTGGCATGTCAGTAATAACCAGCATTTACCCAGGTACAGAGGAGTCATCAAATATGATTATTTATTAATTTTTTATTAAGTAGTTGTCAAAATGTTTTCATATTTTTCTTATATCGCTCATGAATTTAAGACCCATTTGTTCTTCCATTTATCCAGCAAGTATTTAGTGAGCACACAGTGGGTTCTGGGACAATAAGACGATGTGGCCCCTTCCTCGGGGAGCAGGCTGTGTCCCTGGCCCCACGAGGACTCATGCTGACAGTTTTCAGCAGCATCATTTGCACCCTTGCGGCACCTCTCAGACCCTTGCCCTCCTTCTTCCTATCCCACCCCTGGGATTCCTTCTAGCCCACCTTCTTTGCCCAGTAAAAGTCTCAGCCTTCTCAGTAAGACAATTCTCCTCTCATTTTATTTTATTTACGTTTTATTTTTATTTCTTTTTTAGAGACAGGGTCTCACCATGTTGCCCAGGCTAGTCTCAAACTTTTGGTCTCAAGCAATCCTCCTGCCTTTGCCTCCCAGAGTGCTGGGATTACAGGCATGAACCACTGCGCTCCGTCTTTCTCATTTTAAACAATGCTTTGGAAACATACATCTTCCCTCATGTATTGGGAAGGGTACAAAATTTCAAGTTACGCTGGGCTCTGAGTGGGGACTCTGAGTTCTTGCCCCAGCTCCACCTCTTCCCAGCTGGTGACTTGGTTGTGGGCAGGCACCTCTGCTCAGAACCTTGTGGTCCTGGGGAGAAGAACGTCTCCACCTCATGGGGAGCTGTGAGCATTAAATGGGATAATGTATATAGAACACTTAAGCACTCCATAAATGATACTTACTATTATAATAATACAGGTAAATTTGAGCAAATCATTTAACCTCACTGAACCCTAGTGCCCTTGCTTTTACAACAAAGTTATTAATAACACACTTGTCTACCTCATAAGGTTGGTGTCAGATCCATTGAGATAACAGATGTGAAAGACGTTTTAAATGTTACAAAGCGCTATTCAACGGTAAGCTGTTGTTAGTGTTTTCAATGATACACTGAGCTGAAAGCATCTTTTAAAAAGGACTCAAAAGAAAAATAAAAAAAAAAAAAAAAGAGGGATTACAGCCATGTTGTTTCCTCTGCCTTTCTATGACATTTATAAGGAATCTGGAAACCATCCAACTCCATGAGTTAATTAGATTCTGCTTTGAATCACACAACTGCGGGTTGGCACATTCTGGCTTGCCCTTCACATCTCAGTCCTTGCTTGACATGCCCAGAGTTCATCAAGAAGGTGTCATGTTTGCAGGGGGCTTGAGCCCCTCCATTTATGCTGTGCAGCAGGACCTGTGTTGGCTTTCTTTGGAACTCACCCTAGAAAGTTCCATCTCCTTCCAAGAGTTTCGAATTTTCTCATGTGAGAAACATCAGCTCTCATGAAATGAGGCCAGAGTGTAAGTATTGTTCTACTGGATATGGGAACTGATCCCACAACAGCAGCCTCATGCTTTCAGCCTAGAAATTATCACGTGGTTGATTGCTTGAGAGAGAAGTGATTATCTGCTATGGGAAAACACTCTTCCCTGTCTGGGCCTCCTGTCCACTAGAAACATGTTTTTCAGGAGGTGGCAGGAGGTGCTCAGCCTGTGTTGCATTCCTGAAGGCTCCGGGAAATGAGGCTCCGTTGCTTATTTACCCAGGCACTGCCAAGGTCTAAACTTGTTGATTCCCAGATTAACAGACCAATCTTTTAGCCTCTGTGGTTCCAGTGTGAGTGGAGGTAATATTTGCCCTATGTACAAGGTGTCAGTGTCAAAAGATGTGTCAAGTGCTTAGAACAATGCCTGATGCATTATAGTTAGGGTGATCACATAATTTATCATCTACTGTAATTTTTTTTTTGAGACAGGGTCTCACTCTGTAGCCCAGACTGGAGTGCAGTGGTACAATCATGGCTCACTACAGCCTCAAGCTCCTGAACCCAAGGGATCCTCCCACCTCAGCCTCCCAGTAGCTATGACTACAGGCACATGCCACCACGCCTGGCTATTTTTTCTTTTTTCTGTCAGATAGATATGGGGTCTCACTAGTTGCCCAGACTGGTCTTAAACTTCTGGTCTCAAGCAATCCCTCCGCCTCGGCCTCCCAAAATGCTGGAATTACAGGCATGAGCCACTGTACCCAGCCACATCTTCTATAATTTAATAGAAAACTTTTTAAAGTGAAAGAGGCACTGCCAAGATGAATGGCATTGTAAGGACATGATATTATCTAATATTGTTCAGCAGTTGGATATGCAGACACCAATGACAGGGAATCTGTTGCTGTTGGTGTGCCTGGGTCTGGTTCCCTGTGTCACCAGAGTCGGTGAGCACTGCCTGAGACACGTGTGGAGGTGGGTCTCTGCTGAGCCTCCTGTCCTCATAAGGACAGTGGAAAGAACAGTTTGAAGAGTGGGCTCTTTCTGTGGTTGTAGGGGAGTCATTCTGCAGCATGAGCTCCGTCACAGGCATCCGTAAGGACTGGAGCTTAGAGAGCCTCAGTATCACAGAGTTCCTCTTCCCCCCCCCCCCGCCACTGGTATTCCACAAGGACAGGCCAGAGAAAATATTCTCTTCTGCCTAGCCCATTTGTCGACTGGTTGGGGTGAGCATGAGAAATCATACATCCTGATCCAGATATGGCATCTTCCCCTACTCATTATATCCCACCAAATTGGGAAGCTGGCGTGGGGAGCAGGTGAGAAGGCCACCTTCGATGTCCCCCAAACCACTCTCCATTACAGTCACAGCCTTGAAAGGGCACCAAAGCATTTGGCATGGACACCTCCTCTTGCAATCTACTGCCCTCCCACCCACCATTTTCATTCATTCTTTCAGCAATTAAGTATTTAAGAACTTCTAAATGCCAGCATCTGTTCCAGGCACTGGGGATATAGTAGTGAATAAAAATTTTTTAAAGTTCTTACTGTATGAGACTTAACAATCTAGAGTTGTGCTGTCCAGTATGGAAGCTACTAGCTAATGTAGCTATTTAAATTTCAAGTAATTAAAATCAAATAAAATTAAAAGCACAGTTTTCTCAGAGCCACATCCTAGGTGCTCAGTAGTCACATGTGGCCATGGCTACCCTATTGGGCAGCTCAGAAATAGAATATTTCCATCATTACAGACACTTTCTTTGGATAGCAGTCTTCTAGAAAGAGGAGAAGTATAGAAAAGTAATGAGAAAATAAATAGAAAAATATATTATATGTTGGATGGCAATAAAAAGTGCTTTAGAGAAATATTAAGTAGAATAAGGGACCTAGAGAGTACTCTGGGATAAGGGGGATGAGGCCAGAGTGGTGGAGACACCACCCTGATCATCAGAGCTGATCACCACACTTACTGTTGAAATATTAAAATATATCCTTACCGATTGTTAGACAAGCATGGCCTGAAGCCACTCTACTGCTGCCCTGTCCACCACGTTGGCTGTCCTGGCTCCTGTTTTGGAATACTTCCCCCAGCTCAGCCATGAAAAGATAAATTCCTGGCTCAGGAGGGGACAGCCAGGTCCCTGATCCTGCCCTGTACCCTTGGCTGTTGTGATTGGTCAGTTCTCATGCCAAAATGTTTAAAAGATACTACAAATATCACTCTTGCTGGCATGTCATTTAAGCAGGTCTCCAAGGAAGTAAGGCCAGAAGCCATGGGGGTATGTGGAGCAAAGTATTCCAGGCAGAGGAAACATCAAATGCAATGGCCCAGAGGCTGGAGCGTGCTTGGTGTAGTCCAGGAAGAGCAAGAGGCCGCTGTGGCTCCAGCGTGGTGACCAAGCCTTCCGGAATGTAGCAGATAAAGTCAGAGTTGTAAGGGGAGTTGTGGATCACATAAGGCCTTATAGGCCATTTATATCCATTATTTCTTGCCACAATAATTCTGTATTTAAAAAAAAATCAAGCGGCTTAAATCAATAAGCATCTTCTACTGCTCATAAGACTATCTATGGTTCAGCTGAACTCTGATGATCTTGACAAGGCTCAGCTTACCTCAGCTGGTCTTGCACATTGAGGATCAGGTGTTGGCTTGGCTCAAAGCTGGCTAGTCCGGGGTGGTCTCATTCCCATATCTGACTGTTGACTGGCTGCCAGCTAGGACATGTGACTAGACCACATGTCTCTCATCATCCTGAAGGCTGGCCCAGGCTTGTTTACATGGGGACGGCAGGGTTCCAAGATGCCCAGAGGTGGCACATTGTCATTTATGCTGCATTCTGCAGGTCAAAGAAAATCACAGGGCCTGCCCAGATTCAAGGGGTGAGGAATAGACTCCACCTTTTGCTGGGAGGGGCTATACAGTGGCTTTGCAAGGGAGGCAGATACAGGAAGGGGTGGATAATTGCAGCTGTTTATGCAATCAATTTACTCACCATTGTAAAGACTTTGACTTTTATCCCAAGTATTAAAGGATGCCATTAAAATTTGGAGGAAAAGTGGGTTGTCATATGATTCGCTTTACATGTAAAGTGATTCCTCTGGCAATTGTGTTGAGCATAGACTATAGGGGGTAGGGACAGAGGCAGGGACACAGGTTAGGAAGTGTTGTGACAAACTGGGAGGGAGAATGGTGACCTGGGAAGTGATGCTAGTGGTGGAGTTGATAAGAAGTAGCATATTTTGGATTAGGTTACAGTTGAGCCAATGACTTATGTGTTAATTAGAGAAAGAGAGGTGTCAAGGATGGCTCTAGGGCTTTTGGCCTGTGCAGCTAGTAAAGTAGAGTGGCCATCAACTGAAATGGAGAAAGTGATGGGCAAAGTAGGCTTGTGAGGAAAAACTCAGAGCTTCTTTTGGACATACAGAACTTCATATATCTATTAAACATCAAAGTGGCAATGTCGGTTACGCAGTTAGACATGCTAGCCTGGATTTGGGATGGAGAAATAAATGTGGGAGTTGTTGGCATGTGGATGGTGTTTAAAGGCATGAGAGCAAATGAAATCACCGAGGGAGAGAGGGTAGTTCGGGAAGAAAAGAAGACAAAGGACTGAGTCCTGGAGCCCTCCAATGTGAAGAGGAAAAAGCTTCAAAGCCTCTGAGCAGCAACAACCAATGAGATTGAGGGAAAGGCAAGAGGTGTGGTATTGTGGAAGCCATGTGTGGAAGGCACATGAAAGAGGAGTAGCTGCATGACCACCACATTGAGCTTCCGGCTGAGGAATTCTTGGAAGACGGAGGGCTCTGGGTGCTTCTCTGGAATGAAGATACGTCTTTCCTCAATCTTATGTATATTAATAGAAAAACATATGGTCTTAATCTTTGCCAGAGGATGTCCATGAAAAACAGGGAAGTTGATCTGCTGCAGAGGAGGGGCCCTTTCACGTCCTTTTGCTAGAATTCTCCACGGGGCTGTTTCCAGCTCCCAGGACAGGAACCTCAGCCCCACTGCTGTGCAGCAGCCTGTGCTTCTCCACAGGAAAGAGAAGCACCACTGCTTGGAATGTTGTAGACACCAGGAAATGTTGGGTAAAGAGCAAGGGAATGAATGAAGGAATGAATGAGTAAATCAAGAGTAACCATGGTTAGAAGCTGTGGTTTACAAAAGAGAAAATGAAATAAACCAGGCAAATATTGGGGCCTGAGAAAGAAAAAAAAATGTGGGTGGCTTGAAGTAAAAAGTTTTCTGTAAGATTTGCATTGTTCACCACCAAGGCCTCTACCCGCTGAGACCTTCTCACCCTCTACCCCACCCTCAGAGACCCAGCTCCCCATTCCCTGTCCTAACTCTGCAAGAGTTCCTGGTTCTTCCTGAGAGGTAGATGGTCATTAAACATGGGGGAAAACAACCTAGATTTAAAGTGCAGAAATCAGCTGGATTATAATCTGAGTTTCATGAGATCGTTGTGAAGATTTTTCTACAATGAGGTTTATGAAAACATCTTGTAAACTCTAAAGTGCTATCCAAATGGAAGGACATGTATTTATTTTCCAGAGGTTAGCACAGGAAATATTCACTGTCAAATAGTGTCAGAAGGGAAAAGAGAGAGCTAAAAGATAGCTTCACACCAAGGGAAATGCAAGGTGGAGGCATAGACTTAGGAGAAAGGTAGCAAAGTCAAAAGAGAAGAGCTAGTTGCAAGACTGCAGCCATAAATTGTGTTGGGATAATGCCTTTACTCCCAACTCTTTAGTGAACTCACTGCATTGATGAGATTTGTGGCTCAAGTGGATTTGATTTACCCCCAAGTAAATTGGCAGCTTTGAGGTAGATGACATGCGATAAGGGAGGCCACGTAGTCTCAGGAGTGGAAGCTCTGAGAATGCTTAGGAAGTGAGGCTGGGAGACAGTATAGCAAAGAGCTTTTGATGGACACTCACTGTGAAGTAGAATTCAGGCCAAAGAGTAGGAGAATCTCTGAGGGGAAAGCAAGCCTAGAGCGGAATTTAAGTCACACACTTGTATACAGTAGGGAGTGAAAGATTTGGTATATATAATAGATGCTGTAGGACCTCAAATGAGATGACTAGAGTAATATCTAGAAGGGATTCATTGAAGAAACACTTTCTCATTTTCTACCTTCTCTCCTATGCCCCTAAATCTATTACCATCTTTGTTTCCCTGTCATCCTCTCTCTTTTCCTTTTGTCCTGCCTGTGCCTGAAGGTGTCTATGGTTTTAAAGATTGAGTCTAAACAGCGGTCTCACCAACGCCCTCCCTGGGTCACTCCCCTCCTTTGCCAGAGCCGGCATTGGCACTGCTGGGAAAGAACTCTGCGCAATGCAAGGCAGACTGCATGGACTCGTGCCTGACCCTATCCCCACCCCATTCCCATGCCATACTATTCACCCTGTCAGACAAAAAGGAAAAATGCTGGCACCATGCAGATGATCCAGAACAATGTCCACAGTTTCCAATATAAACTGTGCAGCTCAGGGCTCCCACCCTGCCGAGCGTCCAGTAACTTTTGCTGAGCCATCCAAGCCCAAGGGAAAATAACCCACTGTGAAAGAACAAAGGCAGCCTTAGCTCAGGCCTGTCCCCACCAGTCAGGAGAGGCAGGCGACAGCACCTCTGGGCCAGTGCGGTCCCTGGAGGGCGGCCAAACAGGCTGTTCTGAGCATGACAAGGCAAGGGAGGGGCCCAAGAGGCCCCAGTCAATGAGAAATAGATCTGCCTGAGAAATAATAATGAATGAAAAGGCGCAGTGACAAAGCCTTGCCTCCGAGCTGGTTTGGCACACCCTCAGATCTAATGATATGTTCAGAAAGAAAAATCCACAGGCAAGATTTGGAATCCTTTAAGCCAACTAGTCATCCACAAACAGGCCCAATGATCTTGGTTTTACCAGCAGGCATTCCAAGAAAGGGCTCTTGGGCCTGACAGCTGTCCTTCTTCAACAGGCTCAGCACTTGTCAGTGCTGGAATGTGAAATAGCCTATTTGGGAGCAGAGGGATGGACTAGATGAACCTATGAGCTCACGTAATTCCAGGTCAAACAGGCAGTGAGAATGAGACTAGTACCTGTGACTGTGAAAAGACATACTGGTGAGGGAATAGAAGCAAAGATCAGAAGGAGGGGTCAGGAGGAGCAGGGTCTTTTTCAGTTCTCAAATATTTGCTGAGCTTTCCTTGAGACTTGAGAGCTGAGCACAGTGAGGTTAGGGGACAAAAATAACAGATGCCACCCCACTCTCAGAGTGCTTATGAGATTATCTACCTAAAAGTGCCTTAAAAAACATTTTAAGGGGGTCAGAGAGTATTATTGTCATTACCAAAGATGCCTGGAGATCATCTGACTCTGGATCCAAGTCTGATAGCTTGGTGGAGCTGCTTGGAAGTGGGTATTGAGTTTGTGAAGGCTTGCGTGGGTTCAGGCTCAGCAAAAGGAATGCGTTGATTCATTAGTGCTGTTTGTAATGGATAGAAGGGAATGCTACATATCCAATGACCTGAGTTCCAATCTAATTTGGCCTATTTTACAAATAAAACAGCTGAGTTCCGGGAAGAGGAGATGGCAAAGTTGAACAAAATGGGCACTAGATTGTCACAGCTAAGCCTTCGCTCACCCTGCCCTGGGAGAGCAGGACAGATGAGCAAACTCCAGGAGATGCCGGCGATGCCACACAATCGCACAATCGTAGGGAGGAAGAGAGAAAGGAAGGGAGGGGCTGGGAAGGCTTCTAGAGGCCACAAAGCAGCACCATGTAAACACATACGTGGTTTCCAATGAAACAACAGCTCCCACTTAACCCTCCTTCTCTTTTCCTGACCATGGAAGGTTGAGGTTAGGTTGCCAGGAAAGTGGCAAAACTTTCCCATAGATCCTACCCTGGGTTGAACTTTGAAAGAGTATTATAGATTTCTTAAGAAGTGAAGTGTTACAGGCCACAGTTTATGATGATTAGGTGAGAGTTAAAGCACACATTTTATTCTACATCATAATAGAGCTAGTTGTATACCAGTCCCTCTTTGTGAAATTAAAGATTTCATGAAGATATTATCCCTGCATTACCCAGCAACTAATAAAATTGTATAAAGAGTAGGCATACAGTGAATATTTATGAATTAGACAAATAAATGAAGACATTATTAATATCATTTTTAGGGAATCCAAAGATTAGCAGTTAATCTTCCAGCCAGGAGAGAAAACAAAAACACACTTGTAGTATTAAGTTTATTAAATTATGGAACTGCTCACTCAGCCATTCCAGCCAAGGAGCAAATAATCATAATCATAATCACTAACATTTATTGAAGAATTACCATGTGTTTTATGAGAATAAATACGTCAGGACAGATTAATTGTTTTAACAAGCAATTCTAAAATATCAGTAGTTAAACCATAATCCAATACAGATTGAGAGGGGCAGAGCGGGGAGTGCTATGCTCCAGTCATTCAAGGACCCAGGCTCCTTCCATACAGTGGCTCTGCCTTCTCTGAACCCTAGAGTTCTCTTCTGGATCCTCTGAATCTACCAGTAGATGAGGAAAGAGAGGGTATAGAGGATTATAAGGAAGGTTTTGGGGATAAGCCTTCGATAATGTAGCCTATATCTCTTCTATCCACATTCCATTCATCAGAGCTTAGTCACAAAGCCTCACTTAGATGCAAGGAAGTTGGGAAATGTAGTCTATTGGTGACTCATGAAGAAAAGGGAAAAGGTTGTTGGGTATCTAGCAAGTCTCAGCCACAAAGCATTATCTCATTTAGTGCTCAAGACAGCCTGATAAGGCAGATGTGATTTTTATTCCCATTTTGCAGATGAGAAACTTGAGGCTCAGAAATTAAAATAATTCCCAATATCACACATCTAATAAATGACAGAATTGAAAGTTGGTCCTAGATCTGACTCTAAAGCATATATTCTAGACCCACTAAGTTATGGACCTTCATAACTGAGGTTTTTCTCTTTTCCTTCCTATTTTTCTCTTTTCCTTCCTCACTACACAGACTCTCACCATGTTGATTTTGGCTCTCCTGGATCTAAACTGCTGATAATACTTAGCTATTTGGCATCAGAATATACATTATCTTATCTATTTTCCATTGCACTTCCATGTGGTAGGTATTATTAGCTCTATTTTACCAGAGAGGAAGCTGAGATTGGATGGGTTACATAACTTGGCCAAGATCAAACAGCTAATGAGAGGCACATTTGAACATAGTTGAATGCTGTACTGTGTCTTGCTCCTTGGCCTGGAACTTTGGAAGGCCTTTCCCTAAAAAATGTTTTTAATGACAAAAAATAAAATTGAATCCTAAAAAATGCAACAATCCACTTTCCCACAGAGCATCCCAGAGTGGTTGGCATCTGCAAGGTCAGAGGCCTCAAAACTGAGGTCAGACAAGCTTTTGATTCTTCAGGTCTGAATCCGTCCACAAGGTGGGAATATCAAATAAATTTTTCAGCTTCTGACCTTATTAATTGTAATTAGACTGGCATATCAATGCTTAAAGAGGTTCTTCCCAGCCGAAACCGTCCAGGAAATGAAGAGTCAGATAAATAACAAGGCTGACGCAAGGCTAGGGAAATACTCCAGACTCAACTAGGGGGTGGTCTCTCCAAGCCAACAGCATTATTCATGGCTGGGTCACTGGGTGCTGATGAGGAATCAACAGCTAGAGCAAGATTTGCCTGCTGGGCTCTCTTCTTTCCTCTCCCATCCTCACCCCTATCCTGACCTGCCTACCCTCCTCTCTCCTTGAACTATCCACTTGCACTGAGTTTCTTTATCACACCCTCTCCAGGCACTCAGGAGCCATCAGACATCATGTACTGCTCCCTGAGAGGGAAAAACAGGAAATGAATCTAATTAAAACTGCTGCACTGTAAAGAAGGAATTAATGATAAGAACAATAATGCAATCTGAGGACTTGGGCAAATTGGGCAGATAAAAGGAAAAAAAAAAACAACAGCAGATTATGAGTCTTTGAGGCAGTTGACGCTACAATATCTTCAATCATGCAAGCTGCACTGGTCATAGGAGCACACTGCAGAGCCCCAGAGCCTTGGAACTCCAGCTCCCTCCCTTCCCAATACCCTCCCAGGCGGAATTTTTCCCTTGACTACAGCCTCAGATTTTTCTTCCTAAGGATCTTGAACCCCATTATTTACTCTCAGGCCAGTCTTCATGGGATTGACTGTCACCAGCAGTGACAATCTATGAAGATGTAATAATCCTCCATGTTGGAATCTTTGAGATCATCTACTCCCATACCCAGGGAGGCAACCAGGGCCAGACAGTTTAAATGACTGGCCCAAAGGCAAACTGCTGGTTAGGAAGGGAGCCAGGACACTCAGGCCTACAGCCTTCAAGCTTGGAGAGTCTTTTTGCTAGACCACACTTTGGTGTGCAACTCCAGGTACATGAATTGGTAACAGATTCTACTCTATTATTCATTTTTTTTAAAAATCCTACCAAGATGTCTTGGTCAAAGTTTCCCTTTACTGCTTCTTGCTGGATGCCCAAGAAGCTGGTGGTATCTTTTTCTGTATCAGGTGAACTATAAACCTCTTCTCCTTCCCTTTCAGGCTCTTCCAGGAACCTGGGTTTTGTAATTTCCCATTTCTCCCAATCTAAACTACCTACCTATTTTGCCACCTACCTAAAGAGTCTGTCTTCTGACCTAATTCTCACAGTAATGAACTCATTTTACCTCCCTCTGTATCTTTCTCATGCCCTGCCAAGGATCCATGGTCCTTATATTTCCTGGCCTTCCATGGCCTTTCCCCATTTTAAATCCTTCTAATGGAGACAGAAAATTGTCCTTTATCTGCACATTTAAAAGTTTTCGGAAAAAAAATAGAGTCACAGGTGATTTCTGAGGTCCTCCACTGCCAAGTCCTTTCTTCCCCACTATCCCTTGCTGCTCCTACCACATTGGCCTCGTTTATTTTTTAGAAAACACCAAGTTCTTTCTTACCTCATCGTCTTGAGGATGCGATTTCCTCTGGCAGAGTCTTACCACAGAGCCTATTCTCCCACTCCCACCTCCTCTCCTGGCAAGCTCCTTCTTATCCTTCAAGACTCACCTTCTGTATTATTTGCTCTAGGTAATCATCCCTGACTCCCCTACTTAGGTAAGGTCCCCCCCAACTAACTGCTCTCAGATAATCCTGTATTTACTTTTATATCCCTTATCATAAATGGGATTATACAATTGTTTTTAATGATTGCAACTTATTGTCAATGTCCTCCAACAGACTGTAACTTCCATGAGTAAATGGCCAGAAGGGATTGATGTGTTGTACGTATATATTCTAAACACAATCATCCCTCGGCATCCAAGGACAATTGGTTCCAGGACCTCTCACAGATTCCAAAATTTATGGATGCCCAAGTCCCTGGTATAACATGGTGTAGAATTTGCATACAACCTACACACATCTTCCCATATACTTTAAATCATCTCTAGATTACATATAATACCTAATACAATGTAAATGCTATGTAAATAGTTGTTTTACGGTATTGTTTGGGAAATAATGATGGGAAAAAAGTCTATATTTAGTACAGATGCCTTTTTAAAAAATATTTTCGACCTGTGAGTGGCTGAATCCACAAATGCGGAACCCACAGATACGGAGGGCTGATGGTAGTGTTCTCAGGACACTAAAGCTGACACTGCTTTATCTGTAATTATTTGCGTATATGTGGAAGCACCCACCAAGAGTATAAATCCCATTGTGGCAGAAACCCCTACACTGATGGACATATAATAAATGTTCATTGAATGAATGGAGGGATCGATGTCAATAAAGCTCTTATAACCCTTTAGGGTTGAGGGAGTGGTGCTAGTTTGCTACTGAAATATTGACAAAAGACATAAAAGATTGTCAGTGTGCAAGTGTAAAGCTATCTGTTATTTCTCTTTATCACATCTCCATTTTTGTTTCTCCTTCTTTCCACGAGTCTCTGTATTAGTGCTTCCTACTCCCAGCTACTGAAATCTGTGTTCGTTTCCTATTGCTGTGTAATAATTTGCAACAAATTTAGCAGCCTACAACAATGCACATTTATTATCTCACAGTTTTTGTGGGCCAGGAATGTGAGCACAGCTTAGCTGGGTCCTTAGCTGGGCCAGGAATGTGACCATAAAGGTGTCACCCAGGGCTGGGTTTTCATCAGAGGCTCAAATAGGAAAGGATCTATTTCCCACCTTCCTTGGATTGTTGGCAGAGTTTATTTCCTTGCAGCTATAGGTTTCATGGCAGCTTACTTCTTCAAAGTCAGCAACTGAGACAGAGAGAGAGGCCCTAGCAAGATGGGTGCTATGGGGTTACATAATCCCGTGCACATAGTCATGTGCATCTCTTTACCTTTGCCACATTCCACTCATTGAGGCAAGTCATAGGCAACACTCAAGGGGAGGGGATTATACAAAGGTATGAATATCAGACATCAAAGATCATGGGATACCTTAGAGTTTATCCACTGCAACCTTCTAAGACAAAGGGACATGGATATGGATATGAATATGGATATGGATATGGATATATCTCCATCCATCCATGAAGTGGATCATTTCTTGGTACTGTAGCTTTTCCACACAGGTTCATAGGCTAGCATCACTCTCCAAAACCAAACTTAAAACCAAGAGTCATTTGGTAAGAAGAAGCACATATACATATGTTTACATTTGTATGTATTTGTGTTTTGAGGGGGCTAGTAAGGGACAGGCGATGGGAGGGAGAAGAATCATTTAGATCAAAGGGAAGAAAGGAACCAGTGATATTTCAGAGAGGGGGTCAGCTTCTGTTGGAAGGAAAAAGGAAGAGGTATTTCCCAGCAGAGAGAAGCCCAAGACAGAATTTTTTACATAGTAGGGTTCCCATCCTACAACATCCCTGGTACTGTTCAAGGTTTCCCCAAGCCCCTTATTTTTGATGTTACCCCCATTCCACAAGAAGCTTAGAATGAGTGCTTCCCCTGAACTGAACTTGAAAGTACTCATCCAGCCTGATTTGTACCCCCTGCACCTGTCCTCTGTCCCCAAGGCTGCCTTAGGGTCCCATCTACTTGACCCAAGCAAGTAAAGTACTGGCCCACTTAGCCAACTCAGGCCCAAGTCTTCATTCCCCCAAAGCACATCCTATGTACTATTGATGGCAGCAGTGGCCCATTAAAGCAGCTGCTGCCATGACACTGGCTGCAGTGGGGAAGATGTGACCCGGGCTGTGCGCTCCATGGAGCTGTTGGGGGCTGGAAGCAGGCAGGAGCCCTACCTTCTTAGGCACAGCTGCAGCCAGCCAAGCCATGGCTGTGGACCTGGCATCTCTGCACTCTTGGGGGCTTGGGAAGTTCGGAAGGTTTCCCCTCACTGCCCCTGCAGGCTCCGAGGTGTCTGCTCCCTGCTTCTGGTACCCACTCCAATACCAGAGCAAGGTTGGGGCCAAGCACAGGCCCTGTCACAGCCCAGCTGGGTGTGTGCCTGCCCTCTGCTGCCTTGGTCCCCTCCGGGCTTTGGGTGCCGATGAGCATCAGAGGGAGGCCGAGGTGGGAGCTGAGGGCAGCTTGGTGCTGGCCTGCAGGCACCCCTCAGCATGAACAGCCTGGGTGCCATGAATGGTGGCAGCAGGCAAACAGGATCCTGGGTGGAAAGGGGACAGGTCCCTGGTGAAGCCCCACTTTCAAGGTGGGGAGGACCTGAAGCGTGGGTACTACAGTGGGGGACGTGTGGCCTCGCTGTGTGTTCCACAGAGCTTGGGGACTCCCAAAGACCAGAGTGGGAACTTGTGGTCCTTTTTCTGGGCCAGCCCATGGCCCCCCATGGACCAATCAGCACACACTTCCTCTCCTCTGAGACCCATAGAAGCCCTGGACTCAGCCAAACTTGAGGAGATGATGGGACAACCAGCTGTGGAGAGAAGCTACCCACTCCAAGGTCTCCTCTCTGCTGAGAGCTGAACACTCATCAGGACACCTGCCCGTGGAGAGGAACTACCCAATGTGGGTCTCCTCTGAGCTGCTCTGTTGCTCAATAAAGCTCCGCTTCACCTTCCTCACCCTCCACTTGTCTGTGAACTTCATTCTTCCTGGAATCAGGACAGGAACTTGGGACCCACCAAATAGCAGAGCTAAAAGAGCTGTAGCACAAACAGGGCTGAAACACACCCCTGGCTCCCCATGTTGCAGGTGCCAAGAAGGAGAGCAAAGAGAAGGAGAGAAGAGCTGTTGCCCTTCAGGGACCCCAGAGCTAGGAGCTCCCTGACTAAGCCAGGGCAGTGAAACATCCTCTCTGGGGCTTTGAAGTTCCTGGCGTCTCCAACCTTCCAGGTGTTATTGCATTCCCTGGTGTCAGCTGTGGAAATTGCTTACAGTACGCCTGGTCCAGCTGCAGCCTCGCAGGGAGCCAGTGCCTGTGCCGGCACCTGAAGCTGCCTTCCCTGCCATCGCCAGCATGCCTGGCTGTGCACAGTGGCTGGATCCTACACTTGCTCACACACCCCTTGCTGCTCTGCCCCTGGCTCCCCCTTGGCAGGCATGGGGTCCAGGCCGGTAGCGCGAGCCAAACACAGCCAGCCAGGCCGAGTGGGCAGAACGAGCCCTGTGTTCCTGAGCAAAACTTGGACAAGGGCGCCACTGGCCACAAAATTTCTAGCTGGTGAAGCGACACTCCAAGAATCCTATGACACTGGGGCCTCTCTGCTTCCTGACCAGGAAGGCTGGATTCCAACCCCCTCCAGAGCTATCTGCTGTGGCTTTAAGAGAATGACTCTGAGTTAAACAGTGAAAACAGGACATTCAGCAAGAAGAATCCTTCTCAGGCCTGGGAAGCGCCATATCTGTTATTAAGGGATGAGGTCTCTGGGTACTTAATTTAGGAAACTTGCTGCAAGCCAGATGGATAATGCCAAAGGCCAGATGTAGCCTCAACTAGAGCTTCCTTAGCACAGCCTTAATTCATTTTTGATAGTTTTTTCTTTTTAATACTTCAAAATCTCACTCTTTTAAAACTGTCAAGATTAGTAACCATTTCCAAGGACAGACCTTGAATTATCATTACTGCCCATATTATGTCTTCATTATATTTTCCTTATTTATTTTGATATACAAGAATTGGTAAGTGTACATGTCTAAACTTCTATACTAGATGGTACACTTTTGAGGATGGGATTCCCTCTTTTAATTAATTCAACTCTCTCCCCAAACTCCCAAAATACAGTGAAATGTACAGAGAGAAAACTGATTTGTTAACCAAATAATCTATCTCAATGAATTGTGTGAAATAGGATAAGACATTAAAACTTTATAGTCCCTCAGTTTCCCCTATTATCTTTAACATGATTTTTAAGCTCACTTTCTACTCTAGACCATAAATGCCAAGAGGTTTTGTTAAGCAAATTAAGAGTGCAAACAAAAAAGAGGAATGTTTTTAACCTATTTTAAGAGAACAAAATGCTTTCAAGTGCTTAACGGTATCTATTTTTACACATATGGGATCATTAAAATATCAGGGGAGCCAGCTGCCATCAGGCAAATGCTTTGGATGTTCTCATTGCAAACCCTTCTGACCCACTGTACTTAGAAAGCCCCTTCTCTGGTGAACAGAACTTCCCTTCAAGTAGGTAACTTCAAAGAGGCAACGTGGTACACTGGCAAGCCCTCAGATCTCTTATCTGAAAAACCAGTAAATGAATTTAATGATACTGAGGAAGTCTAATATAATAGTAGAAGCAGCTCCCACTCAATCAGGCCTTTGCTATTCTGGTAGATCCCTAAAGAACATTGCACTCCTATACCTGGTGTGATGGGGGAGCGCCAGGATCAAGAGCCACAGATCTGGGTTTAAGTGTTCCTTTCCTCTGTCACTCACTGGCTATGTGACATGGACCAATTAACTTGCTTGCTCTGACCTTCAGTTTCCGTCTAGATTTGTCCTTCCATCCTGACAAGCATATTATAAAGATCAAATGAGGAGATGAGGTAATGAGTAGGCAAGCTCTTTGTGAACTGAAAAGAGATACAGATGTTAGCTCTATATTTTAAAATATCCCATCAATCACATTGTGATTTAATTAGCGTAGGCCATTTCCCACAAGCTAGTACAAGTCATAGGAATTTGACTGTATTGTGTTAGCATGTTACTGGATTCTTTTGCAGACACACTGTGAAGCAATCAGGTACAATAGTTAATAGTATGCCATTAAAGGCAACTAGACTTGGATTTGAATAACAATTTTGTAATTTACTAGCTAAGACTTTGGGAAAGATACTTTACCTCTCCTAGCCTCAGTTTCCAATTCTGCAAAGCAGCATTAGTTGAAAAATAATAATAGCTGTGTTATGGACTGAATGTTTGTATCCCTCCCGAGTTCATATAGTGAAGCTGTGACCTTCAGTGTAATGATATTTGAAGATGGCATCGTGGGAGGTAATTGGGGTTAGAGGAAGTCTTGAGGGTGGGGCACTTATGATAGGATTAGTGCCCTCATAAGAAGAGACACTAGAGAGCTTGCTCATTCTCACTTTCTTCACCTTGTGAGGACATAGCTAGAGGGGGGACATCTGTAAGTTAGGAAGCGACCCCTTTCCAGAACCCAACCATGCGGGCACCCTGATCCTGGGATTCCAGCCACCAGAACTGTGAAAATAAATTTCTGGTGTTTAAGCCTTCAGTCTGTGGTATTTTGCTTTGGCAGCCCAAGCAGACTAAGACAATCTACTAGAGTAAAAAATAATCAGAAACATAATAATCACTGAATATTAAAACCAGAGGAAATTTAAACCAAGAAATTAATTACCCAAGTGCTAGAAGAACTGAAAACTCAGCAAGGCCAGTGAGGCAACTCAGAGATCAAGAGCAAGCCACCGCTGCTACCCCGAGACTGCAAGGACAAAGGGAGGCTGTGGGGTTACGAGAGCTCAAGGTTCAGGTCACCCATCGGAAACTGAAACCACAGTGGGGCTGTCTGGGGTAATCAAGAGATTCAGAGGAGGTGTAGCTGCTGATGCAAGCAGAGAGAGAGAAATGCCCTTAATTCTCCCTTCCTCCCACCCTCAGACTCCTCCCAGTGCTTCTCATTGGCTGTAGCAACCAAGTTCTAGTGACATCAGAACCTGGGACGCACAAATCTTGATGATGAGGACACCCTGTGTACATAGCATAACAGGGAGGGGAAGATTGGCTTCAATAGCAAATAGTCCAAGGACCAGCACAGTCACCTTCTTGGGATTCATATTAGTTAATTGAAGATTAATATTAGTTGTATGAGCGATCCTGGCTATTCAATTAAGTATTTAATTTAAAAACTCAATGCTGACTTATACCATGGTTCCGTTAGAGCTAGATCTTTCTCTTACTATATTAGACATCCTGAGTGTCAATAGGCTCTTTCACATGTTCCAGGCACTTTCACATATGTAATCTCATTTAACTCCAAAGAATTTGTGCTTTTCTCCATTTTCCTTCCTATCTGCTCAGTGGTCTTATCCCTAGCAACTGAGGGGTGCCAGGATGTGGGGTTTAAAAGTTGGCCCTTCTCCATGTAGCTCCAACCTAGTTGTCCAGGGAAATGCCCGCCACATCTTCCCTGTGAACCCTATGCTGCAATCACTTTGGAGAACCCCCTACCAGTTCCCAGAATGCTCACTCTTTCCTGCTTCCTAGATAGCATTCATACTGTCCTTTGTATAGCCTTCTTTTCAGGACCAGCTCATTGTCCCCTCCTCTGTGAAGCCTAGAAACTCAGCTCACTGGCAGAATGCAGCACTTCCTCCTCCATCTCCCTAATATGCTCGAGGCTCCTGAGATTATTGTAGGGATTATCTGGTTGCAGGAGTAGCATCCTCTTCTGCTAGATCATGAGATTCTGGTTGGCAGCTCAGAGAATCTGGAGGCTGAATCCTGGAGGAAAAGCTTACACCCAGTGTGGCACAAGGATTTAGAGCCCAAGAGACTTAAGTCTGAGCTCTAAGTCTAAGTCTGATCCCAGGAGACCCATTCTGATCTCTACCAATTCCTAGCTGGGAATTTAGACAAGCGAATTAATCATTGAGCAGGTTTTCCCTCTGGCTAAAATAGGGAAGACAAGTGCAAACCATCTCTCAGGGTTATTTTAAGAATTAACTTAGATAATCTATGTCAAACGCTGGTAGCAGTAGGAAATTTTTACCAAAGGCTGATCTCCTTCCCCTTCCTTTTCACCTACAGTTAACCTCAGGGTAGTGAGGCCCAGGAGTCATATCTGGCCTGGTGCAGGAAAAAAGGACAAGAGATTAAATATTTTAGGCTTTATGGGGCACATTCAGCTCCTCTCACATATTCTTCTTTGTTTTATTTATAATTTTTTTTTTTACAATTCTTTTTTTTTTTTTTTTTTTTTTTTTTATTATACTCTAAGTTTTAGGGTACATGTGCACATTGTGCAGGTTAGTTACATATGTATACATGTGCCATGCTGGTGCACTGCACCCACTAATGTGTCATCTAGCATTAGGTATATCTCCCAATGCTATCCCTCCCCCCTCCCCCGACCCCACCACAGTCCCCAGAGTGTGATATTCCCCTTCCTGTGTCCATGTGATCTCATTGTTCAATTCCCACCTATGAGTGAGAATATGCGGTGTTTGGTTTTTTGTTCTTGCGATAGTTTACTGAGAATGATGGTTTCCAATTTCATCCATGTCCCTACAAAGGATATGAACTCATCATTTTTTATGGCTGCATAGTATTCCATGGTGTATATGTGCCACATTTTCTTAATCCAGTCTATCATTGTTGGGCATTTGGGTTGGTTCCAAGTCTTTGCTATTGTGAATAGTGCCGCAATAAACATACGTGTGCATGTGTCTTTATAGCAGCATGATTTATACTCATTTGGGTATATACCCAGTAATGGGATGGCTGGGTCAAATGGTATTTCTAGTTCTAGATCCCTGAGGAATCGCCACACTGACTTCCACAATGGTTGAACTAGTTTACAGTCCCACCAACAGTGTAAAAGTGTTCCTATTTCTCCGCATCCTCTCCAGCACCTGTTGTTTCCTGACTTTTTAATGATTGCCATTCTAACTGGTGTGAGATGATATCTCATAGTGGTTTTGATTTGCATTTCTCTGATGGCCAGTGATGATGAGCATTTCTTCATGTGTTTTTTGGCTGCATAAATGTCTTCTTTTGAGAAGTGTCTGTTCATGTCCTTCGCCCACTTTTTGATGGGGTTGTTTGTTTTTTTCTTGTAAATTTGTTTGAGTTCATTGTAGATTCTGGATATTAGCCCTTTGTCAGATGAGTAGGTTGCAAAAATTTTCTCCCATGTTGTAGGTTGCCTGTTCACTCTGATGGTAGTTTCTTTTGCTGTGCAGAAGCTCTTTAGTTTAATTAGATCCCATTTGTCAATTTTGTCTTTTGTTGCCATTGCTTTTGGTGTTTTGGACATGAAGTCCTTGCCCACGCCTATGTCCTGAATGGTAATGCCTAGGTTTTCTTCTAGGGTTTTTATGGTTTTAGGTTTAACGTTTAAATCTTTAATCCATCTTGAATTGATTTTTGTATAAGGTGTAAGGAAGGGATCCAGTTTCAGCTTTCTACATATGGCTAGCCAGTTTTCCCAGCACCATTTATTAAATAGGGAATCCTTTCCCCATTGCTTGTTTTTCTCAGGTTTGTCAAAGATCAGATAGTTGTAGATATGCGGCATTATTTCTGAGGGCTCTGTTCTGTTCCATTGATCTATATCTCTGTTTTGGTACCAGTACCATGCTGTTTTGGTTACTGTAGCCTTGTAGTATAGTTTGAAGTCAGGTAGTGTGATGCCTCCAGCTTTGTTCTTTTGGCTTAGGATTGACTTGGCAATGCGGGCTCTTTTTTGGTTCCATATGAACTTTAAAGTAGTTTTTTCCAATTCTGTGAAGAAAGTCATTGGTAGCTTGATGGGGATGGCATTGAATCTGTAAATTACCTTGGGCAGTATGGCCATTTTCACGATATTGATTCTTCCTACCCATGAGCATGGAATGTTCTTCCATTTGTTTGTCTCCTCTTTTATTTCCTTGAGCAGTGGTTTGTAGTTCTCCTTGAAGAGGTCCTTCACATCCCTTGTAAGTTGGATTCCTAGGTATTTTATTCTCTTTGAAGCAATTGTGAATGGGAGTTCACCCATGATTTGGCTCTCTGTTTGTCTGTTGTTGGTGTATAAGAATGCTTGTGATTTTTGTACATTGATTTTGTATCCTGAGACTTTGCTGAAGTTGCTTATCAGCTTAAGGAGATTTTGGGCTGAGACGATGGGGTTTTCTAGATAAACAATCATGTCGTCTGCAAACAGGGACAATTTGACTTCCTCTTTTCCTAATTGAATACCCTTTATTTCCTTCTCCTGCCTGATTGCCCTGGCCAGAACTTCCAACACTATGTTGAATAGGAGCGGTGAGAGAGGGCATCCCTGTCTTGTGCCGGTTTTCAAAGGGAATGCTTCCAGTTTTTGCCCATTCAGTATGATATTGGCTGTGGGTTTGTCATAGATAGCTCTTATTATTTTGAAATACGTCCCATCAATACCTAATTTATTGAGAGTTTTTAGCATGAAGGGTTGTTGAATTTTGTCAAAGGCTTTTTCTGCATCTATTGAGATAATCATGTGGTTTTTGTCTTTGGCTCTGTTTATATGCTGGATTACATTTATTGATTTGCGTATATTGAACCAGCCTTGCATCCCAGGGATGAAGCCCACTTGATCATGGTGGATAAGCTTTTTGATGTGCTGCTGGATTCGGTTTGCCAGTATTTTATTGAGGATTTTTGCATCAATGTTCATCAAGGATATTGGTCTAAAATTCTCTTTTTTGGTTGTGTGTCTGCCCGGCTTTGGTATCAGGATGATGCTGGCCTCATAAAATGAGTTAGGGAGGATTCCCTCTTTTTCTATTGATTGGAATAGTTTCTGAAGGAATGGTGCCAGCTCCTCCTTGTACCTCTGGT
The DNA here is from genome assembly GCF_000001405.40 of Homo sapiens. Classification (NCBI taxonomy): domain Eukaryota; kingdom Metazoa; phylum Chordata; class Mammalia; order Primates; family Hominidae; genus Homo; species Homo sapiens. Next base: position 95,439,641 of record NC_000011.10, on the reverse strand, counting down.
AGAATTCGGCTGTGAATCCATCTGGTCCTGGACTCTTTTTGGTTGGTAAACTATTGATTATTGCCACAATTTCAGAGCCTGTTATTGGTCGATTCAGAGATTCAACTTCTTCCTGGTTTAGTCTTGGGAGAGTGTATGTGTCGAGGAATGTATCCATTTCTTCTAGATTTTCTAGTTTATTTGCGTAGAGGTGTTTGTAGTATTCTCTGATGGTAGTTTGTATTTCTGTGGGATCGGTGGTGATATCCCCTTTATCATTTTTTATTGTGTCTATTTGATTCTTCTCTCTTTTTTTCTTTATTAGTCTTGCTAGCGGTCTATCAATTTTGTTGATCCTTTCAAAAAACCAGCTCCTGGATTCATTGATTTTTTGAAGGGTTTTTTGTGTCTCTATTTCCTTCAGTTCTGCTCTGATTTTAGTTATTTCTTGCCTTCTGCTAGCTTTTGAATGTGTTTGCTCTTGCTTTTCTAGTTCTTTTAATTGTGATGTTAGGGTGTCAATTTTGGATCTTTCCTGCTTTCTCTTGTAGGCATTTAGTGCTATAAATTTCCCTCTACACACTGCTTTGAGTGCGTCCCAGAGATTCTGGTATGTGGTGTCTTTGTTCTCGTTGGTTTCAAAGAACATCTTTATTTCTGCCTTCATTTCGTTATGTACCCAGTAGTCATTCAGGAGCAGGTTGTTCAGTTTCCATGTAGTTGAGCGGCTTTGAGTGAGATTCTTAATCCTGAGTTCTAGTTTGATTGCACTGTGGTCTGAGAGATAGTTTGTTATAATTTCTGTTCTTTTACATTTGCTGAGGAGAGCTTTACTTCCAACTATGTGGTCAATTTTGGAATAGGTGTGGTGTGGTGCTGAAAAAAATGTATATTCTGTTGATTTGGGGTGGAGAGTTCTGTAGATGTCTATTAGGTCTGCTTGGTGCAGAGCTGAGTTCAATTCCTGGGTATCCTTGTTGACTTTGTGTCTCGTTGATCTGTCTAATGTTGACAGTGGGGTGTTAAAGTCTCCCATTATTAATGTGTGGGAGTCTAAGTCTCTTTGTAGGTCACTGAGGACTTGCTTTATGAATCTGGGTGCTCCTGTATTGGGTGCATAAATATTTAGGATAGTTAGCTCCTCTTGTTGAATTGATCCCTTTACCATTATGTAATGGCCTTCTTTGTCTCTTTTGATCTTTGTTGGTTTAAAGTCTGTTTTATCAGAGACTAGGATTGCAACCCCTGCCTTTTTTTGTTTTCCATTGGCTTGGTAGATCTTCCTCCATCCTTTTATTTTGAGCCTATGTGTGTCTCTGCACGTGAGATGGGTTTCCTGAATACAGCACACTGATGGGTCTTGACTCTTTATCCAACTTGCCAGTCTGTGTCTTTTAATTGCAGAATTTAGTCCATTTATATTTAAAGTTAATATTGTTATGTGTGAATTTGATCCTGTCATTATGATGTTAGCTGGTGATTTTGCTCATTAGTTGATGCAGTTTCTTCCTAGTCTCGATGGTCTTTACATTTTGGCATGATTTTGCAGCGGCTGGTACCGGTTGTTCCTTTCCATGTTTAGCGCTTCCTTCAGGAGCTCTTTTAGGGCAGGCCTGGTGGTGACAAAATCTCTCAACATTTGCTTGTCTATAAAGTATTTTATTTCTCCTTCACTTATGAAGCTTAGTTTGGCTGGATATGAAATTCTGGGTTGAAAATTCTTTTCTTTAAGAATGTTGAATATTGGCCCCCACTCTCTTCTGGCTTGTAGGGTTTCTGCCGAGAGATCCGCTGTTAGTCTGATGGGCTTTCCTTTGAGGGTAACCCGACCTTTCTCTCTGGCTGCCCTTAACATTTTTTCCTTCATTTCAACTTTGGTGAATCTGACAATTATGTGTCTTGGAGTTGCTCTTCTCGAGGAGTATCTTTGTGGCGTTCTCTGTATTTCCTGAATCTGAACGTTGGCCTGCCTTGCTAGATTGGGGAAGTTCTCCTGGATAATATCCTGCAGAGTGTTTTCCAACTTGGTTCCATTCTCCACATCACTTTCAGGTACACCAATCAGACGTAGATTTGGTCTTTTCACATAGTCCCATATTTCTTGGAGGCTTTGCTCATTTCTTTTTATTCTTTTTTCTCTAAACTTCCCTTCTCGCTTCATTTCATTCATTTCATCTTCCATTGCTGATACCCTTTCTTCCAGTTGATCGCATCGGCTCCTGAGGCTTCTGCATTCTTCACGTAGTTCTCGAGCCTTGGTTTTCAGCTCCATCAGCTCCTTTAAGCACTTCTCTGTATTGGTTATTCTAGTTATACATTCTTCTAAATTTTTTTCAAAGTTTTCAACTTCTTTGCCTTTGGTTTGAATGTCCTCCCGTAGCTCAGAGTAATTTGATCGTCTGAAGCCTTCTTCTCTCAGCTCGTCAAAATCATTCTCCATCCAGCTTTGTTCTGTTGCTGGTGAGGAACTGCGTTCCTTTGGAGGAGGAGAGGCGCTCTGCGTTTTAGAGTTTCCAGTTTTTCTGTTCTGTTTTTTCCCCATCTTTGTGGTTTTATCTACTTTTGGTCTTTGATGATGGTGATGTACAGATGGGTTTTCGGTGTAGATGTCCTTTCTGGTTGTTAGTTTTCCTTCTAACAGACAGGACCCTCAGCTGCAGGTCTGTTGGAATACCCTGCCGTGTGAGGTGTCAGTGTGCCCCTGCTGGGGGGTGCCTCCCAGTTAGGCTGCTCGGGGGTCAGGAGTCAGGGACCCACTTGAGGAGGCAGTCTGCCCATTCTCAGATCTCCAGCTGCGTGCTGGGAGAACCACTGCTCTCTTCAAAGCTGTCAGACAGGGACACTTAAGTCTGCAGAGGTTACTGCTTTCTTTTTGTTTGTCTGTGCCCTGCCCCCAGAGGTGGAGCCTACAGAGGCAGGCAGGCCTCCTTGAGCTGTGGTGGGCTCCACCCAGTTCGAGCTTCCCGGCTGCTTTGTTTACCTAAGCAAGCCTGGGCAATGGCGGGCGCCCCTCCCCCAGCCTCGTTGCCGCCTTGCAGTTTGATCTCAGACTGCTGTGCTAGCAATCAGCGAGATTCCGTGGGCGTAGGACCCTCCGAGCCAGGTGTGGGATATAGTCTCGTGGTGCGCCGTTTCTTAAGCCGGTCTGAAAAGCGCAATATTCGGGTGGGAGTGACCCGATTTTCCAGGTGCGTCCGTCACCCCTTTCTTTGACTCGGAAAGGGAACTCCCTGACCCCTTGCGCTTCCCAGGTGAGGCAATGCCTCGCCCTGCTTCGGCTCGCGCACGGTGCGCACACACACTGGCCTGCGCCCACTGTCTGGCACTCCCTAGTGAGATGAACCCGGTACCTCAGATGGAAATGCAGAAATCACCGTCTTCTGCGTCGCTCACGCTGGGAGCTGTAGACCGGAGCTGTTCCTATTCGGCCATCTTGGCTCCTCCCCTACAATTCTTTAAAAATGTAAAAACCATTTTGCAATCCAAAAACAGGTCATCAGGATGGATGTGACACACTGGCAGCAGTTTGCTGACCTGTGTTCTACTACATGGCTTAGCAATCTGTTTAGCCTTAGCCTGAAGCTTCCCCTCACTGTTTCCTTTCTTCTTTTACTTGTCTTCTTTTTTCTTTCCTTACATTTTATCCATGTTCTTTTAATGGAGAAGTTAAAAACCCAAGTGTGAAGTCAGCCAAGCCTGGGTGCAAATCTCAACCCCAATGCCAAATGTTGAATAACTGCAGACAAGTTACTTAATATCTTGTAGCCTCTGTTCCGGCACCTTTAACATGATCCTGTAAAAACATCCTCCTAAAACTGTTGGGAAGTTTGAGACAGAGGATGTGCCTGCAGTGAAATACTGGAGACAGTTCCAAAGGCTTCTGAGAGCTGATTGTTAAATTCTCAGGAAATTTACAAGCCAGCTCTTAGGCTGTTGGTAGCTTGAAATCAGCCATGGTGCACATACTTACACTACAGAAATTGGCAAACACTACAAATCAGTCTTCCTCCCCACTCCCCAGCCAGTTGTTAAATGTTTACAGCACACCACTGTATTCTAAGCACTTTTCCCCCCTCACTCTTCTTACCTCCTTGGATCTCCCTGTTTCCAGTTTCACACTGCAAGGAATTAATGATATACCAGGAGGAATCTTGAGAGAGGAAAACATGCAAGCCTCCCAGGAAACTCTTAACAATAAGATCTTCACAATTCACACATCCTTTTAACCACTGTTGTGTTTTTCAGGCTGCAGAGTGCTACCCACTCAGTTAACACCCGTTATGTTGAAAAGCATTTGCTTTTCACAAGGAGGCATGTAGACTTTCCTATAAGTGCCAATAGAGAAAAAAGTAGATTGCTCCGTGATTTCCCAAATGCTAAGTGCAGCGAGACTGAGAGCTAGTAGAGTTTCTGAAGATGCCATGTACAATTGATAGATTCTGTTAATAAACCTAAGAGGAAGAACAAATTTGTGAAAGGAAAACACTTAACTAAAATGAATGGGCATTTCAAACCAGAAAATCTTCTGGGAGATATTCTTCTTCCTGAGTGGGGCATTAAGTTTTAATTATTTTTTATGGTAGAATAAAATATTCTTCTTTTCCTTGACTTATAATCTTTTAGGTTCACTATTTGACCCAGAAAATGAAGATACAAGATTTAAATTCTTTTCAGAGAATCCATTGTTTTTTGTTTTGTTTGGTTTTGTTTTTATTCAATTTAACAAACTATTGAATACTCTACCAGCTAGGAGTTGTGCTTGGCTTCTAGCCACAGAGACCACAGGACAGTGGTTTCAAGGAGATAAAAGTTTGTTTCACTGAAATGTGAAAGAAGTCTAGAGTTATGCATCTAAAGCTGACATGACACCTCTTTCTATTTTTGTCTTCCTTAAACTATAGCACCAGGCATTCATCCTTAATGTTCCTTCATGGTCCAAGATGGCTGCCAAAGCTGTATTAACCACATCCACATGCTCGGCAGAAAGGTGGGAGAAGGTGGGAGAAGAGCTGTCTATGTTTCTCTCCAGAGATTTTCCAGAACTCCCACCCATCAGCTTCTGCTTGATCTTATGGACCACTCCTAGCTGCAAAGAAAGCTGAAAAACAGCCTTCAAGCTAAGCACATCACCACCCCAAATAAAGTCAGAGCTCAGTCACTAAAGAAAAAGGGAGAAGGGTTATCAGATGGGGAACCAGCAATGTGCATTTGCTATAAGTGTTCCTTGCTCAAACATTTGTGTGTGAAGGAGAGAGAGGATGGGGGGGTGGGGGGGTGGGAGAGGTGTGTTGAATTTTGGGGACAAAGTAAAAATACATTTTTAAAAAGAGATTAAGACATTTCATGGTCTCAGACAATGTGTGATTTGGTCAACAAGACTCACAGTCAAATACCCACAAATACTCACGTGCACATGCACAGCCACAAACACATGCATAGCCGCCTTTGTAGATGAAGTAAGTAAATGAATTTTTAAAAGCACAAACAGCCATGGAAACACTATGTTAATTCATGCTGCCAGTGTTCCAGAGCATATGATGCCTAAACTCTTTGCTTGGTTTCTCCCTATTTGGTCTAGAGTGGAGTGAGTTTGTGTGTGTATCTGTGAATGTACTCATCCTTTTTTGTAAAAATGGAAGTGGATAGAAAATGAAATAGAGAATTCTTTCCCAATTTATTTCTACTTCTCTCCTTCATTTTCTATGTTGAACTAAGAAAAAAACATTGTAATGCCATCACATATGTATATATGTATTTTTCCTGTGTCTTCTTTTAAAAAATATTTAAGATCTACAGAGATAGACGTAAAAACAATTTTAAAACATCAGGAAATGGGAGTAAAATGAAAATCATCACGAAAAAAGGCAACGTAGAAAGTAGTTAAGAGCTAAGATTCCAGGACTTTGTTCCAACCTGGCTCCCTTCTTTTCTCAGCTACACAACTTTGGGCAAATAATTTTGTGCATAAAACAAAGTTTGTGTTAAGTACTTATTTGTGGCATTTTCCACTCGTGGCATCATATCAGCACTCAATAAGTTTCAGATTTTGGAGCATTTTGAATTATGGATTTTCAGATGGGGATGCTCAGCCTGTAGCTATATGAAGTAGGTAATGATTTTATCACCATTTTGCAAACAAACAAAAAAAACCCTGAGGCTCAGAGAGGCAAAGTCTCCTGCTGAGCTTCACGGCTAGTTAAATGCTAGAATGAGGATTTGAACTCAGGATAGGATGTATTTTGCTGCTGATGTCTGAATGCCATCACTGACAGGTCTTCTTTGAGTGGACAGAATGTGTATGGGGGACTTGTTAATTTGGTGTGGACTCAGTTTTCAGAGGAAGGAAGTGAAGGGTGATTCAGAGCCCAGGGCATCCTGGAGTGAGACAGATCTGGATGGCAGCTGGGAGGAAAGTTGAGATCAGGGAGAATGTGGGAAGCTACTGGGCAGACAATGGCATAGAACAAGGAGGTGCAAGCATTCATTCATTTTTGCAATTTGTAAATGTTATCTACGAATTTCCTAGGTGCTGGGAATAGTAGTGACAGTGAAAGAAAGAAATGGTCTCTGCCCTTGTAAAGCTTACAGTCAAATGTTCAGAGATACTATTTATAGACTATCACAAGTAACTATAGAATTACAACTGTGATAAGTGAGTGCTTCAAAGAGGTTGAACATGGTGACATAAGATCCAGGTCAAGGACTTTGGATTGTGGGTAGTATGTCATAGCAATTCAAGCTCGCTGAGCTCCCACCCCATTTGCAAAGGTTTCCAAAGCAGGCACATGTCATTCACTAGGACTTGTTGGTAATTCAGAAAACTCTAGGAAAGCTAGACCAGTCCACCACTTCTGGAAAGAAAGAAGAGACACTCTCTACACAGGGTCATAGACTGCGTGAGTTCTTCTCATGAATGCAGGCTCAGGGTGAAGTCACATGGAAATATTCACGCACTGTAACAGAAAAAATGCTCAAACCAATGCTGGGGACAACCATGCCCCCATACGCAGCTGGGCATATTTCCAAGTAAGCTGACCTTTTGTTACATGCTTCTGGAGGCAAGTAGAAGAACAGCAATGAGCAGAAATCACACAAAAGTGCCTGACCTTGCTTGTTCTGGGGAGATAGTTTGACTCCAAAACACCTGCACTCAAATTATTTCAGGCTGTTGCTGACTGAAAATAGAGCTCTGGAGATAAGTTCTCTTCAATCCTGTGATTTAAAATCTTATCAAAAAAGATGCCTGGGAAAATTACACTGAGCAGCACAAATGACTTAAGAATCTAGGTCAATCTGTGAATGAGGTATTTACAAAGCACAGGAAGCTTGAGCCTCCCCTGGCCACCCGTAATCCCCTGGATGTTCATCCTCTGGTATCTTTGCATGTCCATGGATCTGACCTTCTCACTCCTTCTTGGGGGTCCTCTGGAACTCATGCTGTGTTATCAGAAAAATGTCTCTGCATTTTCAACTACTCTGAATTTGTCCTTTCCACTGTGGATGTGTCGCACACCCTAGGAAGGTACCACTTACGTCATCTTCTATGTAAATGGTATCCTATCAAGTTGGATAATGCCAGCAACACTGCCTCTACCTGTTGCCCTGCTAAATCCTTACTCTTCTAAGTGCAGGCTATTTTTTTTTTCTCTCTCACAGCTCATCCTTGTTTCCAAGTTTATCTTCAAAATAGTTTTCCTCCTGCCTTCAAAATCCCTAAGCCCTTCAGTTACCCAATAGCCCTCTTTGTTACTGTGAAACACAAACCCTGGAGAGCCCCCTTCTCCAGTGGCTTTAGCACCAGACTGTCCTTTATTGTACTGCTACTCACATCATTCTTGCACACTTCAATATTCATGTGTATAATCCATCCATCACTCTGGCCACCCCGTTCCTCAATCTCCTCACTTTCAACTATCTGTTCCTTCATCCCACCTCATTTATGTAACCCTATAATCATGTCCTTGACCTTGTAATCTTCTCGAAAATCTCAATTTTGAGTGCCCTGTTTTGTTTTGTTTTTTTTCTTTTTTATCACCAGCTCTTGTACTTTAGGCTCACTTCCTCTAAATATTTTTAATCCAAAAATTCCTTAGTCTCATCAAGATGACCCATCCATTGGAGCCACATTGAGAGAACTAACTCCACTTTCCTTCTTCCTTGCCCAGTGAAGAGTTTATGGTCATTATGATCATTTCTTTATAAACACTCTTAAATCACCAGCTTCCATTTCTGCAGAGCCAACCAGACTAAGCCCAAACCGATTAAACCCTACTATCTCTTACTCTAAACGTGCAGTCCACACAGCTGAATGTTTCTAGACAGAAACACACCACATGATTGCAAATCTCAAATAGGCACTAAAGTAGACATCTATAATTTTTCACTCTTCAAAACTGTTTCATAGTTTTTTCTCTCTTCTCAAATTTCATGCACCTGTGCCCTTCCACTCTTGACCTTGTGTTATATTTCACTAAAGAAATAGAAGCAGACATTAAACAAAGAACTTCTTCCCACCTCCAAATTCCCACCCTGTCTGCACTGGAGATGCTCGGTTTCCCCTCATGTTGGTTTGAATGAAGCATCCCTGCTCCTGGCAAAGGTGATCCGTATGCCTTTGCCCTGGACCTCAACTTCTCACCTTTTCCTAGAATCTGCTCCGGTAATTATCCTTTCGACTGTTTTGCATTATGGATCTTTCCCTCTCTACTAATTTATCCCAATCAGCACACAAGAATGCTGTAGTATCCTTGTCTTAAAATGAATAGCAAAAGAGCTCAAGCCCACATTTCTTCCAACCTCTGCCTTATTCCCAGTTTTCCCTCTATAGCAAACTTCCTCCAATATAGTAACCACTAGCCACATACCTGTGCTGTGTATTGAGATGTGCTGTGTAAACACACATACCAGATTTCAGAGCCTTTGTAAAATAAAAAAGTAAAGTATTGCCAGGCATGGTGGCCCATGCCTGTAGTCCCCACTACTACCAAGGCTGAAGTGGGAGGATCACTTGAGCCCAGGATTTCTAGGCTGTTATGAGCCATGATCATGCCTCTGCACTCCAGTGTGGGTGACAGAGAGAGACCTTGTCTCTAAAAAACAAAATATGTGTCTCACAAGCAATTTTTATATTGATTACATATTTAAATTATAATATATTTTATTAAAATTAATTTACCCTGCTTCTTTTTACTTTATTAATGTGCTTAATATGGCCATTTATTATATAGCTACTAGAAAATTTAAAATTACATACATGGCTCACATATGTCACTTGCATTATATTTCTATTGAACTGCACCCATCTACACAGCCTCCTCTGTGACCATTAGTCCCACGGCTCTAAATATCCTAAATATGATCTATAGGAAGATAGATGTCCTTTGACTCTCAACATTTTCAGCTCTGGTCTTTCTTCAGAACTCCACTTTGCTATGCCCCATTATCTATTCAATAGTTCTACATGGATGTCTAAAAGATATCTAAAACTTACCAAGGACGAAATAGAACTACTGCCTATCCTCTACCCTAAATTGCCTTCTCCAATTCTCCTTATCTTAGTAAATAGCACTACTGGTAGTGCTAGCTAAAAATATAGGTGCTATCCTTGATTCTTTCAATTTCTTCTCTCCTTTCCTCAAAGTCACCTGCAAATTCTATTGACTCTGTCTCCAAAACACATCCTGAATTCATCTATGTTTCTCCTTCTCCACTACTGCTAATTTAACACAAGCCCCACTTCATCTCTCCCTAGTAAGCTTGGAACTCATAACCCTGCTTCCACTTTCCCACCTTTCCATTTTGCACACATTATTCAGAGTGGTATTTCTTAAACATAAGTCATATAAAGTGCCTCCCTGGTTAAAGCACTCCAGCAACTTTTGATTACACTCAGAAACTAACACCAATCCATTCACTCTGACTTCCAAAGCCCTGGCTGATCTGAACTCTACCTACCTCTCTGGTTTCATTTAATTCCTTCCTTCCTTTCACCCACCACATATCAACTGCTTGACCTTGCATCTCCTCTATCCGGCCAAGTTTGCTTCTGCCTCAAGGCCTTCACAGCAGCTGGTTCCTCTATCAAGACTCTGCCTTTTCTACCCCACTCCCATTTGCATGACTGGTCTCTTATTCACAGCTTAAATGCCAGTTCCTTAGGCAAGTCTTCCTTAACCCTTCAAACTAAAATATTCCCTGTATTATCACTCTACTTCTCTAAATAGCACTTACTGCTCAGACATTTCCTTGTGAATTCATTTATTTCTATATTGTCTCTTCTCCTCTTAGAATACAGATGCTCCTTGACTTATGATTAAGTCTTAAGTGGGGTTACATCCCAATAAACCCATGGTAAGTTGAAAATATCACGTTAAAAATGCATTTAATACCCCTAACCTACTGAACATTGTAGCTTAGCCTAGCCTACCTATTACCTTAGTAATATAGGTTACAACAATACTCATTTAAAGTTTTTTGTAAGTTTTAAAATTGTGGGAGTTTGTGTTCTAAGAAATCTGCAACTACTCCCAAGGTAGTAAAAATATTTTCCTAGAAATTTCGTAGTTTTCTTTTAAATTTAGGTCTATGATCCACTTCAAATCAATTTTTATGATTCAAGTGAGGTAGGGGTTAAACTTCATTTCATCCTATATGAACTTTCAGTTGTTGCAAGAATGTTTGTTTAAAAAAGACCTTCTCTTTTCCCATTGAATTATCTTGACATCCTTGCCATTGGTATTTAGTTGTGAAGCACTAAAAAGGGGATGTGAAGTCTTCTGTGCATTAGAATGGCTTTTTGACCAATAGGCTTCGTGGCAGAGCCACTGAGTAGCGAGTCAGCTTTTTTATTAGTGAGTGTCCTAAATGTTATTTAATCCATAGGTCTTGATTCTGAGATCTTCTGGGTTCTCCAGGGAAAGACTCACATTCTCTTGCCTAATAGTACAAGGCTAGCCTCAGACATTCTGGGAGCTGGACTGGAGAAGCGATGTTGGGGATTCACCATTCAATATGAACTTTGTGTTCAGTACAGTCTCTCTCCTTCTTTGTGTCTGGTAAGTTGGGTCTATTCTGGCTTCATTTCACAAAAGTATAAGCTTCCCATCTCTCTTGGGGTTAGAGGAAAGATTAACATCCAACTATGAGTTGCGAAGTATTGTTTTAACTTTTCTCGGACAGATTTCGGACCTGAGGACCATAGGGCTTGCTTATTTGGATGTTTCCCTTTACCATCAAGGCTTATTCCGCTCTGCGAAGTTCTTGCCATTCTACTTTGTCTTTGGATATTATGTAGTTGTGTTACAGAAGTCTCTTAATTTTATTAAAATTTCTGTTATAATTTCTTATTGTCTTTGTTATTTTTGTGTGATGTCTGTGAGGGAAGAAGAAAAATGGTCCCATCACTTAAAAGTGTAAGTCATGATTTCACATTTATAGAGGTTATTGGGCTTAGAGGGTGATGAATTGGAGGATCCTATTGTGACTCAGGTGAATTTGAAGACATTAAACACAACCAATATGTTGATAAGTACAAGATGTTCCATTCATTTTAAGTATGCTTTTTTTTTTTAAAGAGATGGTCCGTTACTCTCTGTCACCCAGGCTGGAGTGTAGTGGAACAATCATAGCTCACTGCACCTTGAATTTCTGGGCTCAAGTGCTCCTCCCATTTCAGCCTCCCAGGTAGCTGGGACCACAGGCAGATGCCACTATTCTTGGCTAATTTTTTAAACTTGTATAGAGATGAAGGTCTCGCATGTTGCCTAGGCTAGTCTTGGACTCCTAGCCTCAAGTGGTCCTCCTGCCTCTGTCTCCCAAAGCCCTAGGATTACAGGTGTGAGCCACCACACCCAGACATAAATATGCCTTTTTTTTTTTTTTTTTTTTTTTTTTTTTTTGAGAAGGAGTGTTGCTCTATCCCCAGGCTGGAATGTAGTGGTGTGACCTTGGCTCACTGCAACCTCTGCCTCCCAGGTTCAAGTGATTCTCCTGCCTCAGCCTCCTGAGTAGCTGGGACTACAGGCACGTGCCACCATGCCCAGCTAATTTTTGTGTTTTTAGTAGAGACAGGGTTTCACCATGTTGACCAGGATGGTCTCGATCTCTTGACCTCGTGATCTGCCTGCCTCGACCTCCCAAAGTGCTGGGATTACAGGCATGAGCCACTGCGCCTGGCCAAATATGCCTTTTAAACCTAAAACAATATCACACTGTTGCCTGTTGGGTCAATCTTACTGATTCCCTGCATAACCTTTCTGATATTTTGCCCTTACTATCTTTTAAGTAATTCTCCTTTATCTTTCTTTCAGCCAGCAGTTTTGAGCACTTATTATGTATTAGTCACAGTACTAGAAAATAGGATGTAATGATGAACATGATAAACATGTTTCCAGCACTCAGCAGATTATATTCCAGTAACAGACAAGAATAGCAACCAGACAATTATTATATGAGTAGGTAAGTGCTGTCATAAAGGCACATCAGACCATTATAAGAGCGGCTGGAAGGTACACTTAATGCTAGACTTGAGAGCTTGAGTTTCAAGAAAATCATACAGAGAAAGTTCATCTATGAGACCCGAAGGGAGAGGGGTAGTTAGCCAAGCCGGGGAGCAGAGTGGAGGTAGAGAACTGGTAAGGAGAAGAATGATTCAGCCTGAGACAACCACCTGGGAAAAGATCCAGAGATGAGAACATTATCATTTAAAAGAAGGCATTGAGAGCAAATTCTTAGGCTTCAGTGCTTCATTTGCTATAAAGCACTTCCCTAGAAGTGGTCTGCGGAACCCTGCTTTAGAATCACCTGAGGCCACTAATTAAAACGCAAATTCCTGGGTCCCATTCCAGATGTACTAAATTCTAATCTCTGAGGATGAAGCCTGAGAATCTAAATTTTTGATTAACTGCCCAGGTGATTCTTCTACATATCAAAATTTGAGCATTTGTGGGATTTGGGGCTGGAAACTGGTAAACAAGATCTAGATAAAAGAGCGTTGTAAGCCACATTAGGGAGTTTAGAAATTATCCTAAGAATACAGTCATTGGAAGTATCTTCTGATCCATTGCTAGAAGAGTGACCACTGCATATTTTTACCTTGGATACACAGCATGTAGCATAAAGCCTTTCAAGAATTCAGGTCATTTTATGACACAAAAGTATAATAATTTTTTAAAAAGTGTTGCCAAGAAAAAGGAAAAAAGAGAAATCAAGGTTTGAAAAAAGGAGGAAGGGAGCAAAAGAGAGAGGAGAGAGAGAAAGAGAGTTGTTAATAAAAAGCCTAGATACCCTATTTTCCCTTTACCCTAGTGAAAATCATTGCCTCACATCACAGTTAATCTGTTCCCAGAAACACTTCTCACTGAAATGGAGCATCTGTAGTAGAGATTGCTAGTGCTTTCCCATTTTGTCTTCCTCTCCACCGGGGCACAGTGGACATTTTTGTTTTTCCACAAATGATCCTGTGCCTGCAGTTGGATAAGACCATATGACTACTTCTGGCCAATGGACTGTGGGAAGGGGCATTTAATTACCAGTATAAGACTGTATCTCAGCCAGGCACGGTGGCCTGTACCCATGCCTGGCTGAGAGTAGTCGCAGCTACTTGGGAGGCTGAGGCAGGAGGATTACTTGAGCCCAGGAATTTGAAGCTGCAGTGAGCTATCATTATATCACTGCACTCAAGGCTGGGCAAAAGAGCGAGACCCTGTCTCAAAAGAAGAAGAAGAAGAAAAAAAAAATAGATTATATCTCACTCTCTTCTCTTGCTGTGTTGATCATGCATGAAGGAATTCTCATGTAAAAAAGTTGGTGAAACTCTAAGATCAAAGCAGCCGAGACTGCTGAGCCCACATGTGGCAGTTTTCTTAGGGAGTCTCCTGAAACCTTAATGGATTTGGTGTGAGAAACGTTTGTTGTTTCATGAAACAGAGTGGAGGACACTTGTCACCACAGCATAGCCGGGCATATTCTGCCTAGTGTAACATCTATTCTTTATTATGTACCTCTGTTAACAACAGTTCTATTTCAATTATGATCCTCCTCTCTCCACCCAATCTCAACTAACATTCAATGGTGCTTAGTGGAGTTAGGGAGTCATTCAATTTCCATTTGCCCAGTATTTCCTGATTGCTCTCTAAACTTCCCCAAGGCATCAATACCATGAAACCAACTATTTAATTTCAGCGAAACGGCTACTCAATTGTATCAGAGTCATTTGAAAAGAAGTATGAAATAGAAAACTGTTATGTGATAGCAAATGTTAAAGATGTTTGGAAGAGAGGAAATAGAAGTGTAAATACAAGCACATGCAACCTGAAGTCCTAGGGAAACAAAGCACATATATTCAATCAGCTACTTTGTGTTGAGTTCATCCAAAGTCCTATTGCCCTTTCTTTAGGAGGGCAATTCCCACATTTCAGTGTGCATAATAATCACCTGTAGAGCTTGTTGAAAACTTAGATTCCTAGGCTCCATCCCCAGAAGTTGAAATTCAGTGCATCTGGGGTGGGCCTAGGAAATCACATTTTAATAAGTGGCCTCAGGTGATTCTAAAGCACAAGTCTACAGAAAAGTGCTCTGCAGAATTGAAGCACTGAAGCCTAAATATTTGCTACCAATGAGGTCTTATTGCAGCAAACCCCAATGGGCTCAATAATCTCATTGAGTTTAACTCTTAAGGAGCTGCAAAGCTCAGCTAAACAAAATAACTTAATCTTAGGGGGGTTCCCTTGTGGGGCAAAATGACCCTCCCTTGAGGATTCCAGAGAACTAGTGTTTGAGTAATTGCTCAATGGTGTGGTCTCAATCGTATGTGCCATAGAAGTTCAGAAAAGAGAGATTAAAATCTGGGGTTGGGACTAATCACAGAAAAAGTTACTATGAAGATTCTAGGATATGAAATACCTGTGATAGTTTTTAAAAATAGGGGAATTTTTACTGATGAGTGGCAGAAAATTGAGTGGCCAGAAAGTCCATTTGGATAAGCCAGTGATTTTGGCCAGGGCATGAAAAGTAATCAAAAGAGAAATACTAATGAAAATGAGTAAGTATCTGTTTCCACAACTAATCTCCTCTTCCTTACTCACAAACTATTTCTCTGCCATGTGGTCCTTAGACAAGGAGTAGACTATAACTCAGGCTACTGACTTCCCAGAAGATGCTAAATAAAAGGATCTCAGTCCAATGCAACCCAGGTATCAGATCCAGCCCCAGCAGAGAGAAGATGCTTCCACTGGAGACTGGAGGAAAGAGAATGCCAAGAGTCAACTCATACCACAGATTTTCAAGTATTCTGGGAGACTCAATCTAGAAGAGAGTATACTCCAAGACCTCATTTGAATGCCCATTTGCTTTAAGTAATAATCAATGGTTACACGTGAAGTATTAAAACAATGGTCTCCAGTGACAAGGACCTCCTAGAAATTATCACGTATAAATGAACTGTTCCCACTTAAAATTTGACATTGATAAACTTCTAACTGTAACTCTGACAGAAGAATATTTGCGCAGTGTGCCAGCTATTCCCAGGAAAGCTTAGTGCTCAAGAAATTCTTTAATGTCTGAAGCATTTCCATTGGTGAAGAATATCTACTTTAATGATCAATTTATAATTACATAATATAATGTATATATACACATATATGTGGGTGTACATATGTGTGTGTGTTTTTAAGATACATGAAGAAAACATTTTTTTCTTAAAACATTGTGAAAGTTGATCATACGAATTGGGCCATCTTGCCATACCCAACTAAAACAAAGTTGAGAAGCCGGAGGCAAAAAGCACTCAGCACACATAGCATCGCTCCAAAAATACAATTATCTGCAAGCCTGGCTGCTGAAACTATCTGCTGTAACCTGGAACCAGTTTTATCTAATAGCTACTGAAACAATCTGCTACAACTCCAAGACAACTTTTGCCCACAGTGTCACTTACCAGTCAGAGCTTGCCAGCTCCCAAAACTTTACTAGTGCCAATGAACTTTCTCAAAGAGCAATACGTAACATTTCTCTTTTTAAAGTAAAACCTCTAACCTTCTGTTACTTTTTCAGACATATCGAAGTCCACCCAGTCTGTGTGTATGCCCTGAATTGCAATTTTTTCTTTCCAAATAAAATATTTTGGAGACTTGTCTCCTTATTTTATTTGACTTTTACACCATTAACAATGATTACAAACTTAATTCCTTTAAAGTGTTTCAGCAACAGATGTAAATTTAATGTGATCGATTTATTTAAACACTTCAAATCCCATAAGCAGCAAAATAAACTATATAAAAATACAATTACCACAGAACATAGAGCACTAATATTTAATCCTGCTCTAAAGAATCAACACTTAGGGTTTCATGAATTTCTTCCTTATTTCTGTACTTACATATGTCGTTCCTATTTATCTGGCTGCTTTTCCAGCATGTCAATAACATATATTGACACCTTCCCAAGGTTGCAGAAATCTTTCTAGATACAAAGAAAAAAAAAAACCTTTTCAGGCCACTCAAGCTTATAGGATCTGGCTTATTTCCCAACTCTCAGGATTTTGTTGTTTCTTCCAAGGTGATTCAAACCCAAGCCACTGTTCAACAAACTGAGCTTCCTTTTTTGTTGTTAAATTTAACTTGTTGGCCAGGCACAGTGGCTCACGCCTGTAATCCCAGCACTTTGGGAGGCTGAGGCAGGCGGATGAGGTCAGGAGTTCGAGACCAGCGTGACCAACATGGTGAAACCCCATCTCTACTAAAAATACAAAAATTAGCCAGGCATTGTGGCACACGCCTGTAATCCCAGCTAATCAGGAGGCTGAGGCAGGAGAATCGCTTGAACCTGGGAAACAGAGGTTGCAGTGAGCTGAGATCACACCACTGCACTCCAGCCTAGGTGACAGAGTGAGACTCCATCTCAAAAAAAAAAAAAAGAAAAAATGTAACTTGTTACATTAATAAAAATTTTAAGGTCCACACTTTGACATAGATTCTATTGTTTTATAACTTATGTCTTGCCATGAAACAATACATTAAGTCTTACTTGGCCATTGTTACCAAATCAAATATTCCATCATCGCAATATATAGTTTTGATAGCATTATAAAAATGTTTATACTCTTTATTAATATTTTCTTATAATTTAATGGAATCTATCAAGCATTTTTATCTTCTATGAGATAAGAGATAATATCTACATACTTATCTTTTCTTCCAAGGGCATTTGGTTAATTTATCTTTTTGGAAGACAATGTTGAACCTATTTTTTATTTAATGATGGTACGTGGCTGCTGGCATCATTTACCTGTTCAATCCCCTTTCTACTTGATTATTAGGTATGACTACCAATGTTGATCAGTCCCTCCTGTTCTTGATACAATTTCTACCTTTGCTTGGTGTTCTAAGAAGTAACTCTGTTTACACAAATAGAAACAATCTCACACTTATATTTTAGGAACAACCATATGCTTAACCGAAGATATGAAGATAGAAAATTATGTATACACATGTGTGTGTATGTAATATGTATGTATTTACTTGTAAATTGCCCCCTTTGTCATTTGAATACCAATCCTAATGACTTTCAAGATATTCTAGGGTAGTTTGGAAACCATAGATTATAACTGGGATCTACAGAACTTATAATGCCACTTGCTAATTGAATGTGATCTTTACTATGTTTGGAGTTCCTTATCTGTAAACTGAGAATATAAAAGTAGACCTTCCTCACTAGGATACTGTAAGGATGAGAAGTAAATTGTTCTAATTCTGAAAACACAAAGTCAAAAAATAATGTAGATGATAACCAAAATGAAATTCCTTTTTTTCTTATATCCCAGAAACTTCTCCCACAAGCCCAGTATTCAACTCTCTAAGTTAGTGAATGGCCAACACGAAAAGGTCTCAAAGACAGTGAACCTAATGGCTAAGTTTCCAATCAATAGAACTCACTAGGTATTCTTAAGAAAGGAAGGCCACGTTTGCTTTTGTTCCATGTATCCAGGCTGGACTATCTGAGAGAGCTGTCTGGCCTCTCATTTCTGTTTTTATTGTGGTGGAACTCCAGAACCCATAACAATGAAAGTCAGCCCCAGAAAGAGCATCAACTGACTTTGCCAGAGAATTACAGCAATGCAGGTCTCAGAATTCTTTGACTCCTTCCCATTTCACTTACAGTGGAAGCCAACATCTTCATGATGTCCTCCATGGTCTATCATGCTCTAGGCCTGTGTTACCCTTCCAGCTCTTAGGTCTTAGTTCTCTTCTCCTTGATCACTGGACTCCAATCACTTCAGCCTCTTTGCTAAGTGTTAAATGCTCCAGGATCCCAGCTTAGGGTCTTGGCACTGCTATTTGCTCTACCTGAAATGCTTTCCTCCAGACATTCACAGCCTTTGAGTCTTTGTACAAATGTCATCTTCTTAATCAATCCATCTTGACCACCCAATTTAAAACTGCAACAAGCCTTCCAGCTCTTTGCACTGCTGATCTCCTTTACCCTGCTGAAGTAGACACTGTTGATATCCTGCCCATAATCCTTCAGCCCATCCTTGGCTATCACTTGTGGCTATGGTGAACAGTTCCCCACAAGTTGACAGCTTTCCCCATTAGGCATCTCACATTTCTGTTTCACTTTCTGAGGGTTTTCTCTACCACTGAAGATTGCAAGGCCCATTGGGGCAGTTCTGAAGAGGAGAGGATTTAATGTCCTTAGAGGTACCCCTCAGGTAATGAGGGATGGAGTTGGTGGGTAAATAACCTAGATTTCCCAGCCCTCAGGGTTGGGAGTTATTACACTATTTTACACTATTTTTACACTATTTTTCAGTGAGTCTCCGGAAGGATTGAGCTCCCTGCTCATTAACAAACAATTAACTGGCTTTTCTCCCTTTCCTGCCTCTATTTCTCTTCTCCCTTATGCATGCTTTCTGGGATCATCTCCTAATAAGCTAATTGCACCAAAGCCCTTGTCTCAGGGTCTTCTTTGGGGTGAACCCAGTCTGAGACACTGCTCTACATTTTTATTGTTTCACGGCACTTATCATCCTCTAACATAATATGTAATTTACTCATCCACTTATTTATTGTCTGTCTCTTTTCCACTAGAATATAAGTCCCATTGTGCTATCGTGATACAATAGTGATATTGTAATATAATAAGAAATAAATATTTGGATTTTATTCTGGGTTCCTGACATAAGAGCTTCTAAGGCCCTTAGAATCTCCACAATAATAGGAGTGTCTTTTTG
The DNA here is from genome assembly GCF_000001405.40 of Homo sapiens. Taxonomy (NCBI): domain Eukaryota; kingdom Metazoa; phylum Chordata; class Mammalia; order Primates; family Hominidae; genus Homo; species Homo sapiens. Next base: position 95,420,434 of record NC_000011.10, on the reverse strand, counting down.
CTAATGAGATGGCCAATAGTCCCTAGATAGCCTCAGGATGGGAGCTGGTTGCCAGAAAGACCAAGGCAGGATTAGAGGGTTAGAATTTTCAACTCCCACCCTCTGACCTCCAGGGAGGTGAGAGGAGCTGGAGATTGAATCAATCACCAATGGTCAGTGATTTAATCAATCATGCCTATATAATGGAATTGCCATTAAAAACTCTAAATGATAGAGTTCAGAGAGCTTCACTATCTTCTCATTCCTGCGCACCAAATAACTTCCTGATTCCTGACTCAGCTCCCGGGATCTCTCACCACTGCTAGGGGCCACTGGCATTCTGCTCACTAGAGAGGTAAACAAATGAGCCATGCATCTTACTCAGCAGTCTCTTGTGATTCTGTAATTCTTGCCTTCCACCAAAAGTCTAGTCATCTCTGAGTATATTAATTGCTCCAATTTTGGTTTCTGTAAGGATAGGTAAATTGTGTAGTAATTAAGCACACTAGCTTTGGAGTGAAAAGACATTTGTTTGAATCCCAGCTCTACCAGGTATTAGCTATGGATCTTGAAGCAAGCTGCCTGACCTTCTGAGTCTCATGTAAGTTGGAGCTAATAATACTCATTTAACAGGTTTGCAGTCAGGTTTAAATAAAATAGTGTGTGAAAGTGCCTGGCATGGGTGGCAGAAGATGCTGAATGAATAGATGCTCTTCTGGTCAAGGCTGAGAACCAGAACCTTAGCCCTTTATCAAGTCACTATCTTGCCAGGCCATGCTAGTCAGACAGTCAATCAGCCTTCCCCTGGCAGTTCTCCTACCCCATCACATAGACCCTTTTAAGTAAATTCAGCATGTTGATGTAATAGAGTCTGTTTAAGGATGGTTGGGCCAATGGAGTGTGTTATTGCTCCAATATCAAATTTGTCTTGGCAACTGACTACAAATCACAGCAGCAGGCTCTGTCCCCAATTTCACACAAATACATTTGCAAGCACAGTACCCCATTGCCCGCAGAGATAATCCATGCAACCTCCAGGTTGGACAAAGACCTACTCGACACCAAGATAAGAGATGGATCCTTGACAGCAAACAAAGGAAACTGACTGCATGTACTGGCTGACCTCAGCACCTTGTTGTTGCTATGCTGATTCTGAATAAGGGGGTAGTTGCCCTACAAACCTATGCTGGCTCTCTCCAGCATTTAAAGAAAGAAAAAAAAAATCACAATCCTACAGTATCTTATTATATGATACTGAACAAGTGACAGTTCCTCTGAGATTTTCAGACAACCTGATAAAGTATGTGCAGTTCTCGAAAAACAGCCTCCCACAGTCCCCACCCTTCATTGCTGACAGGTGGCAGAAGGAGAGAAGGAGGCAGGAGGAAATAGAAAGGCCATAGGATTTCTCCCTTCTATTTCTTTGGGCTCAGGCTCAAGTGCCTACAACTTTTGTCAGTTTGGAGTTGTCAAATCCACTGTTTCTATAATTATGTTAGAACCAAGAAATTCCTTCCAAAAATCACCTTTGTGATAATTTTCTGGGTAAAAATAAAATATAGGAGCACCAACATATAGCAGTAATTCTGTTCTTTCCTCCTTTCTCACCAAGCAGATAATCTCCACCTTCCTCCTAACTGCCCCTTCCATTCCTTCTTCCATTATGTCCAATCTGTCCCCTGAGCTCTTAAACTCATAGGATTCTCTTTATCAGAACTATACTTTCTGACCTTCATTTGAACCTGGGCTTCAGAAAACCCTAGAATCTTTGATTGGAAAGACCCCTCATTCTGACAGGACCTTCCATCTCTCAGGGCAGGTCCAGTAAAGCATGGCTATCAGGACAGCGGATGGGGAGAAGGAGGCCAGGGCCCAGGGAGACCGCAGGCAACCTGAGTCAAAACCGAGGTGAGACCAGAAGCTTTGCTGAAAGGGCCATGGTTATAGCCAAAAGCAGAGTCAGGGGCCAAATACGAAGATTAGGGTGAGACTAAAAATGAGGAATAAGAAAATAACACAGTGAGTTGGAACATGCAGAGGGCAAACAGAATCAGTATTGGAAATGGGCACATGTAGACCATCAGGGCACTGGACCCCTTTTATGGGGTGCATTTGGCCAGAGGGGCCTGGACAGTTTGAAGCAGCTAGGTAAGATGGAACCACTTCTTCAACCCCTGATAGATCAAACCTTACATTTTAACAACACTTGCCTATATTTTCCTCCCCTGGGTAACTGGGGCCCAATACTTGCTCTGCATGAGGTTCCCCACAATGTGGGACTGATGAAGGGGATGTGTTCTTGGAAACTGGAGAGTGGTGGGGTGAAGGCACCCAAAATTCAGATTTGCAAATCCTGGAGACATGCAAGATCTGAGCCTAATATACCTGAAAATAGAGTCCGGACAGTTTTCCAAATTAAGAGTCCAGAGGTAACTATTAGAAACCCATGAGCAATAGCCTGTAAAAGGAGTGAATAACAGAGTGTGGTACTGGAAAATTATTTTAATTACCTGGGCAGGTAAGGAATGAGGTCTCCAGGGCCCATAACAAGTCAGGGGAGCTCAAAGTGTAGAGGGTCTGTGCCAGCAAAAGGGCCAGGGAATAGATGACTTCTCCTTGTCCTCTCTACAGCTTGTTTTAGAAATAAGGAACCAGGATTAGGGAGTTTAAAGTAATCTCCAGGTCACTGGGATTGTGAGGAGAAGCCCGATGATCCTTAACCGGTAGCTACAGCTTGAGTACTAGGAATATGACAATGTCTTCCCTCTGAAACTAATAAAATCCCTATTTGATTGTATTAAAAATAATGATAATAACCATGAAAATATTAATATTGAGCCTGAAGTTTTAGGCAGGCAGTGTCATTCAGACAGTAAAAGTCACGGTGAGTTGTTTCCACAGAGGTGCACGAGGAGTAGAATTTGGCTGTGTTTCTCCCCAGCAGGTCCAAGAGTCCTGTTTTGTTCCGTGGGGTTGCTGGGAGTGGACAGTCAGGCTGGTTGTAATTAACAAAGAGCAGCAATACTGAGTGCTGAGAACACTGGGCCTGTACACAGCCCATAACTGAGGCCTCTAAACAAGCCATTCTTTCACTTGAGTATTTACTAAGGACCTAATAGGAACTGGAAGGGTATTAAATAGTGAAGTAGAATTCTCTGCCTTCAAGGGGTTGTCACACACAGGTAAAACAGTGGGAAGCCTTCAGTTCTACCATTAGGAAGTGACTATAAATACAATTGTTCAATGGAAGCAGAGATAGTATGGGCCAGTACAGTTCCTTCCCTCCCTTGCTCCCTCCTTCCTTCCTTCTTTCCTTCTTTCCTTCCTACCTTCCTTCCTTCCTTCCTTCTTCCCTTCCTTCCTTCCTTCCTTCCTTCCTATCTAAACTTAAAATATCTATGGAGAGCCCTGCCAGGCACTGGATATTCAGTGAACGGGGCAGATAGAGCTCTGCCCCAGAGGAACTTACAGTCTTGGCTGGAAAGCCTATAGCCTTGAAGAGTGGAGAAGGCTTAGAGTTTCTAAATGGAGGAGGGAGAGCATTATGGCAGGGTCAACTATAGGAACACAGGCAAGATTGGGAATGATGGTGGAGGAAGGAAAGGGAATCATTGCATACTCTGCAATATCATTTTAGGACATTGGAGCCCTTTTACAAGAAGGGTGCGTCAAAGAAGCTATTGAAGTTTGTTCATCCACTTATCTTTTTTCGGTCTTCATTTCTACCTTCTTCAAGAGAGTGGTTTCTTTCTCATAGATTTGAATTCCCAGCTGGGTTTTTACTTTCCTTGCACTATCTGATTTATGTTCATTGCTTACAGTAAAGCATTGTAGTTCAGGATGCGGCTACCCATAGTGGAAAGAGCCCAGCCTGAGAACTGGTTGACCTGGATAAACGTCAGTGAGTGTGGGAATATGGAAATGCAGGAAGGGGGAGTCACCCAGACACTAGAACCCAAACCTGGCAGTGCAGCAGTTAGGTACCTCCTCACTAGCAGACAATTGCCAATGATGACTCAGGCCCATCAAACTACATCAATTAATCTACATTATGTACTGTTATGCTAGACCCCTATTGACTCCAATAGGGATGGCACCATGTCCAAGAGGCTGAAGAAGAGAACAGGAGCCAGCAAATAAGACATGGGGTTTATTGTGGACTTACATATGGGGCCATTCAGTGGCTGTGGACTGGACAGGAGAACCACTACGATTTGTAAAAAGCATGTGGTTTGTATAGTATTTTCACTTAGCTCCCTCTACCTAGCAACCTTCACCTAGCAACCCTCATTTAACTCAAAACAAAGGGCCTTGATCGCCAGTACAGCCTGTGTTCCAAGAAATGGGTCAGGGGTTTGAATGTCCGTCATAGATAAGGACTAAATCTCTAGGTTGGCTACTCCCAGGTTCTTAGCTTGTAACTCTGAACACACATTCTGCTTAGACCATAGGGTCATTTTCAGGGTATGCATAAGTTATTGCTGTCAGTTGCATCTGCCATACATGTACCAGGGGCACTGCTAGGCAGGTTAGGAGAGAATCACTGCAGCCTGGCCCCAGTCTCCATTTTTGCAAAACATAAGCACCTGCAAAAAGATGAAAAGTGTTTTAAAATCTGAAGTTTCTTTGTGGGAATAGAGACAGGGTAGTCTGTCCACTTTAATCATGAAGGAGACTAAGTGTCTAGGCCAGTCTGGTCTTTGGGCTAGACTGGAATCTGTAGCCATTCTTTGGGCACACCATGCATCCAGGCAGCACTTAAGCTAGGCCACCTCCTAGGCACAACTAGTATGCATTCTATCCTGGGTGCCTTACATGTGTAACCCAAATGTCAGTTGGGATCATCTAACCACTTAAAACCCACACAAAATTTATTGGAATGACTACTTCATGTCTTGTAGAAGTTCAAAGGCTTTTAACATATTTCTGCCAATTCTTGGGGGATTTATGTTGCCTCAAAGTACTCTCTTTGTTTCAAACTAGAATAATCCAGAAACAAACCTCATGACCTTCCTTTAATTAGAAGACAAAAGCAAAATAAAATAAACTCCTTAAACACAGAAACATTTGTGAATACTATAATTATGATTCTAATATCCCAACTAAAGAGCCAACAGAAACAATTTTAAATTGAACATCAGTCATCTCCCTTCTTAAATTATTCTTTAGCTTCTGAACTATCGGGAATTTGCCCATGGTAGTCTCCCATAATCCACTGCTTTCTCTCAATATTGACTGCTTGCTCTTAGGCTCTCTCTCTCTCTCTCTCTCTCTCTCTCTCTCTCTCTCACACACACACACACACACACACACACTCTCTCTCTCTCTCTCTCTCTGTCTGTCTCTCTCTCTCTCTAGTTCTTGCTCCCTCTGTTCCATGTTTTCTTCTGAGCCCCTTTTTCTGATTCTCCAAAATTCTGATTCTCCTAAATTCTTCTTTCTTCCCCTCATCCTCCTCTTCTTCTTTCATTCCTCCTTCCCTCCCTCTCTCATCTGTCTCTCATATGCCCAGAGAAATTTACTTTTGAAAGTCCTGGCTATTTATAGGGACAGGTTATAAAAAGAGGGTCCTGGAATCAGGGTGAGAGTGGCTCATGAATATAACCAAAAATGTTGACTTCCAATTGCTGTGTGCTGGCCTCTAGCATGTTTACCAGGTTTAGGTGAAGTGTTTAAAATAAAAGATGCCATTATTTGATAGTAACCCAAAATATATTTATGCTTTTACTTCTTCCCTCTTCCAAACCAAAATTTCATCATCTCAGATCCCACTTTCTGCTTTCTTTTTCCTGATAATGAGTGAATAGCCCAAGAAGTCAATCAGACACTGAATCACAAAATGTGAAGGTGGGAGAGGGAAAGGAGAAGCAAAGACCAATCAACCCTCATCAAATACCTGCTGTGTGCCAGGAAGTTTATTAAGTTACTTTTAAGGAGTCTTGTATGTCCTCTCCAAACTTCTGGTTTGACAGTTGAGAAAATAGATTCTCCAAAGTGAAGAGAGTCATCCAACATTTGGTTGTAGTTAGTTGGTTTCAAAATGAACACAAGTAACTTTTTTTTTTTTTAACTCAGCCTAGTGTTCTAACAGGACTCATTCTCAAGAAAATCCCTAAAAAGGACACTGAGGATACGATTTTCAGATGATATTATTGGGTGGCTTGGATAGTTTAGGGAAGGGAGAGGGAAATTTCCTGTAACGTTTGAAATCATACTATATAGGTGACTGTCTCTGGTAGCATGAAAATAGTAGAAGCCCATTGAGAATGATTTGGTGTGGTGCTGGTGATGAGAACAGACAAGATCTAGCCCATAGAGATAAGAAAACTCCAGGAGGTTACTGTGCCTGTGATGCATTGGCTTGTGCAGGAGCATGGAGGCATTTGGCCGTTTATGACATTTCCCTTTTGTCTAGTGTTAATACTGGCACATTTGACTTTTGGCTCAAGGGAACACAGCTCGTCTTCCCTGAGTAAGCAGTCGATGAAATTAGGTCTCTCTCAAATAATTGCGTAATGGAGTTGGATGGGCTACTCAAGTCTATAGCCTCCTCCAAAGTAGTAGTCTTTGTACAACAAAATCTCCTTAAGGCTAGTGGCCTCACTGAAATTTGGAGAATCAGTGAGGTTTTAAACAGTCTCAAGAAGCTGATTTCTTCTCCAGGAGTTTCAGCTCTGCAAGAGAACATGTAGTTCACCAGGCAGAATAGACTCAGTGAGATGACTATTGGTTCTGGCCAACCAGCAACAGCAAGAGGAAAATCACTTGACCCAGACCTGGCCAATTAGAGACCAACATCCCTGTAGCTAAAAGAATTGGCTCAATGACAACCACATGACCCATGCTGGACTAACCTGGGTGCTCTTTCTTCAAGTAGAGGTAATGCTCTACTATATGCAATACTTGGCTGAAGCTACGTTGAGTCAATTCCTGTCATTTTCACTAAGAGTCCTTAAAAGTAGATGTCCTAGTTTAAAATGTGGAGAATGACAAAAGATCAGCTGAGCTTCATTTCCATTTATCCTGAGTCACACATTCTTCTGCCATCCCATATATGCTAGGTCTAGTAGTAGTAAAAAGAAAGGTGTTGAAATTTTGAGTTTGCCCCTTGGTTATTGGTATAGTTTTGCCTCACAAAACAGAAGTACAAAACTTTGTAGCCTCAAAAGTAAATGCAGAACCAAATTCAAATTAAATTTAAGTGGAAAAATGTCCTGGGTCACCTTTACTCAGCTCTGGCATTGTTGTTTATAATTATATAATGAACTCTTTAAAAGCAGGGATTATCTCTTGCTCATTTCTGTAGTCTTCACAATGCCTAGAATAACAAAGGCATCATTCATCCAATGTCTACTAAGCACTGTACTAGGTGACTTGCATGCATTAAGATACAGTTTTAACAAAATCCTAAAAGACCAAAGTTATTATGTAGGAAACAGTGATTCTAGAAGTTTCTTAAAAATCATGCAACTAGTAAATAGCAGGGTCAGAATTTGAAACTAGGTCTAATTTTAAACTTATGCTCATGATATTACATTGCACTGTATAGTACTTAGCAAAAACTAGGTACACAATAAAGCCTTGTTAAATTGAGTTGAAAATAAGAGCAGTTTGTGAATAGGCAGAAAATTTCAATCATAAAACCAAATAGCTTCCAAAACTACATAAATTAGCTTCTAATTATTTCTGGTGTTTTAATCTTGTTTCCTTAACCAAATCAAAAATACTAGGACACTAAATTCCTGATTTTTATAATGTAGTGTTTTCAAAAGAGTGTTATCATATAAACATAGTAGATATTCTGGAAATTTTTATTTAGTTGAAGGGCTCTGAATGCAATTAGATCCCCCGATGTTTAGTGATATCAATTCTTTGCAGTGGATATCCAGCAGTCACATGCTAGAGCACCATCAATAGTTAAACTCAAAAAAGAATACAAAGTGTTGCCTAGCCATCTCCGCCCCACTCCCCCAACCTGCCCATCCACACTCCCCTGCTTTCAGTTAATGCCCCCATGCCGCCCATCCACACTACCCTGCTTTCAGTTAATGGAGTTTTCGACACATCCTTAAGCATATAACAAACCTTCTCTGTCACATGCCTGCCAAGGCCTGTATTACAACCTGGAGGCTATTGTTTCACTTACTGCATTTGCCATAAACATTGCTGACTTCATCAGCAATTGAGAACCTGGGCTCAGGTCTCAACAGGTAGGAAAGCTTTGAACTTGCCATCTGTAGCACTGCAGACTACAATTTTCAGGCATTTCGACTTTCTGGCTGCAGGGGCTTAATTATTGATTCAAGTAGTTGAGGGCAAGGGGGCTGGGGCTGGAGGTGGGGCAAGCCCTGGCAAAAGCAGGATGTGGAAGAAGAAAGGAAAGGCGCGGCCCAAACTGTTGGAATGTTGGAAAGCTCCAACTCTTTGGGAGGAGTCAAGCTTACCATTTTGCCATTAACCAATACAGTCAATCTCTAATTTCCCAATGCTCTCTCTTTTTTTTATTATTATACTTTAAGTTCTAGGGTACATGTGCACAGTGTGCAGGTTCGTTACATGGGTATACATGTGCCATGTTGGTTTGCTGCACCCATCAACTCGTAATTTACATCAGGTATTTCTCCTAATGTTATCCGTCCCTCAGCCCCCCACCCCCCGATAGGCCCCGGTCTGTGATGTTCCCCTCCCGGTGTCCAAGTGTTCTCATTGTTCAATTCCCACCTATGAGTGAGAACATGCAGTGTTTGGTTTTCTGACCTTGCGATAGTTTGCTGAGAATGATGGTTTCCAGCTTCATCCATGTCCCTGCAAAGGACATGAACTCATCCATTTTTATGGCTGCATAGTATTCCATGGTGTATATGTGCCACATATTCTTAATCCAGTCTATCATTGAAGGACATTTCGGTTGGTTCCAAGTCTTTGCTATTGTAAATAGTGACACAATAAACATACGTGTGCATGTGTCTTTATAGTAGCATGATTTATCATCCTTTGGGTCTATACCCAGGATTGGGATTGCTGGGTCAAATGGTATTTCTAGTTCTAGATCCTTGAGGAATCGCCACACTGTCTTCCACAATGGATGAACTAATTTACAATCCCACCAACAGTGTGAAAGCATTCTTATTTCTCCACATCCTCTCTAGCATCTGTTGTTTCCTGACGTTTTAATGATCGCCATTCTAAGTGGCATGAGATGGTATCTCATTGTGGTTTTGATTTGCATTTCTCTGATAACTAGTGATGTTGAGCATTTTTTCATGTGTCTGTTGGCTGCATAAATGTCTTCTTTTGAGAAGTGTCTGTTCATATCCTTTGCCTGCTTTTCGATGGGGTTGTTTTTTTCTGGTAAATTTGTTTAAGTTCTTTGTAGATTCTGGATATTAGCCCTTTGTCAGGTGGGTAGATTGCAAAAATTTTCTCCCATTCTGTAGGTTGCCTGTTCACTCTGATGGTAGTTTCTTTTGCTGTGCAGAAGCTCTTTACTTTAATTAGATCCCATTTGTTTGTTTTGGCTTTTGTTGCCATTGCTTTTGGTGTTTGAGTCATGAATTTTTTCCCATGCCTATGTCCTGAATGGTATTGCCTAGGTTTTCTTCTATAGAGGGTTTTTATGGTTTTAGGTCTAACATTTAAGTCTCTAAGCCATCTTGAATTAATTTTTGTATAAGGTGTAAGGAAGGGATCCAGTTTCAGCTTTCTACATATGGCTAGCCAGTTTTCCAAACACCATTTATTAAATAGGGAATCCTTTCCCCATTTCTTGTTTTTGTCAGGTTTGTCAAAGATCAGATGGTTGTAGATGTGTGGTGTTATTTCTGAGGTCTCTGTTCTGTTCCATTGGTCTGTATATCTGTTTTGGTACCAGTACCATGCTCTTTTGGTTATGTAGCCTTGTAGTATAGTTTGAAGTCAGGTAGTGTGATGCCTCCAGCTTTATTCTTTTGGCTTAGGATTGACTTGGCTATGCAGGCTCTTTTTTTGGTTCCATATGAACTTTAAAGTAGTTTTTTCCAATTCTGTGAAGAAAGTCATTGGTAGCTTGATGGGGATGGCATTGAATCTATAAATTACCTTGGGCAGTATGGCCATTTTCACAATATTGATTCTTCCTATCCAGGAGCATGGAATGTTATTCCATTTGTTTGTGTCCTCTTTTGTTTTGTTAAGCAGTGGTTTGTAGTTCTCCCTGAAGAGGTCCTTCACATCCCTTGTAGGTTGGATTCCTAGGCATTTTATTCTCTTTGAAGCAATTGTGAATGGGAGTTCACTCATGATTTGGCTCTCTGTGTGTCTGTTATTGATGTATAGGGATGCTTGTGATTTTTGCACATTGATTTTGTATCCTGAGACTTTGCTGAAGTTGCTTATCAGCTTAAGGAGATTTTGGGCTGAGACGATGGGGTTTTCTAAATATACAATCATGTCATCTGCAAACAGGGACAATTTAACTTCCTCTTTTCCTAATTGAATACCTTTATTTGTTTCTCTTACCTGATTGCCCTGACCAGAACTTCCAGCACTATGTTGAATAGGAGTGGTGAGAGAGGGCATCCTTGTCTTGTGCTGGTTTTCAAAGGGAATGCTTCCAGTTTTTGCCCATTCAGTATGATATTGGCTGTGGGTTTGTCATAAATAGCTCTTATTATTTTGAGATTTTGAGATATGTTCTATCAATATCTAGTTTATTGAGAGTTTTTAGCATGAAGGGGTGTTGAATTTTGTCAAAGGCCTTTTCTGCATCTATTGAGATAATCATGTGGTTTTTGTCATTGGTTCTGTTTATGTGATGGATTACGTTTATTGATTTGCGTATGTTGAACCAGACTTGCATCCCAGGGATGAAGCTGACTTAATCATGGTGGATGAGCTTTTTGATGTGCTGCTGGATTCATTTTGCCAGTATTTCAGTGAGGATTTTCACATTGATGTTCATCAGGGATATTGGTCTAAAATTCTCTTTTTTTATTGTCTCTCTGCCCGGCTTTACTATCAGGATAATGCTGGCCTTATAAAATGAGTTAGGGAGGATTCCCTCTTTTTCTATTGATTGGAATAGTTTCAGTAGGAATGGTACCAGCTCCTCTTTGTACCTCCGCTGGAATTCGGCTGTGAATCTGTCTGGTCCTGGACTTTTTCTGGTTGGTAGACTACTAATTATTGCCCCCAATGTCCTCTTAATGACACTCTATATATTGAATGGCAACAATGACAAGAGGAGGAGCAGTCGAGTGAAGGAAGCAGAAAAGTAATTTTAGGATGAACTGATGGTCATGCTACTCTGTAGTAAAAGTCAAAAGAAGGAGAAGGAAGAAGAGAAGGAGAAAGAATAAAAGGAGGAAGAGGAGGAGAGGGAAAAGACAATAAAGCACAATTTCCCTTTGAATCTAAATTTTGTGTCAATGATCTCCTGGTAACATTGTCAGTGCCAAAAATGTAATCCCAAAGATAGTGTAATGTGATCCAGCTTCAAACGAGATTACAAGGAAATAGGAGGCCTAGATCCTGCTTAGATATTAAGTAGCCAGCTTGGGTGGTCTCTTCACCTCTTTGGGCCTTGGTCTTCATCTACTACATGAAAAATAAGGCAAAACTAGCTCTCTGCAAACGTTGTTTTTAAGTTTGGAGAAATGTGTTTTGTGAAGCAGCACAAATAAATTAAGTAAATAAAGCTGAACTACTTTCGCCAGAGTAGGGATGAAAGGCTGACATTGTCCTGGATTTGCCATACTCATTTAACCTTCCAACCACAGGGGCTCTTGAAGGGTTCCAAAGAGGAGTTGAAGTCTTCTAGTTTAATGATTTATAATGGCCCTCCTAGGGATAATATTCTATGATTAGTGATCTTGTGTCTGGGATCTCACAATTCTTTGAGGAGGTGTAGTCTAGTTGTAGTGTTTGGAAAAGCCTGCACTCCCAGCCTTGACCTAGTGTAGAAACTACCCTGGCTGAGAAGTAGGTGTGAAAATGGACCAGAAAAACACCCTCATTATGAATACTGGAATAAGTAGTTCCAGTCCTGCTCTGCAGATCCATCACAGATTATACACAGAGCTCAGTTTGTTTCTCATTGAGCATGCCCAATGGCATCATTCAGGGCCTGGCTTATGAATATCTTTGAAAGAATGAATAAACTACAATGAATTAACTCCCAAAGGCTGTGCACACTTGCCAGTTGGACTTACTCTGTGACCAGTGAGGAGACGCTTTGCTATGTGCAGTGACTTGGCTGAGTATGTGTGTGCATGTGTGTGTGTTTGTGTGCAGACATAGTCCCTATTTAGTCCCATAAGCAATCTTCTCAATTACTTCTCTTCCACCTTATAATTCTCTGAATAAATTCCAGCAAATTCTCTAAATATCTAAAAAAATTCCCCAAAATACATCTTTTAAGAGCAGCTGAAGTCTCATGTCTCCCACAAAGCCTCCTGTAGGCATTCTGCTCTCTCCTATAAACCTAGCAGCTGCCACAATCATTCTATGCCTAATCTCTTCAGCAATGTAATCTTACACTGTTGTTTAATTTTCCATCAAAGTCAACTTCATCCCCCGCAAGCAAAATTAAACCTTCACAAAGTCAAGGAAGTGATGTGTTTTTCAAAAATTCATAGTGCTATGCACAGAGCAGATACTGCAGTATAATAGATAGAGCACAGTTTTCTGAATCCAAAAGACATGGCCCTGCCATTCTCTAGCCGTGTGGCTTTGACTTAGTTTAAATTATTCTGACTTTCCCTGAATTAAAAATTAGTTATTAATGCCTATTTTACAAGGATCAGGTAAAAGTAAAAAGATAATGCACATAAAGTGACTAAAACAGTGCCTGGCATATAGCAGCTGTTGTTATTATTTTTGAGTCAATGCACTTATGGTAATATTTAAGTAATGCCATGAGGAACCAAAGAAAAAATGCTGAACAGGTGTTAAGCTTTGTGCCTGTCTCCCATGAAACTAATTTTTACTTTCTTCCCTGTGAAAAGAGGGCTTCCAGGTGTGACATAAAATTTAAGATGGACATAATGTGATTAGTCAGAGGTCCCTGGAAAGGTATATCTTCGATAGAACTGGAATAGGGAGCCAATCTGAAGGCTTTTCTAGAGGAAACAAGGTGTAGCTGGGATATACCGTGAGGAGAAAGGATAGTCTTGAAATATTTCAGTACAGATTGGCAGTTCTTGAATCCCAGGGATTTGTTGCAGATCTGGAAGGTGATGGGGAAAACAGTATGGCTATGAGTAGCTCATGACAGAGCAGGTTTATATATGTTAAAATCAGAAAGGGTCTTATGAGCCATTGAATCCAATCTTCCTTCCCTTGTTCCAGGATCCCAGCGCCTTCTTCCATCTTAGTGAGTGTAGTTATAGCTTTGAGGCTAAGCAGATGCTGATTCTAGAAGTTTCGTGCAGGCTAATGTCATACTGTCATGAATTCAGGATTGATGATGTTCAGGGTTCTTCCCTGTCAATCTCTTTAACCACTGGGCCAGAAAACCACCAAAATTCTAAATGATTTGACATGACAAGGCTTAGGTTTGTATTGGATTTTTAGTGATGATAACAGTAGTTGTGGTCATCACTATTATAAGTCCTACTGACTCAGAAGGCTGGAGATCTGCTACATTGCTGATTTTTAGGTATTCAGAAGGCCTATCACTTTAGGCAAACATAGAGAAACTTTGCTACCTTGTAGCCACCTGAAGTTGGTAATTGCAATAGTTTGTACTGTGATAGTGATCGACACATTCATTTAGAATGGCAATGTCACTGGTTTTTAGAGTGAAGGCATAGGACTTAGTTCTAAAGATCTCAAGAAATTAGGAAATCCAGGAAGACTGTTATGTGTGTGGCTGAGGGAGATGAGCCATCAGTTAGAGAAGAGACTGCGAGTTGTTACAAGGGAGTTCTGTGCCTTGGAGTCATTGGTTCAGCACATTATCTCAGTGGAAATGAGGAAATCAGCCAACAAACATGTAAAGAGCTGCTAGGCTTCACTCATAACTAAAGAAATGCAAATTAAAACAACAAGATACCAATTTTTTGACCTATCAGATTGGCAAAAATCTCAACTTTGATATACCCATTACTGGCAGGGATATGGACCAAATGTCATTTTCATATGCTTTTCATGAAGTGTAAGTTGATGCAAGCTTCTAGAAGATAATTTAGTATTATCTATTATAATTAAGCAAGTACGTATCCATTTAGCTTGTAACTTTCTTGCTAATCATTACCCTATGTTATGGTTGTATTTGCAAGAGTCTATTAATATACATATATTAAGATAGTCTTAGCTGTAATTAATAAGACAACAACAACAGAAGAAACCCAAACATCTAACAATAGGGAAATGATTAAACAAATTATAGTGCATCTATAATATTTGATACTTGAGTTGAACAGATGGAGCTGAGAGTATTGGGAGGAACCAAGATGGCCATAGTTCACAGCACAGGGTGTAGGAGATGTAAGACTTTTGCAGAAAGAAAACTCTGAAAATCCGCTGCAGTTTCCCCTCACGTAATGATCAAAGAATTGATCAATACATGTGGGCAAAGATACTACCCAAGGCTGGGAAAAGAACCATTCAAAAGGATTAGAGGAAATAGTAACAGCATTCACACAGGGCTTGGAATAGTGCCACTAACTAGACTGAGAAATCTCACAACTCATTTTAGGTAGATTTTTTGGAAAGAGCTTGTAGTAGTGGGGAGTATTTAACCCTAGACTAAACGTAGGTCTCATCCCACCTAACAATCTTTACAGGAAGGCCCAAATGGATCAGTCTCTAAGAAACTCAACTATGTCCCAGAATAAAACTCAAAAGTATTTACAAAAATATAAAATATGCAGCACCCATCAAGGTAAAATTTACAATGTCTGGCATTTAATCAAAGATTACCAGGCACACAAAGATGCAGAGAAATACAACCTACAATAAGGAGAAAAATCAGCCAATTGCAGCAGAGCTGAAAATGTGAGAATTAGTGACAAGAACTTTGAAATAGTTATTATAATTGCTTTTTATATGTTCAAAATATAAAAGACATTGAAGATGTAAAAAAGAACCAAATCTGATTTTTAGAGACATAAACAAGGTGCAGAGCAACTGGAAGTCTTGTATACTACTAATGAAAATGTAAACTGGTATGCTACTTTAGAAAGCAGTTTGGCAGTTCCTTAAAAAGTTAAACACATATTCGCCATGTAGTCTAGTTATTCTACTTCTAGGGATTTACCCAAGAGAAAAGAAAGATGTGTCCATACAAAAGTTTGTACACAAATGCTTATAGGAGCTTTATTTGTAATAGCAAAAAATTTGAAACAATCCTAATGTCTATCAGTGGGAGAATGGATTGACAAACTGACATATTCATACAATGATATACTGTCAGCAATAGAAAGAAATGACTTGTTGATATACTTGTCCACCCCTGAACACATATCCTCACTGGGGAACCTGTAGGTCCAGATCACAGGTGAAGGATTAGACCTTACCTGGCGCTGAGATGAACTTAGAGAGCTGCATGAAATGGGAAGAGCTCTGTGGACACTCTCAGTCCCCAGAGAAGCCATTTCTGACTTTGTCTCACATGGGTCCTTGGGGAAGGCTGCCAGTGAAATTGGGGAAAGACCACAGGGAGAAGGAAACCTTCAGCTGAATTTTGTAACAATTTTAACTGAACACCAAGTTTCCTGGACAGAATCTGGGGGAGAGGTGAACCAGGAGTGCAGACACAGAACCAAAGTTGTGGCAGGCTGAGAAGTGCGAAACCTGAAAGCCCTGCTTGCTTTCCCAGTGGGGTTACCTTGTGCCTGGGGCAAGTCCTCAGTCCTGCTCAGGCAACCATAATCCCCCTGGGAACTCATTGGCCTGAGAAGCACAACCCCCATCTCCTACAGCAGCTGCAGCAAGTTCTGCCTAAGGAGAGTCGAAGCTCAGACATGCCTAACTTTGCCCCCACCTGATGGTCTTTCTCTACTCGCCCTGGTAGCTGAAAACAAAGGACATAATCTTTTCGAGGCTGTATGGCCCCACCCACCAACTGAGAAACTTATCCAGGCTATCCTAGGGCAAGCTTACATTCTCCCTATACTACTGCAGCTGATGCTTCCTTGAAAGTGCCACCTCCTGGCTGGAGGCCAACCAACACAAAACTATCAATACAATAATCAAAAATACAACCAAGGCCCTCACAGAGTCCACTTCACCCCCCTGCTACCTTTACTGGAGCAGTTGCTGGTATCCAAAGCTAAGAGATCTGAAAATGGATCACATCACAGGACTCTTTGCAGACACTCCCCAGCCCAGAGCCTGGTAGCTCCACTGGGCAGCTAGATCCAGAAGAGAAACAGCAATCACTGCAGTTTGGCTCTGAGGAATCCACATCCCTGAGCACCCACATCTAGGGAGTACCCCATGGGATGAAAGAATCTGAACAGCAGCTCTTGAACCCCAGATCATCCCTCTGACATAGTCTACCCAAATGAGATGGAACCAGAAAAGACAATTCTGCTAATATGACAAAACAAGGTTGTTTAACACCCCCAAAAGATCACACCAACAATGGATCCAAGCCAAGAAGAAAACTCTGAATTGCCAGAAAAGGAATTCAGAAGGTTGATTATCATGCTACTCAAGGAGGCACCAAAGAAAGGTGAATACCAACTCAAATAAATTTTTTTAAATGTTACATGATATGGATGGAAAAATCTCCATAGAAATAGATAGTATAAATAAAAAACAATCACAACTTCTGGAAATGAAGGACACACTTAGATAAATGCAAAATCCACTGGAAAGTCTCAGCAACAGAATTGAACAAATAGAAGAAAGAACTTCAGATCTCAAAGGCTTTTGAATTAACCCAATACAACAAAGACTAAGAAAAAATAATTTTTAAAAAATGAACAAAGCCTCCAAGAAGTTGGGATTATGTTAAATGACAAAGGTAATGTACACAAATCAGTAGCTCTCCTATACACCAGCAGTGATCAAGCTGAGAATCAAATCAAGAATTCAACCACTTTCACAATAGCTGCAAAAAAATAAATAAATAAAAAAGAAAAAGAAAGAAAGACAAATATTTAGGAATACACCTAACCAAGGACGTGAAAGACGTCTACAAGGAAAACTACAAAACACTGCTGAAAGATATCATAGATGACACAAGCAAATGGAAACACATTCCATGCTTATGGATGGGTAGAATCAATATTGTGAAAATGACCATGCTGCCAAAAGCAATCTATAAATTCAATGCAATTCCCATGAAAATATCACCATCATTCTTCACAGAACTAAAAAAAAAAAAAAAAAAAAAAATCCTAAAATGCATGTGGAACCAAAAAAGAGCCCACATAGCCAAAGCAAGACTAAGTAAAAAGAACAAATCTGGAGACATCACGACTACCTGACTTCAAACTACACTATAAGGCCATAGTAACCAAAACAGCATGGCATAAAAATAGGCAAATAGACCAATGGAGCAGAATAGAGAACGCAGAAATAAAGCCAAACACTTATAGCCAAATGATCTTCGAAAAAGCAAACAAAAACATAAAGTGGGGAAAAGATATCCTATTCAACAAATGGTGCTTGGATAACTGGCAAGCCGCATGTAGAAGAATAAAACTGGATCCTCATCTCTCACCTTATATAAAAATAAACTCAAAATGGATCAAAGACTTAAATCTAAAATCTGAAACCATAAAAACTCTAGAAGACAACATTGGAAAAACCCTTCTAGACATTGGCTTAGGCAAAGACTTCATGACGAAGAAAGCAAAAGCAAATTCAACAAAACAAAGGTAAATAGATGGGACTTAATTAAACTAAAAAGCTTCTGCACAGCAAAAGAAACAGTCAGCAGAGTAAACAGACAACCCACAGAGTGGGAGAAAATCTTCACAATCTATACATCTGACAAAGGACTAATATCCAGAATCTACAAGGAACTCAAACAAATCAGCAAGACAAAAACAAATAATCCCATCAAAAAGTGGGCTAAGGACATGAATAGACAATTCTCAAAAGAAGATATACAAATGGCCAACAAACATATGAAACATGAAAAAATGCTCAGCATCACTAATGATCAGGGAAATGCAAATCAAAACCACAATGCCATACCAGCTTACTCCTGCAAGAATAGCCATAATCAAAAAAATTTTAAAAAAATAGATGTTGATGGGATGCTGTGAAAAGGGAACACTTCTACACTGCTGATGGGAATGTAAATTACTACAACCACTATGGAAAACAGTGTGGAGATTCCTTAAAGAACTAAAAGTAGATCTACCATTTGATCCAGCAATCCCTCTACTGGGTGTCTACGCAGAGGAAAAGAAGTCATTATATTAAAAAAAAATACTTGCACATGCATGTTTATAGCATCACAATTTGCAATTACAAAAATATGGAACCAGCCGAAATGCCCATCAATCAATGGGTGGATAAAGAAAATGTCACACACATACACATACACACACACGTGTGTGTGTGTATATATATATATATATAGTACACATACCAAATTTACCACATTTTCATATATATACTACTTTATATATCTATACACTAATATTATACTACCTTATATATATATACACACATGCACACATACCATGGAATACTACTTTATATGTAGAGAGAGTATATATATATGTATACACACACCATGGAATACTACTCAGTCACAAAAAGGAACAAAATAAAGGCAGTCATAAAAAGGAACAAAATAATGGCATTCACAGCAACTTAGATGGAATTGGAGACCATTATTCTAAGTGAAGTAACTCAGGAGTGGAAAACCAAACATCGTATGTTCTCACTCATAAGTGGGAGCTAAGCTATGAGGAAGCAAAGACATAGGAATAATACAATGAACTTTGGGGACTCTGGGGAAAGGGTGGGAAGAAGTGAGGGATAAAAGAGTATACATTGGGTACAGTGTACTCTGCTCAGGTGATGTGGGCACCAAAATCTCAGAAATAACCACTATAGAACTAATCCATGTAACCAAACACCACGTGTTCCCCAAAAAACCTATTGAAATAAAAACTTTTAAAAAAACAACTTATCAAATTTTGTACTTTAAATATGTTCAGTTTATTACATGTCAATTACACACCAATAAAGCTATTAAAAATTAAAGAAAGAGGTGGGGCTATATATGCGGCTATGGGAAAACCTCCAAAATATATTATTAACTGCAAATAATGCAAAACAATGTGTATTGTATCATTTGACCTATATCTAAAATATATAATTGTATATGCCTAAAATTTTTTGGAAAGATAAAAAATTACCCAGCACTTTGGGAGGCCAAGGCGGGCGGATCACAAGGTCAGGAGGTCAAGACCATCCTGGCTAACACGGTGAAACCCTGTCTCTACTAAAAATACAAAAAAAATCAGCCAGGCATGGTGGTGGGCACCTGTAGTCCCAGCTACTCGGGAGGCTGAGGCAGGAGAATGGCATGAACCCGGGAGGCGGAGCTTGCAGTGAGCTGAGATTGTGCCACTGCACTCCAGCCTGGGTGACAGTGCGAGACTCTGTCTCAAAAAAAAAAAAAAAAATATTAACAGTGGTTGTCTTAGGGAGATAGCCTAGGGATAGAAAGAAGTCTCTTGTTTAAAGGAAAAAACAAACAACCCCATCAAAAAGTAGGCAAAGGATGTAACAGACACTTCTCAAAAGAAGACATTTATGTGGCCAAAAAACATATGAAAAAGAGCTCATCATCACTGATCATTAGAAAAATGCAAATCGAAACCACAGTGAGATTACCATCTCATGCCAGTAAGAATGGTGATTATTCAAAAGTCAGGAAACAATAGATGCTGGTGAGGCTGTGGAGAAATAGGAACACTTTTACACTGTTGGTGGGAGTGTGAATTAGTTCAACCATTGTGGAAGATAGTGTGGCGATTCCTCTAGGATCTAGTACCAGAAATACCATTAGACCCATCAATCCCATTACTGGATATATACCCAAAGGATTATAAATCATTCTACTATAAAGACACATGCACACATATGTTTATTGCAGCACTATTCACAATAGCAGAGACTTGGAACCAACCCAAATGTCCATCAATGATAGACTGGATAAAGAAAATGTTGCACATATACACCGTGGAATACTATGTAGCCATAAAAAAGAATGAGATCATATCCTTTGCAGGGACATGGGTGAACCTGGAAGCCATCATTCTCAGCAAACTAACACAGGAACAGAAAACCAAACACCATATGTTCTCACTCATAAGTGGGAGTTGAACAATAAGAACACATGGACCAGGGAGGGGAACAACACAGGGGGTAGGGGGCAAGGGGAGGGAGAGTATTAGGACAAATACCTAAGTTATACGGGGCTTTAAAACCTAGATGACGGTTTGATAGGTGCAGCAAACCACCATGGCACATGCATTCCTATGTAACAAACCTGCACATTCTGCATATGTATCCTGGAACTTAAAATAAAATTTTAAAAATATTGGAAAAAATACCTTGTTTAAATATCGTTTTTTAACTATTCAAATTGTCTTACAATATTCATGCATTTTGCTTAAAATAAATGTTAGGGTTTCATGAGCAGTAGAATTAGAAAATATTTTTGGTTTTATTTTTCTGTATTGAAATATTTAAAATTTATTTTCAAAAAAACAGAGGTGCAGACTCTTTTGAAAATAGTTTAGTAGTTTATTAAAAAGTTAACATATAGTTACAAAGCTATCAATTTCACTCCTATGAATTTACCCAAGAGAGATTAAAATGCATATCCACACAAAAGCATGCATTGAATGTTCATAGCAGTATTATTTTTAATAGCTGAAAATATCTATCAGCTAGTGAATGCATAAATAAAATAAGGAATAGAATGCAATGGAATATATTTGCACAGTTGAAAGAGACAAACTATGAATACATGCTACAACACAGAGGAAACTCAAAAACACAAGTTAAAGAAGGCTGACACAAAAGACTACATATTACATTTACATGAAATTCCACAAAAGGCCCAAAGGATCAAAAGGCAAATTTATAGAGACAGAATGTACATCAGTGGTTTCCTAAGACAGGAAGTGAGAACAGGGAATAACCATAAACAGGCATGATCAAAATGTGATGCCTGTTTGGGGTGATGGAAAAAACTAAAACTGGTAGCAATTGTACAGTTCTATAGAGTCACTAAAATCGTAGAACTATAGACTGTAGACTTACAATGGCTGGATTTGGTGGTATGTAAATTATACCTTGATACAGGTGTTAAAAACAAAAGCCAACTGCCCTGAAACCAGGAATAAAAGCAATAACCGCAGAAAATGCTTGCTTTTCCTATTCAAGCAGGTGGAATTATACCTACATGCTAAGATGTAGAAGTCCTTGGTGTTCTTGGGGCTAAAGTCAGTGGCTTCTGGATTGCAACACACTAACATGGCTGCTCCAGCTGTGAGGTGGGTACAGACAGTTGGACATTGTCTTCTTTGGTGGATTGCTCTTTCATTTTCATTTCAAATGTTGCACAGAAAGAACTGGCATATGTCCAGTATAAGCACAGTGGCCCAGAGTGGTAACATATAGTAGTTAAGAAAGCACGCTCTGGATTCAGAAAGATGGGGCTGCAAGCCCAGCTTTGTCGGTCACTACCTCATAGGGTTCTTGTGAGCCTGAAGTGAGGTGATGGATATGGCACATAGCAAAATCAAAAAGTAAAATCTTTTCATCTGTATATTCTTAAAGCAACAGGGATTGGCTTGTGCTGACTCATCCGCACTCTTTAGCTGGGTCCTGCTATCACCAGATCACTAGCAAGTTGATGGGAGCTAAGCAAACAGACAGATGTCCACTCTGATGTAAAACAGGACTCTTTCCCCAAGATCACTGTTTTATGTACTTTAGGTCAGGAACTCTAAGATATCTGGATTTCATCTGGATAAATGGTTAAAATAATTTGGAGGACTAAAAATATTGTCAACATTTTATTTTTTAATTAAATTTTTACTTTGACATACTTATAGATTCACATGTGGTTGCAAGAAATAATACAGAGAAATTCTGCGTACTTCCTATCCAGTTTATCTCAATGAGAACATCTTGCAAGCTATAGTGTGTTTTACATTAAGTCCACAATCTCTTTTGAGTTATTTTTTGTAAAAGATGTAAGGTTTAGATTAAGTTTTATTTTTTTCCTATGTATATCAAATTACTTCAGCACCATTTGTGAAAAGTCTATTATTTCTCCATTAAACTGCATTGACATCTTTGTTGAAAAACATTTAAGAATATTTATGTGGGTATCATTCTGGGATCTCTATTCTGTTCCATTGATCTATGTGTTTATCCCTCTGCTAATATGACATGGATTTGATTATTGCAGCCTTAATATCATGTAGACTGATTCTTCCCCCGATATTCTTTTTAAATATTATTTTAGTTTTTCTAGGAGGTTCATGTTTCCATATAAATTTCAGAATGTTTTTCTGTATCTATATCTACAAAAACTTTGCTGGTGATTTTTACAGGAATTACAGTAAACATATAGATCAGCTTAGGGAGAATGACATTTTACTACATCTAATCTTCTAATCCTTGAATATCCTGTGTCTCTTCATTTATTTAGATCTTCTTTGATTTCTCTCATCAGCATTTTGTAATTATCAGCAACAGATTCTATCCATGTTTTGTTACATTTATACCTAAAGTATTTCATTTTCTTTGAAACAATTATAAACAGTATTATGTTTTTGATTTCAGTTTCCCCATGTTCATTGTTAGTATATAGAAATGTGATTGATGTTTGCTTGTTGAGCTTCTATCCTACGACCTTGCTGAACTCACTTATTAGTTCTAAAGTTCCTTGGGATTTTCTATGTAGACCATTATTCCATTTGTAAATACAGGTAATTTTATTTCTTCTTTTCCAATCTGAATGCCTTTATTTCTTTTTCTTGCCTTAGTGCACTAGCTAGAACTTCCAGTACTATGTTGAATAGAAAGGTGAAAGACATCACTGCCTTATTTTTGGTCTTAGGCAGAAAACATTCAGTCCTTCACCATTAAGCATGGTGAAAATCTTCCTTAAGATTACCTGTAGGCTTTTTTCTGTGGATGCTCTTTATCAAGTTGAGGTAGTTCCCTCTATTCCTAACTTGCTTAGCTTTTATCATGAATAGGTGTTGGATTTTGTTAAATGCTTTTGCTACGTAAATTGATATGATCATAACATTCTTCTTCTTCTTTAGCCTATTGATATGGTGGATTAGATAGATTGATTTTTAATGCTGAGCCAGTCTTGTGTACTTGGAATAAATCCCGCTTGCTCTCTCTCCCTCTCTCTCTCTCTCTCTATATATATATGTATTCCTCTATCTCTCTCTATATATATATAAATAAAATCCTTTTCATATGTTAATATAAAATTATATCTAATTTGCTAATATTATTTTGAAGATTCCTGCATCTAAGTTCAGGAGAGATATTGGTCCATAGTTTCCTTTCTGCATATGCTTTGTTTGACTTTAATATCAAGGTAACACTGGTCTCATAAAATAAGTTCAGCAGTATTGTCTCATCTTCTATTTCCTGGAAGGGATTGTTAAAATTGATGTCAATTCTTTTTTTAAAGCTTGATAAGATTCTCTAGTGATGCCATTTGGGCCTAAGTATTTCCTTTTCAAGACTTTTTAAATTAAAATTTTAATTTCTTAAGTGGCTATAAAGCCAATCAGTTTATTTATTTCATCTTGGTTGAGTTTTGGTAGTTTGTGGGTTTTGGTGAATTGGTCCATTTCTTCTAAGTTGGCAAACTAATGAGCATTAATTTGTTCTTAATATGCCCTTATTATCCTTTCAATGACTGTATGATCTGTAGTGATAGGCCCTGTTTAATTTCTGATATTAGCAGTATGTGTCTTCTCTATTTTTTTAGAAGTTTATCAGTTTGTCAGTCTCATCGATTTTTTTTTAAAGAATCAAGTTTTGGTTTCACTGATTTTCTTTCTTACTGTAGTTTTGTTTTCCATTTTGTTGATTTTTACGTATTATTTTATTACTAGTAGTATTCCTTTCCTTATGCTTGCACTAAATGTATTTTACTCTTTTTTTCTAGTTTTTTAAGGCATGAACTTAAATTATTGATTTCAGATCTTTCTCATTTTGTAATGTGAGCATTCAATGCTATAAATGTCCCTTTCTGCACTGCTTTAGCTGCATCCCACAAATGATATGTTGTATTTTCATTTTCATTCAGTTTTAAGGGCTTCTTTATTTCCTTTGAGACATCTTATTTGACTCTGGATTATTTAGAATTGTGTTAATTTCCAAAAGTCTGAAGATGTTCTTGTTGTCTTTTTTTTAAGTTGATTTCTAGTTTGATTTCATTGTGGTGACTTAAAGAAACTCTATATGGTTTCAATTATTTTAAATTTGTAGATTTGTTTTATAATTCATAATATGGTCTACCTTGGTGAATGTTCCATAGACACTTAAAAAAATGTGTATTCTGTTGTTGTTTGGTATAGTGTTCTATAAATGTCAGTTAAATTCTATTGGTTGATGGTGTTGTCAAATTTTTTTATATCTTTGTTAATTTTCTGTCTAGTAGTTATATCAATGGCTGAGAGTGGGGTGCTAAAGTTCTCAACTATAATTGTGGATTTGCTTATTTCTGTTTTCACCTTTATCTATTTTTGCTTCATGTATTTTTAAGCTCTCTTATTTGGTGTATACACATTTACGATTACTATATCTTCTTGGTGGATTGATCCTTTTATCATTATATAATGTCTCTTTTGTCCCTAGCATTTTTCTGGCTCTGAAGTATGCTTTATGTGATGTTATTACAGCCACTCCTGTTTTTTTAAAATTAATGTTAGTATGGCATATCTTGTTCTATTCTTTTACTCTTAACCTACCTATGTCATTGTATTGGAAATAAACTTTTTATAGAGAGCACCTAGTTGGATTTTTTTTTAATTCCTCATGCCAATATCTGTCTTCTTATTGGTATTTAGACCATTTACATTTAAAGTAATTATTTAATTATTGATATGTTAAGGCTTAAATCTGACATTTTATTATTTATTTTCTGTCTTTTCTTTTCTCTGTTTCTCATTCTTCTTTTTCTCTTTTCTTCCCTTCCTTTAGATTACTTTACTTTTGTTAGGATTGTATAATGTTTTATTTATATTGTTTTTGAATATATTGTTTTTAATAGTTTTCTTAGTAGTTATCACAGATATTACTAGGTAGACATGTGACTTATCACAGTTTACTAATATCTGTATTTTATCACTTCCAAAACTAGTATCTGTATTTTATCACTTTCAATAAAACATTAAAACTTTACTTCCATTTAAAATTTTTTACCATCCTCACACTTTAAATATAATTTTCTAAACTATTTCTTTAACATATATTGAGCACCACAACAGGTGTTGTTGTCACATTATTTCAATAATCATATATGATTTAAGAAATGCACGAGAAGGATAGGATAGTCCATTATATTGATCCCTATCTTTACCCACTTCATTATGTCCCCCGCCCCTCAAAGGCTTAATCCTTCTTCTGCTATCATTTCCTTTCTGTTGTAAAAACGTCCTTTAGCCATTTTTCAAATGTAGAACTGCTAGTGACAAATTCTCTTAGTTTTCTTTTGTCTGAGAATATCTATATTTCCCCTTCATGCCTGAAGGATAGTTACAGCAGTTACAGAGTTTGCAGCTGGCAGTTCTTTTTTGCAGTACTTGAAAAATGTACTTCTTTCTTTCTTTCCTTCCTTCCTTCCTTCCTTCCTTCCTTCCTTCCTTCCTTCCTTCCTTCTTTCTTTCTTTCTTTCTTTCTTTCTTTCTTTCTTTCTTTCTTTCTTTCTTTCTATTTTGAGACAGAGTCTTGCTTTGTCACCCAGGCTGGAGTGCAGTGGCTGGATCTCGGCTTGCTGCAACCTCCACTTCCCAGCTTTAAGAGATTCTTCCGCCTCAGCCTCCCGGGTAGCTGGGACTACAGGCGTGCACCACCACACCCAGATAATTTTTGTATGTTTAATGGAGACAGTGTTTCACCATGTTGGCCAGGCTGGTCTTGAACTCCTGACCTCACGTTATCCACCCACCTCGGCCTCCTAAAGTGCTGAGATTATAGGCATGAGCCACCGAGCCTGGCCTGTGCCACTTTTTTTCTGAATAAGAAATCAAAATTCTGATTGGTATTCCCATATAAACAATGCATGATTCAATTCTCTTTAGTTGTTTTAAGATTTTTTTCCTAGTTTTTAGTTTATAAAAGTTTTACAATATGTGATGGCATGGATTTCTTTGGGTTTATCTTATTTGGGATTTGTTCAGCTTCTTGAATCTGTAAATTCACATTTTTTGCCTAATTTGGGAGGTTTTCAGCCATTATGTTTCTAATGGTTTTAAACCCCACATTATTTCTCATCCTGGGGTTCTGATGATATGAATGTTAGATATTTTGTTGTCCCACAGGACCCTGAAGCTCTGTTAATATTTTTTTAGTCCGTTTTCTCACTGAGGTTCAGAATGAGTTAATTCTATTGACCTGTTCTCAAATTCACTGATTCTGTCATCTCAACTCTGCTATTGAGCCCATCCAGTGAATATTTTATTTTGGCTATTGCATTTCTCACTTCTATAATTTCCATTTGATGTGGAGTGAGGCAATATCGGCTCACTGCAAACTCTGCCTCCCAGGTTCAAGTGATTCTTCTGCCTCAGCCTTACAAATAGCTGGAACTACAAGGTGTGTGCCACCATGCCCAGCTAATTTTTGTATTTTCAGTAGAGACAGAGTTTTGCCATGTTGACCAGTCTGGACTCGAACTCCTGGTCTCAAGTGATCCACCTGTCTTGGCCTCCCAAAGTGCTGGGATTACAGGCATGAGCCACCACGCCATTTGATTATTTTTTATGATTTATATTTCTTTGCTGAGATTTTTTATTTTTTCATTTTTTTCAGGAGAATTTGTAATTACTTGTTGAAGGACTTTTATGGTGGTTGCTTTAAAATCTTGGTCATTTAGTTTCATCATCTGTGTCATCTCAATATTGACATTAGTTGATTATCTTTCTTCATTTTGGTCGTGATTTTCTTGGTTCTTGATATTAAATGATTTTCAGTTATATTCTGCACATTTTAGATATTTAGAAGATTCTTGACCCTATTTAAACATTTCATTTTAGTTGGCAGTCACCCTATTTAGGTTTAGCCTGCAGGTTGTGGCCTACTTGTGTAAGCTACAGTTCCAGCAACAATTTATTTTTCTGAGCCCTTGCAATGCTGTCCGGGACTGCTTTGTTCTTCTGGCTCTGACTGAGTTTCCAATTAATGCCTGCTGGTGCCACCTATGAGGCATACTTCCCTGGACAACTTGGTGACATTATGTAGAGGCTGAAAGATAGCAGACTGATAAGATGGAGCATTTTCCCCAGCCTATTCTCTAGCCACATGGTGCTGGTGCTCTGCTGGTCCTCCCAGAGGCAGGAAAACCTTACCTCAATCTTTTCCAGCCACTGGATGGTGGCCCAGGAGCCCCCAGGTGTGGATGGCTCTCTGGTACTGAGAATGAAGAGACACCAAGCCTGCTGGTCCAGGAAGAGGTGTGTCTGCTGTGAGTTATGTGAGGAATCCCTCCCCACCTCCCAGCTCCACCAACAATACTGGATGTGGATCTCCCTGCTAAGTCCCTTCTTGACTTTCCCTTTCTTGGGCTTCTCTTCTTTTGCCTTATCTGGCAGTATTTGTCTATGCCTGTTGACTCTTTCAGGTTCGAGTCTCTTGAGTACCAAATCCAAGATATAAGAAGTAAAAGGAAAACCCAGATGCTATGGTTTAAATGTAGCCCCCAAAATTTTCATGTTGGAAATTTAATCTCCAGTGCAACAGTGTTGGGAGGTGGGGCCTGATAAGAGGTAATTGGGTCATGAGGGCAGAGCTCTTATGGACAATTTAATGTAGTTAATGTGGGAGTGGGTCAGTTATCATGACAGTGAGTTGTTATAAAAACAAACCCAGCCCCTCATGCTTTCTTATACTTCTTCTCTTGCCTTTCTGACTTCTATTATGGGAGGATAAAGAAAGAATCCCCTCACCGGATTCCAGCACCATGCTCTTGAACTTCCCAACCTCCAGAACTGTGAGCCAAATAAACTTCTATTCTGTATAAATTACCCAGTCTGTGGTATTCTGTTATAGCAGCAGAAAATAGACTAAGACATAAAATTGGTACTTAAAGTGGATTTGTTGCTATAACAATATCTGAAAATGTGGAAGCAACTTTGGAACTGGGTAATGGATAATGGGTAGAGGTTGGAAGAATTTGAAGAAGGAGGCTAGAAAAAGACTATATTGCCATGAACAGAGCACTGAGGGCAATTCTGGTGAGTACAGAAGAAGACCCCAGAACTATAGAGCTGTGATTGTGCAATGCCAACCTGAGAGGGCTGAAATGTGGACTGAGCCCAGCAAAGCCATGAGGTTTGGGATGTCCAAGGCCCTGATGGTCAAACCCCCATATCAGTGTGCTCAGGTTGTGGGACATAGAATCAAAGGAGATTATTCTCCAGCTTTAAGGCTTAATATTGTTTTCCTGTTGGGTTTTAGACTTACTGAGCACGAGTTCTCCCTTTCTTCTTGGCTCTTTCTCCCATTTGGAGTGAGAATGTCTGTCCTGTGCCTTTCTCATTATTTTATTTTGGAATGAGATAACTTGTTTTGATTTCACAGGCTCACAGCTGGAAGGAATTTGCCTTAAGATGGGTCATGCCCAAAGTCTCACCCATATCTGATTTAGATGAGACTCTGGACTTTGAACTTTTGAGTTGGTGTTGGAATGAGTTAAGGCTTTGGGGACTTTGGGGATGAAATGAATGCATATTGCATTGTGAGGACGTAAATTTTGGGTGCCTGAGGCAAAGTGCTATGGTTTGAATGTGCCCCTGAAAATTAACATGTTGCAAACTTAATCCCCAATGTAACAGCATTGGGAGATAGTCTCCAATAAGAGATGATTGGGTCATGAGGGTGGAGCCCTCATGAATGGGTTAATGTAGTTAATATGGGAGTGGGTCTGTTATCAGAAGAGTGAATAGTTATAAAAGCAAGCCTGGCCCCTTATGCTTTCTATTTCATATGTGCTCTCCCGCTCTTTTGCCTTCCATTTGGGGACGACCCTTGCCAGATGTCAGTACAATGCTCTCGGACTTCCCTGTCTCCAAAACTGCGAACCAAATAAATTTATATTCCTTGTAGATTACTCAGTCTGTGGTATTCTGTTATAGCAGCAGAAGAGAGAAAATAGACTAAGAGACCAGAGAACTCACCATGGTGTCTTTCTTCAGGTCCTGAGGTCTCTAGCAGGTTCACTTTCCTAACAACTTTCAGAAACCTTTTATGGCTCTATGTTGAACTATTTACAGGGTACTTAGTTGTATTTAGAGGAGAAGAGCAGGGAAATTTGAGTCTATGGCATCTTGTCTAACATTTTATTTGTGAAAAAAGAGTCTCATTTTAAAATAGGACAAAAAAGCCTCCACCTTATATCATTATTTTGCAAAATAAGGTACATTTAACACCTACAAAAGTTGAAAGAGCATAATCTCAGAATAAAGAGGAATTATTTAAATTGAATGAATTCATTTTTCTCATTTGTCCTTGGACCTATAAAAATTGCATTACTTTCTCAAGCTAGACATCAGCACAGTGTTTAGGAAACTGTATCACAGTTGTCTTTCTTGAGTTGGAAGCAGCAGTGCAGTGGAGAAGAATGAGCCTAGGTTGGAATCCGAGGTCATGGGTTGAAATCCTGAATTTTCTACCCACCAGGTAGGTGACCTCAGCATAGTCGTTAGTGGAGAAATGAAAAGAGTTGGGCTTTGATGTCCACAAACCTAAGTAGACATCCTAACCCTGTTACTTAATAGCTGTGTAACCTTCAACAAGTTATTAAACTTCTCAGTGGCTCTTATCCCATCAGTTACATGGGAATGGTGTGAAAGCTAATGAGGAATAAATGGGAGAATGCACATAAAACACTTAGTATGGTGCTTTACATGGGACAGTGTAAACAAGAGTTTATAGGGCTCTCTCTCCAGGGATGCATGCACCATGTTATCTAAATTAACATATAGATATTAATCCTTAACTTCCTAGAGGAGTTGTGAGGATTTAGTAAGATGATATATAAAAGCACCTCACAGTGCCTGGTACATAATAAGCCTATGAATAACGTAGAGTTCTTTTTCCCCACTCCTTACCTCAATTTCCAAATATGGTAAGGCCTACTTCACAGAGTTGATACAAGGATTGGCTATAACAATATACATAAAAGTGCTTTGGAGTCTGAGGCATGCTGTCCAAATTCCAGTTACTCTTACATTGATGGGCCCTGCCCACGTTTGTATAGTTACACAGGCCTTTCAGAGTACGTGATGAATTGTTCTAATGATAAATAGTCACCTCATCAAGAAAATTAATCCAGGCCTAGAGCTAAAGCTGAAGGCAGAAATAAATAGGTCTGGGAACCAAAAAACAAAATTAACAAATATTTCAATGCAACCCACAGTAGCTGGCCTATGTCTTTCCTGCCCTATATCCCCATGCATTGTCTCATTGTGAGAAAAGTTTGTGGGAAATGAAGCCACATATCTTTGTAGGTTGATAGAGGTAAAAACAAAAACAAAAACAGGAAAAAAAAGGAACCAGCATTTACAAAATCAAAACTCAGCAGCACTCTACTGTCACTGTCACTCTTCTATGTCTTCTCTGAAACAAACTCTCGTTACTCAATAAAGCTGGAGTTTGACCCACACTCTCTGGAAACTACACTAATTCTTTGGGATATGTCAGGACAGCTGTCCTGATTAAAAGGACCTGGAATGTGACTGCCCAAAAGCTTGATTAGGCCAGATCTTGTCCTCCCCAAAGTAGCCTTTTAGAAGGCATAAGAAGGGTGGAGGAAAAGAAGCAAAGAAGAAAAGTCATCAAACAGAATGAGAAGGGCATCAGAAGCAAAGAGTAAGATCATCAGAGCTGCATATTTGGAAGATACCCTGTAGTGCTGGGAGAGTTTCATGAACAGAGGTTGGAGGGAGTAACTACTTAAGTAGCTACTGTGGCAATTCAGGGAGACACTTCCTCTGGATTCAGGATTCAGAACAGGACTGTCATTTTCTACTGACTCTGGCCTTGAGCATTAGCTAGTTAGATGTTTGACCACGATGCCTTAGAAAGTATTCCTTTTTGGTTCTTTATAAGTCACTAGCTTATTTTGATTGAGTACCTACAATGCACCTGGTTTTTATGATAGACACAGTTGGAGGAAGGGAATTAGGGAGAAATTCATGTTCTTATCTTCAAACATTTACCAAGTCTCAGGGAAAATGGCCTTACCTGTGAAAAAGGCAGCCAACATTTTCAGTGGTCTTTGCTCAGTACAGACGTACAAGTACAGAGGGGCTTCCAAAAAATGTAAGAACATTTTCAACTGGTGACTAGGGGGTGAGTTATGGTAGGAGGGGACACAGAAGAGTATCTGAGAGAGGATGGCACAGAGGCCATGAGGCAGGAATGCTCCAGGTATGCTCTGGAGGTGGCAAGTAGATCAGTCTGCATGAAATGGAGGTTTCATGTTGAAAAGAATCATGAGAGATGAGAGAGAAGGGGTGGGCTGGGGACTCACTGCAGAGGCTCTTAAATGTCAAACTAGGGATTTGGGATTGTTTGCCATTGTCAGGGAAGAGTACTGAAGATTTTGAGCAGGGGAGTGGTAATTTCAGAACACAATTTTAGGAAAATCCTTCTACAGTATGAATTACAAAGATGGAGACTGAAAAGAGGAGGATTACATAAGCAATTATTGTAGTTATTTCAAGAGAAGAGTCTGAGCCAGCAGGGTGTCAACAAGGATAGGTTGCAAACAAGGGAAATGCAGTGAAGACAGAAACGCCAGGACCTGACAATTGGATGAGGATAAAAGGTTTTAATAAAAGGAGGAGCTAACAAGTTTTAATACCGGATGACAAGTAGTAGGATGGAGGTCATTGGGCAAAAGTAGTAAAATCGATTGGGTTGACTAGGGGAAAGAGGATGGAGACGATTTGGAGCTCAAACACCAAATCTGCCC
Source organism: Homo sapiens (assembly GCF_000001405.40). NCBI lineage: Eukaryota > Metazoa > Chordata > Mammalia > Primates > Hominidae > Homo > Homo sapiens. The sequence goes on along the minus strand of NC_000011.10, from coordinate 95,388,309 downwards.
CTTTCTACCAGTGGGATAATGGTCAAGGTATTTATTTTTCCTGAATCTCTATTTGCTCTTACATGAAACAAAGGTCAGAATACACAACTCAAAGAGAGGTTATGAGGATTAACTGAGAGAATAAATATAAACTATCTGGCAGAGTGACTGGTTCATTGTAGACGCTCAATAACTAGAAGTTCCCTTACCCTCCTTCCCCTCATTCCGCCGCAGGAATGCACATGCACTGTATCCTGAGCTGTAATGTCTCCCTCTTCCTATTAGAGCTCCAAGAAGTGAAAGAGGCCTTGGTAATTCTGGCAACTTGAACTCTGTGGAGTGAAGTTGAAAACTGAAGAAAAAAAAAAGTTAGGCAATCACAATTCAGGTCAGAGTCTAAGTGAAATGATATTTTGTTCACCTGCCTCTTGTTATAAAATGGTCTTCGACTGAAAACAAAAATCTTATAACACGTATTTCATCAGAGGGGTTTAAGCCCCTGGGGCATATAGATTCCTGGGCCATCTAATATCAGAAGCTACCACAAAGAAAATTCTTGCAAATTGGTTACTGAAAGTTTTTAAAAGTAATAAAAATGATGTTGCAAGCCTTTCAGACCTCACAGATTGTTAGGGGATATCGACAAATCTGGTCTTGAAACCCAAGGCTGTCAGGCAGGTGTGGGCTAGGCAAACTTCAAATAGCAAGAGAAGAAAAAAGAAATAAAAGTAATACAGGCCCCAGAGTCCACTTGTGCAGGTAAGGGTCACCTGATCCTTTCATCTGGGAAGGACAGCCTGACCCAGGTCAGTGACAGACTGGCTGAGCATAAGCTGGAACAACCTTGTCATTACTTTCAGGTTTTAACAGGGGAGTGTGTGCTACATTTGCTTGGACACTTCCTGTATGAAAAGGACTTGGTACAAGAACTGATAATGCCTGGAAAGAGCAGAGACTCCCAGCCTGAGGACCAGAGCAGGTTTTCTATCTACAGTGCCAGCTGATAGCAGGTTGGAGGTGCCATCCCTGTGATATCATAAAGCCACTGATGGCAAGTTCCCTTTGGGCTTGCATTGCTGCTTCCTGACTCCTGGAAAATGAACAGAGGATAGTTTGGCAGATCAGGCTGTCTGTGAACTGGCCAGCTCACATCTCCAGCCTCAGAGCTACCCTCAGTCCCATCAAACTTTGTACTATAACAAGTAATGTGCTTGGGCACTGTGTGCCTCTGCCTTTCTAAGTGGTCTATAGAGATATTATGGGATTTTATCACTACAACTGCCTATGAGGTAGGTACTACATTCTTCCACATTGTAGATGAGAACACTGGGGCACAAAGAGGTTATAAGCTTTCCCAAGGGCACGGAACTAGAGAGTAGAGAGGTTTGCATTGAAATCCATGCAAAGTCTGGGCTCTTTACTACCACACAGGATGGCCCCTGAGGAATTTCTCCCTGAGCCCTACTCCCCCTCACCCAACGCTGGGCTGGAAACCACTGCCTCTGTACTTCATGGCACTTGTTACACTAAGCTGTGACTGCTTAACTGTCCCCCACTAGACTGTATGCTCCCTGAAGCAGATACCATATCTTTCTTGCTCACTCTTGTGTCCCCAGGGCTTAGAACAGAGTTGTGTTTATCATGAAAATATAAAATGCACCTCTTAGCAATCCTACTATGAATATACAATTGACTGGGGTCCTCCAGTCCCCCAGTGGCCACATCCACCACTCTGTACACATCAAGTCTCCATGCTTCCCATGGGCTACACTTTCCACAGGTTGACCCCGACCAGTACCAATAATTGTATCAGGAATATTAAGACACCCATTCCTGAGAGCTGCAGAACTTTCTGTCAACCCTGACAACAATTTCTGACCACTTCCTCCTGCCTGTCCCTTATCCTTCACAGAGATCAGACCTGCATCATAGTCTGAGGGCTCCCCCAGCCTCCTCCAGTCTATCCTCATTTTCCCTCACAAGGATTTTCTGTAACAAATGTCTTTCGTAGCTAATTCAGGCATGATGTCTGGTGCTAGGAAGAAATGGACTAAAGTAAGTGGTACCAGAGTGGGCACTATCCTTCAGGATGCAGTCTATGCATTAAGTTTAAAATCTCTGCATGATGCTGTATTCCTAGTAGGAAGAGACATAAACCTGGGAATCAAGGAGTGGAATCAAAAGTGATTCACCTATAATCATTCCCTTTAATCCACTTGGAAATTTTATTTTCCCCATTCCTGTAACTTTGGGATCTGCAGGGTTGAAGATCCTGGGTCCCAAAGTGAGCACACTCTTACAAGCAGATACAACAAGGGTCTCATTGTATACAGACTTCATCACCAGGATATTTTTGGACTCCATGTGTCCAGGGACCAGCAGGAGAAGAGTCCTCATACTGGCAAGGCTAATTGATTCTGATCAGCAATAGAAGAAAGACTGATTTACATACTGGGGAAAGGGAGAAATACATGTGTAACCCATGTCATCCACTTGTGGCCTAAGGGATAAAAATGGGCAGAGATTGTGGGAAATGATAAGGATGAGAGGAGCAATCTATCATTGTCTTTGCCACCATGTTAGCACTATTGGTTGTTTCCTTCCTGGAAGGACAGGCTGACCCAGGTCAGTGAGAGACTGGCTGAGTGTAAGCTAGAGGAGCTTTGTCATTGCTTTCAGGTTTTAACAGGGGAGTGAGTACTACATTTGCTTGGACATTTCCAAGATGGAATGACTCTGTTCTGGGTTCAGCAGTTCCTTAAGCAGAATCTATTCTTAAAGAATAGATAGTGTGTCTTACATACAGTGCCTGGCATATATGTGATCAATAAATATTGGATGAATGGATGAATGACTAAATGAATGTTGCTTTGTTTACAATCATTTTATGACTCATTCAACAAACCAGATTTCTATTTCCATGGAAAGGAAAAAAAAACCTCATTTTTCCAAATCTTATACCTCTGCACTGAACAAGACTAATTTATATGCTTCAAAGAAAAATTATATTCTTTCTTTGTAAATGCTACCCAACACATTCAGAACCAACCAAGTTTCAGAAAAAGTGATAATGTTGATCAACATCCAGCCATTTAAGATTTATAGTTTCTTCATGAGTTTGGGTTTGAGTTAATTACTGCTAGGTACTGAAGTCCCTCACCTTACTCTCGGGGAAGAGTGGGATCTTGGGTTGGACAGAGGAAGCCTGGACTTGCTGTTTTTTAGGAACCTTGTTGACTCTACCTTATGATACAGACAACAGGAATTTTTCTGTTAAATGCAATTATAAAATTTCTAGACCTTGATTTGGAAGATGTGGATTGATATCCCAGCTCCTTCAAGTCCTAGCTGAAAAAGTCAGTTTACAATATTAGTCTCCATATTCCCATTTATAAAATGGCAATAATGATCATTGTCATCATCATCTTCTTCCCATGTTGGAATATTGTTATGAGGATTAAATCAAGTGACATCTAAATGTATATAGCAATATTAATAGCCAATATTTGTAAAGTGCTTATATTGTCCTAAGCACTATTCTAAGTGCTTTGAATAGTTCATTTAACTCTCATAATAATTGTATGAGTTAGGAACCAATATTATCTATATTTTACAAATGAGAACATTGAAGAACAGTGAGTTTAAATTACTTGCCCAAGGTCATACAGCTAGTAAATGGCAGAGCTGAGATTCCAACTCAGAGCCCATGTTCTCAACTATTCTACTCTGTTGCCTGTCGATGAATGCAGAAAATTTAGTGTGTTGGAATTACAGCATAAATATTTAATAACATATTATACATGCTGGAATCAACAAGAAATATACTATAGAACAGGAATTAAAAATATAAATACCAATCTGCTTTTCCTTAACTTCAACTACTACTTATATTGCATCACATTGCAGCCCCTAGCAAAGCTCTCCTGAGTTTCTTCTTGGAGTTGGAAACCTGCTGAACTATCTACTAAGGTTGTGCTCCTGAGTCTCCTTTTTTTTTTTTTTTTTTTTTTTGAGATAGAGTCTTGCTCTGTCGCCCAGGCTGGAGTGCAGTGGCCTGATCTCCGCTCACTGCAAGCTCTGCCTCCTGGGTTCACGCCATTCTCCTGCCTCAGCCTCCCGAGTAGCTGGGACTACAGGCGCCTGCCACCACGCCCAGCTAATTTTTTCTAGTTTTAGTAAAGATGGGGTTTCACTGTGTTAGCCAGGATGGTATCGATCTCCTGACCTTGTGATCCACCCACCTCGGCCTCCCAAAGCGCTGGGATTACAGGCGTGAGCCACCGCACCCAGCCGTTCCTGAGTCTTCTAAGGAGTGTCACAGCTCCCCGGAATAACTCAGTGCTTCATCGCAACCCACTTGTTTCATGTGCACTGTTTGGAATCTAAAACTTTTAGTTGATTTCAATTAAAGTTTTTAATAATGTTCTTTGTTTATCAGAGCCTAAGTCCCTCTTTATACCGAGAGCAGAACCCCATCAATTTAAGTGAATTTCTCACACACTTGTGAAGATATTAGAGCATTCTTGTTAAAAGCCTGGGCTTTGTACCCAGAAAGTCTGACCTGAGAAGCTCACACAGAGAAAACCCCCTTGACTTTTTACTTTCTGGTTCCAGTTATTCTCTGAAGCCAGCAGCCCCTACTCTGGGGTTCTGTGTAGTAGTCCTGGCTCCTTACAATGAGGGGGGCAAGACTGGCGAGTAGAAATGAAGGTGAGGGACCATCCCAAAAAAGGGAACTGAGTTAACAAAGACTTAGTGGTACAAGGGAAGAGATCATTCTGAGAAAATGGCATAAATCATGATTTAAACACAGGCAAACGAAGGAGTTTCAAGACCAGTGCGCAGGTGAAAGTCAAACTATAGAGTGTCTTGGTTGTCATGCTAAAGAGTTTCAACTTTTCTTCTTCAGGCATTGAGAGGCCAAATTATTCCTCAGTAGCAAAGTACTGAAGTCAGATAGGCAGTCCAGAAAGCTCTCTTTGAAGCAGAGTGGTTGATGGAGCAGAAGCAGGCAGACCAGACCAGCTTTTGCAAAAATCTAGGAAGTAGAGAACATGTAAACTTAAGGCACTAGAAATGGAAAATAAGAGCTAGTTCAAGAGATAATCCTTCATAGAATCCAGCAGCCTGTAACTTGGAGGTAGTGATGTCATTGACTGAGGTATAGAACAGACTATGTGAAAATGCTTGGTTAAATCTTATGATAGGCATGTAACAGGGTATTGTCACTATTGTTCTTACATTCATCCTCTTTCCAGAACCTTTTTTAAAAGGTCAGGTAGTTTCTACTCCTAGCATTTTGTTTTGTTTTGTTTTCCTTTTCATTTCTTTGAGCAGAGAAGTTTGAGAGAACTGTACCTCTGTCTTTCACCTATCAAAGAACCCATGATTGTCAGTTATCTAATAAAAATTGATTATGCTTTTACTGCACAATTCAAATAATTTACTTTATGCACATTTCTTTGCATCTTATACTCCAAGTTATCTTTTGCATTAAATTAGTTATAATTGATTCTTTTTGCATTATATTTATCATGTATTTACCTTCCTCCCCTACAGGGCTATGACGCCTTAATGGAAGGTATTCTTTTTTGCCCTTACCTATAAACTTTTCTGTGCCACGCATACTGCTGGCTCATGGGAAAGGCTAAATAAATATTCAATTAGTTGATAATTCGGCTCTGCCAAAAATCCCTAGCAGAGGTGTACTTACTCTTACTCCCTTTTGGCCTTTGGAAAGTATTCACCTAAATATTAATGCCCTAAACATAAATATGCATTGGGCAAATAATCTCTTAGAGACAGGCAATATGAAAAGAAAACAATAGGCAAAAAACAGTTTGATGTTGTTTTGATGTGGTAAGGACAGTGAATGAGAGAATTTGTCTAAGATAAATGAAAAAAGAAAGTACAAAAGGAGACAAAGAATGATTTGGAAACAGTAGGAATTAACCTCTGAAAAAGTGGGAACAAGAATAAAATCATGGGATCATAGGATCATAGAATATTCCAGCTGAAAGGAACTTTAGAGATCATCTCATCCAACCCTTCATTTTACAGGTAAGAAACTGATGCAACTAGACCCAAGAAATTGCAGATCTGGGAACCAGGAAGGATAAAGAAAACAACTCAGATATCATGAGACTAAAGAAAGATCAGATTTAAACTGATCTCAGAGTTTTTATACCTATGGCTATAATTTCTCATGTCTACACACTTTGGCCTGGAATCCTCTTTTGATATTTCTTTTCCAGGCAAACTTTTCCTCATCCTTCCAGCCTCATTTCAAATGACAGCTCCTCTGTGAAGCCTTCTCCTTATCCCTAGGCATGTCCACCGTTTCTCTGGGTTCTCTGAGCATTTCTATACACATCCATTATACCTCAGTCATATATTACTGTAATCATAGTTTACATGAGAGCACTCCTGTGAGAGTCTTGTAGGCAGAAATTGTATGACATTTATCTTTTATCCATCTCCAGTGTGTAGCACAGTGGTTGCGGCTTCTTCTTAAAAGTTGAACTAATGAATTAATGAATGAGCCATTTGAAATTTGTTCTCTCCTCATGAACCGTAACAGGGGTGAGTAGCCCAATCCATATTAAATAGAAAAGACTGGATTTTCTAATAATATGTGAATCTGTAATTACTTGCCTGTAGATTACATATACTAGAAAGTCCTTTTATTTAGTGAAATAAAATATACTATTCCCCCAATAGTGATTACCATATTGAGAATTGCTACCTGTCTCCCATGATAAACCTATCTCCATTTTTCCCATAGCCTTATCATCTTAAAATATACAATTTTATCTACTAATATATTGGGTTTATTGTTTATTGCTTATCAGTAGAAAATAAGCCATAGAAAGCCAGAGATCTGTCTGTTTTGTTCACTGCTATATCCTAGGCACCCACAACACTGGCTGGTATATATTTAACACTCAATATTTGTTGAGTGAATGAATAGTTGGATGAATCAATACAAGTCTAAACTCTTTAGCATGGTGCACCTATTCCCCCATGGTGTATCTGACGTCCCCCTTTCCATCTCATCCTGCTCTATTCCAGTGGTTCTCAACTGTGGGCAATTTGTCCCTCAGTTTGGAGACATTTTTGGTTGTCACAAATATAGGGGTAGGAAGGGGAAGGATACTACTGGCATCTAGTGGGTGGAGGTCTGGGATGCCGCTAAACATCCTACCACACACAGGATAGCCCTCATCCTCACAAAAATGTCTAGCCCCAAATGGCAATAGTTTCAAAACTAAGAAACCCTCCTCTATGCAATGCCCCATACCACCTACACAGACAGCACTAAATTCCCTGTAGTTTGCCCAATATTCTCTCCTTTTTTAAAAAACTTGCATTACATGGTACATGCTATTTGTTCTACCTAGAATGCCCTTTCTATTTTGTTGATCTGTTGAATGCCTACTCAGTTTTTGAGCCTCTGCTCAGGTATCACCTTTTACTAGAAATCTTCCTGGCCCCTGGAGGCCGAGCGAAGTGCTTCCTCTTCTGCGCTTTCTGGGCATCTTGTTCATACCTCTATTTTACCATTTAACCACATTACTACAGTTGTAATTTCCTTTTCATCTATCTTTCTGCCCTAAACTGTGAGCCACTATAAGCAGAGACTATGTTTATTGTCAGACTCCTCTTTAATGAGCACAGGTTCTGGGAAATAGAAAGTGCTTCATCAAACCTTGTGGAAAAAAGTAAGTAAATCCTTGAGGTGATGGAGGCATCACAAGAACCTCCTCCAGATGCCCCTATCCCAAATTATCCTCTCTCGTCTCTGAATTACTATAAACTCTTATCATCTCTGTCACAAAATGTACTCATGACAATCCAATATTTTCTAGTTGTTTCCCAGACAAATTACCCAAGCTGTTGGAGCACTTGGGATCATAGCTTCTTCTTGGTTCTCTCCCTCCCAAGAGAAGAAGGTGATCGGCACTAAGGTAAGGAACTCAGTAAGCAGCTTGATTTGCCTGGACTAACTCTGTTGATGTCCAGAAGACATCAACAGAACCAGAGGAAATTAAACTGGTTTCACCTAGTCACATTGAGAAACCTGTCAGGCAGCCTTGCTCTGGACCTGCCACCTAGGCACTGGTAGTTGTTTCAAGTGTATATGACTATATCCGTCAAGATGATGAGAGGGTAGACTCCCAGCTATGGGGAATCCATTAGTCACTTCACTAAATCCGGTATGAAATATAGTCTTCTCACATCAGCAGCATCAATTTAAATATGGACTCATTATTTTGTTAAAATTCAATAAGAAAGGCTCAAATTGAGCTTCTGAATATAGTATAGTCCTCAATTCTGCATGAAATAAATAAAGCACTGAGCACAATATTGATGCTTATACAATATTCATTATAATTAACAGAAATATTTATTATTTGCTTCTGAACTGGGCAAGTGAATTTTGCCAGCAACCAGATGCAAGCACTTAACAAACATTGATTGAAGCAATACTCAATGCAAAACTCTGTGTGAGGGTCTAGGGAGAATGTTACTCAGTGAATCAGCTTGTATTTTAAAGCCTAGCTGCTTTTCAAGATATTACATCTCCAGCATCAATCTGTTTATTGCCTAAGCAACCTACATGCCTCTGTGACAAGATAAACAGCTGGCTTTATTGTCACTCATAATGTAATCATCTCTTTTGGCCATTGCCTACTCATTTCTCATAACATTCTAAGATAACCTCTGGGATTTGGATTTATATGTTATGTGGGTTGGTCTATTGAAATGTGTTTATATGTTCTAACTCTTGATAAATGGCCCAGATTGTGAAAATCTCTGGTTAGACCTGCCTGATAATAATAAGGCTGTTACCGTTTACTAAACACTTAACCTTGCGCCAGGCACCATCACATTTGAAGATGTGATCTCATGTAATCCTCACTTAGGTTTGAGGTGTGATTCTACTGCTTAGTAGCTAGGCCACACTGAGCAATTATTTAACTTTTCTGAGTCTCAATTTCCTCAACTATAAAATGGGAACAAAAATACTACTTATGGGGTTGTCATGCAGATTAAAAGAAATAATGAATGAAAGATGTCAGCACAGGTTTGGGAGACATTGTAAATTTCTTTATTAACTATTATATCAGATAAAATGGCGGGATTTGGATTGGGTTCCCTGGGAAACAGACTGTGAGGCAGAGATTTGCATGCAGGAGCTTTAACAGTGCCTTTGAGGGAGGAAGTGCAGCAGGAACAGGTAGAGGGAGAAGTTGAACTGCAATTCAGTTGCAGCAAAAGCTTCAGCTCTACCCTCAGGGTGCTTTAGAGCAGGGATGACCCTTTAGAATGACTGAATTGAGCCCAGCTGGCAGTCCTTTGTACCCCCCTCCCCCAACGTCAACTGGCCATTGGGTGCAAGCTGCCCACAGGGAAAGTGCATAACTTTATGCATCCAGGTGAGGCATCTCCATTGTATTAAGGGTAATTCCTCACTCAGCTGTGACTAGTCAGCAGGCAGCACTCCTGACAGCTGAGGGGACAGTGCCATCCTGAAGAAGGAAGCTTGGTGACACCATAGTGTCCACTACCGCAGAGCTTGGTAGAAACCTGAAGTAGAAGGAACATTAAATTTTATGGTTTAAAAATTATGGTAAATTTACTAATCATGTTTGTAAAATCCTTGTGGTGAGGGTTAGACTCTCTTCAATATGTCAAAGTCATTGATTTTATTTACTGCTTGTTTCACATGTTTTTATAAATAACATTTTTTATATAAGGTGCCTTCAGGCTAGAGGGAACTGAACTTTCAGTTTGATTGGACTATTCTGTTTGTCCTATTTTCTTCTATTCTGTTGCTTGGTGTCCCAGAAATTCCTCCTTGGGAAGCATTCATCCCTTTCTTTACAAGCTGCCAAGCTGTTCTGTGAGGTGTCCTCTCTAATTTTGGAAATAGATGTGTTCAGGAATTTCAGGAGGCTGGGCCTTGAGCAGGAAATGTACCCTGGCCTCGATTTGAGGCCCTACCACACAGCCCCCAGGGGATCACATTCCTCATCCGAGTAGTGACATTTAGGGGATTTTCCCTCTGGCTCATCAAGGTGGCTGAAGAATTACTAATTTATTGGGAAAGCAAGTTTTACAATGAGAGCTTCTTTTCTTTCTTTCTTTCTTTTGTTTTTTGTTTTTTTTTGAGACAGAGGCTCACTCTGTTGCCCAGGCTAGAGTGCAATGGCATGATCTAGACTCACTGCAACCTCTGCCTCCTGGGTTCAAGCAATTCTCCCTGCCTCAGCCTCCCTAGTAGCTGGGATTACAAGGGCCCATGCCTGTTAATTACAAAAATTACCACGCATGGCTAATTTTTGTATTTTTAGTGGAGACAGGGTTTCTCCTTGTTGGCCAGGCTGGTCTCAAACTCCTGACCTCAGGTGATCTGCTGGCCTCGGCCTCCCAAAGTGCTGGAATTACAGGAGTGGGCCACCATGCCCGGCCAAGGGCTTCTTTTTCTAAATAGGATTGGTATGTGATTTGAGAAATCAGAGTGTGCGGGTCTTTTGCTATACTGAAAACAATAACTGCTTTCCACTGGCTCTAAAACTTGAAGGTAGTGTGTCAAACGCCTCAAGGAAAATACAATTAGTTTGTTGGTAGAAAGGGAGAGGTTGCTGGTCACATGTTGAGGGTTTAGATGATTTTTTTTTTTTTATTTAGAAATGTTGCTATTTAAAATGGGACTTAAAAGAGAGGATTTTATCAGGCAGAGATGGAAGAAAAGGGCAATTTATCTCTTCACACGTTACGCACACACATACATCCTTCTCATATCCTTTCATATATCCAACATGAAGAAATATTCAAATCCTAATTCTATGCCATACAATCAAAGAAAATCACAAGTAGGGGGAAAAAAAGAAAGAAGAAAAAGGAGAAGGAGTAGAAAGGGGCAGGGAAAAAAATGGCAAAGTGTGTGGGTTATGGTGGCAAACAGGATGTAATAAAGAAGGAAGAATCATTGCCTTTGCTCTATCCTCTCATAGCTTTGTCTGCAGTGATATATGGCATTTCAGACACAGCAAGCACCTTTGGGACATGAAGAGTTAGAACACTAATAATGCTGAACATTTTTGAGTACCTTTTGTTTATCAAGTGCTGTAAGTGCTTTTCATGCTTTAACTGGCTCTTCATAATGATCCTATGTGGTAAGCATTGGTGGTTTTCTCATTTTGTAAATCAGAAAACTATGTTGCAGAAAGCTTCAGCTAAGATTACACAGCTAAGCGGCAGAACTGAGACTCTTCTCTAGGTTATTACGTTTTAGAATCCAAATGCTTATAATCACTTACTGTATTATATCACAAAAAAGAGCCAAAGATGGGTTGTAGCAGATTTTTAAAAAATAAAAAGAAAGAAAGAGAGGGAGAGAGAAAGGAAGAAGGAAAGAAGGAGAGAAGGAGGGAAGGAAGGAAGAAAGGAAGGAAGGAAGAGAGGGAGGGAGGGAGGGAGGGAGGAGGGAAGGGACAAATGTCCCTGGGTCAGCCCAAAAATTAGTTAATTAAAAGGGAAGGCTTCTGACCTACCCCATTCTTTAACCAGGAGCAAAAGCCTGGGATTCCACAGAACCATGAGAGGCCAAGCCCCAGGATAAGACTTAAGGTACCACAGATCTGGCAACATCAAAGAAAGCGCTCTAGAAACATGGTAAATTGTGGCATGTGAACCCCTGTGTTTTGGTAGGGAAATTCTATTCATCCAGTCTCTGGAGAGCTTAGCCCAAGAGAAAGTAAACAAAATGTCAATGAGCCAAGAATTTACATAATTCATCCCAGTGGCAGCAAATGCCATGATTTTGTTGGCTTATAGGTGGTTGATGAAAGGAAAACAACAGCACTTCTCTCTGTCCAAATAGAACCATAAATCCTTTCCCCTGTATAAACCAAGTCACCAGAATGGTAGGTAGCTTCTTAATATCACCTCCTGATATTCAAGCTTTTGTATGATCCCCTCCTCTTGGATTTACTGACTCACTTCTAATAAAGAAAATACAGAAGAAGTAAATAAGATTATGGCAAAATAGTGACTTCCAAGATGGGTTTATACAGATGCTGTGACTTCTGTCTTAAGTGCTCCTACTTTCTTTGCTCACTCTGGGGAAAGCCAGCTACCATGCTGAGGCAGCCCTATGGAAAGGTCCACGTACGTGAACTTGGAAGCAAATCTCCTGAGGCTGCCAACAACCAGATGAGTAAACTTTGAAGCAAATGCTTCTCCAGTTGAGATCATAGCCCCAGACAAGAGCTTAACAGCAACCACATGAGAGACGTTGAGACAGAGGCATCCAGCTAAGCCACAGCTGGATTCCTATCCCATAGAAACTGAAATAATAAATGTTTGTTGTTTTAAGTTACTAAATTTTGGAGTAATTTTTTATGCAGCAACTGATAACTAATACAGTTCTCAAATTGGGAGAAATCTTGGTTAAGAATACAACTTGTTTTATCTTCATTCAACAAAATTCCCCTTTTCATTTACTTCTAAGAATTCACGACAATAGGTTGTGCATCAGTAGTCATACTCTTGGGGTTGTCTAGTACCAACAAACAGTCCTAGCTTTGTGGCCAGATGTTACTGAGTTAACATAATTTGAGCTTCAGAATTAAATAAGCCCTGATGTAGACATAGGTTCTTATCTCTTTGTATTCATTTAACCAACAAAGATCCAGTTAAATGAAGCAAATTATCTAAAATCACAGCTAGATAGCAGCAGATATTAGTCATAAGTATTTACTGAAAACCTACCCATTTTTTTTTACTTGGGGTCAAAACCCACTTCTCACTGTTCCATGTTCCTTCTGGAGATATGTGAGCCCATCTGTTCTATCTTTAGAAACTTGATTGTCCTCCATCTCAGTGACTGATGCCGCCGTCCTCTTAAACATGCACCCAGAAACTGAGGAGTCCTTCACACCTCCCTTTTCCTCACAACTCCATCTCAAATTTATATCCAAGGACTGTTGAATTGCTTCAAAAACATCTCTCAGTCAAATCCACCCACTTCTGTCTATCTCCACCATCTACAACCTATATTACCCAAAAAGGGCTATTTTATGCTTTCGTAACAAGTAAGCCCCAAATCTCACAGTCTTAACAAAAATTTATTTATCTTTCATCACAACTCAATACACATCAAGCATCCCTCCTCCATCTTGGAGTTCTGCCCTCTGGGAGTCAGGATCCCCAGTGTCACTACAGCAAGGGAAGAGAGAGACAGAGCCAACTCACCTATTGTCTCTACCCAGAAGTGACACACATCAATACTGCTCCTATGCCACTGGCTAGAACTACTCACATGAACCAGTTTAATTCCAAGGGACGCTGGGAAATGCATAGGAACAACTGGATATTTGGTGAGTACCAAATGTCTCTATTTCATCACCCTAAGCAAAGCTACCATCATTTCTGGCTTGGACCTCTGCAATACCCTCTTTACTGGTATGGCAGCATCCACTCTTACCCATCACTTAGCTCTTCTTTCTAGAGCAGTCGTTTTGACTGAAGATCCAAAAGGTCATCATTGGCTTCCCATTGTTCTTCAGATGTAAACACAATTGCTTAACATAGCATGCAAAGCTATGCTGTGGCCCCTGTGTGTATATCTGGACTGGTCTTGCTTCACACTCCCTCTCAAACCCCACTGCTTTGCCCATCACAGCCACAGTGACCTTCCAGTCCCTCCAGCTGGCTGTGCTCTCTCCTGTGCCAGCCTGCTCAATAAAGGCAGATCTGGGTTTGAAGACTGAAATAGGTGATGAATCAGTCTTGTGTTTTTTTTGTTGATGGTGGTTAAACATCAGTTTACTACTGGCTCAGCAAAAAACCGTGTGAAGTGTATATACAAGATAAACCCAGAGGAGGATAGACATTGCTATCCACTTGCTTCCTAATTCCACCTAGGAGGCAAAGAGGTTGTGTTGTTAATTTAGCCAGTCAGTGAGGAACACGTTAGGTCAGAGGGGCTCAGCGTGAGGCTCACTGCATACTATACTATTCTTCTTGTGGAGGACCACATTAGCACACAGCATCTGATCTGTTACTATATAAAGAAATTTTTGCTGCCCACAAATTACTCCCATTTATTTCTGTGTTGTCAGGCCTTGCATACCTTTTGTCACAGGATCTTTGCATACCTTCTTTCTCTTTCCAGAATATTCGTTCCTTCTGTCTTCAGTCACTTCTGCCCTCTTTATCCCCCATCATATGTTCTTATAGCACCAGTTACCACTCTTCCATAGCATTGCCACATTTGCAATTCTATAATTATTTGTGTGTTATTTAATTGTTCACAGTCTTTTCCATCACACTATAAACTCTTGAAGGCGGGAATCAGTTCTGGTTTTGTTCGTGTTAGAGGCCCCTGTAGAGTGCCAACACATCGCAGCTCTCAAACAAGATTTCTTGAATAAATGCATCAAGAAGATAGAGCTTTCCCTGTATCTAACTCCTTTTTTTAAAATCCAATATACATGGATCTATTATTTAAAATAATCTTTTAAAACTCAAATCTCATTATGTCATTTTTTTGCTGAAAAGTTCTCAATGATTCCCCGTCACTCAATGACAAAGTCTAAGCTGTGTGACATGACCTATAAATAGGGTGGCCATATGTCCAGGTTTACATGTCTGAACCTGTGGTTATGATATAAAGTGTCCTCTTTTAATTCTCAAAAGCATCCCAGTTTGGATGATACATTTTATGGTCACTCTATACAAGTGACTTCCAATATCTGGCTCCTTATTGACTTCTTAATCTTTTTGCTTTACGGTTTATACACATGCAACACTGAACTGCTTACAGAATTCTCTGCCAACCACCAAGCTGTTTCTCACCTCCAGGCCTTTGCTGGCATAGTTCCCTTGGGCCAGAATTCCCTCTCCTCCCTGCTGACACATTTTGTATAATTTAGCTCATTTCCTAACTCCTGGAGAAAGTCTTCTGTGACTCTCACCTCCAAGGCCAAGTCAGGAACCTCTTTCCTTAGATCTTCCCAGTCCCTTAATCCTCTATACATTATGCCTTCATTGCATTTTCACATTGAATTATAAATGCTGGCATATGTCTGTCATCAATCCCCACCCCAATGCGCATGCAACACCTGCCTTTGAGGAGGGACGATATATTACTCATCTTTGTGTACGTGCAGCACGTAGCTGATGCACAGTAATTACTGATTGAATGAATACGTGTTTTTGAAGATTTTATTTATTCAACAAATGAGATTTTGTGGATAGGACGTTTATTTTTCTAACTTTATTAATCTAAATCATTTAGAACTTTTCATCTGAATTTCTCTTTTTCTTTTTCTGAGACGGAATCTCGCTCTGTCACCCAGGCCGGAGTGCAGCGGCATGATCTTGGCTCACTGCAAGCTCCGCCTCCCGGGTTCATGCCATTCTCCTGCCTCAGCCTCCCGAGTAGCTGGGACTACAGGCGCCCGCCACCACGCCCGGCTAATTTTTTGTATTTTTCGTAGAGACAGGGTTTCACCGTGTTAACCAGGATGGTCTCGATCTCCTGACCACGTGATCCACCCGCCTCGGCCTCCCAAAGTGCTGGGAATTACAGGCGTGAGCCACTGTGCCCAGCCCTTTTCATCTGAATTTCTACTTAGCATGAGCAACCAGTGATACCCCCACTGAGTTAGTATAATTACAGCCAAAACAAAGAAGCCTGATGTTTTAACTACCCCACAGATCCTTACGATGGACTTTTTAAAATAGTGAAACTAGCTCTCATACTTCCAGGCTTGTCAACCTGATCTAGTCCAGCTACTACTGCTACTAGTTCTACTTCTTTTTCTTCCTCTTCTTCCTCCTTCTCCCACTCCCTCTCCCCTCCCCTGTCCACTCTCCCTCCTTCTCCTCCTCTTCCTCTCCTTCTCCTTCTCTCTCTTTCCCTGATGAGAATACTTGGACTCTAATTCTAACTCTTGCCTCACCCTGTCCTGCCCTCCTCCTTCACATCCTCCTGTCTGCTTCCCCCAACCCTGCTATCTCCTAAGTTTCATCTGCAAAGCACATGAGGGCACCATATCACTCAAATAACTTACACATTTTTTTAACCTTTACAGTAAATTTAATTTAGATGCTGCCTGTTTTGTCAGCCTTGCTAAACTAGATTTTTCAGAGGAATTATTTTTTAAATCCTGAAGTTTGAACATCATTGCCCTAAGAAGAGACATAATAAATAACATTTCTGCTGAAAGTGTGAAATAGTGTCTCATTGCTAAAAAGAAGTTGTTTCTGGGAAACAGCCTTAGATTTTGATTCAGACCTTGATTTGTTTCTGGCCTTGTCACTGTCTACATCTGCTCTAATGGGCTGTCCACATACCTGCTTGAGCCCACATTTCTTGGTCTATAAACTGAAATGAGAAAATATGCCTCACAGAGCTGTAGGGAGGATCCAGAGGGAAGCTGTATATCAGTATTTCTCTAAATAATGTCCTTACAAAGGGAAATATTTTCAGGGAATCTGCAATGTTGATGTAGATTGTTTTTATTATAGTGTTACATACATATGAACAAAGTTAACACTGGGTATAAATTTTTAAGCTTATAGCTCTTATAAAACTAGAAATTAAAATCAATTTGTAAATTGTACATATAAACCAAAGAAATTGACAAGAAAACATTTACACATTAAATGTAAGTCAAACTACAAACTACAACGAATGAAATGATCAAGGATAATTTACTGAGATAGCTGATTGTTTACCAACTCTAAACTTTCATTGCTAACAAAAATTGTATAATCTGTACCTCAATACCCTGCCTCCTTTATTTTGTAAAATCTCTGAGCTTCCATGTATTAAACAGTAACACAGAAACAATTAAACTACATAACAAAGGGCCTGATAATAATACCATATAACAAAGACTTAGAAGTCAGTTGATGCATCCGATAAAAAGGGGAAATGGAAGGCCCTGAGCTTTACCACAAGGAATTGTTCAAGCCCTTTGGGTCAAGACTCCAGGGGGAAGTGGTTGGACTGGCACTCAGATGAAGTTTGTGCTAGGATCCTCCCTGTCCCCCCAGATACATTTCCACAGGTAAGAGCTCAGACTATGGAGTACAACCTAGGTTTTAATTAGATCACTGTCACTGTTAGCTCTACAATTTACTTCACCTTTCTCAACCTCAGTTTCTTCAGCAGTAAAATGGGGAAAAATTAATTCTATTTTATAGGATTGTGTTGAGGACTGAATCCAATAATGTATATGAGAGCCTCAAGAAATTGCATTAGTATCATGTGTAATGAAAAAGGCTCAGTGGTTCCTAGACAGACATGGAAGTAAGTGGCCCTCCCTCTACCACCTAGTTGCTGGAGTCCCTGTCATAGCTGGAGAGAAACTTCCTTCCAGCAGAGACTGCTGGAGGGAGCAGAAGCCCACAGCACCCTGGATCTGAGCTCCTGGGAAAATTTGGACCTGTGAATTTTGAAACCTTGCTGAAGAAGATAGAGGTAGAGAAAACCTATATTTCTAAAGATTCCAGCTGTTTTTAGTGTTGTAATAGGTAGAGATTAACCCTCCAAAACAGTTCTTTCTCTGATCTGAGAAAACTCAATCAGATTTTTGGTTTTTATCTAAATAAGCAAAATAACTTTCTGCTCTAATGGAGCTCTTTAGTGATCCTGAGGCTTTCAGGAGTTAAAAACACAGATTTTAACTCTTGAGACAGGGAAAGTTACACTTTGGAGAAACTACGTTACTTTAATTTAGGGGTTGTGGGGATGGATTTGAGCTAAGAGGAAAGAAAAAGCTGTTCTGGCTTCTGTATCCACAGCCAGGAAGGTTTGGAGAGGCTCTGAGGAGGAGCAGGAACAAGAGCTGATGGAACTGTGCAAGCACAACTTTGGAAGATTCTGAGAACAAGCAGAGTCATTTGAACTAGGGGATGAGATGTGGTATGGAATTAGGGAAAAGGCCATTCTCCCTGCCTCTCATGGGACCCAGAACCACTTGGGCCCCCTGAAAATGTACAGCTTTAGAAGTCGCTGGAGATGGAGGTCTGGCAATGGTGTTATCATGCTTATGATGGTGCCTCTGCCGTGGCAACAGCGAGGCTTCCCAAGTTGCAGAGAGCAGCAAGAGAAAGTCAGAGCTGGAGAGCACCTGCCTGTCAATAAATCCAAGAACAGACAGGAAGCACAAAGGTGCGTTTCTGTGAGTGACTTGGCAACACTTTGAGAAGGGTTGGAGTCGTGACACCATGTGGGGAAGAGCTCAAGCCATTATAAGTTAGGCATTAGAAGTCAACTTGATAAACAACCCAGTCACAATATCAATACAAATGAAACGATCCATGAATCAATTTAGCAAGAAAGGTACAGGGTCAATGATAAAGAAGACTATGAAATCTCATTGACAGATGTGAAAAAAAATTCTGAACAAATGAAAAAGATATACCATTTTCTCAATAGAAATTATTTATCTTTACTATAGCAATCCTTCCAAAATTAATGCAATGTCAAACAGAATCCCAATTTTTATCAGCTGCATAAAATAAGTTTAAATTTCTAATGAGAACATAAATATCTGAGACTAGTTTAAAAAAAAAAGAACAAAGGATCATGAGGGTAGATTTGCCTTATCCAATATCAGATGTTTGATAAAGCCATTACAATAAAAATATAATGACATTGGCTCAGACTGGTAAAATAGAATTAAGAGTTCAGAAAATAAATCCAAGTGCATGTAAAAACTTAATATATGACAAAGGGAACATGTTAATGAGAAAAGGAGTGTTTATTTTATTAATGCTGCTGACATACTTGGCTATCTAGGAGAAAACATAGAGAAATTCTTAACTCTCACCATACACAAAAAAAGATTCCCAATAAATTAAAGAGTTAGTGAAAAAATTATACATTAGAACAAAATTTAGGATAATACATAGTGTTGAAGTAGGAAGACTTTCCCATGTAAGATAAGAGATCCAGAAGCCATAAAGGAAAACACCAACATATGATATTTGATTACATTTTGTTATTGTTAAAAGATTAAGTAGACAAAGTCAAAATACCAGTGATGTCCTGGGGAAAATTTTTGTCACAGATATGATAGATATAAGGTTAATCTTCCTAATGTACAGAGCTCTTTTAATTTGTAAGAAAAGACAACTTCAACCCAGTCAAAAATAGGCAAAGGATAAGAGAATTCACAGCAGAAGAAATAAAAAAGTCCATGAAAAGATGAGCAACCTCACTTGTAATCAAGAAAGCATAAAGTAAGTTTAAAGACATCATTTTTGCCTATCACATGGGGGGGGAAATAAAAAGAAGAAAACCCAGAATTGGTAAACCTGGAGGAGATTTTCACTGTCCTATATTCTGGGAAGGCTTGAATTGCTACAACCTTTTGGAAAAATAAACTAGAAATGTCTACTAAATTGAAAAATATGCAAGCCCAATAATCCAATTCTGAAAATTCATCCTATAAAAATAAAATTGCCAGCACATAAATATTTATGTTAAGAATGCTTATTGCTATTTTTGTTTATTTTTGGATGTATATTGATAGAGAAATAGTTCAAATTATGGTATATCTTTAATAGGAAATATTATGCAGCTATTGAAAAACAAAATGATCAATATCTATTAACCCAGAGAGAATTCCACGATGTCTTGTTAAGAAAAGCAGGCTACGGAAAAATAAATATGGTTCTATTTTTATAAAAATAAGTAGCAATCATCCTCCTCCTCATATAGGTATATGCACATTTTCATAAACAAAAAAGTGTGGAAGGTGTAACCTTAGGGGGCGGAAAATGAAGGAGATGGCGGGGACAGAAATCATTAAATTCTATGATGTATTTTTGATTATTTTATTGGGTAGACTGTTTATGTAGTGCTTCTCTATTAAAAGTATTAATAAATAAGATAATGTTTTCAAAGAAAACGTGACCTCAGAAGCTAATGGGACCTGGGCTTGTGAGTCAAGTACTATTGTTCTTACAGAGGAGTTGAGAGGAAATGAATCTGATGGGAAAGAAGGGAAAGAAACAAACGGGCGACTTTCCACTCCTGTGCCACATGCTTCCATTTCTCCCTCTAGGAAACCCTTCTAGGGATGCTGCACTTGCTCTGCCGGTGGGCTGGCTTCACGGACTGCTGCCTCTCATTATCCAATTCCTTTCTTATAATTTTTAGGCTGGACACCGCCTACTTCGGTGGTCTAATTTAGGCCATGTGCATGCATTTGGGGGATGTGTCTGTTGCTAGTATATAACATTTTCACATTTAGATCTCTTTAATAATCTTCATTTGAATAGTAGTTCAGGCAAAGGAAAAAGAGACCATGTTTGCGTTGATGTCTTTCAGCCAAACTCTGCCACCCAGGAGCTAGCCAGTGTCTGGGGAAATTCGCCAGCCTGGACTCTGGCAATAAAACAGCCATTTATCCTAGGCCAGAAACAAACCTTTCCAGGCCTGAGGTAAATTTACATAGAAATAAAACTTAAATGAGGAAAATACTACTGGGGCGATGCTTTAAATTATTTACATTTGTTCATCTCCAACAGTAAAACAAAGCTTCAGGGATGCAGACCCAGAGACAGTATCTTCCCGCTGAAATACAGAAGAAACATTTTGATTTTACTACTATTCCCAAATATTCTAGAAACCTAGCCAGGCGTTAGAGACAATGGAAAACTATTCTTGCTTTTAAAGATATAGTTAAGTTAATTTGGCTGCTGTTAGATTGTAGAACTCTTGAGTTTTTAGAAAGGCAGGGGTGGGGACCAGGGAACGTGACCAGGAAGAAATTTCACTTGTCCCTTCTTGAGATCTAAGAAAGGAAGCACATCCTTCTTAATGCCCTGTTTCTTGGGCTGACCACCTATCTGTTCAGAAGGTTGTCTCTAGGGAGCCAACTGTTCCTGCTGTGATTTAAGTCTGTCTTCTCCATTCCAGCAATGGGAGTTAGGGAGAGTTAATTAACTGGTATGGTTTGGATCTGTGTCCCCACCAAATCTCATGTTGAAATGTAATCCCCAGTGTTGGAGGTGGGGCCTGGTGGAAAGTGTTTGGATCATGATGGCAGATCCCTTACTAATGGCTTAGGGCTATTCCCTTGGTGATGGGTGAGTTCGAGTGAGATCTGGTTGTTTAAAAGCGTAGCACCTCCCACTCTCTGTTTCTTGCTCCCACTTTCACCATATAATCCATTGGCTCCTCCTTTGCCTTTCATTATGATTGTAAGCTTCCTGAGACCTCCTCAGAAGCCAAGCAGATGCCTGGTGCCATGCTCCCTGTACAGTCTGCAGAATCATGAGTCAATTAAACCTCTTTTCTTTATAAATTACCTAGCCTAAGGTATTTATTTATAGCAAGAATGGCCTAATACACTGGCCTTATTATTTTTTCCTCACCTGAAACTTGAGCTGAGTAAGGAATCCTTGACTGCCAATGAATCTATAGAACTCTGTTCACAGAGAAGTACATTTGAGAATCAAGAAAAAATCATTTTTAAAATGCAGGGGACCCAAATTGTTGAGACTTGCCCAGAGACAGCAGATAATCAATGGCAAAATCAGACCCCAAACTGCTGGCATCCTGAGTTAGTTGCTTCTTCTTGCTGCTTAAAATCGTTACCTGACTTTGCTAGGTGACTGGGGATGAGCATTCTGAGCAGAAAGAACATTGTATACCTAGAAAAAGGTCTGAAACAGCATAAATGTTTGGAGAGTTTTAGAAATTTAATACAAGCAAGACAGAGGCATAAGGACTGTGATGGAGCCATTGGAGAGCAGGCTAGAAATCAGCCTTGTAAGCAGGATACAAAGTTTGGACTTGGTATTTGTTGTGACTCTTTCAATTACAAGCTAAAGAAACCCAAGACCAAACTCAGCTAAGTAATGGTAATAATAATAATGGTTAACACTTAGCAATGTTCTAAGCTTTCTGTATGCATTAACTCATTTGGAACTCATTACAATCCTGTGAGGGTGTTATTATTATGCCCATTTTAGAGATGAGGATATTGGTATTCAGAAAGGTTAAATAATTTATCCAAAGTTACATAGCCATTAAGTGCCAGCACTGGATTCTAACATGGAAAATATATTGACCCCTGTGACTGGTAAAGTCCACGAGTAAGGCCCACTTCATGGGCAACTAAATCATCCAGGAGCTCAAACAATTTCCTAAGGCTCTGTCTTGACTGGGTCAGCTTCTTTTCATGCACTGCCTTCACATTTGGAGAGATTCTCCCAATGTGGAGAAAAAGAAACAATTCGTATTTCAGAGCAAGAGTGAGACCCTTTCCTTCCCCATACTTATACATGACAGTTCTTCTTGGCCTCTTCTTGCCCATTCTGAAACTCATCACTATGGCCAGGTGCATGGAGGACATAAGAAGGCGGTTGGAGCTGGACCAACCACATGAATTGGGCTCTCACGAAAAGACCCATTATCAGAAGAGGTGGGGTGTCGCCAGTTAGATGCCCCACCGGAGGATATAAAGAGGGGAGGGCACAATCGAGTTTGCACTTTAGAAAAAAATGGTGTCGCAGATGGATTAGAGGCATGTAGAACTGGAGACAGGGAAGCCAGCTAGAAAGCCGACCAGGTTTTCCAGGTGGGAAATGAATCCAAGGCTGTGGTGATGGCAAGAAGGGAACAGAGTCAAGAGGTATGTAGGAGATACACTTGGATTTAGGCCTGGAGGAAGAAGAAGGAATTAACGGCAACTCCGAGGCTGTGGTATTAACTGAAATTGAGAAAACAGGAAGTTGAGTAAGTATTCAAGGGAGAGGAAAGACAGTATTTAAGTTCATTTGGGGATGTCTTTGCATTTGGACTGTCTTTCCTGCTAGAGAGTAACTTCTGTGAGCCAGAGACCCCATCTGCCCTGTTCACTACAATATCTGCAATAACCATGTAGCACCTGGCACATATTAGGCACTTCCCTATTAAATGCACAAAGAAAGGTGTCTACCTGATATCCAAGTGCATGCACCAGTCAGGTTGTTGGAAAGTCAGAAGAGATGCCCAGCCCCACAGTGTGAATTTGGGGGTCACAGGGATATGGGCAATAGAGAAAAATGGGGGCATTAAAGAGATGGTTCAGAGTGAGTGTGGAAGGAGAGACTGGGCATAGAATGCCTGCATGTAAGGGGCTAGCAGACGAAGATGAGCCTGGGATCTGTTGGAAAGTGAATGATGAGAGAAGGAGTAAAAGAAGCCTAGGGTGGTAACAGGGAAACTTGGTGTGGAAAGGGAGAGCTGACAGTCAGAACAATGTCCACTCTTCTACTTGCTAGCTGTGTGAACTTGAGCAAGTTATTTCACTTCTGTGTGCCTCAGTTTCCCTCTTTTAAAATGACAAAAATAATACTGCCTATCTTAGGTATAGTTGTGAAACATTTTAAAAATAAGTTATTTTTTAACTTGTAAAGACACAGTACTTGTCTCAATATTTACCTAAGGAGTGAGTCATGCGTCATACTGAATACCACAGAGGGGCCAAGCAAGACAAAGACTAAAATGTGCCCACTAGATTTGGCAAGTTGGATAGAGTTGGGCCCATACAAATGAACAATCTGCAAAGCTGGGAATAAAAGCCAGATTGGAT
Source organism: Homo sapiens (assembly GCF_000001405.40). Taxonomy (NCBI): domain Eukaryota; kingdom Metazoa; phylum Chordata; class Mammalia; order Primates; family Hominidae; genus Homo; species Homo sapiens. The sequence continues at coordinate 95,364,715 of NC_000011.10, read as the reverse complement.
AAATTGAGAGTGGGTGGTAAGGAAGTAAATACATTATCCGCTGTATTTTTTTCTCCTGGGCAAGTAGCAGCAGCTAATATGTTTTGCTTATCTGTCTTATTTATTGTTTATCTCCCCAATTAGAATGTAAGATTTATGAGGACTGCGACTGGATCTGTCCCACATGCTTAAGAGCATGTTGGCACATAGTCTATGTTCAACAGAATCTGTTGAATGACAGGACAGGACAGATGGATATGGTGGAGTGGTGGGACAGGAACTAAGACTATTTATCAGAGCATCCCCTTCCCCCAGTAGGTTCTCCCTTATGGCTACATATCAAGATTGCCTGCAAAGTAGTAATCTTTAGCACAGATTCCCCAGGTCTCCTTCCCCAGACACCCTCTGAAGATACATCTCTGGTTGGGGGTGGGGATCAGGCCCAGGGGGTGTTTTTTTTAAAAGCTCCCCTAGTCATTAGGATACACACCTGGCATCACAACTACTACCCTGTACCATAGTTTGTGATGCATAACTTAATATGGAAATAAAAAGAAAAAAAGTTATTCGAACCCTCAGTCATCATTTCTCTCCTCAGGATCTGAATCAAATTCCTATTTTTTCAAATGTGTTTATATTTGACAACTGAACAACTTAATAAAAAATTCCAAGGGTAACAACTCAAAGAAATTCTCTTACAAGAAAGTCTGGGTAGAAGGAATGGATTGGGCCTCGAGGAGAAAAGAAAATGCCCAGAGCCAGTTTCTCTGTGGCCATGTAAGCCAGCCGTCAATCACAGCTCACACCTGCCTTCCGCTCTGCACAAAGAGGCCAATTGAGATGCGTCTGCGCCCCCCATGGGAGGTATGGGAGCCTGGACAATGCAGGCTCGGAAAGGCAGGAAAGCATGACAGATGTGACAGAGAATTATACCAAGTTGTCTAAGCGGCTAACAGAGAATTCTCAGAAACTTTGGGCTAGTGTTGAATTCTAAGAACATACAGAAATACATGTTCAAAGAACGAATAAAGTGAAATTTCTCAGGGAAACAGAAAAGAAAAATTTTTTTGCCAGCGAAAATCATGGAATCTGGTCACTAAAAATAGAACATTCAGGAATAAAATGAAGAGGATCTGTTTTATTAGGACTTCATCTTATGTACGTCTCTATGACCAGTCTGTAACTGATTGCGCCCTCTGGCCTCATCTCCCATGATGTGCCCTGGCCTCACCTGGTCACAGAGAGCCTACCCTCTGATGGCACTGACTTTCCCACCTTTCCCATGACAAGCAGCACATGCTGTTTCATGTTTCTGTACTTGAAAAACGTTTCCCCTTCTCCATCCAACAAAAGCTTACTCATCCTTCCAGACCTACCTCTGAAGTAGCCTCCTTTGGGGAGACTTCCCTAATTGCTTGGGAAGAGGCAGTTAGCTCCTTGCTCTTCTCTGCACTTCTTCTCCTTTGCTCAATGTCAGTTTTGTGCAATATCAAAATCTCATGTTGTAATTATTTGTTTATTCCATGCTTCATTAGGATGTGGCTTTTCACAAATGGAAATCGTGTGTTAAGCAATTTAATGGGTACTGCCTATGTGCTAGATGATAACATTTATTTCTTTTCCATACAATAATCCTGCAAAGCATAAGATTTCCATTTTACAAATGAGAAAACTGATTCTCTGAGTGTTCAGATAAATTCCCTGAGGTTAAGTAGTTGATAAGCAGTAAGCTGTATGACTCCAAAGTCAGGACTTTTTCTACTATAATAAACTGTCTTTCTTTACCTTTTTTGTATGGGCACATGCTTGGTACCAAACAAATGAGTGAATTTTATTTATACTAATTTTTATAGGAATTATAAGTACCTTGAGAGCAGGACCATGTCTTTTCCTTTCAATCCATCCCTGGGACTAGTTCAAGGTATATACACTCTCCCTAAATATTTTGAATGAGATGGCTCAAAACATGTATAAACAGATTCCATGCTACCAAGCCTATATAATTAGTATGTGATTGTTGGAAACAAGTGGGTATATTAGCCAGTTGCTACTATAAAAAGAGCAACTCTGCATCAAATATATCAAAAGGAAATCCCTTCCCAATATTAAAATGCGTAGTCATCAACAACTGTATCCAACAGACAAGCCATTTCGTACATATTAGTAGACCTTTCAAGTATCAAGTTCTAGCTGGCTCACTAGGATATGGCTTTACTTCACATCAGATACTCCATAGCCTTACAGAGACTCTGTTAGAGAGGAGACAGTAGTAACAATCTTTCATGTCCACATCATCTTTCTCAGTTTTCCTGTGTAGATATCTAGGGTCTTGCCCAACTGTATGTGAGAAAGCTTGGTAAGAGTTCACATTCTTTTGAGGAAAACATTGACTCCAACATTACCTGGTAACCTTTCCGGTGACTCCATATGCTGAAGTTGGTTTGTTTTTAATGCAGCAAACACTTACCTAACTTCTCCTTCTTTCTCTCTTGGAAGAGAATATAAATCCAACTCAGCGTCTCAAAACAAAATGACAGCTTAGCTCCCATATAACTGCATATACTTTAGATACGGGATTTTTATGCCAGGCAGCTGGCCCATTCACCCTACAGTTACCATGGTCATTTTTTAAAATATAACCCAATCATTTTAATTGTCTGTGGTTTGGCCCTGGCCTAATGCTCCGTTAAGTAATCAATTTGAGAGCTCAGAGAAATCGGTTAATTGTGAAATGTAGGGTTCATTCTCATTTTTCAGATCCTATTTCTATATTAAGTTAGATGATAAGAAAGCAAAATTCCTGGGCCATATTATCACCTGAATTCATTCCTTCATTCAACAGATATTTACTGTACATCTCCAAGGAGCAGCAAAGCACAGGGGTCAGGAGGTCAGACTCTGGAACCAGACTGTGAGTTTACCTTCTAGCTTCTTTATCTGCTAGTTCTGTGACCTTGGACAATTTACCTAATCCTAGAGCTCCACCTCTGTCCTTCTCCTATGAAAGGAGGGTAACAACAGTATCCACTACAAAGGGCTATTTTGAGGCTCAAATGAATCATTAGATATAAACACTTAGAAGAATTCCTAATGTTTAATAAATTTTAGTTATTATCATTGTAATTATTATCCTATTATTATTATTACCATAAGTCAGACATGGTACAGACTTGGTACGAGGTGCTGGGGATACAGAAGTGAGAAAAGTACATCAGTTCCTGGCCTCAGGGAGCTTATGTCTAGTGGGGAAGACAGACACTAAATAATGACACCAGTGAGTGAGTAAATGTAAACTATGGTAGGTAACCATGTGATAGGTTACTAAATGTAAACTATGGTAGGTAAACATACCTACCATAGTTTACCATACTCACTCACTGGTGTCATTATTTAGAGTACAAGGTGCTCTGAAACCCTATAACAAGGGGGCCTGTCCCAAGCTGAGTGGGAGATGATGGCTCTTTTGATGGAACAGAAACTGAAAGGAGGAGCAGGGTTAACTGGATGAAGGTGAGTGGACTCCTGAGAGGACCATTCCAGGCAGAGGGAACAGCGTAGCAAAGTGACTAAGTGAAAGGCCAGTATGGCTGCAGGCCCAAGGGGTTGCTCGCAGTAAGTGTTATATGCACAGACTTCTCTTGAGGTTGTTGACAGAATAACTATAGTGTCTTTTTAAGCTATAGCTCTAAAAAATGGTTTAGTTCTACAAATCATTTCGAACGGTACTTTTCTTTTTCCACATCGACACAGCACTGAGAGCTATGTAAGCGCAGTGTGCTCCCTTTTGGTCTAACCACAAATAAAGCTGGGATTTAGTTTACTGGCTATAGCTGCAAGAATTAGGTCAACTCAGATGCCTTGTAACATCTATTCCCTTACTCATTTTATAAGGTTCTATTTTTATCCCTTATTTCCTCATTTTATTTTGAAATGTTAAAGGGCTCTTAAGTCCTTTTGGAAGTTGGCAGGATATAAATCCCCAAATGCATAAAATAAAATATATTGATTATGAACAGCTTAATTGGCTAGAGCCTGGTTCAGGAGAAAGAATGTAGTTGCAAGTATGCGGGGCCCACAAGGAGAAAGATCTCGAAAGGGTGTTCACAACCTTTCAATGGGATTGCTTCCTATTTGAAATTGCCAATGTCATGACTCAAGAGGAGGGAGTTGTGAAAGAGGAGGCATCCAACATAACTCACTTACATTGGCTTTCTTCATTTGAATGTCGCCAGATTTAAATGTAAATGTTATATTAGCACTTTGGAGCTTCTAGAAGAGAAAAATGTATATGCTGAGCCTCCCAGATTTGTTTGGTTTGTCAGTTGTTTTCTGGGCTTGCTTTTTCAAATAGCTGATGCGTTTGTCTGCAAGACAAAGAAATGAAAACAACAGGGAGTTTTGTTTGTGGTCCTGTGAATCTGGCCTCATCAATTACAGCTTCCAGAGCAGTCTGATGTTAACCTGTCTAAAAGCAACAGGGAGAATAGCAAAATTCTTTGGCCACACTTCATGCTTTTCCATCAGCTCTCTACATCTAGCCCTTCTTCCTGCCACCAACTTTCCACAGTCATTCATTCAACAGGTATTTACAAAGTACCTCTTAGGATGCCAAGTACTTCACTAAGGGCTGGGGATAGTATGAAATCAAACATCCCTGCCCATCTCTCCTTTGCCTTCATTCCACATCCCCCCAAATGAAGGCTTAAAAACTTACATCTTCTCCAGTACTTCCTCCTGAAGCACAAGAGAGACAAGAACAGGCTTGCCCAGCTTGAAGAGGAGGGTTGTGTGAAAGGTCCCACCATGAGGAAAGTCCCAGAATACACGACTGCAAGAAACAGGTAGGGAGTAGTGAATGGGAAGCACGTTCATATCTCTACCTTTTCTTTCTTTGGTAATCTGCTGCTCCTAGTAGAGGAGAAAATGGAGACCTCATGTGGACTTAGAAAAGTCTAAGCTGAGAGGCCTGATTTGGAAATAATGAGATTATTCTGATAATGAGAATGAACATCTATATGATTATTTAAAATCCACAGAGGGCTTTTATATGCACAATCTCAGTGAATACCCAAAGCACCCCTAGGAAAGGTGTTAGGATCGCCTTTTCCTAGACAGGAAAGGGGCTCAGGGAGACTTGGCTTTACTGCTGGAAATTAACCAACTGGGGCTTTAACTTCTCCCTCCAAGAGCTTTGCTTCTCTCTCTCTCAAATCCAGGGCTTAGAGCAAGCACAGTGCTGCCACAATTGAGAAGAGGCTGCCTTGTACAAACTTGCACATAATATCTTAACTCAGTCTTTTTCCAACACAGGCAGCCTTCAGCTTTATGTAAGGGAAGGAAAATCCTGTGAAAAGGAATCATGAGCCTAATCAACAGAGAAGGAAATGGAGGTTGGGAAAAATTAAGCAAGTTGCCTCGGGTCACATAGCAAGAAGTAGTGGAGCTGGAATTTGATGCCCAGCCAGTCAATCTGACGCCAAAGTACAGAAGCAGGAAAGGCCCCGCTGCCCTGGCAGTGAAGGTAGAATGAAGCCTGCATCTGTCACCATGCAACAGACAAAAATACTGTGCTTAAGCCAAGAATCCTGGGTTGGAATTTCAGCTATGTCACCTCCTAGCTGTGTGACCTTGGCCAAGTCTAGTAACCTCTCTGATCCTTTAGCTGTAAAATAAGGAAGACAGGGGTGTAATGTGGATTAAATATAATAATGTGTCTGCATCCAGTGTACATACACTAAAACTCTATACCGGGTATGGAGGTTCCCAGAGGATGATGAGCTACAGCTTACAAAGAGAGAATACAGCAAAAAGTACAGATACCTGTGGACAAGTGCCCTTTGGAATAGGCAAACATTGACTAAAATAAATGAGATGCTTTAATCCTGGGTCTGGCCAAACCACCTAAGTCCTCGCAAACCAATGGGTGCTTTCAGGGCTAAAAGTTAGCTGCAAAGCCCCAGGCCAACACTGATTACTAAAACAGGTGCTTAGTGCTGTGGCAAGGGAGTGGCCTTTCTTCTTCTCCTGGGAACCCAATATGGCTTTTCTGGCTGCATTTCCCAACAGCTGCTGAAACTTCCCAAGTGCTGACATTTTACCCAGTCCCTTATAACATACTTATGTAACTTTTCTGATCTATTTACTTTGCTTACATTTTCACCTAAAGCTTCTGATCTTTTAAAAATTATTAGATGCATGAGGATTCCACTCATCCCCTCAACAAAATATCAGTTGAGTCCCTACTGTGTCCCAGAGCAATTTAGAAGAGAGGAACTGGCGCATGACACAACTTTAAAAACACCAGAAACTTACATTTTGTAAAGTGGTAGGACACAAAGTGCAACACTGTGCAACGCTGTTTTCTGGGTCATTTCTTTACAAGTATATACAATTCTTCCCTTGTGTTTGCATAGTTTACATCTAGGATCAGCTTGATTATTTTACCCAGTCTTTCTATGGCCATCAACATTCTCAACTTTCCTAAAGTCTAAGTTAAGTCCCTTTCGAAGACAGTTTTATTGTCCTACTTCATTTTAGGGAAGAAAACGCTAGAAAGCTCTCAGATTACCGGTGTGTTGTGTGGCTTTCTTTCCTAAAATGTAGTAATATGGAGTACTTTATTTAGTATCCACATAAATACAACTAAATCACACTGATTCAAACAGTTTTAACAAAGTGCATCCTGTCATGCAGGTAACTTTGCTCTTGCAGTCTTCCACTTCTTTGGTTAAATTCAAAAGCGCAAACTCAAAATTCAGCTAAGGGCTTTCATCAAGAAAAGAGCTTCTAAGTACTCACAACATTCAAATTGTATAGGATACAGCTTTTGAGAGTGGTGTACTGTGTTTTCAGCAGCAGTAAGATTTGTTCCTTGAGAATACATCTTGTACCATGTTCACTAAGCCATCAAAGTAAACCAAGAAGGAGGAGGGAAAAGAAATTAACAACAGGACCGGGTAAGGTCGAACATTCCAAAACAACCAAGTCTCCCTCAGCATTTCCATAGAGGCTACATCCCTAGACTCTAGCTCCAGCACTCCCTCAGTGTGAACAAGTGGTTTCCCACAGGTCTAGCTCAGATCATTCATTACGGCCACCCTCCCAGGCACCTGAATGAACACATTGTGTTATCCTCATCCTCAGAGTCACTTAAAATGTTTGAATCTCTTTTTCAAGAACTATTCTCATCAAAAACCTTCAAGGTTCAACTCCTTCAATATGATTCTAACCATCTTTTCCTATCTCCCATTCCTTTCCCATTGTTACCCAAAATTTTGGTCCAGCTGAACTATTCAGCATTTCTTGACCATGGCCCAAAGCTCACTGCTGCTAATTCTTGGCCTTGCTTCTCCCTCTGTCTGGAACATCCCTCCTCCATTCCTCTGGCCATTGAGCCTATAAAATCCTATCCATCCTTCAAAGGCCATCTCAGTGCTACATTCTGAACAAAATCATTTGAAATCCTTTGAACCTGATGTGATTTCTACACTTTTATCACTTCATTCCAGCCCTATAGCATTTTGCCTTTTCTTGTGACATTTCTCATTCTGCTTATGATATTGTAATTCCCTTGAGAGAAGAAGCAATATCTTATCAAGTTTTTAACCTTCTAATACATGGCCTATGATCCTGGCCCAGGATAGAGTCCAAGTTTTATGATATTAGATGGTGCTACAGCACACCTTTCCTACTAGAACATGTACAAATACAATCTTTTTCTGTTCTCTGGTATTGTGGAGAAAATAAAGACTTGAATAGGACACAGAGGAGCTAATTAGATAGCCTTGGATAAGTCCGACTGGAGAAGTGAGGGTATAGGAAGCCTGTTATAGCCTTGGGGTAAACTGTTGGCTCTGCAGATGTGCCTCTAGGAATGCAGGTACATGGCATTGCTGAGGCAGATGGCACTGCGTGTGCCCAGTGGATAAAAGACTTTAAAAATGGCTACATCCAGGTCTCTTGGCCATGCTGGAAATTTGGAGTCAGTGCAGTTTTCGGGCATTCTGACCAGGAACAGAGTTGTCAGAAGTGATTTTATGACATGCTTTGATGAAAAATGCACCAAAAACATTGCCCAGGAATATATATATATGACACCGAAACAGTCATAATCTTAAAATTAAGCCAGGAAAACTGCCTAGACTGATCAGAAGAAAAGAAAAGATGGCTCCACCTCATTCTGCCTAAATACAGCTTTTTATTTTTTTAACGCTATCTCCAAACTCCCAAATATACTTAGGTGCAGAGATGGTGATCTGAACTGGGCTATAGAAGTCTGGGTTCTAGCTTGAGATCCTACATTAAATAGTTAGGTTACTTTGGGAAAATGACTTTACCTATCCAAGTCTCATGTTCTCAGCTCTAAATTCTAATAAACTGACATAAAATTTAGAAATGCTACAATTCATCTCAGTTCTACTCCTAATTCATATGTGGCTTGGTGTAGTCTCAGCCACTCATTCCTAAAGTATTTTCCTCCTTTGGCCTTTTTCTTGTATTTAATTATTTAATACCAGAGTTTCTCCTCTCACTTTGTTTCTTTTAGCACACTAGAACCCTCGGGGACTATGACTGCCGACCCACTAAGTTCTGTTCCTGGTTACAATTCCACGGGGAACTCTCACCCTTTCTGGGACTCTTCAGATCAACACACCATATGATGAAACTGTTTCTTGTGTTTCAAATGAACAAGAAGAAGAGAAAGGATTCCATATGTTGAGGAATATCACATAAGTGGGAAACCACAGTCCAGGTCCCACCACCCCTTTCTCTTAATAACAAAATACAGGGAAGCCCAGTACTTGAAGAATGTTTAACCTTCATGGGCATTTGGTGCAAGAATAAAAATCCACATGATTAGAGGATAGTTCTCACTTATACCTAAAATGCTATTATTAAGTGAAATAGGCCTTCAAAATCTAAGGACATGGATGGTAGTGTATTTGCAAAAGATCTACTTTTGTATATTGCATGATGGTGACGCATTTAACTTTTAAATGAAACCAGTGCTCTTTAGGTGTCAACAGCTAACTAAAAGAAGGCAGAAAAGAGAAGTACATGGATTTGGAGCTCAGAAAAGTGAAATTTTTAAAAGAAGCAATTGCTACGGCATTCAAACGTTGTAAAAAAACAAGGATGCGTGCTAACATTTTTCGAATGTCTAGTTACATGATCAATCTTGTGATAATTGTTTTCAATAAGTTATGGTATTGAATAGCCACAAGAACCATATTTCAACCCCATTTTGAATTTGGGGAAACCAAAACTAAAACAAACATCCAAGTCCATACCACCTGATTTCAGAATCTCTCTTGTTTTTTCAACACCATATTCTAAGTCCAGAATGTGGCCTCAAGAAGTCTTCAATTTCAACCAGCCCTCCTTCTTCCCTCATGTTCGTCCCTGCTCCATCATTACTGTTTCTATATCATCATTGAGCTATGTCTGTCCTGTTCTTAGAATCCTACATTTAAGACTTTCCATTACATTTGTTGATAATCCACTTCAAGGGCTAAAATCCTTTATGATGAACAGCCATTTCCATAAGTACCTAAATCCCTTTTGGCGCTATTTCAACTCAGTATTTTTACCCCCAGGTGTGATTCATCTATCCACTCATTTATAGCTGACCCAAACATACTTTTCAAACTTAAATCTTACTGCTCCCTTTCATGGATGTTTTAACATTTTTTGTTTAAAAATAACATAAGAGACCAGGCGCAGTGGCTCACGCCTGTAACTCGAGCACTTTGGGAGGCTGAGGCAGGGGGATTACTTGAGGTCAGGAGTTTGAGACTAGCCTGGCCAACATGGTGAAACCTCGTCTCTACTAAAATTACAAAGTTAGCCGGGCATGGTGGCGCGTTCCTGTAATCCCAGCTACTCAGGAGGCTGAGGCAAGAAAATCGCTTGAGCCCGGGAGGCAGAGGTTGCAGTGAGCCGAGATTGCACCACTACACCCCAGCCTGGGTGACAAAGCAAGACTCTGTCTCAAAACAACAACAACAACAAAACTAAAAATAGAACTACCATATCCTCTAGCAATCCCATACTTGTTATTTATCCAAAGGAAAGGAAATCAATATATCAAAGAAACATCTGTGTCTCCCTGTTTATTATTGCACTATTCACAACAGCTGAGATATGGAATCAACCTGTGTCTATCAACTAATGAATGGATAAAGAAAATGTGGTATATATACATAATAGAATAGTATTCACTAATGAAAAAGAGTGAAATCCTGTCATTCATGGCAACATGGATAAAATTGGAGGATATGTTAAGAGAAATAAGCCAGAAACAGAAACCTAAGCACTGCATGTTCTCCTCCATATGCAGAAGCTACAAGAAGTTGATATCATAGAAGGAAAAAGTAGAACAGAGGATACTAGAGGCCAGGAAGCATGAGGGAAGGGGTCATAGGGAGAGATTTGTTAAAAGATACAATTACAGGTAGATAGGAGGAACAAGTTAGAGTATTCTATACTACTGTAAGATGATTCTAGTTTCAAATAGCTAGAAAGAGGAAATGGAATGTTCCCAATACAAAGAAATTATGAATATTTGAGATGATAGGTACACTAATTACCCTGATCTGATCACTATACAGTATATGTATGGAAACATCATTATGTACTCAATAAATATGTACAATTATTATATGCAAATTTTAAAAATAAAATTTAATTTAATAAAAGGAAAAAATAAAATCATAACAATCCTCAAAAGCCACCTCAAATAACTGCAACCTTTGCAACTTTGTCATTTTTCCTATGTCTGTTTCCTCTTCCCTCCCAGTCTGGAGGTTCTGTGAGAGCTGAATTCACATCTGGTTCATCTTTGAATGCCCAGAAAATGCAGTAAAATATTTAATAAATGGTAGAGAAAATAATTCCTCAGGGGAGAAGATGTTTTCCTTTCAGTTAAAAACTTAAAGATACTTTTTAAATTTTGCTTTGCAGCTTATTTGCTTTCTCTTTTCAAAGATAAACTATTCATACACCCTTTAATAATCCCTCTTGAGCTCAATTTTAAAATATGTGGTTCTTTTCTGTGAAATTGAAGAGGCCCTAAATCTGTCAGAGTAGTAACTGGGGAAAAAATGAAAATAGAATCACAGTATGTCAGAGTTAGAAGAAGCAAGGTAGCTTTACAGGAGGTGGAGGAAACTGTGTGGAATCACCTAGCTGGTAATGTTTCAGAACCAGGGCTTTAGCCTGGGCATCCTGACCCTCAAACAACCCCAAGAATCATATTTGACATGAAGGTTGCATGTGTCACTGCATATATACAGTAAGAGTCATTTCTTTTGCTCTCAATCTCTTTTAATTTTAACACAAAATTCCAATTTGGCAAAGTAGTGGCCAGACTGGTAGAATAAGGCCGTTTGAATCCTAAAAGCTTATGTGAATCCAATCCCAAAATGAAATATTTTCATCTTTCCTCCTTGGCCTAGGTTAGTGGGGCTGGATCAGCTATGTGACCATGTCTATTTTGAAGGTCTATAAACCAAGAAGTGGAGAGAGGGCCTGTTTGCACTCCCCCATCCGATCTTTACCCTACTCCATTCTGTCCTGGGAGGCTGACCCATGTGGACTTCATCACCGTGGTTACTTTGTCCCCTGTTTTCCTATTTGGTTTGGTCACTGGTATGTTTTGGCAAGTGATCAGAGGGAGGGAGAAAAGTAAGTTTGGGGTATTTATTCTTGTTGCTTCCTCCCCCTTGGGTTGCTGCACACTGTCCTTACCTTCTGAGGGCTCCTGTTAAGTGGCTGTCAATATGCAGCTACCTTCTCTGGGTTCTAGTGACAGCTCCCTCCCTTTGTGCCCTCAGGGTGTAGGGTAGTAAAGTCTCTCCAATAAGGCAAGCCCAGGAATACTGCACCATCCTTTGTTGGTTTCCTTAAACTCTGCCCACAATCCTATGAGTAGATTCTTCATTAAAGTCTCCTCCCAGTTTGAATATGTCATTTTTTCCCACAGTCACTACTCTGAAAGATATATGGATTCAATTTCACAGAAAATAACCAGATATTTTAAATTGAGCTCAAGAGGAATAGTTAAAAGGGACATGAAGAGTTTATCTCCTTATATATTCTCGTTGTTAATCCCTTGTCAGATGGGTAGTTTGCAAAAATTTTCTCCCATTCTGTGGGTTGTCTCCTCACTTTGTTGATTGTATCCTTTGTTGTGCAGAATCTTTTTAACTTAATGTGATCCCATTTGTCCATTTTTGCTTTGGTTGCCTGTATCTGTGGGGTATTGCTCAAGACCAAGACCAATGTCCTGGAGAGTTTCCCCAGTGTTTTCTTGTAGTAGTTTCATAATTTGGGGTTTTAGATTTAAGTATTTAATCCATTTTGATTTGATTTTTGTTATATGGCAAGAGATACGGGTCTAGTTTCTTTCTTCTGTATATGGATATCCAGTTTTCCTAACATTATTTATTAAAGATACCGTCTTTTCCCCAGTGTGTGTTATTGGCACTTTTGTCAAAAATGAGTTTACTGTAGGTGTGTGGATCGTTTCTGGGTTCTCTATTCTGTTCCATTGGTCTATGTGTCTGTTTTTATGCCAGTACCATGTTGTTTTGTTTACTATCCATCTGTACTATAATTTGAAGTGAGGTAATGTGGTTCCATCAGTTTTGTTCTTTTTGCCCAGGATAATTTTGGTTATTCTGAGTCTTTTATGGCTCCACATACATTTTAGGATTGTTTCTTCTATACTTGAGAAGAATATCATTGGTATTTTGATAGGGGTTGTATTGAATCTATAGATTGCTTTGGGAAATATGGACATTTTAACAATATTGATTCTTTCAATCCATGAACATGGAACATTTTTCCATTTTTTGGTGTTCTTTTCAATTTCTTTCATCAGTGTTTTATAGTTTTCATTACAGAGACCTTTCTTTTTTTTTGGTTCAGTTAATTCCTAGGTATTTAATTTTATTTGTGGCCATTGTAAATGGGATTACTTTTTAAATTTCTTTTTCTCATTGTTCACTATGGGCATAGAGAAATGCTACTTATTTTTGTATGTTGATTTTGTATCCTGCAACTTTACTGAATTTACTTATCAGTTCTAATAATTTTCTTGTAGAGTCTTTAGGTTTTTCCAAATATAAGATCATAGCATCTGCAGACAAGGATAACTTGAATTCTTCTTTTCTAATTTGGATGCCCTTTCTATCTTTCTCTTGTCTAATTGCTGTAGCTGTGACTTCCAGTACTGTGTTGAATAACAGTGGTGACAGTGAGCATCCATGTCGTGTTCCAGATCATAGAGGAAAGGCATGCAGGTTGTTCTCATTCAGTATAATATTAACCTCGGGTCTGTCATATATGGCTTTTGTTATGTTAAGGTATGTTCCTTCTATCCCCAGCTTTTGGAGGGTTTTTATAATGAAGTTTTTATGTTGAATTTTGTCAAGTGCTTTTTCAGCATTGATTGACATGATCATAAGATTTTCATCTTTCATTTTATTGATATGATACATCACATTGATTGACTTGCATATGTTGAAACATCCTTACATCCCAGGAATAAATACCACTTGGTCATGATAAATGATCTTTCTCATTGTTGAATTCAGTTTGCTAGTATTTTATTGAGAATTTTTGCATCAATATTTATCAAAGCTATTGGCTTGTAGTTTTCTTTTCTTTTTCCTTTTTTTTTAATGTGTCTTTGGTTTTGGTATCAGAGTAATACTGACTTTAGAATGAGTTTGGAAGTATTTCCTCTTTCTCTATTTTTAGGAATAGTTTGAGTAGGATTGGTATTAGTTCTTCTTTAAATATTTGGTAAAATTCAGCAGTAAAGCTATCAGATCCTAGGTTTTTCTTTACTGGGAGACTTTTTATTACAGCTTTGATCTCATTACTTGTCATTGGTGTGTTCAGATTTTGGATTTCTTCCTGGTTCAATCTTGGTAGTTTGTAATATCTAGGAATTTGTCCATTACTTCTAGATTTTCCAACTTATTGGCATTTAGTTGCTCATAGTAGCCACTAATGATCCTTTGAATTTCTGCAGTATCAGTTGTAATGTCTCCTTTTTTGTTTCTGATTTTTTTTTTATTTGGATCTTCTCTTTTTCTTAGACTAAAGGTTTATCAATTTTGTTTGACTTTTCAAAAAACAACATTTTCCTTCATTTGTCTTTTGTATTATTTTTAAAATTTCAATTTTTATTTATTTCTGCTCTGATCTTTATCATGTCTATTCTTCTACCAAGTTAGGGTTTGGTTTGCTCTTGCTTTTCTAGTTACTTAAAATGCATCACTAGATTGTTCATTTGAAGTTTTTCTTCTTTTTTGATGTAGACATTTATAAACTTTCTTCTTAGTACTGCTTTTACTGTATTCTATAGGTTTTAGTATATTGTATTTCCATTATCATTTGCTTCAAAAAATTTTTCAATGTCCTTCTTAATTTCTTCATTTACCCACTGTCACTCAGGCTTATTGTTTAATTTCCATGTATTTGTATAGTTTCCAAAATTTATCTTATTAATTTCTAGTTTTATTCCATTGTGGTCAGAGAAGATGCTTCTTATTATTTGAATTTTTTGAATGTTTTAAGACATATTAGACATATTTTCTGACCTAAGATATGGTCTATCCTTGAGAATAATCCATGTTTTGAGGAAAAGAATGTGTATCCTGCAGCTCTTGGATGAAATGTTCTGCGAATATCTATTAGACCCATTTGGTCTATAGTGCAGATTAACTCTGATGTTTCTTTGTTGATTTTCTATCTGGAAGATCTGTCCAATGCTGAAAGTGGGGTGTTGAAGTCTTCAGCTATTAATGTATTAAGGCCCATCTCTCTCTTTAGCTTTAATAGTATTCCCTTTATATAGTTGGGTGCTCCAGTGTTGAGTGCATATATATTTAAAATTGTTATATCATCTTGATGAATTAACCCCTTTAGCATTATAAAGTGACCTATATAGTGACCTTCTTTGACTCTTCTTATAGTTTTTGTCTTGAAATCTATTTTTTCTGATATAAGTGTAGCAACCATTGCTCTTTTTTGGTTTCCATTTCCATGGAATATCTTTTTCCATTCCTTTCTTTTCAGTCTATGTGTGTCTTTAGAGGTGAAGTGTAATTCTTTTAGGCAACAGATCAATGGGTCTTGTTTTTTCATCTGTTCAGCCAGTCTATGTCTTTTGACTGGAGATTTTAAACCATTTACATTTAATGCTATTATTGATAAGCACTTACTCCTGCCATTTTGTTCTTTGTTTAATTATTATTTTATTGTCTTCTCTTTCTTCTTCCTTTCTTTCCTGTCTTCCTATAATGAAGGTGATTTCCTCTGGAGATATGATTTAGTTTCTTGCTTTTTATTTCTTGTGTATCCATTGTATGTTTTTTGGTTTGAGGTTATCATGAAGCTTGCAAATACTATCTTATAACCCATTATTTTAACCTGATAACAACTTAACACTATTTGCATAAACAATCAAGCAAAAAGAAAACTAATAAAACTCTACATCTTAACTTTGTCTTCCTTTTTTAACTTTTTGTTGTTTCTATTTACATCTTTCTGTACTGACTGTGCCTTGAAAAGTTGTTGTAGTCACTGTTTTTGATTGATTTATCATTCAGTCCCTCTGCTAGGATAAGAGTAGTTTACACTTCACAGTTACAGTGTTATAATATTCTGTGCTTTTCTGTGTACTTACTGTTACAGTGAGTTATGTACCTTCACATAATTATTTGTCACTCATTAATGTCCTTTTCTTTCTGATTGAATACTCCCTTTAGCATTTCTTGTAGGACAGGTCTGGTATATTGATGAAATCCCTCAGTTTTTGTTTGTCTGGGAAAGTATTTCTCCTTCACATGTGAAGGATGTTCTTGTCAGATATACTATCCTAGGTATAAGGGTGTTTTTTTTTTTCCTCAGCACTTTAAATATGTTATGTTACTCTCTTCTGGCCTATAAGGTTCTCACTAAAAAGTTAAATCTGCTTGGTGTTCTGCAACCTTCTTGTTCTTGGATATTGATATCTTTATCTAGGTTTGGGAAGTTCTCTGTTACTATCCCTTTGAATAAACTTTCTACCTCTATCTCTTTCTCTACCTTCTCTTTAACTCTTAGATTTCCCCGTTTGGGGCCATTTACTCGATCCTGTAGGCATGCTTCATTGTTTTGTATTCTTTTTTCTTTTGTCTCCTCTGATTGTGTATTTTCAAATAGCCTGTCTTCAAGCTCACTAATTCCTTCTTCCGATTGCATTATTCAGTAAGCCAATTGCATTTTACAGCTCCAAAGTTTCTGGTTGATTCTTTTTAATTATTTCAATCTTTTTGTTAAATTTATCTGATAGAATTCTGAATTCCTTTTGTGTGCTATCTTGCATTTCTTTGAGCTTCCTCAAAATAGCTATCTTGAACTTTCTGACTGAAAGGTCACATGTCTCTGTTTTCCCAGGATTGGTCTCTGGTGCCTTATTTAGTTCATTTGGCAAGGTCATGTTTTCCTGGATGGTGTTGATGCTGGTGGATGTTCTTCAGTGTCAGGCATTGAAGAGTTAGGTATTTATTATAGTCTTTGCATCTGGGCTTGTTTGTACCTATCCTTCTTGGGAAGGCTTTTCAGATATTTTAAAGGACTTGGGTATTATGATGTAAGTTGTATCTGCTTTGGGGGGCATGCCAAGCCCAGTAACACTCTGGTTCTTATAGACTCAGAGGTATTACCTTGATGGTCTTGGACAAGATCCAGGAGAATTATCTGAATTACAAAGAAGGGACTCTTGTTCTTTTCCCTTACTTTCGCCCAAGCATACAGAGCCTCTTTCTCTGTTCTGAGACACCTAAAGCTGGGGGTGGAGTGACACGAGTATCCCTGTGGCCACCACCGCTAGGACTGCATTGGGTCAGACCACCGCTAGGACTGCATTGGGTCAGACCTGAAGCCAACACAGCACTGGGCCTCACCCAAGGCCCACTGTAACCAGGCCCTGGCTACTGCCTATGTTTCCTCAAGGCCCTGGAGCTCTACAATCAGCAAGTAGGAAAGCCAGCCAGGCCTGTATCTTTCTCTTCAGGTTGGTGAGGTCCCCTAGTCCCCATCTGGGTCCAGAAGTTCTGTCCAGGAGTCAGGGAATGGAATAAAAACTCACACATCTACCTGGTGTTCTATTGTATTGCAGCTGAGCTGGCACTCAAACCACATGATGCAGTCATTCCCATTCTTCTCTCCCTTTCTCAAAGGTAGAGGAGCCTCACCCCATAGCCACCACCACCCCAGGCCATGAGGAGTACTGCCAGACTACAACTGGTGTTCCCTTATAACCCAAGGTCTCTAAAGGCAGCTTGTCATGAATGCTGCCTGGCCTGGGACTCACCCTTCAGGACAGTGGGCTCCTTGCTGGCCCAGGGTAGGTCCAGAAATGCTGTGAAAGGGTTGAGTCCTGGAATTGGGGACTGCAAAAGCCCTCTTGGTGCTCTATCTCTGCTGTGACAATGCTGGTACCTAAGGTACAAGTCCCTTTTGCTTTTCCCTTGGCTTTTCTGAAGCAGAAGGAGTTTTGTCCCATAGCCACCACACCTGGTAATGTGCTGAGTCTCATCTGAAGCCAGCAAGTCTCAGAAGTTCACCCAAGGCCTTCGATGTAGTACCTGGGTATGCCTACTGGTTATTCAGGGCCCAAGGGCTCTTCAGCTGGCAGGTGATAAATGCTACCAGCACTGGACCCTGTTTTTCAAGGCAGAAGTTTCCCTTCTGGCCCAGGGTGTGTCTAGAAATGTCATCTGGAAGCTAGGGCATCATGACTCTGCCCAGTGCCCTGTCTTACTGTGGCTGAGCTGGCATCCAAGATGCAAGACAAAGTCCTCCTCATCCTTCCCTCTCCTCTTCTCAAGCAGAAGGAAGAGTTCTCTTTTAGAGTCACAAGCTGTGCAGCCTGGGGTTAGGGGAAGGATGAGACCAGAGCTCCCTTGGCTTCCCCAGCTGGTGTCTCTGTATGCCACATGCTCCCTTAGTCCACTGTCCCTGGGCCTAGTTCAGCCCTAGGCCTCGCCTAAGAGAGCCTGTCCTTATGGCATAGACTGCCTTTCAAGTTTACTTGGAGACACAGAGTGCTGTAGCCCTCAGTAGCAAGGTTTGTAAGCACTCAAGTTCAGCCCGCTGGGATTGGCAATTCCCCTCTAGCTAGGGCTCACTTAAATGCTCCTTCTGTGGGTGGGCATCAGCTGAGTTTGATCCAGTTTTCCTTTCTGCTCTAATAGAACAGCATGGAGTTCAGTGACTCACAGTAGCTGTGTTCTTCCTCCCACAGCACCCAGAGAGGCTCTCCACACCAGGCCACCACTGCCAGAGGATGGGGAGAGATGGCATTGGTGATTCAGGACTGTTTTCTCTATCTCTTCAGTGCCTCTTTCAGCCATATGAAGTTAAAAACAGGTCTATGAGTGCTCACCTGAGTTTTGCTTTTTATGAAGGTTTTTTTTGTGTGTAGATAGTCGTACAACTTGGTGTCTTGTTGGGGAGGACAATTGGTGGAGGTTTCTGTTTTGCCATCCTGCTGCACCCTCCAGGATTCAATTTATTTGATTTTTTAAAAATTATTTCATTTTGATTTTTAGAATTTCAGAATAAGCACCAAAGAAGAAAATAAATAAGGCAAAGAGAAAAAAAGTAATGGATTCACAACTATATGCCAATTTTTATAAGTCTGTTATTACTTCTAATCCTCCCAGCAACAAAGGTTTTATCTATCAAAGGAAATAGATTTTGTTATAGCCCCATTTTACCAAGAAGGAAACTGAGACTCAGAGAAAGTAACTTGTGCAATGCTAGGGTTGAAACCACAACTGAAACCCTACTCTTGCTGAACCTAATGCCATACTCTTTCTTTCATCACTTCACACAAGTGTTCCATGTAGATGTTCTGGAATTAATGCTTTATTTTTTAACCTTGTCTTGCTTGTCAGGACAGCCCAGTAACCTTTATAAACCTGCATCAGCTCCAAACCTGCTGCCTGCTCCTATTCCCAGTGAAGCCTCTCACTCTCCCTGGCCCTCCAGCCCTACCCACCCTATGTTCATGATCTGCATGACAGAAAGAACACATGAGTTGTTGGGCCTGGGCACAGCCCTCAACATCTCAAAATGATTTTACTGGCTTTTAAAAGGCATCTCCTCACTAACCCTTTGGGCAGTAACTCAGCATTTGGATCCCCAGGGTAAAGATTCAAAAATGGAAGAAAGCTTGGCAAGGTTGTAACTTGCCCTTTAGTCAGATGTGAGCTGGTGCCAAAGCCTCCTGTCAGCTGCTTCTCCCTCCCCCTCTTCCTTGTCTCAACAGGTTTAAATATGCCCAACACTCAGGTGGAAGTACGGCTTGGGTGGGAGGACAAACTAAGGAAACGAGAAGAATGAGTGGAGCAGCCAAGTACAGAAGACATTGTTAGAGAGGGTTGGATGATTATTGCAAAGAAAATATCTAAGAGCAGAGACCAACAGAGCCTTTTAATAAAAATTGCTAGAAGAAATAATCTGGCAGCAACATGGCAGGAGTAGCTCAGTTGCTCTGGTCAATCACTCAGACTTCAGATTGCAGAGTGAGGTTAACAGCAACTCTGGATCAGAATGATGTAAGGGTTGGGATGGTTCAAAGCACAAGGCTGATATCTCAAATATGTGTAGATTGAAACACCCCCCACTAACCATTATCACTTAGCCTGGCACATACTTATGTAACCAAAGTACCTTCTGCTTTGATCGTGCCTGCCTGCATGACAGTGGTATTCCACTCCACATAACGCATGTTATTTCTGGGTATCTCTAATAGGATGTCTCACATGTCTACAAACCAGCCTGTTGACCTCAGTATCTTCAGTGGTCTTCCTCTCTTGAAAATGCTTCCTCTTGTTCATGATACTGTCCACAAAGTCCCCAAGAGCTTAACCCTACCTCTGCCCATCTTGAGAACAACAGGGTCCATGCCACGCCATTGTGTGTGGAGGCTCCCAAAGCCTCTAGCCGTCTAGGTACCAGACTAAGCCTCTTCACCAATATTATGCTGTACATTCTCACCCAAGCCCCAGAGAAAGTCTGCTTGGCTCAGAGTCTCATCAAGTCTGTCTTGAATAGCACATGTTGGCTTTTATGTTCACCTGCAAGGCACAATACCAAGACCCAGTCCATTGGAACTTACTGAGAAATGCAATGAGATGCTATCGACCAGGGGTGTCCAATCTTTTGGCTTCCCTGGGCCATATTGGAAGAAGCATTGTCTTGGGCCACACATAAAATGCACTAACACCAACAATAGCTGATGAGCTTAAAAATTCCAAAAATCTCATAATATTCTAAGAAAGCTTACAAATTGTGTTGAGCCACATTCAAAGTCATCCTGGGCCGCATGCTGCCTGCAGGCAATGGGTTGGACAAGCTTTCTGTAGACTTTCCAAGAAGAAGACATTTCTTGAGCTCCATGTTAAATATTTGTTACTTAACAAACATTTAATAAATAATAACTATGTTCTAGCCCTTGGTCAGTGTTACCCTTCGGAATGCAAAAGTTAGAACAATATATTTTAATTTTTTTCTCTGTATCCTCAAATCTAATAGCTGTCCCCAAATACGTGTATATATAGGATCAGTTCGCTATAGGTACCGTAATTCTTAACTGAAGAAATTGTTCCTGCAAGAGAAAGGGGAATGTATTCTAATTTGAAGATGTCTCCCAGGCAATTCTAATGAGAAGGAATGCCCTTCTCCAGCCTGACAGCCTCCTCCCACTGTCATAATATTGAGAATCACAGTGTTTCCCCAAATCAAAAGACCTGTTTTAATGAGCATTATTAAGCTCATTTGTAATTGGAAAATAATGCAAAACCAATGAAAACTGAGCTCTGCCTCATTTCAAAAACACACATAGCTCTGCCTCGCTGTTGCCTTCTTCATGAAAAACATTAAAGAAAACTCAACCCTCTCTCAGAGAAAGCAGAGGATTCCAGAGATTATGTGAGCACCTCAGCTTAGCCTTCTGCCGTGCATGGCAGCTCATCTAGGTCCTTGCTAAGAGGTATGGGGGAAAGAGCAAAAGAGGCACACATGTGGTGCCACAGATTACCTTTCTTGCTCACAATGCCATTTTAGATGGCTCAGTATTTGAAAGATGCTGACTGTGGTCACTGTTTTCCTGTACTCTGAGATGATCCAATAGAGATTGTCAGTAGTTGGCACGGTTTACGTGGAGTAGCATTTCACCTTTTCATACCACAATGTAAAGCTTATGTAGAGTAATCAGAAGTGAGGATGATTATACCACCTTTATCAATTGAATAGTGGGCTTAGCCTGAGTGATTACACAGAAAATCATACCATGGAAAAGGGGAAAACACAATCTCCTTTTGGTGTCTGACCTCATAGATCATGACATGATAAAACAAATGTCACCTATGCAAGAACTTTACCACTGACAGGCAGATCACTATAGGTCTTCAATTTTTTAAAGAAATCATAGCATTTTAATTTCCCTTAAATTCTTAAATAACTGGTAGGTTGCCTTTGCTACTGTACTAATAGTGTGCTTATGGGAAGTCAATTATAGAGAAGAGTGGGAAGCAATTTTATCCGCCCACTCAAAAAATTGAAAGATGTCAGGGGAAAGAAAGCAGGCTTTGGAGTTGAGCAGATGTGCATTCAAATCTTAACTAGGCCACTCTTTAGCTGATGATCTTCAACAATTCGTTAGCTTCTCTGTGACTGTGTTATCAATACCTAATTTACAAGATTGTAGAGGCTAAATGGAAATAATGTACATAAATTTGCTGGGCACAGTCTGGGCACAGCAGCTCACGCCTGTACAGTAGATCTCCAAAACTTATTCATCTTGCATGACTGAAACAACTTTGTACCCTTTGACCACTACCTCCCTATTTCTCCCTCCCTCCAGCCTGACACCTTGGGAGGCTGAGGCATGAGGATCACTTGGGCCCAGGAGATCTAGGCCAGCCTGGGCAATATACTAGGATCTTGTCTCTTCAAAAAATAAAGAAAAATTAGCTAAGCATGGTAGTGCATGCCTGCTGTCCCAGCTACTCAGGAGGCTGAGGTGGGAGGATTGCTTGCTTGAGCCCAGGAGGTCAAGGCTGCAGTGAGCCATGATTACACCACTGCACTCCAGCCTGAGCAACAGAATGAGACCCTGCCTCAAAAAAAAAAAAAAGAAAAGAAAAGTTGCTGGGAACATTGTCGGGCACACAGCAAGGACTCAATATACTACAGTAGTTAGAGGACAAGGAGGAGGAGGAGTGATAGAAAGTCAGCAAGCACTTGCTTGTAATAGTAGTGCTAGTTACCATTATTATTAACCTTAGAGGAAAGGCAATGTCTAGGCAGAACTGAGATTCAGATGGCAAGAAAGGCCAAGCTTCCATGCCTTTCTCATGCCACATCTTGTCCTAGGAAGGAAATGATTTACCCAAGATCATATAGACAGAGTAGCCATCTGAGTTGAGATTTGAATGCGAGACTGTCTAACTCCAGAGCAAGAAGAGGGGCTGCCAAGAAGTAAAGGCATAGTGGAGAAAGATAGCATAGTATAATGATTAGACTAGCTCAGAGGTCAGACAGGCCTGAGTTCAAATCCTCACTCTGCCATTTTCTGGTTGTGTAACCTTAGGAAAACTACTCAGTGTCTGAGCTTTAGTTTTTTTCACTCTTAAGATCAGTTTACTGATACCTCACTCTAAGAACTTTTAAGATAATCAAACAAGATCACATAAAGTTTTTTTTCCCCTTACCATGCTTGGTACGCAAAAAGTTTGCAATAGAGGGTATATATTATCATGATCATTACATAAGAAATAAAGTGCCCAATCTGGTGCCCAAAAAAAGTATCATTGGGCATAACAGGGGGGAGGTGAGGGAGGACAAGTACTGTAACGACCAAGGGAATTGAAGAAAGCCTAGAGGAGACGGGATGACGGAGAGGGTGCCGCAGCACTGGAGGGCCAAAGCAGGCTGAAGGGCCCATTTAACTTAGGCTGGTTGACCATATTGTGGCCAGAGGGAGAGTACCAATTGTGGTCCAGAAAAGGAGCCAAAGGTCAAAGCTGAAGGCCTTTGTAGGAGCCTAAGAGGGAAAACAGGACAAGGAGACAGATGGCAGGAAGATGAGGAATGAGTCAGGGAGCAACATCTGAGGCAGATTGGGGTGAGCCGTAAACTACTCAACCCAGAGGCTGCGACCCATGTGGGCGTGTCAGGGCTCCATTTCCATGTGTGCCAGCTGTGTGGTGTGGGAAAGGGCTGACAGCTTGAAGGCAGCGAGCAGGACAGGGCAGGGAACCATCCGCTCAGCAATAGTGCCGATGGGAGAGGCGGTGTCAGCATGTCAAAGGCAACAATTCCCAGCCCACATCATCAGGAATGAGCTGTGGAAGCCAGAAAGCAAGGGCATTGGGGATCGGCACCAGCTGCTTAGGCCATAAAACTGGGCATTCAAGGATAGACAGCGTGAGATGCTCCGGGGTCCAGCCAGGGAAACAGATGAAGAGAAAGGAGGGGTTTGGGAGAAGCTGAACTGTTAGTTTTTGACCTGCTTCCTATTGATATCTCCCTTAAGGCTTCCGTTACCAAGCAATGGGGGATTCATTTCCTCGGCCATTTAATAAATCTTCATTGAATAATTACTCTGTGCTGGACACTTCTAAGCAGTAGGGATACCACAATAAAAAGAAAGACGTGGTCCTTTTCTTCAAATAGTTTTTTGGGGAGAAGGGGAGATAAATTACAGACAATAAATAAGCAAATAGGTAAAATCATTTCAGATGGGGAAAAGTGCCATAAAGACAATTAAGAAAGGTGATGTGAGAGAAAGGAATGGCAATAGGTGGCGAGAAAGTTTCTTTAGACAAGGTAGTCAGGAAAGGTCATCTGAGAAGGTGATAGTTAAAATGAAAACTAAATGACAAGAAGGATATGGCTCTGTACAGATCTGGAGGAGACACATACCTGCATGCACCCTCTCTCCCCTAGTTCCCCGCATATGGCCCCCTTCCCCCAGTTCCCTAAAGTCAATGTCGGAAGATGAAGCAGAAAGCAGCAATTCTATGGTATTTCTTTTCTTCTTAGATTTTTCTCCCAGCCTGAAAATTGATCTAGAAACTATTTATCTACTTGTGTCTTTATTCATTCAACATGTATTAGGTGTCTACCATGTACCAGGTACTTTGATGGACACAGGGAATGTGATATAATACAGGTACTGGCATCTGACCACAGAACAAGGACCTAAGAACAGGATTCAATACTTAATGTGTATTTCATTTAGATCAAAATTAAACTAGGGATTATTTACAGTAGCCAAGATATGGAATCAACCCAAATGTCCACCAACAGATGAATGGATAAAGAAAATGTGGTATATACATACAATGGATTTTTTTTTCTGCTGTACAACATAGTACCTGTAGTTAACAATAGAGTGTTGTACACCTAAAAATTCATAAAGAGGGTAGATCTCATTTATGTAAGTGAAGTTACCACCAAGAAAGTGGGGGTGGGGGGACACAAATAATCTTTGGAGGTGTTGGATATGTCTATTACCTTTATTTTGGTGATGGTATCATTGGTGTTTGCATATGTCCAAACTCATCAAATTGTACATATTAAAAAATATATATGTATTCCTTTTATCAATTATGCCTCAATAAAGCTGTTTTTAAAAAATTAAACTAGGGAGAAGTATGTGTGTGTATTTGTGCATGTGTGTGCTATGTGTATGTTTATCTGGATAAACATATACCTGGCAGCATATGAGTTCACAAACAAAAATCAATGTCTCAATGTATATTTGGCTGAAGCAGGCATAAAGGAATCTTGTTGCACAGTGAAAGTTACTTCCACACACTCAGCCAAAACAAAGCTTGCTAAACTCTGAAAAGCAAAGACTAGATATGAGATAGTCATCCTGTTACAAGTTTCATAAGGAGCTAAAAATACAGAAGAGGAAAACAATGATCTCAGCAAGGTAATTGCCAATAGGTGAACAAATGAAGCAGACAGAATATGAGCAGCAATTTGGCAGTCCTGTGGGGAGGGGATGAGTTTGTGGGGCTAATGTCAGTGTGGCATACCACCAGTAGTTACAGTCCAGCAAAACAGTTTGAAACTAGTTATCCAACTACTCCTGACACTGCACTCCTCACTGCCTTAAGACACGCTTAGGGGATAGGGGACAACAGGAGAAAGGTGACAAGCTGACAGGAAGGAGAATATGGGTATCTTTTTTCCACACCTTCAAACATTCCAATTGATCTTTCTTAACTAACATTTTTCCTGTGTGGATTTTATGCGCCAGTGGTAAGCAATGTCCCTTGGACATTCCTTCCCAGGCAGGAAACTTTGTTTTTGTTTGGGCTCAGCCAGGATCTCTGGGCTGCAGGCATGTTGTTTTATTTTAAGAAAGTGGCTGTATTTTAGCTAGGGAGCATGTTTTGAGCAGAGGTTTTAAAGTGCCATCTTCCAGAATGACTTAGGCCAGACTGAAAACAGCGAGGAAGCTGGATAAAATTAAAGACCTCGAGGGATCTTTCCAAGAGCTCTGAGTTGGTGAAAATAATTTAGTGATTAGTCCCTTCAGCATCTTTAGATCCTTTTCAACCCAATGGGTGGGCTAATGCCTGCAACCTCTACAGTTTGCCGGGATTCTGAATTGATCAAGTTACAGTGAAACCACACAGGTACAGAGCTGCTGGCTTGCAAAGGATTCCTCCCTCAGAAAGTTCTTGGCTCCGGCCAGAAAAGAACACTACCACATTTTTCTTGGCTTTTTATAGGGTGTTGATCCAAGGATCTGTTTTTACATTTGAATGTGGCAGTCAACTGTAGCATAATAGATTGCAGACCTTTGTGAAAAATCACTGTGAAGGCTTCAGCAGAGAACTGTGGGCTGGCTGCAGAGAACTGCACTGTCAGCAGGTTAGGAACTGGGCGCTTGTCCATGTTTTCCTTATTTTTAAAGGAGTCATTGACCTTCCACAGGCCTGTATCAAAATGGGGGGAACAAAAATGCTGCCAGACAGGGCGGAATTGGAAGAGGCCTCTTTCAGGGGCTGGAAAGGCCTTCGTTTAGTCTATTTACTGTCATGGAAATTCTGAGTGTGACTTAGAGGCCTCCTTGGCTCTGAGCCAGGTGGAAAGGTTTGGAAAAAAAAAAAAAAGCAGAGACTCAACTGGGGAGTGAGCTGGGTGGGAAAGCAGCTGCCCTGGCACAGCCCCCAGAGGGATGTGAAGAGCCCCAGTGCCTATTGTGCAAAGGCAGATTCAGAAATCCCTGCAAGTTTGGACATAGGTGACAGCCAATGTCACTGTTCCAGAGTGGCCAGGTTTGATAAACATGCTGAGAAGTTGTTAGAATTTGTTCTTGATGAAGGAGGCTTCACCCGACATACCATTCATTCCTTCATTTGTTCTTCAAACAGTCTTTAAGGGCCTACTGTGTTTGAGACACACCACGCTCAGCACTGAGAATACAGTCATGACAAACACAATCTCTGCCTACTATTCTGTAGGAAGACAGTCTAGTAAAAACAGCTACTATACTACAATAGTTAGGCAGACCAGAGCCACCATAGGAGTATTAGAACAGTCTCAGATCTACCCTGCATGGCCTCTCTCCAGGGCACCTCAATTCATTTCATCAATCATCACTGGAATTCCTATCAACCCTGTGCTAAGAGTTTAGTCCCTCCATATTATGGGCCCACAGGATCCAAGTGAATTGGTACTCTCCCAGGTTACAGAAATTCGCTCCCTGTCTAGTGCAAAGGATGTATGAGCTACAACTTGTCCCCTCTCCCAGGGGGATTTGCATTTTAAAGAGGATTATCACCTCAGCTAAAGGCAAGGTTCCCCCAGTGCAGGCTTTTAGGCCAAAGCAGGAAGAGTAGAGAGTGTCTTAGAGAACCAGAAGACTGCCTTCCTAGAAACACAGATGTCACTCCGGGGAGGCAGCCTGCCCGCCCTGGGCTTTAGGCCGTTCTGGAACTGAAAGGGGGTTGGAAACCATCTGGCAGGATACGAAAGAGAAAGCCCGTGGCGAGCAGCCACCGGAGCCTTGCTTTCCTGGGCTGGCCTTCCTAAGCTCCCCACAAGCAAGGACTTGTTTTCTGCTAAGCTCTCAGGGAGTCTAAGAAGGGGTTTACGTGAGAGAGTGTGTGTGTGTGTGTGTGTGTGTGTGTGTGTTTGTGTGTGTGTGTGTGTGTGTTCTACAGCCTAAAGAGAAACTGCACATAGGGGAAGCATGTGAGGTAAAGAGGCCAGAGAAAAGATTCAAAGAGAACAAGCAAGAGAGCCGGTTGGGGCAGGTCTCCAGAGCCGCTATTATTTTTTTCTGGTTGATTATCACAGTGCTTGAAAATGAAGAATAATTTCAGAGGTTGGTGGGGAGGAGGGGCCTGGCTTCTTGGAAGCCTTATTAACACCAGGCGAACAAGACTGTAATTAATCATCAGGGTGAACTTGAGCCACTGGGATGAACGCTAACCCGTTAACCAGCTCTGCCTGGTATTTTTATTTCAGCAAGATCTGAAACTTTAAGGATGTCCTTCTGAACACGATTCCCACCACCACTGCCCTCGGTAACTCAAATGAAGCTTCTGGAGTGAAGCCTTGCAACTGTACTGTCATGTTTTCAACTTTATAATTTTATTCTAGTGACTTCTAGATCTTAACTTTGACTTATCCACTGTGGTAAAGACAAATTGAAAGAATTTGAAACATCAGACAACTTAGATTATGATTTTTACGTATACCAGAATAAGCATTATTTTTTTTTTCTTCCTACTGCTATACCTTTCTTCTTATTGGGCTAGGGTTAATAGAAACAATTCTTATGAAAAGGAAATCTATTATTTTAAAATATATGCGATTTCAGACATTGTCTGAGATGAAGGTTACCTTCATGCTATCTGTGAAGAAAAGTTTGCTAAGTAAATGAGGACAATAAACAAAATCTCAGCCCAAATTTTTTACCTTACTTGAAGAAACATATTGTAAGAACCATAGCAGCATCCATTTACATGTAAACATTTTTATACTACTTACAAATTATTGTCATCTTTCCTTAAAAGCTGACCCTCAAAGAACCTCTAGTTGGTAACGTGCTTCTAGCTTCATTTTCATCACCCTACATATTGGAAATTCATGAAAATGCTTTTCTTCGCAAGCATTCCCCCAAAGCTAATTTGAATTAATGATGTTGGTGTAGTTAGAGTTTGTTTATGGTCTGGTACTGCTAAATTCATGATTGACTATATTACCTGAAAAAAATGGGGTTCATTTGCCTGGCAAGTAACAACTCTCCACGAGAACACAGGTTTTTTCTCAATAAGCATTTTATTATTTGTCACAAAAAAGAAGAGCACTGGTGTGTTCTCCAAGGCAGTGTCTCCCTGAGGGAAAGTGACAGGAGGGTTTTACGGGGCAATGGAGAGTAGAGAGGAAGTGTCAGCGCATGTAGAGGAAGGGTCCCACCAGTGGTGCAGATGCAATGAGTCATCACACCAGCACATAGGTCACATGTTATGGTAATGAGGCTATAGCTCCCCTGAGGGGGTTGGTGGGGGGGTGGACTCTAGCATAGTAATGAGGAAAGTTCACTCAGGTTCATTTATAATTTGCCAGGGTCTGTCAGGAGCTGGTGTCAACCAACTGGGTGACCACATTCCACATAGGGTTTGGGACAAAACAGGCTTCAAGACAAGATGCTGTAAAACAGGCTGATTGCTCAAGTTGATTAAATTCCTATAGTCCCTGGAGATCCTCCCTGTCTGCTTACAGATAGATGGATGGGTGAATCTTCAATAGAGTCCACCAGACTTATGTCTTTATTTCCTTAAAACATGGGCCTCTGGGTCTCAGGGGACGCCCTGGGAAGTAGAAAGGATGTCCATTCCTCTCAAGAAGTCTTCACTGGCAGGGCGTGGTGGCTCACACCTGTAATCACAGCACTTCAGGAGGCCCAGGTGGGCAAATTACTTGAGGCCAGGAATTTGAGACCAGCCTGGCCAACATGGTGAAATTCTGTCTCTACTAAAAATACAAAAATTAGCCAGGCGTGGTGGCATGCACCTCTAGTCCCAGCTACTCGGGAGGCTGAGGGAGGAGAATCACTTGAACCTAGGAGGCAGAGGTTGCAGAGAGCCAAGATTGTGCCACTACACTCCAGCCTGGGCGACAGAGCAAGACTCCATCTCAAAAAAAACAAAAAGTCTTCACCATCCAAGACACACTTCCACCTATGACTGAAGACCATAGCTCACCAGCTTCGGGCCTGCTTCAGGGTCCTGAGCTGCCTCTTGTTCATCCTGCCACTTGTGCCTACCTTGGCTGTTTGGTCACTTGGTTTGGCAGCTTGACCATTTTCCACAGCCCTCGGTAAGTAGTGCTCCCCACTTGCTCCCACCAGCGGAAGCCTATTTCCCCTCCCCTCCCCAAGGCCAAATTGCCAGAGAGAGGGAGCAAGATTGGACAGCCCACTCACAAGCTCTCTCGGGGACACCTCATTCCATATAGGTAAACTCCTACTAGCTGCTGGTCTCAATTCTAGATAGCTGTGGACCCCAAAGGATGTAATTAATGCTATCAAAGAAGACACAGTGCTCTGCTACTTGGCTGTGAAAACTTCTCCTCCAAAGTGGAAGGTTTGACGATTTCCACAATAAAAATCTCCCCATGTTCTCCATCCCATTTTTCCCTTCAAAATATTAACATTTTTTGAATTTAGTCAACAAAGTCTACTTTTTCCTTCGACTTTTAAATGGACCCAAACATTTTCCATTAATCTAATTCTGTCTTTAATTGAATACCTCCCCACATTTTCCAGTTTCTTTTTAAAGCATTTTTTATATTCTATTTACAATATCAGAAGATAAAAATTAAGTATCCATAATGAAATCACTGTTTTTGTATACAAAATATGAAGTAAGTACAACAAAAATTATATTTGGGGGTATAAAATATGAAAGGAAGCCCCTGCCCTCACCATGACTCCTGGCAACTTCTTGGATCAGCTCCGATAAAAGTTTAGTGCCTTTCCTTCCAGACTGTTTCTGGGCTTACACAAACATGAACAAATGTTTTCAAACCAATTATCAAAGTTTCTTTGATTTCTCTTTCCCTCTTACCACATGTTATGGGCTGAATTATATCCCCTTGAAATTCATATGTTGAAGTCCTAAACTCCAGTTACCTCAGAATATTATGATATTTGACAATAAGGTCTTAAAGAGATACTTAGGTTACAATGAGGTCATTAGATTGGGCCCTAATCCAATATGATATGTGTCTTTATAAGAAGGATGAGAAAGAGGAAATCTGAACACGGACATGTGCACTCATAGCAGGAAGACCATGCAAAGACACCAGAGTAAGATGGCCATCTAGAAGCCAAGGAGACAGGCCTTAGAAGAGACCAACCCTGCCAACACCTTAATCTTAGACTTCTAGTTTCCAGAAATGTGACAAAATAAATTTCTGTTGTTTAAGCCACCCCATCTGTGGTACTTTGTTATGGCAGCCCTAGCTGACTAATATACGAACCACCAGGAAATTCTAGTGCCTATTCCTCCAACACCATCTTAAATCCATTCCATTTACTTCTTTCCATCTTCACCACCATACTCAATCCAAGCCATCATCATTTCTCACTGGTTGACAGTGAAAACCCCCGCACCAAGCAGTCTCTTCACTGTCGACTGCAAGCAAACAATAGATACCAACTCCAGTAAGCAGAAAAAGGATTATTGGAAATCTATTGAGAAGTTCACAGAATTGATGAGAAAGCACTAAAACTAGCCTCAGAGATAGGCAAGTAGATCAGGTTACTCCTGTTTTTAAACCTTCCAATGGCTTCCCATCACCCTTAGAATATAGTTCTAACCACATGCCCTGGGATGCCAGATGCCCTGTGGCAGATCTCCAGAGATGGAAACCCATCACCAGAGAGTCAAACAGAATCAATATAAAAGTTAAGCTCATCATGCCTTTGTTGTCATCAATGCTGACAGAGCCCAAGAACTGAAATGCCCTTCACACATGGCTCTTCATGTGCGTGGAGGTTCAGATGTCTGCATGTGGGCCCTGCTGCTTCTGAATGACTTAGTTAAAAGCATTTTAAAGCTCCAACTTAATTAGCTAATTTAAATCCTGTTCAGTTTATCGTCTGTGTACAATGTTCTCTGCACAGGTCCAGAAACTAATGACCATCTTCAACATAATCACTAACATTTGCTTAGTGGTTCACAGTTTACAAAGTGCTTTCACTTACTTTAAACCCTCGGATTCTCAAAATGCTCCTGTGAATAGGTGGGATAGGCATTATTACCTCATTTTAACAGGTGAGAAAACTCAGACTCAGAGGTCAAGTGCACTTTTCAAGCACACCAGGGATAAGGAAGGGGGAAGCTTGGATTAAAACCTACCACTTTTAAACTCTAAATGTCACTTATAATCACCTAATTCACCAGGCATTTTAAATAACCGAGGTTTTGCTGGCAAAAGTGAGGGGGTAAAACAAACAAAGGCCACGGGATCCTAATTCAGAAGCAGGTAGGGGATAAAATGAAGACAGCTGGGTTTTGCCATAGACATGGGAATATCCAGCTCCTGGGTATATGCCCCGCCAGGTTCTAGGGCCTAGAGCAAACCATACACTGAGCACTGCACCCCCCCTTACTAATAGCCAGTCATACATACCACCATGGAAATGGTGAGAGGAGTAAATGAAAATGGAAATCAGGAACCACCTAAAAGAGGAAAATTAAGAAAAAGGAGGCCAGCCCACAAGGTGAGGCAAGAGGCACTGGTAATTGTTTAAAAGCTGATGTTTATGAAACTTTTATCTGCCTGGCTGGAACCTTACCTAAGTATCTCTCCAGCTTCCACCTAGAGACAGTCACTGCAAGTGGTCATGGAGATGAGAAGGAGAAATTAGGAAGAGCAAGAGCAAAAAATTAGGCCGACCTGGGGCTATCCCCTTGATTACCAAGACACCAGGGAGTTGCTGCACTAGGTACAATCTTACTGCCTGGAGAATTTTTTTTTTTTTTTTTTTTTTTGCAAATCAGAAACAAGAGAAGTCACAGCTCCTGCACCCTTTAGTCTATCAGAAAGTAAATCTCCTGGTTGAGGCACCTTCTCTTCAGTGTTGGATTTCCCCCAAGGTGACAGCCCACAGACCCTTGCTTCAGGGGCATGGCCTACGGCACCCCAACTGCTCTCCTGACCTAACCCTACATGCTCCCACTGCATGTGCCAGGTCTGGTCTCAGACAAGAATCCAAAGTGGCTCATGACCAAATGCAAATCACCAAGTACAATACCTCTTTGTAGTTTCTTCACACCTTTCATCCCAGAGTTTCAAAGCACAGTGCAAATGTTAACTTGTCCTCAGACACCCCAGGAGAGGCAGGTAGGTGGCACATGCTATTATCATCTCCCGTTTATAGAAACAAACCAGACTTTGAGCCATGAACTCTCTTGCTTGACGCCTCATGGTGAATAATTGTATGTCCTGGGGACCTATATCTAGTCATTAACTATATCATGTTACGGCTGAAATACCACAAATATCAGCCCTCTGCTAACTATTTTCTTACCTTATTTTCTTCTTTCTTTCTTCCTTTGGACTCTAAGTTCTCATAGCTTTATAAGAAGATCCCCAAAATTGCCACAACCACAACCCATCTTCAGTTGCCCTTCTCTTAAAAGAAGCCAGAAAATAAATTAAATCAGCCCTTTTGCTACATGCTTATGATAAATGATCACTTGCCTAGGGAAACAGTTTTGGCCAGGTCAGTGTGTTATGTAGAGTGGAAAGTCACTCAGAGGTATCTACCCTCCCTAATGTCCCTTCTAAGGGACTCACCATTTTTGGCTGAGAAGAGTAGCCTCTAGCTGTGACTTAAATGATGTGGCCATCTTTTGTACCACATGACTGCACCCTCACTCAAGCCACACCTGAAAATGAACCAAGGACCAAGGTGTAATTATTCCAGAGACTGGTCTGTGGATTCATAAGAGGTCCTATTTCCAAAGTGCTATTCAAACAATGGAGTTTGATGGGAGGAAAAAAGGGTGAGTTTCAATCAGATGGTCAAACAGAGAAGTGGGCAGACTGGAGAGTAGTGAATAACACTAAGGGCAGAGAATGAGAGTCTGAACTTCTACTGTTGTGAGAACAAGAGTTTAAACAAGTCCTTGGAACTACTGTAGATTCTGAATGACCTTGAGGTTCTGGTGTCTGTGAGTTTTGGCCATACCTTGGTCATATTCTTTGTACATTCCTACATGCTTTATTGCTAGCCTTTGTAACATGCCCTCGTTTTTAGCCTGAGATCAGAGATATCCAACTAAGGATTTCATTTATGGTCTGTGACTTACATGCATGAACCAATATAATGTTGGGCAAGCCACTTGGTCTTTGTGCTTCAAAGCTTTCATCAGCAAAATAGGGATAATTATCTCTTAGGCCATGCCTTCAGAGTTGATTGGACTTCATAAATATATAGTTGATTTGAAGTGGGGGTTTTCCAGCCATGATAACTTCCAACTACCAAGCAATCACTGAATGTCCACCTGATTTAATTATTTAGATATTTGAAGTAATGACATTTTTTTAAAGCCCTGTCACATAGTTCTCTTAAGAATAGGATAACGTCAGCTTTGCCGATCAACCCCTAAATGTCAGACTACTAAATATACTGATCCTGATGGGCCTTTTGAAATTCTGGGATGTGACTTGTGAGATAGATTACAGAAGACATCAATTATGCTGCCCAAATGGTACAAATGTATCTCATCTAAGAGAGAGAGAAATTGAAATAGACACCGTGTGCTTAAGAGAAAAAAATACAGCACACACAAAACATTTTTGAGAAATGAGATAGTTGACATTTTGATCAATCAACCATAACTACTAAATATCATCATCTCTGCCATTAATTACCTGCAAATGAAGAGCCAGCCCTGGCCAGGAGCAGTTCTGCAGGCATCCAGCTCTGCAGTCATGTTAGGGAAAGGGAAAGGCAGAAACTAGAGAAGATCAGGGCAAAGCCCAAAGAAACAAAAATTGCTAAGTGTGCTGAGTAGTATTTTCCTAAAGGATGATTTCCCTCTCAGCAGTTCAGCACCCCTGCTGCCTGAGGGAAAGCTGCCAGCAGGGGAGGGGCCTAGCTGTCCAATGAGCTTGTCACCTTGCCCTCTCCATACCCAGCTTGTGTCAGTGCATCCCTCAGACAGCAGCTGGGCAAAGTGGCAGCTCCTCCAGAACTTCCTTTGACTCCGGTGGCATCCATCCTGGGCTCTGGCTCCATGCTTGGCTCAGGAATAACTGCCAGGACCAACCAGCTGTGCTAAGACTCTGAAGCTGCCACTCACTCATGGAAGGGGAAGGAAAGTGAGGTCCATCCCATGTAGGTGGACGAAGATAGGGCAAGAGGAGGAACCACTGCCTTTTATGCGGGGTATGGTAGCTGAGGCATTTTACTTAGGCAAGACTTGAAGAAAGCAAGCCCAGGTGAGCCTTTGCTTCAGAAATATATAAAGTAGAGGGGAAATTCTTTTGTCCCATTTCAGCAACATCCAAGCATTTTCCTTAGAAGCAGGGCAGATCCAGGTTTTGAGTAGCCTGGATTTTATACCATTTGGGGGAGGGTCCCTCTTTTACAAAAGCATACAAAATTAAGTACAGAGCTTTAAAAAAAAAAAAGAAAGAAAAGCTCTGAAAGCTTAAGTTTCATTGCCTTTGTGGCAAATCAGCCTTTATTTAGAAGTAGGTTTATTTCCTGTTGCTCTGCCTCTCTCTCACCTCATTTCTCTACCTGTGTCTCTCTTGCCATGATTTTGGGTTCATTTGCCCTAGGAGGACCTAAAACAGCACAGGTTATATAAATATTTGTCTGCGTCTTCTGGAGTGTCCTCAGCATCTGTCCCTCTGAAATGCTCCAGTAGCATAATGAAGTTGTACTGAGGTTAGGGGATGGACTCAAGGCAGAGGCCCACACTTCACTGAAAATTGCCTGTCATTCCTGCCAGGCTGGCTTTAGAACTCTGGGTCTGCATCCACTCAGCTAGCAATTCTCAGGGTCACCGTTATAAGTGGCCTTGTGTCCCCCTAAAATCATATGTTAAATTTTCCAGCTCATGGTACCTAACATTATGATTTTATTTGAAGATAGGGTCTTTACAGAGGTAATCGAGTTAAAATGAGGTCCTTAGGTTGGGCTCTAATCCAATGTGACTAGTGTCTTCATCAAAGGCAAAAATTGGAGACCTACAGAGTGAACATCATGTGAACATAAAGGCAGAGATCAGGGTAATGATTCTACAAGCCAAGGAATGCCAAAGACTTGACAGCAGACCACAAGCCAAGGGAGAGGCGTGGAACAGAACTTCCCTCACAGCCATCAGAAAGAGCCAGCCTTGCTGATGTTTTGATCTTGGGCTTCTAGTCTCCAAAACTGTGAGACAACAAATTTCTATTGTTCAAACCACCCATTTTGTAGTACTTTCTTACCGCACCCCAGTAAGTGAATATAATCACTTTGCATATATCTCCCCTCCACATCATTTGTCAAAAAATGAAGATCAATATAATGTCCTTCATAATACAAGCTGTAAAAGCGCAACCAAAACAGGAATGTAAAAGTGCTTCTCTCTGTACCATCTATAAGGAATAACTCATAACCAGAGAGATTCTGTAAGCACTTCTGCCCCAAAAATCTCTTTCGCTTGCCTTGATTGTGCTGCTAATGATTTTGTTCAAGTCATAACATGAGAGAAACGTTCAAGAGAAAATGTCAACAAATGTTTCTTTTCTTTCTTTCTTTCTTTTTTTTTCTGAGACAGAGTTTCACTCTTGTTGCCCAGGCTGGAGTGCAATGGCGTGATCTTGGCTCACTGCAACCTCCGCCTCCCAGGTTCAAGTGATTCTCCTGCCTCAGCCTCCCAAGTAGCTGGGATTACAGGAACCCGCCACCATGCCCAGCTAACTTTTGTATTTTTTTTTTTAAGTAGAGACAGGGTTTCCATGTTGGCCAAGCTGGTCTTGAACTCCTGATCTCAAGTGATCCACCCATCTCGGCTTCCCGAAGTGCTGGAATTACAGGTGTAAGCCACCACACTCGGCCATGAGTTGGGCTTTGAAGGATGAATAAGAGTTTGACAGGCTGAGAAACAAAAAGAAGGCAGAGGGGCAAACGGCCAGTTTGAGGTATGTTGAACAAATTCACATGGCTGTAGTACCAAGGTCAGATGAGAGAGAGGCATATTAAAGAAAGGGTGGGCCAGGAGCATGTGGCAGGATGAGGGAGTAGGAGGGCAAGAGGTGACAACAGAAACTCGAATGTCAGATTCTCTCTTCTTGATCTCTCCTGTGTTCTGATGTTGATGTACATCTCTAGAAAGCCTGCCTTAGGTATAAGTCGGAACCCAGGAAAGGTCCTTGACAAAGTTCTGCTGTTTTCCTTAGTTTGGATGAATCTATAATGAAAAGACATTTGAGCAAGTAGTGAGAAGAGGGAAAGGAGCAGAGAAAGGCAGAGGACATGGCCCTTTGTTGTTCCCTTTGCATCTGACCCCTACTAAGTGCTGAGTGTTTGATTTTCACTTTGTAACTTGTTCCAGCAGATTCTCTTCTACTCTGCTTCAGATCCTCAGATAACCAGAGATCCTGACACTGGGTCCAAGGTACCTGTAGAGATCTCTCCTTGCTTTCACCCCTTAACCTCGTCAAATTAATTCAGCCATTTATTTAGTAAACACTCTGGGCACTGTGCTAGGCACCTGGTGCACAACCAAAGCATCCAGGGGCAAATGTCACCTTTTCCTCCCAAGGCCAGTGTAGGGGTTGTGGCCCAGTAGGCAAGGAACACAGAACCACGAGCCAAGGGAACTGGTTTTGAGGACTGGCTCTGCCAACTTTTAAGCTGTGTGAACTTAAGCTCATCACTCAACATCTCCAATCTTTGGCTTCCTCGAGTTTAAAATTAGGTTTGTGACACATTCCTCTGTTAAAAGGGTAGAATGAAACAATGAATGTGAAAATACTTTGTCATCTGGGAAACCCTCAACAAATCTTATTTGTTACTGTGACCAGACCAGTTAGGTGAGTAGGAGCCAATTTGTATTCATCAGAACCTCTCTCTGTGGGAAGTAATAGGAAGCCAAGCCAAGCTGGTCAGAGGAACAAAGACATTTATTGATTCCTTTACCTGGGAAGAGCCTGGAGAAGTTCAGTCAAAGGAAAGTGATGGGATCTAAGGCTTCAGGCAGCTGGGACCTGGCACTCCCTTTGACTGCCTTTTGTGTCTTCTTGCCTTTGCTTCTCCTTAAATCATGGCCTCCTTCTCTTGGCCCAAGAACCCCTTTTTCTTTGTGGTGGGGAGCATGGGCTCTGGCAACTCAAGCCTGGTGGGCTCCTGTGAGAGTGCAGGGTGAGGAGGATAGTCTGTTATCAGCAGGAGTGGGAGAAGCTCATGGGCAGATGGGCAACAGAGCCACACACGTGGTTTTACAGCAATGAATGAGACAGACATGGATGAGACCCCTTCTCTTCTGTCATGGAGGGGGACAGAAAAATAAGCAATGAAAACAAGCCAGAAACAACACAATGACTATCAACTAATAAAAAAGTACAAAAGATTTGGCAGGTCCATGCAATGGAACAGTATTTGGCAATAAAAAGAAATGAGTACTGATTCATGCTACATTATGAACATCAAAAATTTGCTAAGTGACAGGAGCCAGTCACAAAAGACCACATATTATATAGTTCTATGTTTACAAAAGATCTAGAATAGGTAAATCAATAGACGGAGAAAGTGGATTAGCAGTTTCCAGCAGCTAGATGTTAAAACAAAGAGTGAAGGATGGGGAAATGGGTAACTCTTTCTGTTAATGGGTATAAGGTTTCTTTTTGGGTGATGAAAATGTTTTAAAATTATGAAAATTTGATGGTTGTGCAACTCTATAAATATACCAAAATTTTTTGACTCTTATTATTTATTCTATTATTATTATTTTTGGGGGCAGGGTCTCACTCTGTCACCCAGGCTGAAGTACAGTGGTATAATCATGTCTCACTGCAGCCACAACCTCCCAGGCTCAAACAATCTTCCCACCTCAGCCTTCCAAGTATCTGGGACTACAGGCATGTGCCACTACTCCCGATTAATTTTTTAATTTTGTGTAGAGATGCAGTCTCACTCTGTTGCCCAGGCTGAAGTACGGTGGTATAATCACGTCTCACTGCAGCCTCAACCTCCCAGGCTCAAGCAATCCTCCCACCTCAGCCTCCCAAGTATCTGGGACTATAGGCATGTGCCACTATGCCCGATTAATTTTTTAGTTTTGTGTAGAGATGTAGTCTCACTCTGTTGCCCAGGCTGATCTCAAACTCCTGGCCTCAAGCAATTCTTCTGCCTCAGCCTCCCAAAGTGCTGGGATTACAGGCGTGAGCGACCCTGCCCAGGCCAACTTGCATAGTTTAAATACATGAATGTTATGGTATGTAAAGTATATCTCAATAAAGCTGTTTTAAGAAAAACAAACAGAAGCGCTGTGTAGAAAACGTAAATAGGGTGATGAAATGGGGAGTAACTTAATAGTCACCCTAGACTAGATGGAGACAAAGACTGCTCTAAAGAGGTGACATAAAAACTGAGGGCTGCGTGGTGTGAACGAGCCCGTCCTGCAGGAATCTGAAAAAATATTATTCTAGGGAGAGGGGACAGATAGTCAAAGGCTCTGAAGCAGAAACAAGAAAAGTATATTCAAGGAATCTCTAGATAGGTTGATGACGCAGGTAGGGGAAGATGATTTGACTTTGTAAACATCAGTGGGAGGGGTGGATTTTATTCCAAGTGCAGAAGAAAGTCCCTGGAGGATTTTAGCAGGGGAGCATCATGATCTCAATTATGTTTTCAAAAGATCATTCTGGCTGCTATGGGAAGAACAGATTGTGGGAGGCTGGTATTAAATTTTCTTTGGCTGATTAAGGGCAAAGTATTGAAAAAGAAGAAAAAGTAAATAGGATTGAATCTCTGCCTTAAAAGAGCTAACAGAGTGGTAGAGGAAATGGTATATATAGACACACATAAATCTCAGAATAAATGGATTGTAGAAACCACACAGAGAGAGGGTAGGAAGGGTTGTGGGGACTCAAATGAAGACACAATGTTAACTGGCAACGAAAAAAGCTTGTCAGCAAAGAAAATGTCTAAGTGGAGTGTAAAAGATGAGCAGAAAAAGAAAGGGGGGTGGTCTCCTGGCAGCCAAAATCGCGTCTTACTGTATGGCAGTGATAAGGTGCAGGGAGTATTAAGAAACAATATGCTCTCCACTTAATCTACAGAGTAAAAGGCAAAATAAGAAAGTGATGAGGGACAATGCTAATAATAATCACATTTAATAAAAACTTACTATGTGCCAGGCACTGTTTTAACACAAAGCATAAGCGAAAACATTTAATTCTCAAATCAGGAATGTGAGGTAGCTGCTATTATCATTCTGCCCCCATCAGTCAAGGCCCCAGTAGGAAGAAATGGTGCATTCACTTTAGAACAATTCAATGGATGTTTATTTTTAAAAGCCTATTTACAATGCGTGGGCAGAAAGTTGGGGAACCACAATGGAAAGTGCAGGAACCCATGGCTAGCAACCACAGAGCACTCAATAAATGATGGTGTGTTTCATATAGGTTGGCCTCTGTATTAGTCAGGGTTCCCTACAGGGACAGAACTAATAGGAGAGAGAGATACATATATAAATATATATAAATATATATATTTTATATATTCTATATAAATATAAATATAAATAAAATAAATATATATAATATATATAATATATAATATATAAATATGTATTATATATATTATATATATATTATATATATTATATATAATATATATAATATATAAATATATATTATATACAATATATATAATATATATAATATATAAATATATATTATATATATTATATATAATATATAAATATATATTATATATTTATATATAATATATATAATATATATTATATATTATATATAATATATAAATATATATTATATATATAAATATATATATAAATGTATATATATTTATATATAATGTAAAAAATATATATAAATACATATACATAAAATAAGCAATAAAAACAAGCCAGAAACAACACAATGACTATCAACTAATAAAAAAGTATGAAATATTTGGCATATACATATATATGGGAGTTTATTAAGTATTAACTTACACAATCACAAGCTGTCTGCAAGCTTGGGTAGCAAGTAGAGCCAGTCCGATTCTCAAAGCTGAAGAACCTGGAGTCTGAAGTTTGAGGGCAGGAAGCATCCAGCATGGGAGAAATATATAGTCTTGGAGTCTAGGCCAGTCTCACCTTTTCACATTTTTCTGCCTGTTCATATTCTCTGGCAGCTGATTAGATTGTGCACACCAGATTAAAGGTAGGTCTGCCTTCCCCAGCCCACTGACTCAAATGTTAATCTCCTTTGGCAACACCCTCACAGACACACTCAGGATCAAGACTTTGCATCCTTTAATCCAATCAAGTTGCCACTCAGTATTAACCATCACCGCCTCCAAGGATGGAAAGCCTAAGATAAGAATGCAAAGGTAGATACTTAGTTACTGTCTCAGTCCATTTGTGCTACTATAACAAAATGCCTCATTCTGGGTAATTGAGAACAGAAGTGTATTTTCTCACAGCTCTGGAGGGAGGTCCAAGATCAAAGTGCTACCAGGTTCAGTGTCTGCTGAGAGCTCCAGACTATCCTTCCAAGATGGTGCCTTGAATGTGGTCTTCTCACATCGTGGGAGGAATGGAAGGACAAAAGGGATGGAAGGTTGTGTCCTCACATGACAGAAGAGCAGCAGAGATCAAACCCACTCCTTCAAGTCCTTTTACAAGGGCCCTAATTCTAGCCATGAGGATTCCACCCTCATGACTTAGTCACCTCTTAAAGGCCCCACTTCTTACTACTATATCATTGGCCATTAAGCTTCAACACATATTTTGGGGGACACATTCAGACCACAAGGGGTAAATAGTCAAAGAAGACATGAAAATTCAGGTGAGAAATATGATATTAATTCAGTGCATAATGAACAAGCTTTGAAGATCTTTGATGGATTGGAGGAGAAAATAACCAGAAGCAGGAAAATCAGTAAGGAATCTTTAATTGTCTCAGTAAGAACCAGTGAGCCTGAGGTGATGGGAAGAATGGAAAGAAGTGACAAACTTAAGAGCGTTTTTTTTCCTCAAGAACAATATGGAAAATAGACTCCATTGGACATGATAGATAATGGGATATAATGGAGAGGTTGGAATGAGGTAAGCAAAATGCCAAAGATAATATGGGAGTTTTCAGTGTGAATACTGAGAAAAGAGCATTCTTATTATTAAGGGAAATAGAAATGCAATGAAGAGGGTATGTCTGGGCTTGGGGGTGTTATACCTAAAGCGCTTTCATTTGAAGCCCCACTTACATTAACTTAAGTAGAACGGAATAATTTATTATAAAAATATAGGATTATTTCCCAAAACTTAAGTGCAGAAAGTATAGCTGAACCTCACAAGGGACCAGAATCAGGAATTGGCAGAACCAGGAAGGAACCACATCCCTCCTTGGTGATGCTGTTATCCCAAGTTTCACAGTCTCACATCCTGACCTCTATTTGCTGCATTCATGCTTCTTTTCATGAACAAGCTTTCTCTGCATCGCCATGCCCATGATTGAAGATGGCCATCCCACAGTGGCAGCTTCACCTCTGAGTTTGTATCACTTCCCAGTTAAACCACAATGAACTAGTGCTTGCTACTATTCCATACCCTTAGGAGATCATATCTAGCCAGCTACAGCCAAGGGTGCAGGATTATGTAGTTCACACCCACTCTGGGGTGGAGAAAGTTCTCAGAGGAGGTCCATGTGCTGAGGGGAAATGCCTAAGAGGTGAGGAAAAGATGAGCTCAGTTTTGGACATTGTGAGTGGGAGGTGCATGTGAAATATCTTAGTTGGATATCTATCAAGCTACAATTTCAATCCAAAATGAGAGAGCAAATTGGCAGGAGGGGAATCAAGGCTAGAGAAACAGAGGTGACAATTAAAGGCAAATCTTGAAAGAGGGGGTGTACAATGAAAGAAAGGGGCCAAGGACTGAACCTTGGTGAATGCTTCTATTTCCAGGACAAAATAAGGGGTATTAGTAAAGGATGCCAGTAAAGAATACAGAAAAAGATTTGTCTAAGGATATTAGAAAAGAAAGAGGAGAATACAGAGTCAGGGCATCAGGAAGAGAGGGGAAGAGCTGATCCACATGACCACCTGATTATTTTATCCTCCAATCCATGGAAGACCTTCAAATCCTGTTCTTTGACTACAGAGACTGTGATCTCCTGGAGGACAGGGATTGAGTCTGTCTTTCTGTGGGCTTGGTGCCCAGAGGGGAGCAAGGAGCTCAATATATGTCTGTTGAATTGAATAAAGATGGTGAAGAAAGAGAAGGTTGTAAGATTTAGCTAGAATGAGATCCTTAGTAACTTTAAAGAAAGCAATTACAGCCCTCTCCCTCTCCCTCTCCCTCTCCCTCTCCCTCTCCCTCTCCCTCTCCCTCTCCCCACGGTCTCCCTCTCATGCGGAGCCGAAGCTGGACTGTACTGCTGCCATCTCGGCTCACTGCAACCTCCCTGCCTGATTCTCCTGCCTCAGTCTGCCGAATGCCTGCGATTGCAGGCACGCGCCGCCACGCCTGACTGGTTTTGGTGGAGACGGGGTTTCGCTGTGTTGGCCGGGCCGGTCTCCAGCCCCTAACCGCGAGTGATCCGCCAACCTCGGCCTCCCGAGGTGCCGGGATTGCAGACGGAGTCTCGTTCACTCAGTGCTCAATGGTGCCCAGGCTGGAGTGCAGTGGCGTGATCTCAGCTCACTACAACCTACACCTCCCAGCCGCCTGCCTTGGCCTCCCAAAGTGCCGAGATTACAGCCTCTGCCCGGCCGCCACCCCGTCTGGGAAGTGAGGAGTTTCTCTGCCTGGCCGCCCATCGTTTGGGATGTGAGGAGCCCCTCTGCCTGGCTGCCCAGTCTGGAAAGTGAGGAGCGTCTCCGCCCGGCCGCCATCCCATCTAGGAAGTGAGGAGCGCCTCTTCCCAGCCGCCATCACATCTAGGAAGTGAGGAGCGTCTCTGCCCGGCCAGCCCATCGTCTGAGATGTGGGGAGCGCCTCTGCCCCGCCAGCCCCATCTGGGATGTGAGGAGCGCCTCTGCCCGGCCGAGACCCCGTCTGGGAGGTGAGGAGCGTC
The DNA here is from genome assembly GCF_000001405.40 of Homo sapiens. Classification (NCBI taxonomy): domain Eukaryota; kingdom Metazoa; phylum Chordata; class Mammalia; order Primates; family Hominidae; genus Homo; species Homo sapiens. Next base: position 95,321,374 of record NC_000011.10, on the reverse strand, counting down.
TCTGCCCGGCCGCCCCGTCTGAGAAGTGAGGAGACCCTCTGCTGGCAACCACCCCGTCTGAGAAGTGAGGAGCCCCTCCGCCCGGCAGCCACCCCATCTGGGAAGTGAGGAGCGTCTCCGCCCAGCAGCCACCCCGTCCGGGAGGGAGGTGGGGGGGGGTCAGCCCCCCGCCCGGCCAGCCGCCCCATCCGGGAGGGAGGTGGGGGGTCAGACCCCCGCCCGGCCAGCCGTGCCGTCCGGGAGGTGAGGGGCGCCTCTGCCCGGCCGCCCCTACTGGGAAGTGAGGAGCCCCTCAGCCCGGCCAGCCGCCCCGTCCGGGAGGGAGGTGGGGGTGTCAGCCCCCTGCCCGGCCAGCCGCCCCGTCCGGGAGGGAGGTGGGGGGGGTCAGCCCCCCCGTCCGGCCAGCCGCCCCGTCCGGGAGGTGAGGGGTGCCTCTGCCCGGCCGCCCCTACTGGGAAGTGAGGAGCCCCTCTGCCCGGCCAGCCGCCCCGTCCGGGAGGGAGGTGGGGGGGTCAGCCCCCCGCCCGGCCAGCCGCCCCGTCCGGGAGGTGAGGGGCGCCTCTGCCTGGCCGCCCCTACTGGGAAGTGAGGAGCCCCTCTGCCCGGCCACCACCCCGTCTGGGAGGTGTGCCCAACAGCTTATTGAGAACGGGCCAGGATGACAATGGCGGCTTTGTGGAATAGAAAGGCGGGAAAGGTGGGGAAAAGATTGAGAAATCGGATGGTTGCCGTGTCTGTGTAGAAAGAAGTAGACATGGGAGACTTTTCATTTTGTTCTGCACTAAGAAAAATTCCTCTGCCTTGGGATCCTGTTGATCTGTGACCTTACCCCCAACCCTGTGCTCTCTGAAACATGTGCTGTGTCCACTCAGGGTTAAATGGATTAAGGGCGGTGCAAGATGTGCTTTGTTAAACAGATGCTTGAAGGCAGCATGCTCGTTAAGAGTCATCACCAATCCCTAATCTCAAGTAATCAGGGACACAAACACTGCGGAAGGCCGCAGGGTCCTCTGCCTAGGAAAACCAGAGACCTTTGTTCACTTGTTTATCTGCTGACCTTCCCTCCACTATTGTCCCATGACCCTGCCAAATCCCCCTCTGTGAGAAACACCCAAGAATTATCAATAAAAAAATAAATTAAAAAAAAAAAAAAAAAAGAAAGCAATTACATTGGCGTGTAAAGGAAAAAGCCAGGATAAAAGGAAGGCATGGGCGTGACCTAGTCATTCAGCCATTATGGCGATAGAAGGAAGAGAGAAATGACTTGAGGAGTAAGCAGAGTTACATGAATAGTTTGTTATATTATTATTATTGCTTCTGTATTTTGTTTTTAGAATGAGAGAGACTTGAACACATGGGAAAAAATAGTCAAGATATATGCATTAAACATATACTCAAGAGATGAGCAATTAATAGGACAACTTTAATGGAGAAGGTAAGAGATGAGAGGAACTTTAGAAATCAGATAGAACTCTTCTCAGAGAATAAAGGAAGGCTCAAGATACAAAGAAAATTTGAGATAGAAAAAAGCAAAGATAAGGAAGCAGCCCCACCTGCCTTCACTTCCCAGAGAAGGAAGAATCCTCTTGTTGGCCTGCCCGGGGCAGGCTGAAGATAATGAAGCAGTTTTGGAACTGTGGCCTGAGCAAAATGCTACATGCAGTTATCAAGACATAGGCTATGGTATTACCCAACGGTAAGAGCCCAGCTACAGTTAGTGTGAATGTGTTAGCAGCCTCAGTTCACACAACTGCAAGACTTGCTTCAGTAAAGCTTAGCAATTTGGGAGCTGAAGCAGAGTCCAGTGGAGATCTCCAGGAGTAGAGGGATAAAAGATCCCAACGTGGTGGCAAGTACAGTGTTGAAAGAGCTTAGTCAAGGGTCAGACTGTGTAGGCAGCAAACGAGCAAGAGGCTGATCATTAGAGAATCTGGGGCATTGATGATGAGAGTGAGATAAAAGCACAAACGGAGGAAAAATGGAAAGCTGTCTCAGAGGAGGAAGTGTCTGCTCTCAAACTCTAAGAGGACAAAGTCATGGTGAAGGTCAAGATACCAATGTGCCAAAGGGTGGCTCCCGCTCTGAAAAAGCAGTTCAAGGTCACTCACAAATGAAGAAGCATTTAGCAAGCTCCTACTCACCATGCAGGCAAGGCCCACGGCTCCCAAAGGGCCATTGCCACCTAGGCTTCTAATTGCTAGGGCAGTTTGTTCCCACAAAACCCAGTAGTAGGAAAGTAGACATTAAAGTTCATCCTAGCATGAGACGAAAAGTGGAAAGGAAATTCTTAAACAAGTTATATATACAGTGTGATCACAACTATCAGGAAAATACTTCATAGAAAGAAAGAATGAAATGGGGGAATGGGAAAAATCACTACATAACTAATGATTTTGGTTTTCAGGGGAATGCAACAATGGATGAATGGATGATTTGATGGTTTTTCTTCCTTTCTTTTCTTTTTCTTTTTTTCTTTTTACATTTCTGCAGCAAGGGTATTGTCATTTCAAGGAGAGCTCAAAGCTTTTGGAGTCAGGCAGACCATTTATAATCACTACCAGTTATGGACCACCCACCAAGAGCCAGGCATTGAGCTCAGTGCTTTACATATATTACTTCTAATCTTTACAACAATCCTTGTAGTAACTATTATTCTCATTTTGGATGTGAAAGTGAAACTCAAAAATAATAAGGAACTTTGCCAAGTCCAAAACCCATCTGTATTCTGTCCACTTTAGCTGACAGCTACTTTGATTGTATCTCTGACTCTTACTTATTAAATGTTGGGCCTTGAGTGAAATAACCTCCCTGAGGCTCAGTTTCTCCAACTGTAAACTGGAGATTTTAAAAACAAAAATAAATAAATAAACCATAGGAAAATGAATTTGCCATCATCTCCAAATTTGTATCAGAATCACCAAGGTAAGAGGGAATTAAATCAGCTCCTAGGAGTGAACTGCAGAGAAAGGGGCTTTTCAGAGCCCTAGAAAATGAGGCTTGTTCTATAGCCTTGGTTATGCTGTTCGGCTCACAAACCAAGTGAGTCCAATGTTTGTAAACATTCTCTTTCCTAGAAATACAAGGTTAGTTTAGGCCGGGTGCGGTGGCTCACACCTATAATCCCAGCACTTTGGGAGGTGGGCAGATCACGAGGTCAGGAGATGGAGACCACGGTGAAACCCCGTCTCTACTAAAAATACAAAAAATTAGCTGGGCGCGGTGTGGACGCCCGTAGTCCCAGCTACTCGGGAGGCTGAGGCAGGAGAATGGCGTGAACCCAGAAGACGGAGCTTGCAGTGAGCCAAGATCGCGCCACTGCACTCCAGCCTGGGCAACAGAGCGAGACTCCATCTCAAAAAAAAAAAGAAAAAAAAGATTTGTTTAGGTTTTCTACGATGGTGTTGTAATCATAAGCCCAGTTATAAAAGGGCAATGGTGAGGCAAGAATTGAGATGTTTTCCCAACTCTAACAGGATAGGACACCTGACCCATGCGAGGAGCATCACTGGCAGCTGAGCGGCCCACAAGGAAATTTGGGACAAAGGAAAAGCCCACCAAAGTGGGCTGCATCTTTCAAGCGTGTCCGTGTGAAGGGACCACCAAACAGGCTTTGTGTGAGCAACATGGCTGTTTATTTCACCTGGGTGCAGGCGGGCTGAGTCCGAAAAGAGAGTCAGCGAAGGGAGATGGGGTGGGGCCGTTTTATAGGATTTGGGAAGGTAATGGAAAATTACAGTCAAAGGGGGTTGTTCTCTGGTGGGCAGGGGTGGATCTCACAAAGTACATTCTCAAGGGTGGGGAGAATTACAAAGAACCTTCTTAAGGGTGGGGGAGACTACAAAGTACCTTCTTAAGGGTGGGGGAGATTACAAAGTACATTGACCAGTTAGGGTGGGGCAGGAACAAATCACAATGGTGGAATGTCATCAGTTAAGGCTGTTTTTACTTCTTTTGTGGATCTTCAGTTACTTCAGGCCATCTGGATATATACGTGGAAGTCACAGGGGATGTGATGGCCTGGCCTGGGCTCAGAGGCCTGACATTCCTGCCTTCTTATATTAATAAGACAAATAAAACAAAATAAGTGTTGAAGTGTTGGAGTGGCGAAAATTTTTGGGGGGTGGTATGGAGAGAGAATGGGCGATGTTTCTCAGGGCTGCTTCAAGCAGGATTAGGGGCAGCGTGGGAATCTAGAGTGGGAGAGATTAAGCTGAAGGGAGGTCTTGTGGTAAGGGGTGATATTGTGGGGATGTTAGAAGAAACATTTGTCGTATAGAATGATTGGTGATGGCCTGGATACAGTTTTGGATGAATTGAGAAGCTAAACGGAAGATACAAGGTCCGAATAAAAGGAGGAGAAAAATGGGTATTAAAGGACTAAGAATTGGGAGGACCCAGGACATCCAATTAGAGTGCCCAAGGGGGTTCAGTGTAATTACTTGCTTGGTTGTCAAGTTTTTGGGCTCTATCCTTGAGTTTTTTATGTTGTCATACACCAGGCCAGATTGATTTAGGTAAAAACAACACTCTTCATTTAAGAATATGCAGAGTCCTCCTTTTTCAGCAGTAAGTAAGTCAAGGCCTCGGCGGTTTTGGAGGACAACTGCAGCTAAAGAGTCAACTTGGGCCTGGCGGACTGATAAAGTTTGTGATATGTCTGTGATGCTAGCAGAGAAGTCATTAGAGAGGCTACAGAAGGTCGTGACAGAGGTTGAAATGCCTGCTATTCCAGTACCGAGAGCAATAGTGGAGGCAGAAAGTCCTAAACCGACCAGCAAGGGAATTAGTGGAATAACTCTTTTTTGTCATGTCGGTGTCATGAGGGGAACAGGGAGCTCTTCGGTCCCATTTGCAAATTGAATTTTGGGGGTAAGGAAGACTAGTGTGCATGTGCCTGTCCAATTAGCAGGTAGACACATGTAGGTAGAGGATCCACAGAGGAAGAACAGACCTTGTGCAAGGCAAAACTGGAGATGTAAAGTAAAAAGATGAGAAGGAGTGCTGAAAGGGGTGTCTTTTACCCAGACTCCTAGGGATCCAGCTAAGGCAGCAGCTGTCAGAGATTGTAATGGGGAATGATGGGGTAACTGCGTAGAGGGTGAGGTTCGATTTTCATGGTGTATGAGAAAACGTTGAGTATCTACAAGCAACCTTTCACTGTTATTTTCGGGGCTGAGTATAAGTAAACAAGAAGAGGGCCTGGGAGGAGAGTCTGATGAGCAAGGGGAAGGTAGCCAAGGATGGAGCGAAATACAGGGCAAGTGTCTTCCTAAGCAATAATTACTGTTAATGTTTTTAAGTTTGTCAGTATTGATAGAGGGCTTGTCTGTAATATGGAGCTGGAAGGCTCCAATTATTTCAGTGATGTGTGTAGTTGGACTTCAGAGATGAAGAGTAAAGGAACATCCAGAAGGTGAAAGATTACCTAGGGGAATTCCAGTGGGTCTTTGCTGAGAGACACATAAAGGAGTGGCCACAGGAATAGTAGTTTGTGTTGTGAGAGGTCCAAATATGGGGTGAGTAGAGTTAATATAAGGAGAAAGGTTTTTTAAATAAGTGCGAAGAGGGCAGCAGCTTGCTGATGTGAAATGTCTGGGGAAGTCTTGCTGGACCTGTCTAGAAAGTAAGTGAGTTCTTCAGGAGGGTAAAGGTGAGGGCTGTTAAAGGAAGTTCGGAGGTGTAGGGAGATGGGAGATGTTGCCCAGTCTGTCTGTAAGGCGGGGACAGCTGTGTAGGCACTGGAAGAAAGAGAAATGCAAAGCCAGCAGTTGTTCGCTAAGGAGGGATTAGAAGCGGCTAGGAGAGAATGGGTAAGGTTGATAGTGTGGTGGAGATAGCTGGGGAGAGGTAGAGGGTGGCATAAGAATGGGAATGAGAATAAGAGTGAGTATAAAAGTAAAGAATAGAACTTCATCAGGGTGGAAGTATTGGAGGGTGCCTTGCCAGCAAAGATCATCTACCCACTCTAAGAGGGAGTTAAGAGTGGCAGTTTGGGGATAGCACCAAGAGATATCAGCTGTGATGGCTTGAAGAAACAGTGTAAACCGGCGGTGTAAACAGGAGTAGGGCATTTATAAGTAGTTGAGAATGGAGAATAGGAGTATGACCGGACAGAAGACAGTAGGGATGACTAGTTTTTTGGGGCTCGGCCTAAGTGGTGGGGGTGGCTTCGTAAAGCCCTGTTGCAAAAAGTAGGGTAAGGATGAAAAGACCTAATAGAATGAAGTGATGTATTAGGCTCATAAGGGTTATTACTGTTCTTCAGAAATACGAGTGAGTTTAAGGGAAGTAGGGGAGAGTATTTGCGACTTCCAGGAGGAAGAGGAGGGATTAGGCTGGCTGTCCGATGGACACAGCTTTATTCTGGAATGGTGAACCCAGTGGGGAGGATCCTGCAGGCGGACGGCAGTCGGGGTACTATAGATGACTAAGTAGGGTCCTGTCCATCGAGGTTGTAGAGTTTGAGGGGTCAGATTCTTAACAAGAACTGATCATCCAGCTAGGGTGTCTTCATATGGCTGGGGATCTGGAGTAGGCAAGAGAAGATTAGCAGCCTGGCGAATTTCCTGTCTAGCCTGCTGGAGGACTGGAAGATAGTCACCTAGAGGGCTGGTGTCTGGGATGAGGTTGGGGCCAAGCAAGAAAATGCATCCATATAAAAGTTCAAATGGACTGTACCCTGTAGCATCTCGAGGACAGGCTCTGATTCTGAGAAGAGCAAGAGGTAAAAGTACTGTCCAATCCTTTTTAAGTTGGAGGCTGAGCTTGGTGAGGTGTGCCTTTAAAAGACCATTAGTCCGTTCCACCTTTCCTGAAGATTGAGGATGGTAAGGGATATGAAGTTTCCACTGAATACCAAGAGCCTGAGAAACTGCTTGGGTGATTTGGCTAGTAAAGGCTGGTCCGTTATCAGACTGTATAGAGGTGGGAAGGCCAAACCAAGGAATTATATCTGACAGAAGGGAAGAAATGACCAAGGTGGCCTTCTCAGACCCTGTGGGGAAGGCCTCTACCCATCCAGTGAAAGTGTCTACCCAGACTAAGAGATATTTTAGTTTTCTGACTCGAGGCATGTGAGTAAAGTCAATTTGCCAGTCTTGGGCAGGGGCAAATCCTCGAGCTTGATGTGCAGGGAAGGGAGGAGGCCTGAACACTCCCTGAGGAGTAGTAGAATAGCAGATGGAACACTGAGAAGTGATCTCCTTGAGGATAGATTTCCATGATGGAAAGGAAATGAGAGGTTCTAAGAGATGGGCTAGTGGCTTGTAACCTACATGGAAGAGGTTATGAAATGACAACAGAATAGAATGGGCCTGTAAGGCTGGAAGGAGATATTTTCCTTGGTCTAAGAACCATTTGCCTTGTGTGGGAAGAGATTGATAGGTGGAAGTTTCAGTGGGGGAGTAGGTGGGAGTGACTAAAGTGGAGAAAAACTGGCCGTGAGGGACAGAAGTTGGAGAGCTAGCTGCTTGTCTAGCTACTTTATCAGCATAAGCGTTGCCTAGAGCAATGGGATCTGACGCCTTTTGATGCCCCTTGCAGTGAATGACCCCAGCTTCTTTTGGAAGTAAAGCAGCCTTGAGCAGAGTTTTTATTAAAGAGGCATTAATGATGGAGGACCCTTGTGTAGTGAGGAAACCTCTTTCAGCCCATATGACTGCATGGTGGTGCAGAATATGAAAGGCATATTTAGAATCAGTATAGATATTGACACGTAGTCCTTTTGCAAGAGTGAGGGCTTGAGTTAAGGCAACTAGTTCGGCTTGCTGAGAGGTAGTGGAGGGAGGCAGAGAGGTAGCCTCAATGATAGATGTGGAAGATACTATAGCATAGCCTGCCTTTGCTGGTGAATGGCGATTAGGCCTGGTGGAACTACCATCAATAAACCAAGTGTGATCAGGGTGAGAAACAGGGAAGAAGGAAATGTGGGGAAATGGGGTGAACGTCAGGTGGATCAGAGAGATGCAGTCATGAGGGTCAGGTGTGGTATCCGGAATAATGTGGGAGGCCAGATTGAAGTCCGGGCCAGGAACAATGGTAATTGTGGGACTTAAAGAGTTAGTACAGCTGAAGGAGCTGGGGAACAGAAAGTATATGCATCAGGTATGAGGAAGAAAATAGATTTTGGAAGTTATGAGAAATGTAGAGAGTGAGTTGAGCATAGGTTGTGATTTTTAGGGCCTCTAACAGTATTAAAGCAGCGGCAGCCGCTGCACGCAGACATGAGGGCTAGGCTAAAACAGTAAGGTCAAGTTGTTTGGACAGAAAGACTACACGGTGTGGTCCTGGCTCTTGTGTAAGAATTCTGACCACACTAACCATGCCTAGGAAGGAAAGGAGTTGTTCTTTTGTAAGGGATTGAGGTTTGGGAGATTAATTGGACACGATCAGCAGGGAGAGCACGTGTGTTTTTATGAGAATTATGCCGAGATAGGTAACAGATGGGGATGAAATATGGGCTTGACTGAAGTAATGGGGGCTGTCTGTGAAGCCTTGCGGCAGTACAGCCCAGGTAATTTGCTGAGCCTAATGGGTGTCAGGGTCAGTCTAAATGAAGGCAAAGAGAGGCTGGGATGAAGGGTGCAAAGGAATAGTAAAGAAAGCATGTTTGAGATGCAGAACAGAATAATGGGTAGTAGAGGGAGGTATTGAGGATAGGAGAGTATATGGGTTTGGCACCATGGGGTGGATAGGCAAAACAATTTGGTTGATAAGGCACAGATCCTGAACTAACCTGTAAGCCTTGTCTGGTTTTAGGACAGGTAAAATGGGGGAATGGTAAGGAGAGTTTATAGGCTTTAAAAGGCCATGCTGTAGCAGGCGAGTGATAACAGGCTTTAATCCTTTTAAAGTGTGCTGTGGGATGGGATCTTGACATTGAGCAGGGTAAGGGTGATTAGGTTTTAATGAGATGGTAAGGGGTGCATGATCGGTCACCAAGGAGGGAGTAGAGGTATCTTATACTTGTGGGTTAAGGTGGAGGGATATAAGAGGAGGACGCAAAGGAGGCTTTGGATTAGGAAGAAGGGCGGCAATGAGATGTAGCTGTAGTCCAGGAATAGTCAGGGAAGCAGATAATTTAGTTAAAGTGTCTCAGCCTAATAAGGGAACTGGGCAGGTGGGGATAACTAAAAAGGAGTGCTTAAAAGAGTATTGTCTAAGTTGGCACCAGAGTTGGGGAGTTTTAAGAGGTTTAGAAGCTTGGCCGTCAATATCCACAACAGTTATGGAGGCAAGGGAAGCAGGCCCTTGAAAAGAAGGTAATGTGGAGTGGGTAGCCTCCATATTGATTAAGAAGGGGACGGACTTACCTTCCACTGTGAGAGTTACCCAAAGCTCGGCGTCTGTGATGGTCTACCGGGCCTCCGAGGCGATCGAGCAGCATCAGTCTTCAGCCGCTAAGCCGAGAAGGAGTCTGTCAGAGAGCCTTGGGCCAGAGTTCCACAGGCTCTGGGAGTGGCTGCCAGGTGAGTTGAACAGTCCAATTTCCAGTGGGGTCCCGCACAGATGGGACACAGCTTAGGAGGAATCCTGGGCTGCAGGCATTCCTTGGCCTGGTGGTCAGATTTCTGGCACTTGTAGAGAGCTCCTGGGGGAGGAGGTTCTGGAGGAACGCCTGGCCGC